>NC_000023.11:10262488-10887488 GCF_000001405.40 Homo sapiens
TTGTCACCCATTTACACACACATACACACACACACACACACGTGCACACACACACACACACACACACACACACACTCCTGACTTCCTAGTTTCATTCATGATATGTGAATGCTGCCTGTTTAATTTTCTGAAAGTAGTCTTATTTCCTTTATAAGGCAAAAGTGATTAATATTCGTCAAGTTTACAATATGTTCCCCTAAATTTCCCAGCTTCCTTTGAAGTTAAGAGGAGGTCATCTGACAACTTCTACTGAATGAATTCTGTGAAGAAATGGCATATGTTATGTATGGGCCAAAGAAGTGTAGAACTAGTGTGCCTCTTCCATCTTTCTTTTTCAACCATGGCAACCTGGGAATTCACATATTGAGATGGCAGTTTCACCAGATGGAGGAGGTTTGGATCCCTGAGTCACCAGATGGAGGCAAGCTCTGGCCAACTTGCATTGGAGTTCATGTAAGTAAGAAACAAACTTCTGTTGTGCTAAGCCTTTGAGATTTTTGTTACTGCAGCATAGACAGTCTTATGCTAACTGAACCTTATTTCCACATTCCTATAAACATACAGTCTTCTCTATGAACTGATTACAGATATAAAAGATTTGGAGATCTCAGACTCAAATATCTAAAGTATCAGAATAGGCTAGGTGGAGAAACATTCTGGCCAGCTTCCTTTAGGACTCAGACTAAACAAGTAAGCAAAAACAAAAGCAAATACAAACCCAAGTTTTCTGCTCAAATAATCTCCTCTTCCAAACTACTCAGGATCCTAGAAATTATGTGGTTTGTCAATGCAGAACTGAAGAACACTATTGCACTATCTCTTCAGGAATGTTAAGTTATTTACAAGATGGGTCAGAGTTGGCCTGAAGGTGTTAAAGAGTGTCCTTGGTGGGGTAGGGATGGAGGGCTCTATGGAAAATTGTGCATTCTCCACAGTTTTCTATATTCCTGTCCTTTACCTTCTGGCATTCGTTCTATAGGTAATGGGCTAGACTTGATTATCTGATAGGCAGACTATGCACACACACACACACACACACACACACACACACACAAATCATTCTGGGGGGAATTAAATATTTTGAAAAAACAAACCAACAGTCATGAGAAAAATCAGGACTTTGTCGGACTTCCTTATATTTTGGGGATAGGGCTCAGTATTAGTTTTATTTAGGCTGACATTAAGAAAGGGGGTTAGATGTGGATGAAATTTCTGTAATATCTTTCAGAGCTTAAGGGCTCTAAAGCTCTTCATAGGAGCCTGCTCAGATATTTCTTCAGAGTTGTATCTTCTATCCAATTCTTCTCAAATGGCTGATAATAAGCATTAAATACAAATTAAGCATTGTTTAGAAATAACAGAGGGTGTTTACGTTTTAGAAAGGTAGGGATGGGTTGGTAAGAGTTTGCGGCAGAGTCTAACTAGTTGATTACCAAACTGATTTTCTTTTTTTCTGGGACATACAACTTGACTACATTTCCCAGAATTCCTTACAGTTAAGTAGAGAATGCGTTGTACACCATCTCCAGGCCTGGTCCATCAATAGTCTCCATGTGATTCTCTATATCTTTCTCTTTCCTTGAGGGATGACCTAATGCAGAGCATCTAGTGGAGGAGGCCCCAGGGATTTAGAGCCATGTAGATGGGAGGGAGCCTGGGTCTTTGAATGATTGTGTGGACCAGAGTCTACCTGATAGCCTGCATTAAACTGATATGTATGAGAAAAAAGCTACTGAGAGTTGGGAGTTGTTTGCTGCAGTGGTTAAGCTACCCTGACTAATACAGACCTCTTAGCTAATCATAGTTTATTCTTTCCTAAGAAATGTGCACTGTATGAAGCAGTTTTTTAGGTGCCCTAAACACCTCTGCTAAAGCTCCAGGGTTTGAGGGTTACTACGGAGGGTTATCTGTGGAGAATTTTCAGATGCGTCCTTCCAAAAGTGGTATTGATTATTCCTCTTTCCTGACAACATGGTAACAAATTTTTACCTCTCCTATGTAACCTGTCACACAATATTTAAATTATTGTTAATGGTGTAACTTGACAACCTTATGCAAAAAGGGGGATTTATTTCATACTAGGAAGTGGTCTCCAAAGATGGCCGCCACCAATTCCTGTCTTCCATGTATGTGCATGTGTCTCCACCAACCAAGGAACAGAGTCTATTTCCTCTCCCCTGGAATCTAGACTGGCCTAATGACTTGCTTTGACCAACAGAATATGGAGAATATGACATTCTGGGACTTCTGAGCACAAGCCTTAAGTGGAGTGGCTGCTTTGACAGCATCCCTCTACAAGACAGCTGACATTTAAGAATTCTGACTATCCTGAGACTACCACATTGTGAGAAAGCCCAAACCAACCACGTGGAGTGCCCACGTGGGGAAGCACTTAGACACCAGATGTGAGTACAGTCTTCTCTTTTTTTTTTTTTTTTTTTTTTGAGACAGAGTCTCGCTCCATTGCCCAGGCTGGAGTGCAGTGGTGTAATCTTGGCTCACTGTAACCTCCATCTCCCGCGTTTAAGCAATTCTCTGGCCTCAGCCTCCTGAGTAGCTGGGATTACAGGCGTGTGCTACCATGCCCAGCTAATTTTTGTATTTTTAGTAGAGACAGGGTTTCACCATGTTGGCCAGGCTAGTCTCCAAACTCCTGACCTCAAATGATCCACCCACTTCGGCCTCCCAAAGTGCTGGGATTACAGGCATGAGCCACCTGAATGAAGTGAGCAGCCATGAGTGAAGCTTTTTTGAACCTTCTCACCCAGCCCAGACACCAGCTGAATGCAGCTGAGTGCGTGGCTCTAGTCAAGGCAAAATAGATCAAAAGAACCATCCAGCTGAGTCAACTTACAGAATCATGAGAAAAATAAATTGTTGCTAGTTTAAGCCACTACATTTTGGAGTGGTTATACAGCAACAGATAACTGAAACAGGAGGGATTCTAGGTGTGAGGTTTTGATTGATTAGGAAAAGAATTGTAGTTTCCCTTGGGATTATTCATTGTTGTCTTTTAAGTCATGAAGGCAGAAACGTGGCTTTCAAAGAGGTCTGAGAAGGCCATTGTGCTTGGATGACTGCAGTGGCCACCTTCCCATGCTTATGCTTGGCCTGGGTGAATATTTGTTCAACAAAAGTTTTATTATTATTATTTTTAGATGGTGTCTTGGTCTGTTGCCCAGGCTAGAGTGCAATGGCACAATCTCAGCTCACTGCAACCTCCGTCTCCCAGGTTCAAGCAATTCTCCTGCCTCAGCCTCCTGAGTAGCTGGGACTACAGGCACATGCCACCACGCCCAGCTAATTTTTGTATTTTTAGTAGAGATGGCATTTCGCCATGTTGGCCAGGCTGATCCAACAAAAGTTTTTTGAGTGAAAGTGATTATTCATTTACCTCTCATTTTCTATCTTAGTAGGGGAATGATCATATGTTGCCTGGGCACAGAACAGTGCCTCAATAAGGGAGCAGGCTTTAAAGGTTTATTGACTAAGTTAATGCTGGGTATGGTGGGGGAGACCTCATCCTTTGAGGGAATGAGTAAGTCATGAGGAGCCCTCAGCTTACCCCAAATGTCTCACCTAAAGGTCACCTAAATGTCTCACCTAAAGGAAGTGGCTAGATGAAGAAAGCTTTGGTGCACCTCAAGAGTTGCAGTAAATCAATAAATATACCACTATGCAATGCAAAAGGGAATTCAGTTGCCACTCAATAGAAAGAGAAAGAAATTCCTTATCATTAGACCAGAAACCATTATCTGAGGATAAAGATCAATCAAATTGCATTTGAAACACTCTTTGTGTTGCTCTTAGAAAGTGTTCTTTTCTTGAGAAATGATTTAGCACTCAGTATCGACAACATGATAACCCCTGAGAACAAATAGCAGAGATGGCTCTGTACTAGGAAAAGCAAATGTGAAATGGAGCGTACCTGGACAGAAATAAACCCAGTGGAGACAAAATATGCAAGGGCTGTTACTTATCTGTTTTGGCCCACATTCTGGGTATAGCTATTTTGATTTCATTAGCCAGGTAGAGGTAATTCGTGTATCAATTTATGACATAGCCAGAGGAGTTCTTTAACTTGGAACTTTGTGAAAATAAAAGGATCAGCTGACAAGAGATGAATCATGCTTTGGAAAGAGAACTATATCCATTTAAATATTAAGTTGAATAAATCTTTACCACAAACTTTAAAGAATATACTGCAGGGTTCTGTTACAACTTCCAGTTACTCCTTTTTAAGTAGCTGATAAGAATTTTTAGTTTGTTTGACCAAGGGACCCACGGTGTTGAATTCAGGATTTGCTTATCCATCCAGCCATTCACTCATCTCCTGTCTATCTGTTTATCCATTTGTCCATTTATATGAACATTTGCTATTTTCCTGGTGCTGTGTGTGCTGTGCCATTGGTGATATTAACAAGCTGGTAATACAGAGTGTGACAAATGGTTTTCATGTGGGAGCCCACTGTAACATCACTTTGCTACTCTTCTGACTGAACTCCAAACTGTTTTTGACCCATTCCATTTCATACCAAGCATGGAAACTTTCTTGTTTGAAGACCCAGTCTATCATTTGTAGAATCGTATTGGTTTTTTGTTTGTTTGTTTTGCTTTTACAATTGACCAAAGTTTGCTTGAAACATAAAACCTTTAACACTGTGTTGTTAAGGGTGTTTGATACCTCTGATATGCTCAAATACTGGAAGCTTGTTTCGCTCCTTAATTTGATATAACCTGATGTTAAACGAGACATTTCTTGTTTCCCATTTCAACTGAGGCCTCAACACTTGAGAATACGTCGCAAGTCTCCACGTTCTAGGGAGAGGGGTTGGGGTTAGACCATCTGTGCTGTCGTAAAGAAATACCTGAGACTGGGTAATTTATAAAGAAAAGAGATTTAATTGGCTCACAGTTCTGTAGGCTGTACAGAAAGCATGACACCGGCATCTGCTGGGCTTCTGATGAGGCCTCAGGGTACTTTTACTCATCATGTGTTACGTGGCATTTGAGGAAACAAGAAAGAGAGGAGGAGGAGCCAGCCTCCCTTAAACAACCAACTCTCATGTGAACTAACTCAGCGAGAACTCACTCATAACCAAGGGGATGGCACTAAGCTATTCATGAGGGACCCAACCCCATGACCCAAACACCTCCTACGAAGCCCCACCTCGAACATTAGAGATTCGGAGGAAACAAGCATCTAAAACATATCAGGGGTAGATCATGTATGTAGGATAAGGTAAGAGATTATATTTGTCCAGGGGCCTTTAGCCTATCACTCACCTCAAAGGTGTGTGAGGTCAGCTGAGGGTTGATTGAAGAAACTCGAGGCTGTATGGGAAGTGTCGGTAGAAACACATTATCCAGTTATAGCCATGGGACCAGAGGAGAGCTTAGAGTGAAAGTCCATAGAAAATCTGGCCAAATGACCCTCAGAGTTTGGAGGACACAGAGACTACTGGCTGACACCTGCCTGGACATGCCTAAAGTCTGAAGGTTGGCAACTTCTGTGAGGACAAAGAGGAGAGAGAGAGGGTTGCCATAGGGGCGGCTTGAGGTTTGAACGTTCATCCTGGCAAAGAGGCCGACTTCCAAGGGGTATACTGGGTACTCAAGGAGGGACCCCTCTCAAGAATACTGCTTGCGGCCCGGTGCGGTGGCTCATGCCTGTAACCCTAGCACTTTGGGAGGCCGAGGCGGGCGGATCACTGGAGGTCAGGAGTTTGAGACCAGCCTGGCCAACATGGTGAAACCCCGTCTCCACTAAAAATACGAAAATTAGCTGGGCATGGTGGGGCACGCCTCTGTAGTCCCAGCTACTACTCAGGAGGCTGAGGCAGGAGAATCACTTGAACCCAGGAGGCAGAGGTTGCAGTGAGCCAAGACTGCACCACTGCACTCCAGCCTGGGCAACCGAGTGAGACTCCATCTTAAAAAAAAAAAAAAATACTGCTTACTGCTTGCCTGGGAGAGATGGTCCAGGTAGAAGGAACCTGCAAGGGGCAATAACCAGGAGTACAGGTGACAAGTGGCCTCTGGAGACTGCATTCTTGAAGCAGAGGAGAGAGAAGTGGGAAGTTCCCAAAGGAGGGTGGGTGTTATGGTCTGAATGTGTCCCCCACAATTTATATGTTGAAACTTAGTCACCAATGCAATAGTATTAAGAGGTGGGAACTTTAGGAGGTGATTAAGTTATGAGGGTGAAGACCTCACAGATGAGATTAGCACCTTATAAAAGAGTTTGAGGGGATCAGTCTGTTCCTTCTGTCCCTTTGGCCACATGACGACAAGATTCATCCCGTCTGTAGGAAGCAACGTTTAAGGTGCCATCTGGCAAGCAGAGACCAGACCCTCACCGAACACCAAACCTGCTGGCACCTTGATTTTGGACTTTTCAGTCTCCAGAACTGTAAGAAATACATTTCTGTTCTTTACCAATGATCCAGTCTCAGGTATTTTGTTATAGCAGCCTGAATGAACTAAGACAATGGGCCACTGAAAAACACAACAAAGCATTCTGCAAGAGAGAGTCAGCTTTTGTGCATCTGTGACACCACCAGATTACAAGCACAGAGTCAAGTAAGGCCTTTTCCCCCTTCAGCTCTGCTCCTAGCCACTTTGGAGTAGCCAGAGGCAGCATAATGAGTAGGGGACTAGGAGTAGAAGAATAAAGTGGAATTAGAGGAGGATAGTTTTGCTTTTAGGCTATACTGGGCTCCTGGATCTGCAGATTCACTGGTGGAAACACATAAAGTTGTTTCTCAGCTTGGACCCTACCAAATGCAGCTCATTCAATATATTGGGCACATCAGGGATGGTTTTTATGATCCTATTACTCTTTGTCTTAATTTGAGTGCTCTGCTAGCCTCTGTCTGCTGGCTTCTTTGCTGCAATTGGTATTTAATGTGCAGTAGGAATAGGAGATGTATGTAAAGTTCCTTTCATTGGAGAGAGTGGGCTGAATTCTGTGTTAGAAATGGATTTTAACTATTGGGTGTCATGACATATCCTCTGGCATCCTTCAGTATCCTTTCCTGAGCAAGATAGGTGACAGGTTGCTTTCCTTTAGCCATTTCATGGCCAACATTTAGGAGGCTTCATGGCCTTTAAGAAAGGCCAGGATATCTGATATCTTAGAAATGAAAAGATTGAGAGGAAACTGGATTATGTGTGGAATCTCATAGTGGAAACCAAGGCAATAATGATAAAGACTCAAGCTAAGGTTGTCGCAGGGTGGAAAAATAATTGGGGATGGATTTGGGGAGGCAGCCTCCCATTTCACTTAGTGCCAGTACTACCCATCTCCTGACCACGTCTCTGTCCTTGGAACCATCCTGAACGATTAATACTTCCATATAACTTCATATTCTATTGTGTCAAAAAGATTTGATTTACACCTGAAATGCATCTCAAATCTTCCTCCTTATTTCTAGTTTCCACTGTTTCTGATGAACTTCACTACTGTTTGCCCTTCCTTTCCAAATAGTTTCCTAACTGGGCACTCTGCTTCCTGCTTCTTTCTTCAGGCCACACTCTGCATTGGAGCTAATCCTTCTAAGAATCTTTCTAAAACATCAGAGCTGAAGATTGTGGCCTGAGCAAAAGTATTTGTGCCCACTGTGTTAGGCAGAATGTCTCCCTTCCCCCATACCTATGCCTTAATCCCTGAAACCTGTGAGTATGTTACATTACATGCCAAAAGGAACTTTGCAGACATAATTAATGTTATGGACCTTAAACTAGGGAGAGTATTCTGTATTATCCAGGTGGGTCCAATCTAATCATGAGTCCTTAAAAGCAGACAACTTTCCTAGGCTAGATAGAGGTGGGGAGATGTGGCAGAAGAAGAAATTGGAGAGATTCAAAGCTTAAGAGAGACTTAACTCAGGGTTGTAGGAGAAGGAAAGCACTAGAAGGAATGTGGGCAACAGTTAAAACAGGACCCCGAGCCAACAGCCCACAAGGAAATGAGGACCTTTGTTCTACACCCATAAGGACCTTAACTTGGCCAACAACCTGAATAAGCTCAGAAGCAGATTCATCCTCAGAGCCTTCAGAAAGGAATGCAGCCCTGCCACACCTTGGCTTTGGTCTTGTGAGACCCTAAGCTGAAGACCTGTTGGGCTACATTGTGCCAAAGCCTCTGACATGCAGAACTATAAGCTAATAAATACTTGGAATTATAAGCCACTAAATTTGTGGCTATTTGTTACAGCAGCAATAGAAAGCTAATACACCTACTCATCTCAACCAAAGGGGATAAACAGAGAAGGATTGGGAGGTTGGGGGGTGCTTATCAAAGGAGGAACTATTTCAACAAATATCTGGGAGCTCTAAAGCAGAACATGCAAAGCCAGTTGGCAGACGAAAGAGAACAGAGGTGCTACATCCCAGACTCTCCTGTGAAAGTTGCAATGGAGGTGGGAGTCAAATTGTGTCTCACAAATCTGAAGCGACTTTTGGGCTCAAGCATGCAGGTAAAAGAGTGGGAGCAAGAAGTGAGGTTCAAATAAAGGGGACTCACTGAAGCAGAACCTCTCACCTTCACTTGGCCGAAGCAGCCTGGTTAGTACTTACATCCGGGTGCAACAATGAAAATTCTCTAAAGAAAGTGAGCTCACCATCTCACAGTATCTATGGCTCATCCAGCGGGTGTTCATGCCATGATCATTACAAGGGGCATCACAAGTGGGGTCCAGCAGGCAGCGGAGAGTGTAATTGGGCAAAATGTTCATCTTCCAGAGTAGGGTGTCAATATCTATCCCGTCTAGTTGATAAGACAACAGAGGATGAGCTTGTCCTCATTTCCCTCCAGCCCTTAAACCCCCACCGGAACCCTAGCCCAGGAGCTTAGTGCTGTTCTCAGTTGGAATGTCACCTTTCTGACATTTTTCGATGAGCTATTATTTAGAGTTTTGGTGAGAAATCACAGAACAACTAAAAACAAGAGATTGCTTCCAGGGGCAAGACTGAGGCGGGGGCAGGTAGCAGCAGGGCTAAAGACACTGCTTTTCATTTCATAAGTCCTTCTCACTATTTGACTTTTCATCGTTTAAAATTATTACATTGATGAAAAAGATCAAGTTACCACAGAGCTTGTCTGTATCATTTTCGTTTTAAAAATCCCACAGTCCTTACCACCAAACCTGGGAGCTTCAGTCTCATGGGTCTGTTACCTTGGTGCAGAATGATTTTTCTGTTTTCTTTGCTTAGGAAAACCAGATGGAGTTCTTATAGACCAGGTCAACTGTCATCACCCCTATGAAGCTCTCCATGACCCTTGGCACTTAATTAGACTTGGTCACGTAGTACAGTTTCCACATTTGCATGTACATTTCCATTGCTATTCTGTGAGTTTCTTGAAATATATGGCAGTGTCTATTTCATAGTTGAATCCCCATTCTCTGACACAGTGTTGAGTGTTAGGAGAGGCACAATAATCCTTTGCAAACAAGTAGTTGAATATTGCCCTTTGTGACTTTTCCTATCTTATTTTATTTTAATCACAATTTTACCTCTGTCTGATCCTGACATTTAAGCTCTGGTGTCTCTTGATCTGAGGGGGCTTTGAAGTTCATTTTAACCAGATTTCGCCTGAGGAAATATATTTCAGCAATGGAGGACTTCGTTATCCCACGTGACTTGCCCCAGGCCCCTAATCCCTCTGGAGATAGTACTAGTTCTTCATGAACACAAACAAGGAATTTTAATGCACATTCGACCGGAAGGCTTTATCAACCTTTGTCCTTTTACTTGCCAAAATAACAGAGCATTTACTGTAGGAAATAAAATTTTAAAAGCTTGCAAAATTAAAAAATAGATTATGACTTGTGCTAAAGTCTTCATTTCCATATAAGATCAAAAATTAATAAATGCACATATTCAATTTTTCATTCTTCTACCTCACAAAAGTGTTGAGGCAGCCTGCAAGAAATCGGAACTATCTCTGAGACATTATGATGACCAGTGTGAAAGAACAAGGACTTAGCAATAGAGAATCATCCACCACAAGCTTTATTCCAGTTGTATGTTCTCATTGTGCATTTAAAATGTGCCTCCATATTCAAAAAATTAATTCACTTCTAATTTTTCTGGACTCTACTTATTGCATAAAGTGAGACACACCTGTAGACAATAAAAAGGGAAACAGACTCTCTTTGCTGACCAGGCAATCAAAAACGTGTTCAGTGGAAACCACAAGAAAGAAAAAACCTGCTTACTTTCTGGGTGGGAAAATAATGAGTCATATACTTGTGATAAATAGAATTATCAATTCATAAATTCCAAGTAATAGGTTTTCACTTGTCAGGGACGAATGACCCATTCTTTTGCTTATGGGAAATAGCACTACCCAGTTCCTAGTATGTGCAGCTGCCACCTTAGATGTTGGCATCTGCTGGTCTTTGACCACGTCTAATGAATGAGTTCTGCTTATTTTGATGCTGCATCCAAACGGAAGGAATAGTAACACCTTATACCAACAGCTGTGGAGGTTGATGTCTTCTTTTTCAAGGGAGGAATGGGCTCTAAATACATTCTCTTTTTTGGCAAAATTTGTTCATGATAAGCCGCCAGTAGCCTGATAACAGACTGCCTGACCTTCTCAAAATAGAAAAGGTCATCACAGCCTGGGTATCCCAAAGCTGAGCTAGGCACAGCCTTTCACAATTAGAAAGGTAGGTCTTTTTCTCTCTCCATTCTCTCTGTAGGATATGCACCATGTCCCAGGTCACTGTTTGAGGCCTCAGCTTCAGAGATGAAAATACTTAGTGGTGTTGGGTCCACTGATTACTCATCCAAGGAGTTTATTTCGGCCCTTAGAATACATGAAAGTTTGTCATACAAACTTTCTTTGCCTATATTTTCCATAGGAAATGAATGATCAAACAGACAAATGTGATATCATAAAATTCATGCACCTTAAAAAAAGAAACCTATGTACATAGATTCTTAGCTAATACTTGTTATAAGTAACTTTCTTTGTGCCTATATAACCTATAAGCTCATTCTTTCAGTCACTCTTTCTGTGTTGATTAATGTTTTCAGCTCATGAACCATGTGCATTTCCCCTACCTCCTGTTTCCTGTATATTGACATCCCCATACAGATATTGGACATGCTAGCTCCAAGTTTCATCTCCAGCCTGGAACTTCCATTACAGTAAATCCTCACTTAGCATTGTCGATAGGTTCTTGGAAAGTGCAACTTTACCTGAAATGACATACAACAGCAGGTCCTTGACTAACGTCGTTTTCTTCAATGTTGTTTAGTTATAACATTGATGAGAAAAAAAATTGGTTTCATTATACTAACCTGGTGTGGGAATTGGTATGCTAGCTATGTCTTTTAGACAAACATAGACCTGGAAAGTCTTTATCTAGAAGGCTGGACAGGACTTTAAGTGTGAAATCTAGAGAGGTGATGGATAGGAGCGAACTGGCAGGAGACCAGAGTTCTAATTCTTACTCTAGTAATTGCTAAATTTGTGACCTTGGACAATTGACTTAAAACTATCTAGCCTCTACTTCTTCCTCCATAAAGGAAAAGGATTGGCTCAGTGTTCCCAACGAGCCCATCAGTTCTATGATTCTGGTCTCTAGACCTGCACTTATCTGTAGTCACCTAAACTAGAGGGTCTAATTCTCTGGAACTTTGCAGTTGTGACTCATGGTTACCGCCTCTGTTTTTGTTTGTTTGTTTTGTTTTGTCTTTTGAGACAGGGTCTCACTCTGTTGCCCAGGCTGGAGTGCAGTGGTGTGATCATGGCTCACTGCATCCTCAACTTCCTGGGCTCGGGTGATCTTCCCACCTCATCCTCTCAAGTAGCTGGGACTATAGGCATGCACCACTATGCCAAGCTAATTTTTTGTATTTTTAAAAAATAGAAACGGGGTTTTGCCATGTTTCCCAGGCTGGCCTCAAAGTTTTGGGCTTAAGGAATCCTCCTGCCTTGGCCTCCCAAGGTGTTGAGATTACAGATGTGAGCCACCGCATCAGGCTTGTTGCTGCCTCATATTTATTTCACAAAATTAGTCATTCCTAATGAACTTCAGATTTGTGCCAAATCTCTATCCCATCTCTATTTTTATTTTCTAAATACTTTTCTTCTAATTGACTCATTTTTTAAAGCTTAATATTGAATCATTTCATTACAATAAAGGGATACATGGGTTAGTATTTATGGTAGCAGAAATAACTATAGTGGGGAAAAAAAAAAAAACCTAACAATTACCCAGGGGCAGTAACCCAGAATTATTGCTGCAAAGGCTCAGACAAGTAGACCCTCTAGTCTGGGTGATCACTTGTTAATGCAAATCCAGAAACCATTTCAGCAACACTGTCCTTCAAAAATTAAGGAGAAATAGAAATATTTTCAGATGAACTGTGAGAATTCATTGATAGCTGGCCTAAACTACAAGAAATGATAATAGGAGTTCTTTACACTGAAGGGAAATGACACTAGATTACAACTTGGATCTTTAAGAAAGAATGAAGATCAGTTCCCAGTGTGTTAGCTGATGTTGCAGCTATTTCTTTTAGACAGATATAGGGCTAGAATGTGGCACAGGGGGCAATGTCTGGGACACTATGATGTTGTGTAAGGCAGTCAGCAGCTATATTGAGGTGCTTTTCTACAATGTTGATTTTTCCCAGAGACCATATCTAGAACAGCAACCTAAATGCAACCTAAACTAGAGTCGCCATCCAATTTTCCATGTCTATCTGTCTTTTACCCATCACAATGCAGAGTTTAGTGGAGATGGATAGGAATTCCCATCCTGCATCTTTAAGTCTCCAATGGTGCTTCCAATCAGTACGATTGCCCTGGGCTAGTGGTGTTGGTCATAATTGCCTTTCTTGCTATGGAGGGAGGACTCTGGAATCTTCTTCCACTTCCCTTCCTACCATAGGTTGGGAGCAAAGTTGGCATTTTGCCTGTTGCCGAGCATACACTCAGGATTTGGGATAATTAAGCTCAGGGTGGGCTTGGGGTTCCACTGAGCTTGCCATTATGTTGGCACAGATCAAATTCTGTTTAACTTCTTATCCCCATTAAGCCCCACCTCTGACTAATGGGCAACAGAAACACTCTGGTTACCTAGAAATCACTTTTGGCTCAGCATCCAGAAGGGGTTCAAATGCTGGCCACCAAAGGAAAAATATCCCAAACATCTGCTGCTTTCCTTAGTATTACATTCTCATTTATCTCTTCAATGATTATTTTCCTTGTCAGGTATTTAGGTCTTACCCCCTACTCTGAGAGCTCTTCATGAGAATACCCATGTACTTTTTGAATATATTGTGTAACCCTGGATCAGACTTTTACAGAAGCCCCACACATACCTACGATCGAAGCTGCATAGAGAGTTGAGGTTTCATCTGATGATTCAAATCCAATGCCACTACATTTGACCATTATTCTAAGTGAAGTAACTCAGGAATGGAAAACTAAACATCATGTATTCTCACTTATCAGTGGGAGCTAAGCTATGAGGACGCAAAGGCATAAGAATGATACAATGGACTTTGGAGACTCAGAGGAAAGGGTGGGAAAGGGTGAGGGATAAAAGACTACACATTGGACACAGTAAACACTGCTGGGGTGATGGGTGCACCAAAATCTCAGAAATCACCAGTAAAGAACTTATTCATGTAACCAAACACCACCTGTTCCCCCAAAAACCTATTGAAATTTTTAAAATCCTTAAAAAATCCAATGCTTCCACCTTTACAAAGTTGGGTGATATGAATAGTATTTTACATTGTTGTAGCAGGAACCCAAACCACCCCTGGGATGATGTCTATCTACTCAGAGTTCTCTAAAATGAACTTTTGCTGACAACCCATCTCCTGGGTGAAACGTAAAAAGAATACAATGACTGTTCCCATTGTCTTTTGGTGGCATTTATAAAGCCCCCACCTGTGGGAGCTTAGTACTAAATGTCATACAAAGCAATGTCAAAAGGCACAGACCCTATTCTCTAAGGGTTATAATTGAAAACGGACCTCTGCATTGACCCTGTTGGCCGTGCTAGATGCTGCCTCCAAAAAGTTTCTCTCTGGTCCATGACTCTTAGTGGTAATGCCATTTACACATGGGAAGGAACCAGTCTTTCTTCTTCCACAAAGCCCTGAGCTTCTGTGATTTTAGCCCCAGCAAAAAGATCTCTAGAGGAATAGGCTGGTGGATGACACACCCTGAATCTGTTCACCCTGACCGAGTTGCTTCTTCCCTCTGGGATTCTCTTACCTGATTTCTATACCCACTACCATCCTGCTTTCCGTGGAAAAAAAAAATGCTAGCTCGCTGTGGACATCCGTCCCTTCCTTGGTTCTGATTGACAGAGATGAGAAAGGCTTTACTTTGAATATATTTAATTGTAATAAAGAAATAAAATAAGAGAAAAACCAGAATTGCAATTCAGAAAGACTTGACTAACTCCCAAAGAGCTAAAATTATGTGAAGACAAAAATACATGTATGATAACAACACAGCTTAGCAAGACTAGCTAACTCCTGTATAACCATTGCCTTCCATACCTTGTCTTTTGTTATCCATAACAAGCTCCTTTCAATCATACCTGAGTTTATACTAATGAGATGACTTATAGGGCAGGAGGGCTAAACAGCTTTGGGATGAGGCTAGTTGACAGAAAAGCTAACCACATGACTAGAGAGTTAGAACTCTCTGCTGCATCCCCAACCCCTGGTTGGGGAAGAGGATCTGGAGATTCAATTCAATCACCAATAGCCAATGAGTGTGTCAATAGTGCTTACATGAAACCTCAGTAAAAACTGGACAATGAGGTTTGGGGGAACTTCCTGGTCGGTGAATATATCAATGTACTGGGAGGGTGGCATGCCTCATCTTTCTGGGAACAGAGGCTTCTGTGCTCAGGGTCCTTCCAGACCTCGCTCTATATACCTCTTTACCTGGCTGTTTGTACCTTTTATAATAAACTGTTGTAACTATAGCACTTTCCTGAGTTGTGTGAGTCATCTTAGCGAATTGTCAAACCCACATGGGGAGCAAGTCATGGGAACTCCTGAATTTGTAATTGGCTGGGCAGAAGTGCAGGGAGCCTGGTGACCCCATTTGTGGCTAGCATCTGAAGTGAGAGCAGTCATGTGGGACTGAGCTCTTTACCTGTGGGGTCTGTGCTAACTCCGGATAGTTAATGTCTCCATTGAATTAAATGGTGGGAAACCCAGTTAGTGCTGGAGAATTGATTGTTGTAAAAATGACATAGTGGTTGACAGGACCATTGGGACGTTCAAAATGAAATCTTTTTCTTTTGGTGAAAGCCTAACTGTGGTTACTCATACACCAAAGGTATAGCAAGCCTTTAACAAAGATCGTCAAACTGGATGGAACACTTAGAAAACTGTAGGATATTGACTGGGTGCAGTGGCTCATGCCTGTAATCTTAGCACTTTGGGAGGCAGAGTTGGGTGAATCGCTTGAGCTCAGGAGTTCAAGAACAGCCTGGGCAGCATGGCAAAACCCCGGCTCAAAAAAAAAAAATTAGCTTGGCGCGGTGGCACGTGCCTGTAGTCCCACTTCAGCTACTTGGGAGCTACTGTAGTCCTCAGCCTCAGCTACTCATGAGACTGAAGTGGGAGGATCGCTTGAGTCTGGGAGGTCGAAGTTGCACTGAGCCATGACTGTGCCACTGTACTCAGGCCTGGGTGACAGAGTGAGACCCTGTCTCAAAAGAGAAAAAAGGGGAAGCTTGTAGGATATTGATAGAGTATCATTATGTCATTGAATTCGATGCATAATTGTACATACATAGACAGAAACATTAGTTCTTCTGATTTCACAGATGAACCAATTGTTGCAACAACGGATTAAAATTGATTAATTCCCTGGTGGGGTACATCCTGTAAATCTATCACAAAAAGGTTCTGTGGCAAAATAATATTCCGTTTTCCTTAAAATATCTTAAATATTCAGACAAATTGGTAAGCATGGCCACTTTTGAATGTGGCAGTGTTGTTATAGAAATAAAAGAAATAGTTGTGGGTGGCGGGGGAGAAAGGTACCCTTCCCTTTGGTGGGTGTTCTCTGAGGGAGAACATCTTCAGGCCCAGTGGACTGTGGTCTGCATGTAACCTGCAGCATGTAGCACATCTCAATGAGATACAAGTTTCTAACACGGGACTCTATCAGGGGCTGGTTTTGGCCCCTGTGGTCTGGGGACTCTTGACTGAGATAAGAAGGCTGCTATTATTTCTGGTGTATTGGTTTCCTACCACTGCTGTAACAGATCACCACAAACTTAGTGGCATGAAACAACACAAATCCATTATCTTATAGTTTTGGAGGTCAGAAGTCTGAAAATGGGACTAAACAGGACTAAAAGCAAGGCGTCGGCAGAACTGGTTCCTTCTGGAGGCTGTAGAGGACAATCTCTTTATTGTCTTTTCCAGCTTCCTTGGCTCATGGCCCTCTTCTAGCCAGAAAAGGCATTGCTCCAAAGTCTCCATCATCACATCTCCTCTTACTCTCCTGCTCTGCTTTCCTGGTATAAGGACCCTTGTGATTATATTGGGTCACCCAGATAATAAGGATAATTTCCACATCTCAAGATCCTTAAGTAAGTCACATCTGTAATCCCATTTGCCATCTGTATTAGTCAGGGGTTTCTAGGGAAACAGAATTAGTAGAGAGAGAGAGAGAGAGAGAGAGAGAGAGAGAGTGTGTGTGTGTGTATGTGTGTGTGTGTGTGTGTGTGTGTATGAAGATTTATATATTACATATGTATATGTATTATATTGGCTCATGAAATTATGGAGATTGAGAAGTCCCATGATGTGCTATCTGCAAGTTGGAGAACCAGGAAAGCTGGTGGTGTAACTCGGCCCAAGTCCAAAGGTCTGAGAACCAGGAGCTCTAATGTCCAAGGGCAGGAGAAAATGGACCAGAGTTCCATCATGAACTCTCATCCATCACGAACTCTCATCCATCACATAGTACCCAGTTCAAGATGAGAGTGAAAGAATTTGCCCTTTCTCCACCTTTTTGTTCAATTTGGGCCCTCAACAGGGTATTCCTTCCTTCTTTTCCTTCCTTTATTCCCCTCACTTCCCTCCTTCCTTTTCTCCTCCTCCTCCTTTCTCTCTTTTCCTCATCTTTTTTCTTCCCTTCTTTCCTTCCTTCTCTTGTCTTTTCTCCCTCCCTCCCTCCTTCCCTCCTTCCTTTTCATAAACATTCAGTGAGTGCCCTTAAAAGTCTTCAGTCCAGCCATCCCAAATCAGTGCAAATATTTTAGAATAGTTAACTCTTCAAGCTGGGGCAATGAAAAGTCAGGCAAAGTCAGTGTTGTCAACTTTACCCTTTTGTAACATGACCAAGTGGCAGGGGATGAGCTGGGCTAAGAATCTGACATCCTGAAAGAGTACTTATCCCTCCACCCACAGCTCTTTGTCTTTGAACCTTTACTCACCTCTTTCTGTACTGGTTAGAATGGGATAGTAATATTATTTTTTAGGGTGGTTGTTAGGGAACAATGTAAAATTCTTAGTAAAAGATGCTGTTGTTTTTTGCCTCAGGCAAAATCTAACCAAGACCTCCCCTTAAACATTGAGAAGACAGAGTAAAGAGTAAAAGTGACTATAAGGGGGTAAGAGTGGCTTTATTTTGTCATTATACTTGACCCCCTGGAAGTACCAAGATGGCCTGGCATGAAGAGGTACTAGCACTGCCAGGCCCTTTCTAGCAATTACAGGCCTGGTGTTTGTGAGCTCCAACTGGCCCCACACAGATGGCTGCTTGGCATCTGCTGTGAATGTGCACACAGGCTTTTAGTGACACACCCTGTTCGATCTGTGTTTGGAATATGATTTCTGTCGCCAGTCTGTCTGCTTGGAACTATGTGACTTTATGAAAAGCAAAATGAAAACTCCCATTGCTTGAAAAATCACCACCCAGAAATGGCTTTTTTTTTCTGACAGATTAGCTAGAAAAAGGTTTGGTATTAAAGAGAAATAATATGAATAGGACCGTTGGACCCTGTAATATCAGTGGCCGCCATTCTCAATAGCAGTGACATTTGAGGAGGCTCTGCTGTTTGATCTTTTTTCTTCCAGCTTATATTGACTTTTAAAGTCCACCCTACATCTGAAAATGCCAATGGCAAGAAAATGTGACATTAACCTGAAGGTTATAAAATTGAAAGCAGTTCATTAAAAAAAAATGGGGGGGGGGATGCATTTCTTGTGTTTTCTTGAGATTGTCTTCTGGAAAGATGAAGTTTAGATATTGTATAGAGGTGTGCAAAGCACTTATGGATTTCAGGTGAAGGAAATAGTCAAGTTGATTAATAACCCTGCCTCATGAGTGGCAAAAAGGCAAGCTGTATATATCATCCGAGTCACCTGTTTAATTGCTTTCTAAGTGGGGGGTGGGGCTTGTTAAAAATGTAGATCTAGGTCTCTGTCCTTGAGGGTTACAACTCAGTGGGCCTGGGATTGGGCTTGGGAAATTGTATTTTTAAAGCTCCCTGGTGGTTCTGTAGTTTAGCTAGATTTAATACATACTAGACCACACAAGGACATGTGATCCCCTGGGACAAAGCTAAATATTTTTGGCCAAATATCACTGATTGGCAGTTAAACTGGATCAAGAAGGCAGTGAGTTTTTGGAGAAAAGTTAGTGATTCCAGAGAAAAGAAAGCAGCTAGCAATTCTTGAATACTTATTATGGGTCAGTTACTGTTCTAAGTGCTTTACAGAGATTAATCCTCAGCATTTATTTACTTGTTTGTTTACTTATTTCTAGCAAATAAGGAAACCGATACTTACAAAGCTTCTACAACTTGCCAGAGTCACAGTGACAAGTGTTGGAATGATGGTTTGACCCCAAGTGTGTATAACTCCACAGTTCAAAGTCCAAGGGAAAAAGAAAGAAGTTGCTCCCCTCCCAAAAGATATACAATTTTGCTTTGGAAGGAGTTAGATTTATTTACACAAAACTTCTGCAAGGGACTGACAAAAGGACATAAAATTAGTTTGAGTTGCCATTAAAATTCTTATTATGTTTGGGAGGATGAATCTTCTTATCTGTGGTCCAGACAAAGAAGCTTACTTGTAGGGAAAAATTATAATCAGATATTAAACATCTGTGTGATTGATTTTGTTTGGTTGACACCAAAGGCCAGTGTATTTATTTATTTGGGTATAGCTTTAAATGTAATAAATTGATGTTTTAAATATAATACTAGCTGTATAATTTTATTTTGCTTTGTTAGCTTATGCTAGCCCAATAAAATCTGACAATTGAACAAAAGACTCTCCTTGGGGTGATAGTTTCATTGTCATAAAAATGTCATATAGATTAAGGGGCCAGCTGAGCCCTTATAGTTTCTCAGAGACTAGAGAAATCATTAAGAAATGCATATATTATTTCCAAGGTAAAATACTGGCCGAGTCCTGCCGTAATGTTTTTTTTAATGTGAATTTGCCAAACATAAAGCCATGAATTTTCCTAATTCTCAGAAATCATCTTCCAAAAGGCCTACATGTGGCTGCTTTGCCTCCTAGATTCTATCCCAGCAGAAAGCACCTCCCTCCATGGATGTACTTCTTCTGGGCAAGTCCTTGTCATGGTTCCAGCTCCCTCCAGGCTGCCCCAGCTCCTGGGCTCTGGCTGTACCACCTCCTTTGATCCTCCAGTCCTAAAGAAGGAATGACTTTCTACTAAAGCTCAGACCTTGTCGTAGTCTGTTTTGCATGGCTATAAAGGAATACCCGAGGCTGGGTAATTTATAAAGAGGTTTATTTGGCTCACAGATCTGCAGGCAGTTCTGCAAGAAGTGGCGACAGCATCAGCTTCTGGTAAGGACCTCAGGAAGCTTCCATTCATGGCAGAAGAGGAAGGGGAGCAGGCATCACATGGTGAGACAGGAGGAAAGAGTGAGGGGGGAGGTAGGTGCCAGGCTCCTTTTAGCAACCAGATCTTGGAGGAACTAATAGAGCAAGAACTCACTCATCACCATGAGGACAGCACCAAGCCATTCATGAGGGATCCGCTCCCATGACCCCCAATAACTTCCACCAGGCCCCACCTCTAACATTGAGGATCAAATTTCAACATGAGATTTGGATGGGACAAACATCCAAACCATATCAGACCCATTCCCCAACCTTCCTTGCTCTGCTCTGACCCCTACAGACTACATTTCTCAGGCTCCCCTGCCCACTGGCTTCCAGTTAGTTTCAACCAATGGGAAACCAGGTTAGACACTGGAGGGTGGGAGAAATGCCAGGGTAATTCTCTTCTTTCTTCTGCTTCAGTTTCTTGTGTTCTTTTGACTTTACTATGGTAGAGATATCCCCAAATACCAGTTGCCTCTGCAGGATGTTCCCTGATTTGCTTTCTTGTCCTCCTCCTTCCTTTAATTTCCAAAATCTTGAAAGAGCTAATGTTTGACTGTTTTTCCTTCCTTACCAGCCACACTGCTAGATAATACTCTTATTGAATGTGTACTGAGCAGAATTCTCACCAACCTCCTTGTCACCCAACTCTAGGATATTTCCTCAGATTTCCAAAGTGTCCCACAATGTCAACTATCTTCTCCTTCCTAAAATTTCTCCTTTCGTTTCTCCTGATTCTCCTGTATCTGTGATAATTCCTCTATGGGAGTGGCTCTTCATTTACTGCTTCAGGTTGTCTCTGGAGCACTGAACACTTCTCTAAGCATTCTGCAATGCAGAATGCATCTCACACTCGTTTTCTTTAAAACTGAGTCTACTGGCTCATGAGGACAGCTAATTGGTCTAACTTAGTCTCTGCTGAAACCCAGCACCAGATAGAGAAGGCATTCAGTAAATATTTTGTTGAATGAATTAATGAAATGGTTATATATGCATAAGATTATGAGAATGTTCATGCAGTAATAAATATACAGTGCTTAGCAAAAAGACAGGTGCCCATGGAATGTACACCTTTGAGAATTTTTAAGTTAAAATCTAATGACTTGAATGTTTGTGGTTTCATTAACATTTAGAACATTAAAAATTTTAATATATTGTTAAACGTTTCCCATTTATGATGTGCTTAATTACTTGTGTAAAAAGATTTAAACTTAACAGGCTCTTTGCAAATTCTGCCTTCCTTCCAATAACTTACTTTTCGTTTCTAACATCTGCTCCCAGTGACCTAGTCTCTCATCACGGGTCTGCTAGCCTTTTCTTCACCACCTGGCTCCAACTGTCCGTCTCTTTATATGGCTTCTAGTCAAATACTTGCTTATGTCCTGGCACTCTCAGACATACACGTGTGCACCTACATTTCAGACTCATAGCCTTCTGTTCAGAAGCCATGCATATGGCAGGCAGATATCCTTTTCATCAGGATCAGGTTCAATGCCATTGTTGCATAAAGTTCACTGGATGATGCCCTGGTTTCCTGGTCACTGATATCGGCCTCTCCATTTTAATGAAATCACGTTCAGCCAAGTTAGAATTCTCTTTAGCAGTTGGGGCCAAGGGGAATCAGAATAAAGAAAATGCTCAGGTAATTCTTCAACTCCTATACCTTAAGCAGTAGAATAAATGCCTTCACTAAATTCTTAGCTTATTAAGTGCCTGGAGTAACAATTTGCATTGTGTTTCTCAATAATAATCACAAACATCATAATAACTGATAATGTTTATTCTGGACATCCTGGGGCAAGCCCTCCCTTGACATAGCCCTGTGAGGGAGAAAAAAAGGAAAAACTGGCTGTATTCCTCCTCCTACTCTCTCTTTTCTTGGCTTTTGGCATTCCATTTTTTAAAATAATTTTCAGTTTTATAGCTTTTCATTTTGGAATAGTTTAAAACTTACACGAAGTTGCAAAAATAGTGCAGAGAGTTCCTGTGTACCCTTCACTCAACTTTCCACAATTATAATATCTTACATAAAGATAGTGCATTGACAAGACCAGGAAATTAACACTGGTACTAATAATGCATTCGTGTGTGTGTGTGTGTGTGTGTGTGTGTGTGTGTGTGTGTGTGTGTGTATTTCTATGAAATTTCATCCCGTGTAGATTCGAGTGACCATCACAATCAGAATACACAACAGAATTGTTGGAACAGAATTGTTCCATCACCACAAGGAAACTCCTTCATGTTACCCTTTAATAGTCACACTCTCCTTGCAACTCTAACTCTTTGCCACTGCCGATCTGTTCTCCCTCACTATAATTTTGTATATAACAACTTCAAGGTGGTTATATAAGTGGAATCATGTATGTGACCTTTTGTGATTAGCTTTTACACTCAGCATACCCTTGAGATCTATCCAAGTTGTGTGCATCAATAGTTTGTTACATTTTTCATCCTTTATTAAAAGAGACTTTCTTGAAGAGTGCCCTAACTGCAGTGTTCTGATTTCAGCCAATTGTTGCTCATTTCTTCAACATGTAATGAATGGGTAGAGTCCTGTTTATGCAAGGTCAGCTATGGGGCAACATGGAATCTAGGAGGCTTGTCTTTGTAAAAACTTTCTGGTTTTGGTCAACCTTTCACTTTTCACCCAAAGTGTATAGTCTCCCTTCAGCACCTCACCTTTTCTTACCCTTGGTTTCCTGCTATCTCGCTATCTCTTAGCCCCTGAGATTAGAATCCGTGATAAGGACTTAGGTGCAGGTTTTTTGAGAGGTGACTGCAGGAAGCAGGAGTGAGAGAGGAGGGAGAAGGAGGAAACGAGGGTGGATAAACTAATAGAGAGTACATTAATTAGGGGGTTACAGCTGTGCAAAACTGGGGCTTGGTTCCACCAGGGACTCAGAAGGAACCGTATAGAACATGTTTCAGAATTGCTGCTCTGGAGCATGGGAGGGGGAGGCATGTACTTACTAACTCCCATCCCTTCTTAGTTAAAGGTTGTTCCAAGCACATTGACCTTTGGCACTTCTAGGCAGTGCCCGCACAGTGACCTCCTGGTTTTACAGAGAAAACTTGGAGCAAACCAAATGGAGAGACCTAGTGTGAGGCTGAGATGAGAGCCCAGCAGTATGCTTGGGAGCTGGCCACCACCAAGTCACAAAAGTCAGATCAGGGCTGAGGAAATGTATCCAATGTCCTTGGATGGCAAGAGCTCTCACTATCTGACAAGTCAACTCCTTTGCTTTGTGTGAAGGTAACTGGTCCTGATTTCCACATTCTTGGACAGCCAGCCCAGGATCTCTCAAGAGGTTCTCTTTTTGCTTACACAGTTAACTGACTCTCCTGCTTTCTAGAGTTGTTCATGCAACTTACATTGTCAGGTGAACGTGATAACCACTACACTACGGAAACCATGCAACTTACTTTGAAGGCTTATACTTATTTGAATGAATTTTATCTATGTAATTAAATTAATCCAGATCTGTTTTTAACCCTGAGTAACTTCAAATAATTTAAATAATTATATATTTTTAAAACAAGTTCAGTCCTTAGAATTCTGAATCACTCCTTTCTCACTCGAGAACTCCAAGTTCTACTCCTTAGACTCTAGCTCATTCTTCTGCATTCTAAGAGGGATCCCTGTACTGATCCCAATGTCTTACCCAAGTTCCCAAACTCTTATTTTACTACAAGATTCTTTCAGCTTTTTGCATATGCTACCTTGTGTTACTTCTTATGGTTTATGTGTTTATCTGCCTCCTCCATTAACCTCCGTGATGTCAGCCTTGGAGTTTTAATCTCTTTGTATCCTGGTCTACTAGCACAGAACTCGACATATAGTTAGGGTCAATAAATGTTTGCAGCTGATGTTGGAGATGGTGGCAGCAGTTCAACTGTACAGGAGGTTTCCCGCTTAGCCCTTCAGGGATATAAGAGTGGGTCCTAATTTCGTTCTGGTGGAGCAGTTTTAGGCGGGGCTGCTGCCTGGCAATGTGAGATGTAGGAGATTACAATCAGTCATGCCCATGTGTCCAGCCTGGCTTGCCTCTGGTGGCTGGGAAGCTGGGTCATGTGGCTTTGGGGACAAATGTCGTGTCAGTGAAAGGGAGGCAGAATGATATATAGAAAAGAGCAGGGGTATGGAAGCCAATTTTGATCTTAGATAAGTGACTTTATGGAAGTTGCATTAGCAGTCTTACACTGGGAAAACCTAACTAGCTCACGGGGTTGGTGTGAGGCAGGAATGACTAAGGAGAGAAAGGCATGTCCTGTTGTAGCCAGGGGTCCTTGCTTCTCGTAGGCTTCGTTTGTGGCCCTGTTGATAGGCATCTTCTAGACATCCACCTGGCCATCTGGCTATTATGCTTTCCATGTTTGTTTCTTTTTATAAAAATGTTATTAAAAATGGACTAGCCCACTGTTTCAGTAATCTCTTGCTGTGTAACACACTAGCCCAAACCTTAGAACCTTGAAACAGTAACAATTTATTATTTCTCACCATTTCATGGGTCAGGAATTTGGGCAGGGCTCAGATGGATGGCCCTTCTGTTCCATGTGTATCAGCTAGGGTCATTTATTTGGTTGTATCACCTGGCGGTGGCCTGGGCCAGAACATCCAAGAAAGGTTTGCTTATATTTTGGGGGCCACAGTCTTCCTCCACTAGGTCAGTTAGTCTCTCTCTCTCTCCATCTGTCTCTCTTTCTCCTTTAATTTCTTTGTCTCCATATAGGTAGTTTGGTTTTCCTTGAAACATGGTGTAAGGGGTTTGGCTCTTTCTAATCTGGGCAGTGAGACTTCTAACATGGTGGCTTATTTTCAGGAGAAAGGTGGAAATGAAAACTGTCGGTATTAAGTCCTGGGCTCAGAAGTCCCACAACGTGTCTTCCACCACATGCCAAAACAAAGCACAAGTCCAGCCCAGATTCGAGGGAAGGGGAAATAGACTCATCTCTCACTGGGAGGTGTGGCAGGCACATCTGGGGTGGGAAGAACCATTGGGAGCCCTCTCTGGAGACTAGTTAGCCCATGCATCTAATTAGTCCAGTTAGCAGTGGTGGGCTTGACTCAACAGAGGGTGACACCAGACTGTCCAGGGAACTGCAGTGTGGCCTGGCTTCACAGAGCTACCTGCCATTTTCTGGAGAATTTTGAGTCAAAAACAGAGAGAGAGAGAGAAAGGGAGAAAGAGATAGAACAAAGCTGAAAAAGAGAGGATTTGTGAGGGAGAGTAGGAGCCAAGAGAAGCCACAAGCAAGATGGAGGCATGGGGCCACAGACATGCAGGGAAAGGGGGAGATTCTGGGAGAGATAGATCATGATGCATGTGAGAGAGGCAGAGAGAGAGTTCTAGTCCCTAAAACTGACTGGAGGCTTTCAGATTCCAGGGTTAATTCCAATCAGCCCATGTGTATTATACCCCTTTTTACTTGAGATAACCAAGTATATTTCTTTTCTTTATTTCAGACAAAGTGATTCAACAAATGAATTTCGCAGTACCACATCTGCCACCTCCTGATTTGTGGTAGGTTACTTCTGTGGTTCAATTTTCCTATCTGCAAATGAGAATAATTTTACCTATGTCATATGGTTGTTTTGAGTATTAAATGACTTCTATTACGAGGATTAATATATGTGCAAGCCCCTGGAACAATGCCTGGCATGTGGTAAACACTATATTAGTAATTTGTTAAATAAAAAATAAGGTAATGTTTAGAAGTCTTGGGTTGAGAGAACATATGAAGATTCTGCTTTGGAAAGCAAATAAAAGTTTATAGGGGAAAATACATGATTTTCTTCTGCAGTCAAGGTAAATCAGTCCTACCATGCTGTTATTGAGTGTCACTGAACTAAAAACATGCATCCTGAAAAATCTGGAGCCAAGGTGTCTACCAGGGTAGACGAAACTATGGACATAGTAAATCACAGAGACTGAGGAGTCTTGATCCTTATCAGGAATGCAGAGCTTCTTTGAGCTTGCTATGCTCTTTTTCCATCCTTTTTCTTCTTGCTCCTTTCTCCCCTTCCCAAGATAACCCAATTTATAGAATTGCCTCAATATGTGCCGGTTGACATGACATTCTGAGTGGTGGAGAGTGCCAGAGAGACCCAGTTGTAACCTGTTGATTTATGGTCAGCCCGCTCCACTGTTACTTTCTGATTTAACATCAAAAGAATGTATTATGAATGCAATCATGCTGGGCAAACAAATATACTGTTGCAAATGACTTTGCAGAATTTTTAAAATTCTGTCCATGTATAAAATGAGCTAAAAGTGGCTCTTGCTGTAATCATTCAAATACCTTCGGACTCTTGCACCATATGTTTCCTACATTTTCTTTTATCATATGTGATTGTATATTATAATACACAGCAATTCCAAAGGCGAACCAGATGGCTGTGTGTTTCTTAGTTCAGGATTCTCAGGCAGAAGGGAAGAGGGAATCTGGGGCTATATTTGGTTCTGATGAAACTGACAGGCTACCCGAAGTGATAATCAGAGGTATTTAAGGAAGACTCCCATTTACGATAAAGAGTTTAAGTGCTCAATCACGTCTGAATGTGTCTTTAATGGGCATATCTTTAAAAAACTGATTTAATGTATTCCTTTACATCTGCTCAAGTTGAATACGTGGAGACAAGCAATATTTTAAACTAGTTATTTTTTTAAAAAATACACGTTTCAGAAAAAGCAAATAATTTCTTGGAAAGACAGTTCAAAATATGGCCACTCTTCGGCTCTTGCTTCCTTATTGTTTAGGCTGCTAGACAATTATTTGCTGAATAAAAAAAGAGTGGGCTAAGTCAGCAAGAAGGAAGCAGGGAGAGAGGTGACTAGTTTTCTGAATGCAATTGATGGGTTCTTGCACAAGTTGCTTATGTTGTGTCTTCAGCTTCACAGGGGTGAAAACATTTTGTCCTTAAGATTGAGATGGGACAATCACAATTATGTGCAGTAGCCACACAAATTGCACAACATACGTTTCTTGTCTAATTTGCTCTGCAACAGTGTAAAACCAGATGAAAATTTCAAAATGAAAAACAAAAATAAACACAATCTATGAACACATTGGTGGACTAAACTGATGGTGCTATAGTCAGGTGATATCTGCATGCCAGCCATAGGTATACCTGCCCATCCCAACATGTGTTCATATTGAAATGTATGCAGTGAAGAATTTTGAAAATTGAAAATTCGAAAACTCTTGAAAATTGATGACGGTCTCAGTACTCCGGGGGTGAAATACAGATGTGAAAAAAAAAGCATAAAACTCTTCAAAAAAAAAATTCTATTGCTGGGAATTAGAAGAGCTAGGATTTGAACACCAGACTCTGGCAACAAGGGCTGTTAACGTGCTCTGTGCAGAGACCCTGCTCTCTTCTCACCACCCTTCAATGTCAGAGGTTGCTGGAATTCCTTCCACAGCCCATTTTGTGTCTTGCTCTGCTCCCCATCTTGGAGATCTCAACCATACTCCTGCTTCCTCTACCACCTGGGTTGTTTGCATTCTCTCTCCTAGGACTCCCTCTGATACTCCAAACTGAGCCACCCAGTCTCTTCCAGAAAGCTCCATCTCCAGTCCCATATACACATCCAACTCAAAATGACCCAAACTGGACTCAGCATTGCCCACTCTTTCCCCTTGAACGTCTTTCTTTGCTGATGGCCTTGTTATTTGTTTCATGCTACAAGAATATTTTTTCAAAAGTAGAATTCTGATCATGGTGTGTTGCCTTAGTTAAATTCCTCAGGAGAGTCCCATGATGTTCAAACATCACAGCAGGGCCAAGGAGACCCCTCATCATCTCCTGCACACTTGTCTTTCCTTTATTCTCTCCATAGGGATCTGGTGAGCTATTTGACTTCTTTGCAATTCCTCAAATATAGCTTACATATTCACATTTATTTTCACATTTCCTCAAGAGAGAAGTTGCTTCCTTTCTTTTCTCCTCTAGTCATTTGTTAAGAACCTTGCATGTCCTGGCATTTTTTATCCCCTTGTTCCAGGTTGTGAGTTCTCATGTCCAGTTGGCAGCACCAGGTGAAGTTGCAACAAGGGAATCATATCCCCACATGAAGAACACACAGAGACTGATCCTCCTTTGCTCTCACTGGGAGGAAGGTGGGTGGTGAGGTGGGGTTGGGGAGGCAGGGGAAGGGGAGTGTCAGCAGAACAGCAGGTAGCAGGGGATAGTGACCAGGTTGGGGAACCAGCAATGAGGCAGGGGCTCTGAGGCTCCATGGACAGAAGAATGGAGGAAGGATCAACGGGCAGGGAGTGATCTATTTGCCACAGCGCTGTGACCAACCACACCACCCAGCCCTTTCCCTACTTTTTTAAGGTCAACATTTGGTGAGGGCCTTAATGAGCCTGGATTCTGTGCCAAGTACTTCCCTGGAACTGCTCCATTTAATTTTCACAACAATCCTAGGAGTTAGGTACTCATATTAGTCCTATATTTGCTAATTTATTTATTTTTGAGATATAATTCACATTCTATAAAAAATCACCATTTTAAACTGTACAATTCAGTGTTTTTTAGTATATTCACAAGATTGTCCAACCATCACCACTACCTAATTCTAGAATACTTTTATCACCCTCCACCCAAAAACCTCCATATCCATTAGCAGTCACTCCCCCAGCCCCTGGCAGCCACGGATCTACTTTTTGTCTCTATAATTCTAGACATATGTATAAATGGAATTACATGATATATAGTCTTTTGTGTCTGGCTTCTTTCACTTAGCATAATGTTTTTGTGCTTCATGTATGTTGTAGCCTGTGTTGGGTACTTTATTTCTTTTAATGTCTAAATAATATTCTAACATATGGATAGACCACATTTTGTTTACGCATTCATCCCTTGATGGACATTGGAGTTGTTTCCACCTTTTGGCTATTGTGAATAGAGCTGCTATGAGCCCTATTTTGTAGGCAAAGAGGCTGAGGCTCAGAGAGTGTCTCAGTCAGTTCAGGCTGCTGCAACAGAATACCATAGACTGGGTGGATTAAACAATAGGGATGTATTTCTCAAAGTTCTGGAGGCTGAAAAGTTCAAGATCAAAGTGCCGACAGATCTGGTGCCTGGTGAGGGCTCACTTCCTGGATTGTAGATGATTGCCTTCTGGTTGTGTCCTCACATGGCAGAGAGCACTGAGTGGAAGCAAGCTCTCTGGGGACTCTAACAGGGCACTAATCCCATTCATGGGGGCTCCACCCTCATGACCTCGTCTAGTCATAATCACCTCCCAAAGGCCCTACCTCCTAATACCATTACAGTGGGGGCTTGGGCTTCAACATATGAATTTGGCAGCGGGGGGTGGGGGGACAAAAACATTCAATCCATAACAGATATTGATTAAAACACAATAATTAAAAGCATTGCTTTTTGAAACAAACAGACCTAGATTCAAAACTTAGCTTGTTCACTTCCTAGCCTGTGACTTTGGACCCATTATTCATCTTCTTTAACTTCTATAGTCAATATAAAGACAGTAATGTCACTTGAGCATTTAGGTTGGCATGAATACTCTTTATAGTTCACATAAAGGAGTGCTTTCCTCATATTAGGACTTTCATGAAGAGTAATGATGGGACCCTCTGCACTTGGCCCTTCCTAGGTGCCCAATAACTAATTTTGAATGAATAAATGAATACAAAAGCATGATTTGAATTCGGATTTGGTCATTTATCAACTATGTGACCTTGAACAAGTTACTCATCTGCAAAATTGGGGGACAGTAGTTGTTGTGGTTGTACTAGGTGAAATTAAGCGCAAGATCTAGTAGAATTCCCAGAACATGATAAAGGCTCAGTAAATATCAGTTCTTTTCCTTCATCCAACTTAGTATTTCCTCTTTTATTACCGTGCAACATACAGCTTAACCCCACAACTAGGCTTTCAACTGTACATTTATAGTTACCAATAAATTTTCACTTTTGACTTAATAATATTTCTCTTCTATATTATTAGGGAAAGAAAAGTATGGCGTTAAGGATATAATTTGGGAGCTCCTTATTTGAATAAACACACAATGTGTTTATGAAACACTTTTGCTTTCAGCTGAATCTTTATTTTTAGCATTTTTGTTAAGGCAAACTTTGCTAAAGTCAATAATATAAAATTCAAGGCATCAAAACATTCCACTTTTGCAGAAAAGCCTAAATGTAAATTGATTATCTGGTGTTCTCAAGGTCTCTGCTTAGTGAGAGAGGCCAAATCTTAATGGAAAAGTCACTACCATGGGCTCCGTTCATTTGGCAAGGAATGAAAAGTAGGTCAGGGGTCGGCGCAGGGTGAAGGAAAATGTCTTTGAAAGAACTCATCAGATGTCACTCAGGGATTATTAATTTACTGAAAAGTCTACCTTTGGCCTGGGGATTTACTAAAGTTAGAATGTGCTGGATGTTTCCTTTGAACTCTGCATCCAGGCATCCAGAGGAATGCTGGCTCACTTCTGTGCTGCGACCCCACAAACCTGGCCTGTGTTATCAGCCAGCTCTGGCCTGTTGCAGGTTTTTTTCTACACCTGATGATGATGACATGATTCTGCTCAGACTCTTCAGTAATGTCAGGGTCTCAAAGATGAGGGGAAAAGAAAAAAACGATGGCCTTCATGGTGTTTTGGTATTCTGCTGCTGTTACTGGATCATTAGAGTTCTTAAGTCCAAGGAGATGAATGCTACAATAACCATTTAGCACCTGGTGAGAAATGAGACATGCAGTGTGGGAAGAGGGTGAGAGGGTGTTACGGTAGATTACTTAGCAGCAATATAATATAGTAGGAAATTTTCACCACCATGTGCTACTAGCTTTGATAAATCTCATACTGGTTTGCCCATCTTTTCTATTCTCCTGCAAATGGTTTATAGGTATATTTTTATGCTAGGCTAGTGTAAAGTGTCAATTGGTTTGCATTTATCCACTTAAGCACTTTAAGAAATTGTAGCAAATTCAGAGAGACAGAAAGGAGAATGGTGGTTGCCTGGCTTTGGGACAGGCAGAATGGGGATTCGTTGTTTAATGGTTATAGAGTTTCAGTTTTATAAAATGAAAAGAGTTCTGGAGATGGATGATGGTGATAGTTGCACAACAATGTGAATGTACTAAGTGCTACTGAACTCTACACTTAAAAATGATTAAGATGAGAAATTCTATGTTATGTGTATTTTACCACAATTGAAAATAATTTTTAAAATTATGCTGCCAATCCTAAAGCTATTAAAAATGTTAAGTTCAAAAGCACCAGTTTGGGAATGAAGTGCATTGCTCGGATGCTATTTATTATATTTCTGCCACCTATATCATTTTAAAACACAAGTTACATAAGAATGCATGTACTTTCCTTTGCAATCATATAATTATACTTGTGTGAAAAGTGAATGCAGGATTTTTACATTGATGGAAGATTGGTAAAATTTTTATTGGATATTCATACCAGAGATCTCTAGTTGGTACAACTAGCCAAAAAATTTTTAGTGGGTTCCACAGAAAATTAATTTATCTGATCAGCTGAAAATAAATTTAGCAGAATGTGCTATGACACAGTCATTATTCTTGACGGCACAGCTGGTCACCTTTAGCCCTTGATGTTTCAACAAACCATTTAGAGAAGACCTAAGGAAAGTGGTTCTCAAGTGTAGCCCTAGACCACAGCATCAGCATCAGCATCACTTGGGAACTTGCTAGAAACAGCGTTGTTTTTTGTTTGTTTGTTCGAGACAGAGTCTTACTCTGTCACCCAGCCTGGAGTGCAGTGGCACGATCTTGGCCCGCTGCAACCTCCACCTCCTGTGTTCAAGCAATTCTTGTCAGCCTCCCGAGTAGCTGGGATTACAGACATGCGCCACGATGGCCGGCTAATTTTTGTATTTTTAGTAGAGACGAGGTTTCACAATGTTGGCCAGGCTGATCTCAAACTCCTGACCTCAAGTGATCCGCCCACCTTGGCCTCCCAAAGTGCTGGGATTATAGGCATGAGCCACCGTGCCTGACCTAGAAACACAAATTCTTGAGGTCCATCCCAGACCTTCTAAATCAGAAACTCTGGGGATGGGGCCCAGAAATCTGTGTTTTAACAAGCCTGCCAAGTGTTTCTGGTGCATGCTGAAGTTTGATAATCAGTTATCTAAGAAAAGAGTAGGAAATCTATAGCGATCTAAGTTTTTTCTTCTGATGCCTTATGGTGAGATTAAAAAGACATCTGCACCAAGCTTGCAGAATGAGAGTTGGTAGACGGAGAAAACCCAAAATAACTGAAAAACCATTAATCTTTGAAATGGTATGTCAGAACCGAACATGATAAAATGATACCATGTTGTAGGAAAAATCTTACAATTCTGATCCTAGAGTGATTCAGAAGAATCTTTAATCCAGAGTGCAAAGAAGATCCAGAACAAAACTTAGATGTTTTTACTGAAGAGGAAAGTAGTGTTAAGTGTAGGAATAATTAAATATTATGGTGGTTAATCTAAAAAGATTTTAGGCCTTGCTAAGGCAGTTGAAGGGTGATTTTCAGGTACTATTACTTGGATGCAGTTGTGATGTATGCCCCCCTTCTAAAGGAGAGTTGCAAATGGTTTAGTTTTTTGGTGGGGCCAGTCCCAGATCCTAGTCCAAAGTACTGAATGGTTGAGGTCTTAAGAATAATTACGAAGGATTAAGGAGCACCAACCACTCTCTCAGCCTTGACCCACCAGAAGGATGATAACGATTAGAGGGCATTTCTGAGTAAGGTTAGAACATGGTATATTGTTAACATGAAACTCAAGACACCAGGGTTTCCAACACGGCTAAGGTACACTATGTACTTAGGTTTTCATTATATTCTCTCTAGTACCTTCTATATAAAGTTAAACTAACACGAAATCACCTTATCAGCCCTTCCTGGCCCCAGGGTTCAATGTATCTCCTTGCCCTGTAGTCTCCCAGTGTTTCACATATATGTTTGTCTTTGCACCTTAGTAAATGGCCAAATTTTGTTCATAAATCTGAATCACTCCTGAGAGACTTAAACCCTTCAAGACTAGGAAATTCTAGTCTGTCAGCATCCAGGTTTGCATCTAACACACTAAAAGGCTTCAATAAATGTTGTTGAAAGAAAAGAGTTGATTAGGTTTGGCTCTGTGTCCCCACCCAAATCTCATGTTGAATTGTAATCCGCAATGTTGGGGGAGAGAACTGGTGGGAGGTGATTGGATCATGGGGATGGATTTTCCCTTTTCTTTTCTCATGATAGTGAGTGAGTTCTCATGAGATCTGGTTGTTTGAAAGTGGGTAGCACTTCCCCCTTCGATCTCTTTCTTCCTCCTTCTCTCACTATGTAAGACATGCTTGTTTCCCCTTTGCCTTCTGCCATGATTGTAAATTGTAAATTTCCTGAGACCTCCCCAGAAAAAGATGCCTGTGCAGCCTGAAGAACCATGAGTCTATCGAACCTCTTTTCTTTATAAATTACCCAGTCTCAGGTATGTCTTTATAGCAGTGTGAGAATGGACAGGAGTGAATGCATACAGACTAAAGACTGAGATTAGGGATTAGGATTTTAGAGAAACTGTATGAGGTAATGAGTTTTCATGATGTAAAATAATTTTTTAAAACTTAGAGACTGTGTAGTAGAAATCTTTTGGGAGTTTGTGTAGGTCATAAACTATACTCTCCCTTTAAGAACTGTCCAGAAGAATGCAAACATCCATCACTGCTGTGTCCCCAGCATCCAGTCCAGTAGACACTTAATGTGTATTTGTTGAAAGATTGGATCTGTGGATGATCCTCTAGAAAGCCTTGATTATGACATGTTACCATGCCCGCTTTGGCTAAAATGGATTAGATCAGGATTGTACACATGACCCAAACTGAGCCAATGAGATTCTCTTCTGAGAACTTAAATTGGCACTGAAAGACAGTTGGTTGGAGTCTGAGTGTTCTTGAAATGATAACATTTAAGTGGATGATCTTTAAGGTTAGATGCCACATGAAGAAGCAGAAAAAGCCAATCAGTGGGTATGCACTGTATGCACACATGCATACACACGCACACGGCCTTTTAAAATTTTGTTTTACCTCCTTTCTGGTTCTTGTTCCCATTCCCTCCCTGAGGTCCAACTTAATTTCTCCCCTTGGTTCTATGAGACACCCTGCAAATACCCCTTCTGCCTAAACCAGCTCAGTTGATTTTTGCTGCATGCGACCTTGCTGCATGCAACCAAAAACTATTAACAAATATACTATCACAATAATTCATTTTCCTTCCTTAGACATTTCAACATTTGTAAGATTTAAAAATCACCCCAGTAAATACTTGTGTTAATTTGAATTGATTTCTATTTCCTTGGACTTCAGCTATTTTGAAATGCCTACTTGGCCTCCTTCCATCTTTTGAAAAGCAAAGCAAAACAGAAAGAACCACAAGCCACTAGCTGATGTGCACTCTTAAGGTCTGTGTATAAATTATGCCTTTGAAACACTTGGAATCTTCCTGGGGAACCATTTCCCAGCAGGGGAAGAAAAACTAACAAGTTTCAGAAGTAAACTGGAAATATTACTCATTGCTATGGAAAAGTGCAGCTTTGTAGTAACCAAAGAAGTAAAAACAAATGAATTATCTTTAATGGCAGGATACATAGTAGTCAAGAATGGGGACCTGGGACCAGATGACCTGTTTATATGTTACAATCCCCCAACTGGAGGGTACACGTTGTAAAACTAGTGTCTAGTGTCTGGTTCTTCTCTTTGCCCCCCTTTGCTCTCAGAGGAGGGTATCACTTTAGAAGGTATTCCTTAGATGTTTTTTGAACAAAGACTGAATGATGAAAGAAAGGATAGTGATTAAGTTTGGAGATCAGACTCAGGGAAACTGCCTGGTTCCAGCACTCCTATCTGTGTGACCTCAGGTGTGTTACTTAACTTGTCCTTGTCTTGGTTTCTATAACTCTAAAATGAGGATGGTAGTAGACCTTTTTTTATAGTGCTGGTGAGAGTATTAAATGAGTGAATTTATGCAAAACATAGAATTCAATGCCTGCAAAGGAGAAGGCAGGCAGTAAATGTTTTAAATCATTATGTTAAGATAATAGCTTTTCACTGTTGTATTTCCTCTGCTTTTAAATTTTATAAAAATGTTGGAAGGAAGAGAATTAGGGACATTTGGCCTGTAAAATAAAGATATTAAAGAAATATATCCCTGTGTAAGGTACAGTAAAAATGTATTTACTTGTTCCCCCCAAAAATGAAATTTTAAGGGAGAATATCAATATAAACATGACGTGCAACACAAAATTTTAGACCTTAAAAACATCTAAACTTAAAAAGCTCATGGGATGGGCCACATAAGAGGTAAGTTTGGGTGCAAATATTAGATCCTCCATTTTACAGCCAGAAAGCTTGATGAGTTTCTTTGGCTCAAGGGGATCAGCTCAGGTTGGACTCGTCCTGGTAGTTGTAGTGGGAGGTATTGTTCTGGTGTCAAATCAACCAGGGTCCTCTCCTCATGCTTCACTCTTGCCATGCATGGTGCAAATCTAAGGATCACTCCCTACCTTCCCCATGAGTCCCTGAATAATGTGCCAGGAAATACTGCTTTTTGTGGTCCTCCTCCTCATCATCAAGCAATTGAATTATTCCATCTTGAATTGATTCTTCATCTTAAATTACTTTCAGTCCTTTTGGCTGCAGATATTTATGTATTTGTGGCTCCTTGGGCAGCTTGTCTCAGTGTAAATGGGCTCCTTTATCTCTGTTAGGGTCGCCCTTTACTCCGTATGTCATCTTTTGAATGTCTTTCCGAGGATTTGACTGGGAATGCTCATTCTGTTGGCGCAAACACATGGTTATATGATGACAAGGAGACGGGGCTGACTGGCAAGATGATTATAATGACTGTTACTGTCTAGTCTAGGAAGGCGGGCTCATCAGGACAGTGTGCTAATAAAAGTAAGATTGTAGGTTTAGAACCCACATCAGCCAGATTGTTCTACTCTGTTCTACTTGTTCTTTTCCAAACTTTGGCCTTCCCAATGCCAATTATGTGTTTTTTGTTTTGTTTTGTTTTGTTTGTTTTTTAGATAACAATAGGTTAGGTGGGAGAGTGTGGATGAATCAGGGACAATCTTTCCATCTGCTGCACAAATAAACCAGACATGCTAGCACCATATTCCCATGCAGAGGGTGCAGCATTGTGACAACACAGGATTAGTTCACTGTGGATGGTAAAGGTGGTAAAGGCATGTATACTCTATCGCATCCTCCTTCTATGTGGTACTGCCAAGAGCTACAATTCCAGACTCTCTTGCAGCTACAGTCCAGGTCTGCCTTATGTTCCACTAATCAGATGCACTCATGAGAAATTTAGAAGGCAGGAATGAGGTAATGCTGGCTTCTGCTCTTTGCCATAGTTGGCAAAACTAGTTGTGAACACGTTGATGTTTTCTGTTTCTGAATTACTGAAGATCCCAGCATGCAGGTTGACAGGCAGGGCACAAGACATTCCTTTTGTTTTGTTTTCTTTTCATTTTGGTTCAGACGTAGCATGAATGCTGCAGCCCCTGGAGCCAACAGTTCCAGAGGTGACTTCTTGATCTCCATCTTCCTGATTAAGAAAGAAGAGGCAGTGTGCCACTGGACTAGCTCTGCAGTGCATCCCAGAGATGGCTCCTGCTTTTTTTTTTTTTTTTTTGAGACAGAGTCTCCTTCTGTTGCCCAGGTTGGAGTGCAGTGGCATGATCTCGGTTCACTGCAACCTCTGTCTCCCAGGTTCAAGCAATTCTCCTGCCTCAGCCTCCTGAGTAGCTGGGATTACAGGCACCTACCACCATGCCCGGCTAATTTTTTATATTTTTAGTAGAGATGAGGTTTCACCATGTTAGCCAGGTTGGTTTCCAACTCCTGGCCTCAAATGATCCACCCACCTCGGCCTCCCAAAGTGCTAGGATTACAGGCATGAGCCACCGTGCCTGGCCCCAAAGCCTGCTCTTGAGGTACAAGGACCCTGCTTGTGCTCCATGGACACAATGTAAGCAGAAGTTACCAGCACACAGTAGTTTCCTAAGCAGTTGCTCTACATACAAATGTTAGTAAATGCTTAACTAATTCAACATATGTTTATGGGACTCCTAATGCTGAGAGGCTGCTTAGCTGGTTCTGGAATCCATTTTATCATTATGCACTCTTTGACTTCGATTTTGGCTTCCTCATTTGTAAAATGAGGAACAATAATTTCACCCACCTTATAGGATTGTATGAAAAGGTAAAGAAAATGATGCATGCAGAGGACCAGCTATGGCCCCTGGCTTGGAGGAAGTACTCAATAATGTTACTTATCGATATGGTATTTATTTTGTGTTAGGTGCTAGAACACAAAAATAAACACAGCAGACTTGGTCTCTGACCTGGTGGAGCTTGCAGTGGATGGGGGGAAGGCAGACATTCAAGTAAGGCTAAAAGTGCAATAATTACCATGATAGAGGAATACATGATATTGGGGGGCACACAGCAAGGACATCAAAACCAGCCTAGAGGAGAGATGGTGGGAGGAGGAGGGGCAGAAAGGTGGGGTCTGATATAGTTTGCTGAAAAACAGTTGGTCAAGAGCTACCTTGCTTAGAGCTCTTGCCGATGGCCAAATTGCCTAGTGGCCAATTTATCAAAGTTTATAAGTTTACTAAACACTTATCTTAAGAATATTTTAGGGAAAGAAAAATAACTTTCTGTTTTCAACCCTCATAAATTCTTAGTGGGAATGGACCCTTGTAACATAAGACAGAATAACAAGAGAAAAACAGAAGTTTAACATTCATATTTCGTATATACATGGAAGACATTCAGAGAATGCGTAGTTCTCAAAGAGGCTTTGAGTTTCAGCTTATGTTGCATCTTCAACAAAGAACAAAAATTTTCAGAGAAGTGACAAGACAAAGGAAAAGAACTTTGAGTCTCTCGGGACAGCAACTTGTGGCTAGGCAAATAACTGGCAGATAAAGTCTACTTAGGAAAGTTTGTTGGTGTAGATTCCTCTGGTACCATCTTCAGGCTGATAAGGGTCTAGAGTTGTTTTTAGTGGTTAACACTTGTTCTTCCTGGTAGAAAGGGGACAAGATACCTTTGTCTTTATAAATCTTTGTCTTTCTTTTAGGCAAATAAGATAACTTTCCTGCATCTGCTTCTTCTTGCTTGCCTTCACTCAACAATCTTGTATATTTTGGGGTGGCATTTTCTTGTCTCCTAGAAAATTCTCCTTGAATCTTAGTCAACTGATGTATTTTCCATAGACACAATAACTTGCTAAAAGTTCTGAGTTTTTGGGCAGTTTCAACTTCATGAAGATATTTTTCATTAATGTTGCTATTTGTGAAAACCATGTTAATGAAGTTATTTATTAAATATATTAATAATTATAAGGATTTTATATTTTGAATTTATTGAATATATTCTTGAATATATTCTAACGCATAATTATTCAATATTTTTACTTACTATGGTTAAGAAGGCTATAATTCCAAGAATACAACATTTATTTTCATTGACCATATTAAAGAAAACTATTCCTTAAAGGGAGATTTCAGCCAATGAGTAATTTTGGCAAATTCAATCAGTTGGTCATTTGGCAAATTAAAAATTTTGCAAATTGATCCTTCAGTTAATTGGCTTTAAACAAACTGGTCATCTGGTATATGGTGTATTTGGCTAATTGGACATGACTTCTTTCAAATTCTATTCATGCGTGGTCACTATGCATCTGTTCTTCAATTTATGTATAGACAGTAAAACATGTAGTTGTGTTGCCTCCTTGTCTCCCAGTAGTAAATTCACAGGATATTATACAGAATAGATAATTGGAAGAGAGAATTGGCCAATGAAAATGAAAGTGTGGCAAAGAAATGAAACATGATGACATTGGAAATGAAATTGGAATCAAACATAAAAGGAGTTAACAACAGAAATAGCTGACTGTGGGAACACCAATGCTTCTACCATTAGAGAGCCTGTAGACCTGCAACTAGAGGAATTTAGTGAAGGGAAACTTATGGATGTAAATGAGGAATGTGGTTGAGACAAGAAGAATGAAGATGCCGCAGAGGAAGAAATGCCAACAAAACAAAAAAACTTCACCCTAAAGGAATTCACAGAGACAATTCATGATGTTGAAGATACAAAGGATAAAATGTTAAAAGTGGATTCAAAGTTAGAAAAGGATATGACAATTTTCCCAGGCAAGGTACTTTGTATTGTAGGTTACATAATGGTGTTTTACAAATAAATAAAACACTTTAATTTTCTATGTTTTAAATTACAGTGTACTAAATATTAGCTTTAGTATTTTTCATTTCCTTATGCATTTGTAACTGACATTAAGAGAGTTTTAAAGCTTTTTAATTAGTATTTGTATACATTTAAGTGGTACAAGTACAACTTTGTTACTTGAATATATCTTGTGGTGGTGAAGTCTGGGCTTTTAGTGTAACCATCATCCAAATAATGTATACTGTATCCATTAATTTCTCAGAAATCAGTAGTATTCCTATACAACAACATCCAAGCTGAGAGCCAAATCAGGAACACAATCCCATTCACAATTGCCACAAAAAGAATAAAATACCTAGCAGTACAGTTAACCAGGGAGGTGAAAGATCTCTACAATGAAAATTACAAAACGCTGCTCAAAGAAATCAGAGATGACAGAAACAAATGGAAAAACATACTGTGCTCATGAATGGAAGAATCAATATTGTGAAAATGGCCATACTACTGGAAGCAATGTACAGATTCAACACTATTCTTATTTATTTATTTATTTATTTGTTTATTTATTTATTTTTTAGACATAGTCTCGCTCTGTCGCCCAGGCTGGAGTGCAGTGGCACGATCTCGGCTCACTGCAAGCACTGCCTCCTGGGTTCACGCCATTCTCCTGCCTCAGCCTCCTGAGTAGCTGGGACTACAGGTGCCTACCACCATGCCCGACTAATTTTTTGTATTTTTAGTAGAGACGGGGTTTCACCATGTTAGCCAGGATGGTCTCAATCTCCTGACCTCGTGATCCACCAGCCTCAGCCTCCCAAAATGCTGGGATTACAGGCATGAGCCACTGCGCCCAGCCTATACTACCACTGACATTCTTCACAGAACTAGAGAAAAACTATTTTAAAATTCATATGGAACCAAAAACGAGCCCAAATAGCCAAGGTGACCCTAAGCAAAAAGAATAAAGCTGGAGGTGTCACGTTACCTGACTTTAAGCTATACTACAGGGCTACAGTAATCAAAACAGCATGGTACTAGTACAAAAACAGACACATAGACCAATGGAACAGAATAGAGAGCTCAGAAATAATGCCACACACCTACAACCATCTGATCTTCAACAAAGCTAACAAAAACGAGCAATGGCGAAAGGACTCCCTATTCACTAAATGGTGCTGAGTTAGCTGGATAGCCATATGCAGAGGATTGAAATTGAACTCCTTCCTTACACTGTATAAAGAAATCAACTTAAGATTGATTAAAGACTTACATGTAAAACTCCAGACTATAAAAACCCTGGAAGATAACTTGGGCCATTCTGGACATAGGAACTGGCAAAGATTTCATGATGAAGACACCAAAAGCAACTGCGACAGAAGCAAAAAGTGACAAATGGTATCTAATTGAACTAAAGAGCTTCTGCACAGCCAAAGAAACTATCAACAGAGTAAGCAGAAAACCTAAAGAATGGAAGAAAATATTTGCAAACTATGCATCTGACAAAGGTCTAATATCCAGAATCTATAAGGAACTTAAATTTACAAGTGAAAACCAAACAACCCCATTAAAAAGTGGGCAAGGACATGAACAGACAATTTTCAAAAGAAGACATATATGTGACCAACAAGCATATTAAAAAATGCTCAACATCACTAATCATTAGAGAAATACAAATCAAAACCACTATGAAATACCATCTTACACTAGTCAGAAGGGCCATTATAAAAAAGTCAAAAAAATAACACATGCTGGTGAGGTTGCAGAGAAAAGGAAATGCTTATACACTGTTGGTGGGAGTGTAAATTAGTTCAACCATTGTGGAAAGCAGTGTGGCATTCCTCAAAGAACTGAAAACAGAACTACCATTTGACCCAGCAATCTCATTACTGAGTATATTCCCAAAGGCGTATAAATTTTTCTACCATAAAGACACATGCACACTCATGTTCATTGTAGCAATATTCACAATAGCAAATCAACCTAAATGCCCATCAACAGTAGACTGGATAAGAAAATGTGGTACAAATACACCATGGAATACTATGCGGCCATAAAGAAGAATGAGATCGTGTCTTTGCAGGAACATGGATGGAGCTGGAGGCTATTACCCTGAACAAACTAATGCAGGAACAGAAAAACAAATACCTAATGTTCTTACTTATAAGTGGGAGCTAAATAATGAGAACCAATGGGCACAAAGAGGAAAACAACAGACATTGGGGCCCACTTGAGAAAGGAGGGTGGGAGGAGGGAGAGGATCAGGAAAAATAACTATTGGCTGCTATGCTTAGTACTTGGGTGATGAAATTATCTGTTCACCAAACTCCTGTGACATCAGTTTACCTATATATTAATAACAAACCAGCACATGCACCCCTGAACCTAAAATAAAAGTTTATTTAAAAAGTAATTTCTCATCCCTTACTCCACTCCCACTCTCCCACCCTTCCAAGTCTCTAATGTCTATCATTCCACACTCTGTCCATGTGCACACATTACTTAGCTCCCACTTATAAGTTAGAACATGCAGTATTTGTTTTTCCGTTTCTGAGTTGTTTCACTTAAGATTTTCTGTTTCTGAGTTGTTTCACTTAAGATTTTCTGTTTCTGAGTTGTTTCACTTAAGATAATGGCCTCCAGTTCCTTCCATGTTGCTGCAAAAAACATGATTGCATTCTTTTTGTGGCTGACTAGTATTACATTGTGTGTATATATCACAATTTTTTTTAAATTGTATTATTATACTTTAAGTTTTAGGGTACATGTGCACAATGTGCAGGTTTGTTACATATGTATACATGTGCCATGTTGGAGTGCTGCACCCATTAACTCATCATTTACATTAGGTATATCTCCTAATGCTATCCCTCCCCCTTCCCCCCACCCCACAACAGTCCCCAGAGTGTGATGTTCCCCTTCCCGTGTCCATGTGTTCTCATTTTTCATTTCCCACCTATGAGTGAGAACATGCGGTGTTTGGTTTTTTGTCCTTGTGATAGTTTGCTGAGAATGATGGTTTCCAGTTTCATCCATGTCCCTACAAAGGACAGGAACTCATCATTTTTTATGGCTGCATAGTATTCCATGGTGTATATGTGCCACATTTTCTTAATCCAGTCTATCGTTGTTGGACATTTAGATTGGTTCCAAGTCTTTGCTATTGTGAATAGTGCCGCAATAAACATACGTGTGCATGTGTCTTTATAGCAGCATGATTTCTAATCCTTTGGGTATATACCCAGTAATGGGATGGCTGGGTCAAATGGTATTTCTAGTTCTAGATCCCTGAGGAATCGCCACACTGACTTCCACAATCGTTGAACTAGTTTACAGTCCCACCAACAGTGTAAAAATGTTCCTATTTCTCCACATCCTCTCCAGCACCTGTTGTTTCCTGACTTTTGAATGATTGCCATTCTAACTGGTGTGAGATGGTATCTCATTGTGGTTTTGATTTGCATTTCTCTGATGGCCAGTGATGATGAGCATTTTTTCATGTGTTTTCTGCCTGTGTAAATGTCTTCTTTTGAGAAGTGTCTGTTCATATCCTTGGCCCACTTTTTGATGGGGTTGTTTGATTTTTTCTTGTAAATTTGTTTGAGTTCATTGTAGATTCTGGATATTAGCCCTTTGTCAGATGAGTAGGTTGCAAAAATGTTCTCCCATTTTGTAGGTTGCCTGTTCACTCTGATGGTAGTTTCTTTTGCTGTGCAGAAGCTCTTTAGTTTAATTAGACCCCATTTGTCAATTTTGGCTTTTGTTGCCATTGCTTTTGGTGTTTTAGATATGAAGTCCTTGCCCATGCCTATAGTATTGCCTAGGTTTTCTTCTAGGGTTTTTATGGTTTTAGGTCTAACATTTAAGTCTTTAATCCATCTTGAATTAATTTTTGTATAAGGTGTAAGGAAGGGATCCAGTTTCAGCTTTTTACATATGGCTAGCCAGTTTTCCCAGCACCATTTGTTAAATAGGGAATCCTTTCCCCATTGCTTGTTTTTGTCAGATTTGTCAAAGATCAGATAGTTGTAGATATGTGGCATTATTTCTGAGGGCTCTGTTCTGTTCCATTGGTCTATATCTCTGTTTTGGTACCAGTACCATGCTGTTTTGGTTACTGTAGCCCTGTAGTATAGTTTGAAGTCAGGTAGCATGATGCCTCCAGCTTTGTTCTTTTGGCTTAGGATTGACTTGTGGGCTCTTTTTTGGTTCCATATGAACTTTAAAGTAGTTGTTTCCAATTCTGTGAAGAAAGTCATTGGTAGCTTGATGGGGATGGCATTGAATCTATAAATTACCTTGGGCAGTATGGCCATATTCATGATATTGATTCTTCCTACCCATGAGCATGGAATGTTCTTCCATTTGTTTGTATCCTCTTGTATTTCATTGAGCAGTGGTTTGCAGTTCTCCTTGAAGAGGTCCTTCACATCCCTTGTAAGTTGGATTCCTAGGTATTTTATTTTCTTTGAAGCAATTGTGAATGGGAGTTCACTCATGATTTGGCTCTCTGTTTGTCTGTTATTGGTATATAAGAATGCTTGTGATTTTTGTACATTGATTTTGTATCCTGAGACTTTGCTGAAGTTGCTTATCAGCTTGAGATTTTGGGCTGAGACAGTGGGGTTTTCTAGATATACAATCACGTCATCTGCAAACAGGGATAATTTGACTTCCTCTTTTCCTAATTGAATACCCTTTATTTCCTTCTCCTGCCTGACTGCCCTGGCCAGAACTTCCAACACTATGTTGAATAGGAGTGGTGAGAGAGGTCATCCCTGTCTTGTGCCAGTTTTCAGAGGGAATGCTTCCAGTTTCTGCCCATTCAGTATGATATTGGCTGTGGGTTTGTCATAGATAGCTTTTATTATTTTGAGATACATCCCATTGATACCTAATTTATTGAGAGTTTTTAGCACAAAGTGTTGTTGAATTTTTTCAAAGGCCTTTTCTGCATCTATTGAGATAATCATGTGGTTTTTGTCTTTGGGACATTTTCGTTATTCAGTCATCTGCTGGATACTTAGGTTGCATCCATATCTTTGCTATTGTGAATAGTGCTGTAATAAACATACCCATGCAAAATCATTATATTTCGATATAATTATTTCTTTTCCTTTGGGTAGATACTCAGTAGTGGGATTGGTGGTTAAAATGGTAGTACTATTTTTAGTCATTTGAGAAATCTTCATACTGTTTTCCATAGAGGTTGTACTAATTTACATTCCCACCAGAGTGTATAACAGTTCCATTTTCTCTGCATCCTTATCAACATCTATTATTTTTTGACTTTTTAGGAATAGCCATTTTGACTGGTGTAAGATGATATCTCATTGTGGTTTTGTCATTTCTCTCATGATTAGTGATGTTGAACATTTTTTCATCTGCTTGTTGGCCGTTTGTATTTCTTCTTTTGAAATATGTCTATTCATGTCCTTTGCCTACTTTAATGGGCTTATTTCGGGCTTTTTTTGTGTGTGTGTGTGATGGAGTCTTGCTCTGTCACCCAGGCTGGAGTGTAGTGGCACCATCTCGGCTCACTGCAACCTCTGCCTCCTGGGTTCAAGTAATTCTCCTGCTTCAGCCTCCCAGGTAGCTGGGATTACAGGCACGTGCCACCACGCCCGGCTAATTTTTTGTATTTTTAGTAGAGACAGGGTTTCACCATGTTAGCCAGGATGGTCTCGATCTCCTGACCTCATGATCCACCTGCCTCGGCCTCCAAAGTGCTGGGATTACAGGCATGAGCGACCGCACCCGGCCTATTTGGGGCTGTTTATAATTGTTGAGTTCCTTGTAAATTTTGGATATTAGTTTCCTGTTGGATGCATAATTGCAGATATTTTTTCCCATGCTGCAGGTTGTCTTTTCACTCTGTTCATTCTTTCTTTTGCTGTGCAGAAGCTTTTTATTTAAATTAATCCCATTTGTCTATTTTTGGTTTTGTTGCTTGTACTTTTGAGGTCTTAGTCATCAGTTCTTTCCCTAGACCAATGTCCAGGGGAGTTTTCCCTAGGTTTTCTTTTAGCATTTTTTTTTCATAATTTCAGATCTTACATTTAAGCCTTTAATCCACCTTGAGTTGGTTTTTGTATGTGGTAAGAGATAGGGGTCCAGTTTTGTTTTTCTGCATATGGCAATTCAATTTTCCCAGCGCCATTTATTGGAAAGGGTGTCCTCTACCTTGTGTATATTTTTGTTGACTTTGTCAAAGATCAGTTGGCTGTAGATATGTAGCTTTATTTCTGAGTCTTTAATATTTTGATGTAAAGTTTATAATTTCCAGCATAATCATAATTTTCCCTGTTGATTGTTAAGATCACTTTGCACAGTTTCAGCTTGCAAGGTCACTTTTACAGTCCTGAGCTACTGTGCAAAGGATGACTTCCTGCACTTAAAATTAGGCAGAAGAGGAATAAAACCTAGGTCTGTTGTTTTTCTTGCATTCTGTTTGATGTTCCCACTTCAGGATATACATAAAATTCAAGCATTTTGCATTATAAGTTCTGACTTTTGGGAAATTGCAGTGCAGTGAAATGGACACCATTTCTCTCCTTTCTCTGGCAGTCAATTCAACTAAAACAGGTGGTGAGGAACAGAGTATTGTACTCATGAAACATGAGAGAGAATTTTGATGACATCTGGAAGAATGTTATCTAATGCTAATGCTGATTTTCTTGTGTGCTTCATGATTGCCCGTTGGTGGAGCGGAGCAGTACTCTTAATACCGTCAAGAACAATTTTCTCCTTGAGTAATCTTGTCTAAAAGTGTTCTCCCTGATTAGTTATTTTTCATCATTATTAGAATTTAAGTACTGTATTTAAGTCAGACTTATACAATCTGGGATGTAACCTGTAGTTGTCATTGTAAAAAGATAAACAGACACGAAACCCTTATACACCTGATTAAATGAAAGGAAACCAAGAATAAGAGATATTTATACAAAGATATTAATATGAATATTCGCATGCATGCTGCATAACCCACCAAGCTGGTTCTACAATAGAATGCACTAAAATATTCTATATTTTATGACAGTCTCTCTTAACGAAATGAAATTATTTCTATTAACTATTTGAAAGTATGTTGGTTAGCTATAAAATTGCACTAGTAGTTCTCAGGGATTTTTCTCTCTAAACATCCCCAAAGTTGGGGCACTGTTGTGTCATTAACAAGGCTCCCAACATCAGTGTCGCTTTCACTCGAAGAGGGCAACAAAAATCTCTGAAGGAGATCATAGTTTGAACCACCGTCCAGGTGGGTTTGACATGGTGACCCTCCTAATGAGTTGTCCCCCCTCCCCTCACCACACACATGCTATAGTTGGGTCACTGATCTGGAGCATGCAAGAGTTGATAAAATTCCAGCATCCTTCACATTTGAAGACTTGGAGTCCATGTTGCAGCTTACCTCTGCTTAACCTCTAATGTGCATTTAACCTAGAGCTCTGTATTTCCTCCTCTGAAATGCCTCTGCCCTGGGTTTTCTAATAGATTAAATAGAATAATTCACACACACATGCTTTTAGCTGTTAATTGGAGATATGTTTTGTGTGAGATATATCTTTCTACCAAAATGTCTACCTGTCTAAAACTTTCCATTAGGATTTGCAAGATTGGGTTAAACCATTTATGAACTGTCTTATGTTAAGCACAAATTCCCTAGAAGATTGCATTCATCCTCAAAGTAAATTTATTTTTAATATTATTTAACAATGTCCTGAGGAAATGGGACAGATAAAAAGTCAATTTAGTGTTGGAGAAGGAAATAATACGTCTAAAATATAGGGGTATGTTGCAGGAAAATTTTCCCTGAGCCGACGTCATTAATTTGTAGCCCTCTATGTCACTTTCCTCAGCACATCCAAATGGTTCGTCTGAACTAAGCACTTTAAGAGTTGGCTCTTACAAATCCAGTAAATAATACTATTCATTGGTATGGGAACAAATGACAGAAGCAGAGTTGATATGATGAGCCAGCCATGGTGTCTCCTAATCCTGATCCCAGAGTGGACATGTAACATTGTATCTGTATAATGTGGATGATACCAGTTGGGAGATAATTCTCCATGACTACTTTCATTTTTCTACATGGTTCAGGTTTTCTAAGCAAAGGCCTTGGAAACTAGAGCTATTGTTTCCCTAAAGTTCGAGCCATTGGCCTACACATTCAGGGTGGTGAAGCTAGAGACCTTCCCCTACCCCATAATGGGTGAGATTGCTTAATGAGTCATCTTTCTCCCTTTTTGGAGGGGAGGATGGGCAGAAGTGCCAGCAGGAGATAGATATCAGCTTCAGGTCTCCTAATTGTTGGGTTACAGGTAACATGTGGTGTTCATTCCATTGCCCCATGGGGATTAGGGCTTGGGGAACTGGTGCTTAGATTACTCTGGCTGTTTTTGTCCTAGTTAATAGATTGTCTGTTCTCTAATCCAGAAAGCCTCTTGCCTCCCATCAGAACAAGCCAGATAAGATCTCAGACTCTTCCGTTTCTGACTTAATATGTACTGAGTGGAGTTGTTATGGGTGTTTGATCATATAGGCATGGAGGAGCTAAAAGTTTTAGTTTCCTCTTACCTTTCCCAATGATAAACTAATAGGAGCTAACCATTGTTATGTTTTATTATGGGGCAGACATCGTGTTAAGTATTTTCCATGCACTTTCTTATTTAATTCTCAAAACAACATTAGGAGGCAAGTAAACCACTATGCAGATTTTTTTTTTTTTAAGATGAGGACACTAAGGCTCAGAGAGTTGAATTAACTTGTTCAGAGCCACAAGGGCTTGTCAGTGGCAAAGCAGGAATTCAACTCAGTCCCTGAGAAAGCAGCATCTAAATCCCTAACCACTTATACTTTCATGCTCCTGGGATGCAATCTCTGATTTTCCTATAGATTTGTAGAACATGACCCTGTAAACATAAGGTTACAAAAGAACCATTTGAGCCATTTGATGCTACCCTATTTAATAATTTATATGCTCTTGTGCACATGGGTATTTCCTTATTTAGAGTCTAATCTATGAAGTTAATGGGGGTGAAACTACATCAGAATTGCCATCTGCCAGCCTCCCTACTGCAGTATGACATTAACATGGTAATGGCTGATTCCCAATAGGGAGTCTGTTAAAAATTATCCAGGGCCTTTGCAAAGCCGCCAGCACTCCTGACTGACCACTGTGATCTTGGAAATCTACTTATTCCAACAAAATATTATAATAAGCCCTCTACATTTGAGGATTAGGAAAAACTGTTTCAAATGGCTTAGTTAAAAGCTGAGAGGGAGAGAGAAAGGGAGAGAAAGGGGGATAAGGAAAGAAAACAAAAGAAAAAAGAACATGGGCAGGGAGTGGGAGGGAGTAGCAAGAAAGGAAAGAGGGGGAGGAAGCTGAGGGAGCAAGGTAACAGGGCTGGTCAAAGTTGGTATTGATTGAGGATTTAAGGAAATGGACCAGGGGACAGCAAATTAGAAATACATAATGCATAGAGAATCTACCTTCTGGACCAGTCCTAGATCTAAGATCTCACAGAAAGCCTGGAATCCACAAGTTTACTTTTAGTGCTAGAAAAGTTTTCATGAAACTCTGCAGAAAGGCCTGGGAAATTTTCTTTTAGGATCACGTCTACCCTAAAGAAATCAGCAAGGTGTTTTCCATAGCCCGAGGTAGGACTTCTAGACTCCTGATTTTCCAGATTATTCTTCTGTCAAATAATGCCAATATAAAGAGAAAATTAGAGGGGGAAAATACCACTATTAGGGAAAGAAAAGTAGGTAGAAAGTTCTTGAAAAATAGCCAAAGCAAAGAAAGACACCATGAGTGATTGGGAGTTATAGGGAACTTTTAAAATTTGAGGTTCAAAAAAAATACTACCTGAAAAAGAAAGTAGCTCCTCCTCTTCCTCCTCCTCCTCCCCCTCCTCTCCTCCTCCTCTCCTCCTCCTCCTCCTTCTGTCCTCCTCCTCCTCCCTCTCCCTCTCCTTCTCTTTCTCTTTCTCCTTCTTCTTCTCTTCTTCCTTCTTTCTTTCTTCTTCTCCTTCTCCCTCTTCTTCTCTTTCTTTCTTCTTCCTCCTCCTTTTTTGCATTTCCATATTGCCTTGGAGATCAGGAACAGTAGGGAGCTGCTAGACCAAGTTCTCTATCTCTCTGAGACCTTATAAGGTTTGAGGGAATCCGCTCTGTCAAATAGCTCACCTGAATTGCAAACGAGATTTTGCAGATGATTATAGACATCTAAAACTCCAGGTTGTATTTACATGGGATCTTTGTTTTAAGAAACATTAATCTGCATATGTAACAAAATAGACTAAGGCTGTGTTTGTGTTTGCTACACATTTCTCCAATACATCATCACAGTTTCCAAACTGTCAAGGTACAGATGGGTAACAAACTTCCTACCCTTGTCCAAAAGGAGAACTATGAGACATCCCAATTTATGTTTCTAGGGCTTTCAGTGAGAAATGCTGGGTCACATCAGATTTCTTCAATGTATTCATTTCCTACTGCAGGTGTAACAAAATGCCACAAACTTAGTGGCTTAATGTAATACAAATTTATCTTATAGTTCTGGATGTCAGAAGTCTAAAATAGATCCACAGGGCTGCATTTCTTCTAAGGTTCTAGGGGAGAATTTGTTTCTTTGCCTTTTCCAGCTTCTGGAGGTTGCCCACATTTCTTGGCTCATAGCCCCTTCCTTCCTCTTCAAAGCCAGCAGTGTAGCAACGTCTCTCCTCTGGAACTCCGCTTGTATCATTATATTCTCTCTCTCTCTCTGTCTCTCTCTCTCTCTGTCTCTCTCTCTCTCTCCCTCTCCCTCCCTCTCCCTCTCCCCCCTCCCTCTCTTTCTCTCTTTCTTCACCCCCCTCTCTAATAAGAACCCCATGTGATTATATTGAACTCACTTGAATAATTCAGGATAATCCTCTCATCTCAAAACCCTTAACTCAATCACATTTCTAAAGTCTCTTTTACCATGTCAGGTAACATAGTCACAGATTCGGGGGATTAGGGTATGAACATCTGTGGAGTCATTATTCAGCTTATCGAATGCAGTCTTACATGAGGGTGACATGTTAAAATTCAAGTTATATGAATACATTTTCCATTAAAAAACATATGTATTAATATCTCATATATTGATGTAAAAATATATATTCTCTTTAGCACTTATTATAGCTGTTTTAATGTCATTTGAGTTTTGGTTCTCCAGCTGAAAGGCATGGAATATGTAGTCCAGAAAACAGAGGTGCTGCTATATTTTTCTTATTTCTTGACTTGTAATTTATTAGCTAAGAAATTCTTCTCAGGCCACATGCCTGGATAAAAGAATAGTGGCAGGGTCCTTAGTTCTCAATATCGATCTATAGATATCTAGATATTGACATACAGATATTCAAATATTGATGTACAGATGTAGGATTTGTTCTAAATATTGACATACATCTAGATATTGACATACAGAGATTTCAGTAACAGTAAAAATACAACACCTATCTATAATTGATCACCAATTCTGCTTGGAATTGGACTGGGTATTTTTCACACATTATCTCATTATTTTTATTATTGTTATTTTTTGAGACAGAGTCTCACTCTGTCGCCCAGGCTGGAGTGCAGTGGTGGGATCTCTGCTCACTGCAACCTCTGCCTCCTGGGTTCAATCAATTCTTGTGCCTCAGCCTCCTGGGTAGCTGGGATTACAGGAGTGCCTCACCATACCTAGCTAAGTTTTGTAGAGTCTTTAGTAGAGACAGAGTTTCACAATGTTGGCCAGGCTGGTCTTGAACTCCTGACCGCAGGTGATCTGCCCACCTCAGCCTCCCAAAGTGCTGGGATTACAGGTGTGAGCCACTGCACCTGCCTCATTTATTATTTACCAGAATTATCTGAGGCCGGTATACATACCTTGATTTTACATATGGGGCAACTGAGGATAAGAAAGAATAAGTAACTTGCTCAAAGTAAAAAACTGATTGTAGTTAGTTGCAATCTCAAGAGAAAGACCTACTGTTCTTTCAGAAAGGGGAGTGTGGAGACCCCTCCCCAGTCATATGCAGACACAAATTCGTGTTCTTTAATTTGGCTGATGAGTTTTTTAAGGCACAGGCAAGATCTCTGAATGGGAGTTAACCAGTTGCATTTTGAAAATATGAAGCATCTGGGTCAGGCACAGTGGCTCACGCCTGTGATTCCAGCACTTTGGGAGGCCGAGGCAGGCAGATAGCTTGAACCCGGGAGTTTGAGGCCAGCCTGGGCAATGTGGCAAAAGCCCATCTCTACAAAAAATACAAAATTAGCTGGATGTGGTGGCACATGCGTGTAGTCCCAACTATTTGGAAGGCTGAGGTGGGAGGATCACCTGAGCCTGGAAAGTTGAGGTTGCAGTGAGCTGAAATCGCACCACTGCACTCCAACCTGGGCGACAGAGCAAGACCCTGTCAAGGAGAAGGAGAAGGAGATCTGTATGAACATTAGATACTTCAAACATAGTTCATCTTTGTTACTCCCCAGTCTTCCCTCCTCCCCTCTTCATTTTATTTTAGTTTATTATTTTATTTTATTTTTGAGTTGCCTCAGTTCTTGTAGTTGAAATGGCTTGACAGTCATTACTGTTGTGTGAATTTGCTGTTTGATTTGATTGTTTCCTCAGTTCTCACAAATGATGGTAACCTCTCCTTGTTGCCTTCCTCTTTTTTTTAAGCTACTGAAAAAAGCTCTCTCCCTGAACATCACGCCACTGGCCAGATTAAACATATTGATATGAAAGAAATAACTTGAAGGCCACACCACTTGAGTGAGAGTAAACAGTGGTGAGTGGGGGCTCCACTGGTTAGCCTCAGGGGCTGAGTTGATGGTCTTTGGTATTATTCAACTCAAATCCAAGGGATCATCAATAATGATGACGATAAAATAGCCTCAATAATAGGGTAGAAAATTGATAGAGACCTTTTGGATGAGTGGCTTTCAAAGCCCCAGGAAAATTAACTGATAGTCCCTAGGGGAGTGCCTCCTACGGAGAGCAATTCTGAAAGAAATTTGCAGACTTCTATTTAGACTGGCTGCCTGGGGAGGAAGGGAAGGAGCAATGAGAGGCAGGAGAGGGAAGGTGGAGAGGTGAAGTAGGGGTGATACTTCAAAGGGAAATCCTTAGGTTTCAAATCAACATTCCAAAGTTATCACAAACAGGTTTGCGTGTTTGCAAAAGAGTCTTCCTTCCTGGAGCTTCCTTCAAGTGCACCCTTGTTTGACCTTCTGCATATTTGTACATTTTCTCTAATTTCATTTAAAATATAACCCAAGGTGGGTTAAGAGAGTCCACACGTCATTCCCCTTTCACTTCCAGAGAGCAGCTCTTAGTCCAAGTCATCAAGAGAGCTGAGGCCCTGTGATCTGTCCTGTTGCCTTTGTCTGGAGACCAGGCCAAAAACTTGTAATGAATATTCAAATACTAATTTATATTCTTGTTTATCTTGTACAAAAACACAAAACTGTGCATCCTTCTAGGTTCTTTTCCTGACATTGTAGAGAAGTGAAAAGAACATTGGACTTGGAGTCGAAAGATGTGGGTCCACCACTTGACACTCTACTTATTAGTCATGGGACCTCTCTGAACCTCAGTGTTCTCATTTATACAACGGGGAAAATAATGTCTATCAGGAAGTATTATTATGAAAATCAAAAGCAATTGTGCTTGTGAAGGCTTTTGACAAATTATTTAGTGCAATGCAGATATAAGTATTTATTGTTGCATCAGAAAGGAACCAGGCAGTTTTGGAGACTTACAAAATTTAAAGGAACTAGCGTGGAGAAAGTCCCTGAGATAACAAAGAACCACAAATATATAGGGAACAATAGGAAACCATAAATTGTTTTAGAGCTTTAAAGAACCTTAGGAACATCCCTCAAGTTACAGATAAGGAGTTTGAGGCACTACGTTTTACCAGGTCCAACACTTCATAGGTCTAGACGTCAGGTCTTCTATTTCCCAATTCAATGCTTGTTCTGTAGTAAAACAGAGTTCCAAAGGATTAATAAAGGGCCCCTTAGGCTGTCCTTTTCAAAATGTCTACACATGGTCATATATGCAAACCCCCAAATAAACAACTGTTGGAAGTAAAACCTTGGAAAAAGTAAAGAGCTAAAGGTTATACACTCAGAGTGCATTCCTAACAAATGGCAATCAATAGATTAGCTCATTAAGCAAATTTTACTTGCACTATAGCTTTAATTATGGCACTATGTTGAAATTGTATAACCTCCTATGAAGCACACAAGAAAATAATCATTAGCATTAGATAACATTCTTACAGGAGACACAGTTCTTAAAGGACTCACAAACTAAGGAGTTTGTGATGTGAGTTTGTGAGTAATGAAGAGAGAAGAGACATATACTTCAATTACACAAAGTTCTGAAGCTTGGTTGTGTATAAGTTGGATAAGGGAGGGATGCTTTCTTGAGGGGTTGTGGGAAAAGCAACATGGTGGAGATAGTATTTAAGAAGGTCTTGGAGGACAGACAGAGCTTTCATGATTGGAGTTGAGTGGTAGCAGTGGTCCATCTGTTCAGGAGGAAGAGTTGCCTGGCTGGGGAAGACAAGCAGAGTGGCTGGGCTGGATCACTGGGTTTTTATTGGGGTGTTCTGGGAGAAAAGAAAAATAAATATGACAAATGAAAGCATATTCCATAAAGCATTCCTGATGTGTGAACCACATCTAAAATAATTTCTATCATCACTATTCATATTTGCTATTATGAAGTCAAAGTCCTCTGGAAAATGTGTACTGTGAACATAATGGGCTGTGGCAGCCACAGATTTTGAGCACTTGTCATGTTTGCCCATCTTCCTTTTTCTGGATCCTTTACAAATCTCCTCTCTTCTGTATGATGCTAGTGGGGCTCTTTGTCACTCAAAGGGGAAGTAGCATACACCAAGTTTGACCAGCCATGGTACATTACACTAGACGTGGTGATTGGTTCAGAGAGGAGCATGGGGACCACACTGCACCAATCAGAGTCATTTTCAACGAGAAGTCTTAGGAATGAGCAGCGTTTGCCCTTGAGTTTGCTAGAACAGGAGGAGGTAAATCTTGACTGGCATGTGGGAGTTACAAAGACTCTCTCCTTCAACAAAATTTAGTTAGACTCCTCTGAGCCCTCTTCTCAACTAAACCTTGACCTTGGGCTTTTGTGCCTATTCTGTCCTTGGCTGGGCCTGCATTGCCCAATCTTAGCAAGAATTCTGCTAAGTCAGTTTGGCAAGAATCCCTCCACCTTTGATATCTAATCATCCTTGGTATCTGATCAAGTTCTTTAACCCCCACCATTGATGTATAAGTCCTTGATCTGCCTTTAGCAAGAATCCTGTTAGCTTGGCTTAGCAAGTATCTCCCTACCTTTGATGTCTTTTCTAAGTAATTTTCCATTCACTCACCTCCTCACCCTGCTCCTTGGCTATAAATCTCTACTTATCCTTGTTTACTGGAGTTGAGTCCAATCTCTCTATCCTATTACAATAGAGTTGACCCTTACCTTACTGCAATAGTCTTGAATAAAATCTTCCTTGCCATTTTAACAAGTGTAGTGATAAATTTTTTCTTTAACAGAGTGTAGATCCCCTCAGTTCCCCCACTTTCTTTCTGTGTCCTGGCTGAAAATCAGAGTGCCTTGACTGCTCTGTGACCCAGGCAGCTGCAGGTTTTTCCCATAGGCTTGAACTCAAACTGGGGCCTTGAAAATTCCCAGGCACAGGTGTGTGATGTTCCCCTTCCTGTGTCCAAGTGTTCTCATTGTTCAATTCCCACCTATGAGTGAGAACGTTCAATTCCCACCTATGAGTGAGAACAATGCGGTGTTTGTTTTTTTGTCCCTGCGATAGCTTGCTGAGAATGATGGTTTCCAGCTTCATCCTAATGTAAATGACGAGTTAATGGGTGCAGCACACCAACATGGCACATATGTGACAAACCTGCACATTGTGCACATGTACCCTAGAACTTAAAGTATAATAAAAAAAAAAAAAAGAAATTGACCATGACATCATCACATATATCTGTTGTATTTAAATTTCAAGATTTCATCTATAAATGGATTAAACACTATACTTAAAAAAAAAAAAAAGAAAAAAGAAAATTCCCAGGCACAGATAAAGGTATCTAGGCTGTTTCCCAAAACACTGAAAGAAACTGGCCCTGGCCCTGAGCCAAATTCCTTAAACCCTGATCCCCTCACTGCCAACCTACCCACGTAGAACATCCTTTTTACCCCGCTGTCCATCATGAGGATATGCTGCAGCACTCTGTATGCAAGTTCCCCTAATGAATGCTTTGGGTGGCTCACCCTGGCATTTAGTGCTTTTTCTTTGGAATTCCAACCGGCCCCATCTCAGGACGGTTTGGGGCACTCCCTGTGGGAACTCCCCTGCCACTGCTTTTGGGGCGATCCAGTGCATTCAGCAGATGAAACACAGGGGCTAACAGAACTCAGCAGTGCTGAAAGATGGGGAGGCAGGGAAATGACCACATTTGAGACCCTGTGCCCAAAAGCCAGATGCATCTAGGACTTTCTAGTTACGTGAGCCACTTGTCTCCTTTTTAATTAGCCTAGAGAGTATTGGGTTTCTTTCACTTGTCATTGAAAAAGTTTCAATAAATGTAACAAATTTTCATTGCTCCAGGAAACTAGACACAGAAAATTGGCCAAGGTAGTATCAAAGACAGAAATCCAAGAATGTCCAGATTTCCTCAGGCTCTCCTCCAATGGCATTGGGAATAACAGTTGGTATTTCTTATGAGTATTTTGTTCTTCCAAAAAATTAACATTTTAAAAATATTTGTTGGAAGACAGATACTGAGCTACATGGTTTTACATAGGCCACTTTATTTAATCCTGCCTTTCACAGAAGTCCTTATTTTACCTAATATATAGATAAGGCACTGAAGTCCAATGTGCTTTAATGCACATTGGACTGTGTGCCTTCAAATTCAAACCGTGGTTCTTTCCTCCACACTTCTCTAAATATCCTTTGACAAGGAATTTTTTTACTTTGTTTCTTTTTTCCCTTTGTTAAAAATTGGAGTGAAAATTTACAATTGCAGCCATTCTACATTGTTTCTTGATTAGTTTCTTCAAACTCATGCAAATATGATAGAAAAGAATGAAACAATCTTAAATTTATCATACTTGATTTCTGTCCTTCCTTTAGTAACAATAAAATATATACCTAATAAAGTGAAAGGAGGCCTTAATGGGCAGAGACATTATATACTCCCTGGAAAGCTCTATGATGTTCCTAGGATTTTACTGCTTGATTGCATTGAAGTGAGAGCCCAAAGTGTAGACATTTGCACAGCACAGGGACAACATTCCACAGCCCTCTCGTGAAAGCACTTTTACTAACTTTCAAACTGGACAAGCAAAGTTTCTGTTTTATGAGGGTTTTCCTTAGCCAATAACTATTGTGAATCTCTTTGAATCCTAAAGGCGTTAAGTTTCATAATTGGATACCAAAATTATGTTCCCAATCTTAAATCTGAATAAAGTTACTTACTTTTTAAAATTTTTTATTTTAATTAATTGATTAATATTTTTGAGAAAGTGTCTTACTGTGTTGCCCAGACTGGTCTCAAACTCCTGGGCTCAAGTGATCCTCCTGCCTCAGTCTTCTGAGTAGCTGGGACTACAGGCACAGGCCACCATGCCCAGCACTTACTTTTTTTTTTTTTTAATTATACTTTAAGTTTTCGGGTACATGTGCACAATGTGCAAGTTAGTTACATATGTATACATGTGCCATGTTGGTGTGCTATACCCGTTAACTCGTCATTTAACATTAGGTATATCCAGCACTTACTTTTAATCTATCTGTATTTTAAAAACTATGTGTATCTAATTCATTTTTTCTTTGAGCCAATGTATCTTTAAAAATAATTTTCATATGTTTCCTCTAGAAGAAAAAAATCCAGATTCATATTTGTTACCTTATAAGAAAGCCATGCTCTTCATAAGTAATGTCTACACAAAAAGCACTATCTGGCATTGTTATTAGCATTGCCAGATAGTTTGTTTGATTCGGGACTGTGAGTGATACATTGTTTAGATGGTTGCATAGCTTGTTAAACTTCTGATGAGGTCTTCCAGTTCATTCTAGAGGGGTCAAACACAGCATTTTGCATAGTGCCCTGCATATCTTACACACTCAATAAATGAACCATTATAACCCAGTCTATTGTGGCTTTCGATTTCTCACTTTCAGTTGGAGCAGGAAACAGGATAGAGAAAAGGTGAATGACAAAGAGATACATCACAGAGACTTACACTGTGATATAGTCTTACAGTATAATTTCAAGTACATAGTATCACAAAATCTGGCAACATTAACTCATCTGTGGCATTGAGTGGGTTGTTACGTACAATTGTTTCTCTTTTCTTGAAAAACAAATCAATACAAATCAAAACAATCCTGCCCATTGCAGGCTTTTGCAAACATGAATATTTTCCAGTAATAATATAGTGTTAAAGTTTCAAATCATGGAAATATAATACTCAAAATGGTTTACCTCTCTCCTTTCCCCATCCCTCCCCTCTACCCCCATTTCATCCTTTACAAAATTAAAAAAAAACATAAAAGCATATGTCAAGCATGTTTCAGTATGTGTCAATTTTAGGGACAAACCCAGAGTCCATTAATCAGTTCAATATGCAGTTCCAACATGAAACAAGAACCAAATTCCATCTCTCCCTTTTAAAAATAGACGATTTTTAGAGCAGTTTTAGTTTCACAGTGGAAATTGAGCAGAAGATACACAGAGTTCCCATATAACTTTTGCCCCCATACATGTACAGCTTCCCCAACTAGCAACATCCCCCACTAGAGTGGAACATTTGTTACAATGGGTAAATCTACACTGACACATCGTTATCACCTAAAGTCCATATATAGTTTACATTAGGGTTCATTCTTTGTGTTGTATATTCTATGGATTTTGACAAATGTATAATGACATGTATCCACGATTATAGTATCATACAGAATAGTTTCACTGCCCTAAAAATCCTCTGTGCTCCGCATATTCATTTCCTCTCTCCTGCCCCTGGCTGATTTTTTTTTATTTTTTATTTTTTTACTGTCTCCATAGTTTTGCCTTTTCCGCAGTGTCATACAGTTGGAGCAAATTCCCCTTTAAAGTAACGCAGACCATCAATATTAAATACAATTGTTTATGGATATCTATAAAACCAAAAATCCTTTATGTTTCTCTGCTCCCTAGTGTTATAATCATATACTGGATAGGTCAACCACTTTGGGGGGAGTTAAATCTTGAACTCTTACTTCTGCTTCCAAAATTGAGACATAATTAGTTTATAAATGAATGCCTAGGTCAGGAATGTAAGTTTTTTTTAATAAGAGAAAAATCAATTAATGTTGTTAATGACAAGAAATATCATGTAATCATGTCAATAGATGCCTAAAAGGCATTTAATAAAATTCAATATTCATGATTTTAAAATCTCGATAAACAAGGAATAGAAGAAAACTTCTTTAATGTCTCATGAAGAATATTTACAAATAAATTACATCAAATTTCACACTTAATGATGACATATTAAATGTATTCCTTTAAAAATCATGTGTACAAGAAGAAGTTCTTACTGTCAGTAGTTCTATTCATCATTATATTATTATAGGAATTGGAAAGAAAGAAAAAAGAACTCATTATTCATAGATAATATGATTATCTATGTAGAAAACTGCAGATCATTTGCAAATAAAGTTTTACAATTGCTGGATACAAAATAAGCACACGAAATTAACTGTGTTTCTTTTTACCAGTAACACACAGAAGATAGAAGAAAAGGAACAATTATAATAGCATCATAATTTTAAAGTATTTAGGAATGATTTCCACAGAGTTTTATGGAAATAATTACAAGGCTTTACTGAATATCATTAAAGAACATTAATAAAATGGAGTATCACACAATATCCATAGATGTGAACACTTAATTATCTCTTGCTGCAGAACCAATTACCCCAAACTTAGTGTTTAAAACAACAAGCATTTATTAACTCACAGTTTCTGCAGGTCAAGCATTCAAGAGAAGCTTAGTTATATGGTTCTGTTCATGGTCTTTTGTGAGGTTGCAATCAAGATGTCAGCTGAGGATGTAGCGACCTGAAAGCTTGACTGGGGTTAGTGGATCTACTTCCAAGCTCACTTACACTGCTGTCTGCAAGAGACTTCAGTTCCTGTCTGGCTGTTGACTGGAGGCATCAGTTCCTCAAAACATAGGTCTTTCCATATGGCAATTTGACAGTTGGCTTCCTCCAGAATCGATGATCCAAAAGAGAAAGTCTCGAAGTCATACATCATCATTTATGCTTTTTCTAACTGTTAGAAACAAGTCACTAAGTCAAGCTCACACTCAATGGGAGGAGAATTAGTCTCCATCCTTTAAAGGAGATGTCAAAGAGTTTTTGGACATATTTTAAACTACCACGACACTCAATATTATAAAGATAGCAGTTGTCTACCAATTTATCCATAGATTCAATGACTCTCAATAAAAAGCTTAATGGATATAGTCTAAAACTTGACAAACTGATCGTTTATATAGAAGCACAAACGGTCAAGAATAGCCCATATGGTCTTGTCCGAAGAAGAACGTGATGGGAGAACTTGCCTTTCTAGAAATTCAGAGTATTCTATAGCTCTAATAATTAAGACTGTGACATAGTGCGTAGAGATAAAGAAGTTGACTAGGTTAACACAAGATATAGAGCCACACATCTGGAAATCTGATTTCTGGAACAGGTAGCATTGAAAATCAATAGGGAAAAGGTACACTTTTCAATAAATGATTTGGTGACAATTTTTTATCCATATGTAAAAAGTTACATACAAGTTGCTTGTAAATCGATGATAAATCTAAATGAAAAAAGCAGACTATAAGACTTGTAGAATGTAATATAGGAAAATAATTTCTTTTTTTAAGAGAAAGGCATGAATATCTTTTATTTGTATACTCAAAATCTAGCACAGGGAGGGCAGAGATGAGAACATCTCTACATTGTGTCACATTGAAAAGGTATTATTCATGATCATACAAGAAAAGGTAAAGACAATTTGACATCCATGCTTTCAGTATTTTTGTTCTTCCTTGTGGTTCTATACCTTTTAGTGAGATCTCTAAGAACTCCAGGATGAAATTTAAGGTTTGTTCGTTTTAACAATCAGGAACAGTCAAAGAGATCTATTTTTCTCTAATACTAAGTGGATGATTAAGAGTTGTAGAATAAAGAGTGGGTTTTGAAAAGTTCTACACGTTATAAATAGGTAAAACTTTAAAATAGAAATTTCTCAATTACACATCTCAGAAGGTAGGATCCGCTTAGGTCCTTAAAGGACATGTGGATTTCTTAAATAAGACATAAAATGTACAAATGATTAAGGAGAAGATTGATAAATATGGCTCCTTTTATTAATAAATTAAGAACTTTTATTTACCAAAAAACATCATAGACTTCCACTTTAAGCCATACTAATTTTCAAACTGGGCAAGCAAGGTTTCTGTTTTATGAGGATTTTCTTTCACCAAAAAATATGTTGATGCAATGCAACTGCAATCAACTTGCTTTCTCACCTTAAACAACTACAAAACTGGACAAAATATAGGAAAACAACTATTTTTAGCCATTGGACAATAGGTGTAAAGTTGTAATCCATAAAAAGAAGAGAAATAAACAAGGTGGGTTCTGTGATTGCTCTGGCTTTCTACCTGGAGTCACTTTCTGGAATATCACACAGTATTGGGGAACTCAAGTAGATCATGGCAGTCTCTATAAATTGAGGAAACAGAGATCAGAGTTCAGGAAGATTGGGCAGCTAAAATTTGCAGAGCAGAGTACTGGAGAGGAGAGAACTTGCAGAGACAGAGCTCTAGAAATATCCATGGACTCCTTGAAGTTTTGGCTCAACTGCATACACGTAGGATGAGATTCCATAAGAACCACTACTAGAGAGTGGTAAGCTGCACAATTCTCAGAGTTCACATGGGGCTGACCAACCTGAGTGGAGAGACCTCACAAAACACGTGGGCATTCAGTAGAGACCTAAAAGTGCTGAGCATGTGATTGAGACCTCTTCTTAGTAGTAGATAAAAACTGGCCCTAGACAAACCTAAACCCACCATAATAAAATTTAAAACCAAGCCTCGGAAGCATCGAACAGATTAACATATAATCACATGCTAAATAAAAACTCAACATTCTTTAAAAGAAGACAACAAAATCTGGAAAACAATGTAAAACTCATAATGTCTGGGATCTATTACAAAATTACAAAAAATGCAAATAACATTTAAATATGACCCATAATCAGGCAAAAACTCAGTTCATAGATACAAGCCCCAAAATGACGGAGATGATGTAATAAGCAGAAGACAAGGACTTTAAAACATAGTTATTATAAATATGGTGAGCAATTTCATAATGAACATAATGAGGAGAAAAATGGAAGATATAACAAGAGCAAAATTGAACTTCCGTAGATGAGAAATATGATTTCAAAATTCTCTTGGATGGCTTAATAGCAGGTTAGACACTGCAGAGGAAAATATCAGAGAACCTGAAGACATAGCAATAAAACCATTCAAACTACAGCACACAGAGGAAAAAGGGCTGAAAAAAGAAAATGGAACTTCAGTGACCAGTGGGACAATATTAAATAGTCTAGCATATGGACAGTTGGAGTCCCAGAAAGAGAGGGAGGCAGGAAAAATACTGGAAGAAATAATGTCCCCAAATTTTCTGTATTTAATGAAAACTATATATTCAAAGAATCTCAACAAAACCCAACCAGGGGAAACACAAAGGAAATCATATCAACGCATATCATAATCGACTTTCTGAAAACCAGTAATAAAGAAAAAATTAAAGAAGCAGATAGGGCAAAAAGACATGTTATATATAGGAAATGTTGTAAGAATAACTGCTGACCTCTCAACAGAAACAACAGAAGCCAGAAGAAAAGGCACATCTTACAGGGCTTAAAGAAAAATTGGTCAATCTAGAATTCTATATTAATGAAAATATACTTCAAAAAAAAGTGAAATGATAATCTTTCAGACAAACAAAAGCTGAGAGAATTTGTTGCCAGCAAGTCTGTCCTACAAGAAATCTTAAAGGATGTTCTTCAGGCTGAAGAAAAATAATACCAGATGGAAATGTGGATCTACACAAAAGAATGAACAGCACAGGGTGTGGTGAATATTTGCGTAAATACAAAATAGGCTTTCTCCTTTGAAAAAAAAAAACCACAGTTCTGTAACAGATAATTGACCGTTTAAAGAAAAAAAAAGTAATGTATTGCAAGTCAAGTTGTCTCCTACATAGAAATAAAATGTATGGCAGCATCAGCACAAGAACAGGAAGGGGGACCCAGAAGGCTCCTGTGTGAATGTTGGCACACTATCTGTGAAGTGTCTTGATGGTATTTAAAGTGGAGTGGGACAAGTGAAAGATGCATATTACAAACCCAAGAGTAACCACTAAAAAACTAAAAGAGGAATGACTAATAAGCTCACTGTGGAGATAAAGTGAGGCAGGAAAAGAAAAAAAAATAACAAATTGAGACAAATAGAAAATAAATAGAAATCTAGTTAGATTTAAACCCAACCATATTTATGATCCCATTAAGTGAAATGGTCTAAATATTCCAATTAAAAGGCAAAGATTGCCAGACTAGATAAGAGATGCACTTTAAATATATTATAAAAACAGGATTTTAACATGAAAGGTGCAAAAGCTGCCACATAGTGTGTGAAATAAAAACCCAAAATTTGGGAGAAGATACTTGAACCTCAAGAAATTGAAGAAGGATTATTATCCAGTGTATAAAAATAACTCCTATACGTGAATAAGAAAGAGGTAAATAATCCAATAGAAACAAAAGAGAAAATATTTATGGAAGAACTTCACAGAAGAAAAACCAACCAACATATGAACATATGCCAACTGTATCATAATCGGGAAGTACAAATTAATCTAGGACAGAACAATTTTAATTTAATATATACCTACGAGATTTTAAGAAGTGGAGCAATAATGCACTTCTGCACTGTTGGTGGTGCTGTAAACTTGATCATTTTCTTGGGAAAATATGTTTGCATTATCTCAAAAACTTGAAGATACACATGCTCTATGACTCAGAAGTTCCATCCTAAAGTACAATCCCTTGAGAGATTCTTGGGCTTGTATATCAAGAGACATGAACATGAATTAAAAAGCAGTATATTTATAACAGCAATAAAACTGGTTACAACCTAAACATCCATCAACATTGCACAGATAAATAAAGTTGCAATATATTCACACAATAGGAGACTATACTACAATAAAAATTAATAAACTAAAACTACACTCAACAGCATACATGAATTTTAGGAACATAGTATTAACAAAAGTAAATTGTAGAATCATACATTAGGATGATTGTGTTTAATTTTCAAAAAATTCCTCTCATACATGACTCATACAATTATGGGAGGAATGTGTAGAAGGAAAAATTATTCAATTCACAAAAGAGAACCAGCAGGATGGCAAAGCTGCTTCTAAGACCACTTGAGGAACAGAGATTTATGTAGTCGCGAGAAGGCTGAAATGCATTTGCAAAGTTAAGAGACAAAACTGGTTATATCCCACAGGGCAATAAAATAATAACCTTTGGGGTTATCTTCTCTACCCAGCAGAAATACATTTCATCTATACTGGAAAAAAAATGTGCAAGTCAACATGTAACTTTCCAGAGCCTGGGCCCTGGTCAATAGTAGATAAAGAGAATTATAGTCATCTAGAGAATTTAATGCTCCTTGATTAGCCTGTTGGGTAATGTTCCAGTATGGCATTGAAAGGACACGAGGTCAGTTGTAAGTTGTGTGTACATTTTTCTTAACAATTAAGTTTATAAGAATTTCAAAAAACTTAAAACCAAACAATATTTTCACAAATACAAGTGATAAAAACTACAAGCAAGAAATGACAAACACAAAATTCAGAATAGGATTTACCTCTAGAGCAGTGGTTCTCAACTAGGGGTGATTTTGGTTCCTGTGGACATTTGGCAATATCTGGAGACTACTGTGGACATTTGGCAATATCTGGAGACTACTGTGGACATTTGGCAATGTCTGGTTACTACTGGGGGAGAGGGTGCTACTGACATCTAGTGGGTAGAAGCCAGGGACGACGCTGATGAACATTTGACAATGCACAGGACAGCCTGTACAGCAAAGAATTATCTGGTCTCAAAGATTAGTAGTGCTGAGGTTAAGAAACCTTGAGAAAGGGAGTGAATTTGGGGTGAGGCACATAGGGAACAAAATAATGGTAACATTCATTTTCTGAAATTGATTCAGTGATGCAAACACATGAATGTATTTTGAAATGATTTTAAAAACATGTAGTTTTTTAAAATTTCTACTCAATAATTAATAAACACAATAAAGAAGAAAATGGGACTGGATGCGGTGGCTCACGCCTGTAATCTCAGCACTTTGGGAGGCCAACGTGGGAGGACTCCTTGAGCCCAGAAATTTGAGACTAGCCTGGACAACATAGACCCCATCTCCACAAAAAATACAAAAATTAGCAAGATGTGGTGGCACATGCCTGTAGTCCCAACTACTCGGTAGGCTGAGGTGAGAGGATTGCTTGAGCCCAGGAGGTCAAGGCTGTAGTAAGCTTTGTTCACGCCATTGCACTTCGGCTTGGGTGACAGAGTAAGAACCTGTCTCAAATAAATAAGAAGAAAATGTTGGGTCAACAGAACTTTGGACTCCTTGGACATGCAGGTTGGGGATGAACTTTCTGTTTTGAGCAATTGGATAAATGGTGGTACCATTTAAGACTACGCTTTTTTTTCCTAAAAGAAAAGGCTGCTCAGAACCTATTTCTAGACACTTAGCATTTTATTGAGACGGAAAAACAGCTCTTCACAATTAGAAATATTGTGAAGATGACCGTAAATGCAGACTGCATTTGTGAACTACGACAAACCTACTAACTTTGAGATTTGTGAGTCAATGTCGTTTTAAATCCTGCTGGCCATGAGTCACTGTTTCACCTTCCCTTGGGGAGAGTCAAAAGAGTAAATCCAGCAGTGAGGCCGAGACCTTTTAGCACTGGAAACATCAAATGAGCAGAGGCCCCCAAGATGTCACAGCTCAGGCGCCCGTTAGCTGGCTTCAATGCCCTCCCGGAGCTAGCTGGCAGCATGAGTCAGCGTCAACTAGAGGATGGAGGCAGGTGAAAGCAATTCCCAGTAAGCCCAAAGCCCAGACCAATCAGATTCTCCAGGGGGTGGGCCTAGGGCATTTCTGGCTTCATTCTGAACTCCCACATAAGTTCGTGGTTACCCTGGGCTTTAAATGAATGAAAATCAAGTTTTCTGTGATTACAAACAAATGCTATATTTGGTGCCACAGGTGCAGAGAGCTGAAGGTCTGCTATGTGTATCTTATACTGGAATGAACCGGAGGAGACAGAATGAGATATGGAATTTAGGGAAACGTGATCTTTTTTACTTTTGGATTATGCTCTGATTTCCCCCTTAACCATGTAGTTGAATTTTCACACATGATAACAATAATTTTTCTTGCAGCAGATGGGGCCTTTTATGAAAGGGGTTTGCACCTTATTTTATCTTTCATAAGTCTAAAAATTATACGTAAAAACCCCAAATGTGAGCAGCTCACCTAAACTCTGCCAACCCTTTGTGTTTTTAAACAGCCAACCCGGAGGCAGTGGGACTAGTCAAGTCTTAAAAATGTGTAATGACCCTCATTACAGAAATTTGAAATGCTGTCCAATCTCAACCCAAATTTTTTTTGGGGAAAAAGTCTGCCCAATGCTAGGTTTGGGCACAGCAGGATGATACGCTGTGAGTCCAAAGGCCAAGCCAACAGCAGCTCCACGAAGGTAGAGCTCGCTCACGGTTCATTCCATTTAAAACATGTGCCATATTTGAAAATGGGATCCCTACCTGAGTACACTCCCCTGGTAAAGATAACAGCTGTGGCCTTCATCTAATAGGATTGTTTTCCTGGATTTCAGCAGAGTTTTGAAAGTCTCAATATATAAAAGATGAAAAAGAGGGAAAGATCCCTTTCAGAAGTAGCCATCATGCTTGGGAAAATTCTTGGGTCACAGAATGGCAGAGACTGAAAAGTTTTCTACCCTGAATTTGAAGGACAGGAATGTATGTAATGAAAGACTGGGTATTAAAAGAATTCTGTCCCACCCGTTAAGTCCCTGTGTGATCCTGAAATTTTCTCCTCCTTGCTCTTGATCCACTTTCCTATTTTGTGAGATAAGTGTTTCAGACCTGTAATCTCTGGGGTCCCTTCCATCTGTAGCACTCCATGATTCTAACAGCTAATGAAGTTTCATCTGCCAGAATATTCTTTCTTCTCCCACTTTGCTTGCGTTTTAGGGTTCATATGAAGCTATAAAAATTGTATCTATAAGGCTTACTGCCTATAAATTTTGCTGTTAGCCCAATGTATGTGAAGTGGCTCAAATGAATTTTGGCAAATTTTGGTGTGGGTCATTGGACCTCAGAGATGGGAAGTGGTGATGGAAATGGAAGAAATGAAGGGAGATTTAGCCCCTTCTTTGGGTTTGTTTAAAGGCCAGTCAGTGCACAGAGAAAATGATGGATGAATAGGACAGACCTTACCCAGACTTCACAGAGAAAGACAAGACTGGGCGTGTACTTGGTGCTGGGCAGAGGACAGCAAAACCACTCCATGAATGTCTGGTTTGTGGGAAGCGAGCATGGCTGAAATTTATCATAGTCCAGTTGTATTGCTTATCTATTGCTGTGTTTGTGTCTCGTGGCATGGCTTAACTGGGTCCACTGCAAGGCTGTATCAGAGTGGTGGCCAGGGAGGTCGGGGCCTCCCAGGTGCAGGTGGGGGTTCTTCCCAGCTCATTCAGGTTGTTGGCAGCATGCAGTTCCCAGCAAGTTGCTGAGCTGAGGGCCCCAGTTTCTCCCAGGCCGATGGCCACTTAGCCACATGGTTCTGTCCACAGGCAGCTCGCAACATGGCAGCTTGCTTTTTCAAAGCCAGCAAAGAGAGAGGGAGATGCCAAGGAGACGGGCACTCTGTCAGGTACAGGTAATCATGTCCCTCCTATCACCTTTGCCATAATGAATCTAACCACTCTATAAGAGGCAAGTTGCAAGTCCTACCTACACTCAATCAGAGGGAGTTACACAAGAGCGTGGACACTGGGGCCGAGGCAGGGGGGAACGGGGAGCCACACTAGAGCCCATCTGCCACACCAGCTACTCCCAGGGTGGTCCCTGATAATTAATTATGTAATCAAGCCACTAATCCACTAAACAGACATCCACTGGGCATTTATCATAGATTGGCCCTGTGCTGGGTGCTAGAGCACACAAAGAAAAAGAGCCATGGTCCCTGTTGCGGGAGTACCCAGATGAGGGGGGGATGCCAGCTTCCTCCCACACTTCAGTTCTGCTGTTCTGTGGGTGACTGCGGTGACATTGCAGCTGCAGCTGTGCTGAGCCTATGTTTGGCACTCTCCTCCACTCGGGACTGCTAGGCTGGCTGGGAGCTCCTCAGCCTTCAGAGTGTGTTGTCTCAATGGCCTCCAAAGCTCGCAGCTCCTCCTCTTGGTCACCTGTGGCCGGGCTGCCCCTGCTCGGCCCTGACTCACTTCCCAGGAGCCAGAGGGCCCTCCCCGGAGTCCATCCAGCCCCTTCTCAGAGCTCTTTTCCAGAACCTCTGCTGGTGTGGTAGGTCAGGCTGTGGGGTGGGGATGCTGCATGTTCCTCAAGGTTTCTCTAGACCCAATCCATCCACCTTTGCAAGTAAGTCACACCCCTTCTCAGAAGATGTGGAATCTGAGATGATTCACGTGAAGGTGATTTTGAGGAAAAACCTATAGGTCAGGGGAGACATGGTACTAGGTTGTGGGGACTAGTGAGGGTGCGGCATCAAACCAAGCCCCATGGAGGGAAGCTCTGGAGACAGAGGAGTTATATTCAGGGCAAGGGACCTGGGGACATTAATTAATTGCCCCATTTCACATATTGCTCTAACACTGTATTTAAATTTCCCCTTAGTATGAGTTCTAACTTAGTCTTTAGAATTTCGATTGAGAACAGGTTTGTCAGTCTCATCACTATTGACATTTGGGGCCGAATCATTCTCTGTGGTGAGGGTCATCCTGTGCACTGCAGGATGTTTGGCAGCATCCCCGGGATCCACAAACTAGATGTAAGGAGCACCCCCTTCTAGTTGTGACAACCAAAAATGTTTCCAGACATTGCCAATTGTCCCCGCGGGGGCTGGGGGTGGGGACAAAATTGCCTCTGGTTGAGGACCACTGCTTGAGACTGAAAACCCTGCTAAACCTGGACTCTATGTTTCTTGCATGGCACTGCAAGTGATCAGGAAGGGGCAAGCATTGCAGGTTTCCCGTCTCCATTATTGAACTAGAAACTTCTTGAGGGTACACCTTGTCTGCCTCAAATAGTGCCCATACTGGTTGCAAAAAAGGTAAAAAATTAAAGGAAACCCCTTCCTATCAAATACAATTTTAATCAGAATCATCTAGTCAGTGATATTGTACATCTAGATGCCTTAGATGCTTGTTGTTGAGTACCAGTTTCTGCAGCAAAAGAGAGAAGGCTCCACCCCACACAAGTCTCCACTGGGTACTAAAGAGTCCACCGCCTGTCTCCAGAAATAGTAAATGATGAGATCTTGAAGGAAGAGAATCGACTACCTATTTAGTCACAACCTGAAACAATATGAATGGAAAGATAAGCCAGATGGAGACTTTTTCAACTCCTGTCTATAAACATTATCATTTTTACTGTGGTTGCTCTCCCTCTTCCCATCGTGTATACCCTCTGCAAATAGAAAAAGGAGAGGTGGAAACTTCTCCCTCCCTCCCTTCCTTTCTTCCTCTTCCTCTTCACCCACCCTCCCCACACACACTTCTTCCTTTTCCTTTGATTCTGTTTTGCTGAATTATATGTTTAAATTTTTGCCCATAGAATGAATGCTAAGGTCACAGATGGGTTCAGGAAACTTAAACAGAATGAAACTTTACCCACTGGATGAAGGTGGGTGATGGGCAGGAAGCCACTATTAGTGAAATACCTGTGTGATAGAATTGACTTAGTCAGTTTCAGCCCCGACAAACCAACCCCTCAAATGCATCCATGAAGTGATGAATTTTCATTAGAAGCGTTTGGGAATGGTAGTGGAGATTCATTAACGTAACTCTTAGTTCTATTATCTTTTTGAATGCTTCCCTGGATTTCAGAATAACTATAAAAGAAAATGAAGGCATGAAAGAGGCAAAACAGTTTCAGAGTCCTGTGTAATCCCCTCAGTAACATCACTAGGCAAAGGGCATGCAGGCAACATGAAGAATGGGCCACATTTACGTTCCATGGCTATCTGGGCTCAGGTGTCTCCACATCCAGGTTCTCAGAGCATCCAGTTCCCCTTGGGGCACAGATCTGGGTTTCCTCTCCCCTGTGTTTCACATGTAGTGCTTCTTCCTTTTACATATCTTTAGTAGCCACCTGTGAAAAAGATGTCAGAGGAGTTTATTTACATATTTCCAAATCATTCCCAGCAAGGGCTTCCTCTGCCTCCACCCAGGAAATGGAGTTTGCTGAATTTTTCACTTTTCAAATTTGACTCTGTGGATTACAAACATTAGTGTTGCTTTAGTTTCTCTTGCTAGAAAATATAGAATCTGTTTCTTTTTGTAAATTGTGTTTACAAAATGTTTTAGAATTTCTGACTAAGCGAAACTAAATTGTGAAAAGATCAGTTTCCGAAGTGTTTCACTTGGCGTTGAACTAGATGTTAGTGCATCATGTATTTATTCCTGCAGAAAGTCTTTGAAATTTTTTATTTGAAAAGTCCTTTGAAAAAAATTGTTAAGGTTCTGATATAAGTCAGGCATCATACCCAACACCGTGAGCTCACAGATGTGTACAACAGTGCCCTTGCCCTGTGGTATTTCGTCATCTACTGGGGGAGTCAGAAATATAAATATCCTTTAGAATTATAAGGAGCTTGAAGGCAGGGACTAGCGCCTAAGAGCTCAATCAATGCCTGTTAAGTATCACTAGAATGAGCTTAAAAATCAGGCTTGAATTATAAAAAAAAATGCCAAATATAATGAAACTGCCAAAATAACCATAGAAAGTTTAGAAAATAAACCTTGATGAAACTTAAACGAGATAAAAAGATGGAAGACAGGAATGTTGAGAACTCTCAGATATTCACTTCATCAAGGCACAGAATTGGACCTCATGTAAGTTTTAGCTCCTGCTGAAAGTTCTGTTGGCATCCCTAGTTGGAGGTTGGATTATCTGAATTATGATCCTGGTCATCTTCACTGATCAAAAGAAAAGCCAGTTTTTCATTTGGAATAGATTAGTAGCCTCAAACATGAATTGATTGGAACACCACAGTCAATAACGCAGTGACTGCATTCACAATGACAACCATTTAGTGCCCTCGTGAAAGTAATAAGGATTTGTTTCCACCACCTATCAGCCTGACTCGGCAGTGAACCCAACCCTGAATTAACTATTCCTCTCATAAAACGAAATGCCAGTGTCTCCCTCTCTGCTGTTTTGGTTGTATATCCTTAGTCTTTCGTCACTTGATGAAATTACTGTAGTATTCATGGCTAGCATGCGGAACATCACAGTTTTTGCAGTTCTTATTTCTAGAACCTTGTCCTTCCCACAACTTTAATAAGGCCCAACATTTGTATTCTTTTTAGCATATCTTCTTGGATACACTCAAAAAAGGCAGAGCAGTGTATTTAGAGACTCGAGTCCCTAACTTTGCAAGCAAATAGAAGCCATTTTCTTAAAGATCAAGAAAAGTGAATCCCTATTCTTTTTTTTCTTTCTGGGAAGTTACATTTTATAAATGGTTTAGCCAGATGCGCTTTAAATTAATAGCACACTTGTGAAAAGTCTTTTCCGTGGAAGCAGATTTCATCACCACCAAATGTCACTAGAGTTTCTTTTTTCCTGAAGTCTGCATAACCTAATTTGTGAAGAGTCAGTTTTGGAGGTGCAGGGTGGGGTGGAATGGCATATGCTTTGCCCTGGGCCTGGCTCAGGGCTGGCATTAGAGAGCATTCTTCCTCATGTCAAGCAGGTACTGGAGAGTCCAGACTGGATACCAAGTCAAACTTGCATTGTCCCGTGCTGTGACCTCAAGTTGATTCTGGAAGTGTGTTTTTTACTTCATGTTGAAGCTCCTTTAGTCTCATTTCTGGACATCCAGTTGTACTTGTCTCTTCCAGGCAATCTTTAAGGTAAACACGTGGTGTTTTATTTGAAGAGCTACAACCTGAGCCCTCTTAATCGGTCTCCGCATTTGGGCTTGCAGCTGGAAAGCATGTTCACTCATGCTGCATTTTTACCATACAGGAAATCCTCCAGGGGATGCTGGGTACATGTGGTACCTTTGAAGTACCACCAGCAATTTTCTCTTTCCTACTTTTCCTCTGTGTTTTGTTACATTAATTGATGTATTTTGTCTGATGTATTAAGAGAGCTTGAAGGATGATGTGTTTAGCACACAGTATCTATTATGATTAAGTTTCTTTGCAGGAATCACAACACCTACATTATGACTCTGCTCACTACCCCTGGAGCTGGGTTACAACGACGCAAAAAACAATGCTTTATCATGCAGGAAAATCACTCAGACACCCCATATCTCATGTTCCTGCTCAGAGCTGGAAATTTATAACTCGAATTTGTTTCAAATTTTAAAACTCCATTATTTAAGGCATGTATTTCCTCCCTTTATGAGTCCTGTATGTCTAGGCAAGCCTTTGATGATACAAATTTCTGTGCACATTCATATACAAATGTAGTTTGTGAGTGAAATCAGACTTATTATTTATTGACAGAAGGGCTCCATCGTGCTAATACAACTGACTTAATTAGCATGTAATTTAAGTCCAACGAAGGTAGAGACAAATATCAATCCTGCTAACGTGCATTTCTATGTCAGTTTAAATTTCATTTAATGGTAAGTCCTTGAAACTTAAAAACACTGATATTTTCCTTTCTTCTTTATAGCTGCATCATGCTTGGAAATAAGAAATGTCCAAAGACAATAGCAGGATTCTCTCTGCCTTGTAACGTGCTTCAGAGAAGAAAAATGAGAAAGATCCCCTTACTTTGCCAATAATATTTAAGTCCAACCAATTCACAAGGTCTCTGGAAGGAATCTTAAGAATAAAAACACAACATTTATTTAAAACCACCAGGTTGCCAGGTGTGGTGGCTCACGCCTGTAATCCCAGCACTTCGGGAGGCTGAGGCAGGTGGATCACTTGAGGTCAGGAGTTTGAGACCAGCCTGGCCAACATGGTGAAACCCCGTCTTCACTAAAAATACAAAAATTAGCCAGGCGTGGTAGCATGTGCCTGTAATCCTAGCTACCCTGGAGGCTGAGGCAGGAGAATCGCTTGAACCTGACAGGCGGAGGTTGCAGTGAACCGAGACTGCACCACTGCACTCCAGCCTGGGTGACAGAACAGACTCCATCTCAAAAAATAAAATAAATAAATACAACCACCAGATTTTCTTGTCATATATATACATACTGGAATACTATTCAGCCGTAAAAAGAATGAGATCCTGTCATTTGCAGCAACATGGATGGAACTGGAGATCATTATGTTAAGTGAAATAAGCCAGGCACAGAAAGACAAATATTACATGTTCCCACTCATATGTGGGAACTAAAAGAATGGATCTCATGGAGGTAGACAGTAGAATCGTGATTACCAGAGGTTAGGAAAGGAAGAGGGGAGAGAGGATTAAGAGAAGTTGGTTAAGGGGTACGAAAATACAGTTAGATAGAAGGAAGAAGTTCTAGTATTTGGTAGCACAGTAGGGAAATTATAGTTAACAATAATTTATTGTATGTTTCAAAATAGCTGGAAGGCAAGATTTATAATGCTCCCAACACAAAGAAAAAGATAAATGTTTGAAGGATGGATATCCCAATTACCTGATTTGATCATTACACGTTGTATACAGGTTTCAAAATACTACAGGTGCTCCCAAAATATGTACAACTATTATATATTAATATTTTAAAAACCACCAATTTTTTTTACTTGAGGGAGAACAGCAAAGAGGCACAGCCTCAAATACTATTTTAGAAATAATGTCTGCAGAAGTGGATAAAAATAATTATGTATTTTCTGGCCATTTTGAGCCTTTCTTTTGGAATTTCTGAGTTGCTTTTTATTGTACAAGTGAGACATTGCTCTTAAAAAAACTTCCTCCTTCACATTTTTTTCCTTTGATATTTAAATTGTGCTTAAATGAACCTAGAAACATACATTTCTCCATAAAAGCTCCAAATAATGAATTTGTGATGATCTTCTCTCTGCTTAAGTGGTCAGGGAAGCTCTGACCTTTGAAAAGGTGGAATAGTTTTTTGTGTGTTAACTGAAGCACAAGCAAGAGACTCAATAAGCCAATTTATGTTTGATTTGATCTCAAGCATGTCAGAGTTGATTTATCCAACCCAGATGACAGTGGGAAAGAGGCAGAGAATTGCTGAGATTGAAACAAATAAGAGTTGTTTTCAGGCTGAATAGTGCCTACAAAATCCATAAAGAATTCTTAGATATATTTTCAGTGTAATGAATGAGATTCGGGAATTCAGTGCCATAGCTTGACATGAATTATAGTTTGGACTACACAGCACAAAAGGTTCTGGAATTCACAAGATAAATGTTTTATGTTTACTGAGCTCAAAATGGCTACTTCCTAGTTTATGTTCTAATAATAGGTGCATCTAACTCCATCTTTTAGGATTTTAAATCTACACATTTAAGAGGAATACTAGTCCTGTGAGAAAACTTAAAAGTTGCTTGATTTACAACTTAATTTTTTATTACTCTTGTTTTAAAATACATTTTATTGTGTATATTTAAGGTATACAGCATGATGTTATGGAATACATAGATAATAAAAAGATTACTACAGTGAAGCGAATTAACATATCTATCAAATCACATCGTTGCCTTTTTTCGTTTTTATTTTTGTGGCAAGAGCAGCTAAAATCTACTCATTTCTTATGAATCCCAAATTCAGTATAATTTTATGCCATGTAGTCCTCAGGTGGTGTGTTAGATCTCCAGATTTGTTCATCCTACATACCTGCTCCTTCGTATCCTCTGACCTCCATCTCCCTATTCCCACCCCTGGTTAACTCCTGATTTACAGCTATCAAAAGGAATCCTCTGCTGCATTATTTACTATAAAACCTAAGTCCACTTAGGATCTGATGAGTCATTTGGTGCCTTTTTTGACTGGGGACCCTTCTCTGCAGCCCAGAATGAATCATCTCTTGGGCCCCACGGGTCCTCACAGCCCCTCACTTCACGGCTGCCTCAGCCTACCCTTCTGCTTAGGTGTCAGGAAGCAGGACCATTCCATGGACATCTGAGAACATAAACTGCCAAAGCTGTTGGTTGTAGGTCTGAGTGTGTCCAGGAACTGTCACAAGAGCAAAATAAGGAATCTCACAGAGTCAGAGTTACTGGTGGAGACAGGGTTTGCAGGAAGGAAGCCAACGCTAGTTTTGTTGTTGCTGGCAGCCCCTTTCCTTCATCTGCCCTCTGCTGCTTCATTGACCCTGGCAACTTGTCCAGGATGCTATGATTGAGAGGTGGTGCCACAGAGGGTCTGAATCAATAGCTTCTCAAGCATGCTGGTTATTTTTTTTATCAGTAAGTTTGTCTCTGTTCAAAACTATTGTAAAGCTGAAGTGCTTTTGTTCTGCTAAAGAGATACAAGTCTATTCCTGATTTCACCAAGGACAATTCAATTTTTCAATAATTTTAATGAAGACTTTAGTTTATTGAAAGATACTTATTAAATAACTGAAAGATTAGCTTTTATTATAACTTTCAGCCTGGTTCTACAACCAACGGATTAGTTGAAATGAGGCTGAATTATCTTATCTTCTTTTCCAGGGGAATTTGGAGTCAAGGAAAGGCTCATTTCTGCAGGGGTATGGTGGAGAAAATGCAGGGAATAATTGGTTCCATTCATTTTTAAATTCCTTATAAGACCATGCGGAATTAATTCATATTCAAAGAGAATTGAACAAAGCCTAAGAGAAAGCCATTATGTTTTCACAGACTTTTTTCTTGGGGAAGAGCTAACTTTTTTATTTTTTAAAATTATTATTATACTTTAAGTTCTAGGGTACATGTGCACAACGTGCAAGTTTGTTGCATATGTATACATGTGCCATGTTTCTGTGCTGCACCCATTAACTCGTCATTTACATTAGGTATATCTCCTAATGCTATCCCTCCCCCCTCCCCCCACCCCACAACAGTCCCTGGTGTGTGATGTTCCCCTTCCTGTGTCCATGTGTTCTCATTGTTCAATTCCCACCTATGAGTGAGAACATGCAGTGTTTGGTTTTTTGTCCTTGTGATAGTTTGCTCAGAATGATGGTTCCCAGCTTCATCCATGTCCCTACAAAGGACATGAACTCATCATTTTTTATGGCTGCACAGTATTCCACGGTGTATATGTGCTACATTTTCTTAATCCAGTCTATCATTGTTGGACATTTGGGTTGGTTCCAAGTCTTTGCTATTGTGAATAGTGCCACAATAAACATACATGTGCATGTGTCTTTATAGCAGCATGATTTCTAATCCTTTGGGTATATACCCAGTAATGGGATGGCTGGATCAAATGGTATTTCTAGTTCTAGATCCCTGAGGAATCGCCACACCGACTTCCACAATGGTTGAACTAGTTTACAGTCCCACCAACAGTGTAAAAGTGTTCCTATTTCTCCACATCCTCTCCAGCACCTGTTGTTTCCTGACTTTATAATGATTGCCATTCTAACTGGTGTGAGATGGTATCTCATTGTGGTTTTGATTTGCATTTCTCTGATGGTCAGTGATGATGAGCATTTTTTCATGTGTTTTTTGGCTGCATAAATGTCTTCTTTTGAGAAGTGTCTGTTCATATCCTTCTCCCACTTTTTGATGGGGTGGTTTGTTTTTTTCTTGTAAATTTGTTTGAGTTCATTGCAGATTCTGGATATTAGCCCTTTGTCAGATGAGTAGGTTGCAAAAATGTTCTCCCATTCTGTACGTTGCCTGTTCACTCTGATGGTAGTTTCTTTTGCTGTGCAGAAGCTCTTTAGTTTAATTAGATCCCATTTGTCAATTTTGGCTTTTGTTGCCATTGCTTTTGGTGTTTTAGATATGAAGTCCTTGCCCATGCCTATGTCCTGAATGGTATTGCCTAGGTTTTCTTCTAGGGTTTTTATGGTTTTAGGTCTAACATTTAAGTCTTTGATCCATGTCGAATTAATTTTTGCATAAGGTGTAAGGAAGGGATCCAGTTTCAGCTTTCTACATATGGCTAGCCAGTTTTCCCAGCACCATTTATTAAATAGGGAATCCTTTCCCCATTGCTTGTTTTTCTCAGGTTTGTCAAAGATCAGATAGTTGTAGATATGTGGTATTATTTCTGAGGGCTCTGTTCTGTTCCATTGGTCTATATCTCTGTTTTGGTACCAGTACCGTGCTGCTTTGGTTACTGTAGCCTTGTACTCTTTAGCAGTGATGGGCAGACTTTTTCATAGAAAGTTCATTTGTCAGAATTTCATATATCACACAGGAATCTCCAAGCCTAGTGAGAAAGGTCACCATCTCAGAACTCACATATTTTGTCTTATGAATGCAACTCATACAAACATGTGTATATATGTGATGTTCAAGTACATTTAGGTCCATGGTTCTCAATTGTGACTGTGTATCAGAATCACTTCTAGGAATGATTGAGTTTGAATAGGATTGGTTATGCTTCAATAACAAATGGTACCCAAATCTCATGACTTACTACAACAAAGACTTAGTTCTTCCTCACAATGTGGATTTATTGTGGGTTACCTGTGGCTCTTCTCCATCTTATGTTCACTGTGACATCAAGGTGACAGAGTAGCCTCTAGCTGGAGCATTGCTGTTTGTCATGGCATAGAGAAGAGAAGAGTCTGGCTGACTGCTAATTGACTCTCACCACCACTGCTCAGTTTCATTGGCCAGGGCAAGTTACAGGGTGCAGCTTAATGGTGGGGCTGAGAAGTCTGATTCTCCACTCCCACCCCCGCCCACTAGCAGCAGTGAATCTTTGTGAATAAAATGCCTTGGTTGACTTCTTACTAAGTAGGAATCTTGGGATGGGACCTGGGGAATGGTATTTTTAAAATTTATCTGGCAAGTATGATGAGTAGGCAAGGTGGGGAAACACTAACTTACATGAGAAAAGTCTACATTAGGTCATTGCAGGGATCATTATCAGTTTTTTATTTGTTATCAAAAATATCAGATTGTGTATATTTTATTTTTATATATTATTAAATAATTAGGAGAATTAGGGGTTTTGCAAGGGTTTTTTTAAGTTTCAAGTATCTTTTTCTGATAAGACACTCTTAATTTATAAGTATAAAATAATTCAACATTGACATTTGCTTAATGGAATATTATGATTTATTTGAAGATAAGAACACCCTCTGGTGATAAAGTGTGAAATATCCACAGGTAACGGATGAGATCAGTATATGAGTAAAACAATTCTAATCCATGAAGGTTCTGCCTAGGCAGCCATTTGGCCTTGCCCTCTGACTGTCTGTTTGGGCTCAGTGCTAACTTTGTAGTGACATTTGCATCACCTGTGTGGGTGAAGTAAATCAACTGTGCTTGCTCATGTGTTTGTAGCTATTGAGTGTTGGGTATTGTGAGCTAATTGTCCACAGATTAATTCCATTTGGATACTCATTGCAGACATACAACCATAGGAGCCACACTAGTACAATGGAAGGAACCCTGGATTCAAGTTAAAATGTACTTCCTGGATCAGTCCTAAATACCCATAACACTTTATTGGGCTGTCTCTTATGACAGGCTTCTCTTTTGCTCTGTATATTAGATGTTTATGCACACAAATATTACACCATACAGTGGATATGGGGGTGGACTCCCCAATATCCATTTTACCCCATTCCATTGTGTAGGAGCTATTTGGTTGGCAGCATCAACTCCACTCCAAGCTTCAATGTGAGGGCTCTACTGGCATAAACCAATCCTAACCCCATGGCTTCCATGATTGGTGTCGGTAACTCATACCTAAGTCAATCAGATCATGGCAATCCCTAGCTACAGAGATTCATTCTGGAGCTGTCCCATCAGAATAAAGCTGAAACTACTTTTGCTGATATTCCAGGAACTCGCCCCCCACGCCCTGCCTTGTGTAGTGTGGGGTACATCTATGAAACCTGGAATTCTATAACCATTTTCCCAACATGCTAGAAATGAGCCTTAGGATAACGTTGACCCTGCAGAAAGCAGAGTGAAGGGGCTGAAAGAAACTAGGCACCATGATTGAGCCACCCTGGAGCTTCTGCTACCTCTGGAATTTACAGAAAGTTGTTGATAAATCCCCTTTATTGCTTAAGCCAGTTTGAGGTGCTTTTTCTGTCACTTGTTACTGTTACCAGAAGAGGCCTGAAGACATACACTGTTAGCTCCTTGAGCACAAGCTACAAGGTTTTGATCTGTTTTTTGGTCCTATGTTTAACACAGACCTACTACGTGTCTTTGTACTAAGTAGGTCTTTATTGAATAACTAAATCCCAAATCATGGTCTTATATGGCACTAAAGATTAATTCATTGCATATGTAAATAGTATAGAATTGTGAGTGTTTTCCACCATTCACCTGAATCACATATGCTTGGTTTGTGGTGTGGCTGAGAGCCAAAAGAGCTGCTCAGCGACTCCAGAAGAGTCTCCCAGGAATAGCCTGTTGCTTATTTTCTGTCGCCAGCCACTCCTCTTTGAAAATGGTTTATTGGATTCTGATGTACATGAACTGCTCAGTAACTCCAGCGACTCTCCCAAGAATAGATGGTGGCCCGTGCTGTTGGATCCATTACTGGACACCACTTTTTTGAGGATGGTTGGTTGAATTGTGGTGAAAATGAGTTGTCAATGTGTCCTGAAGCATGTTTGCCCCACCTACTTGGTGAACTTGGTGATTTGAGAGGATCAGAACTTTCTTTCACAACTTTGTCAGCTTCAGAAATGTTGGTCTTTTGCTTGTGGTTCCAAAGCAAACATGAAGGTGCTCTGTTAACTTTCTTCTGCTAATTGCACATACCTGGAGCCAGTGGATGCCGAGACTGGCACTTGTTCACCTGTCTTCTTATTTTACTACAAGACAATAGGTGTGAGGAGCAGTAATTAGTCCTTGAATCACATACATCAGTCTGTTTTTGGACCTGAAGCTTTTGGTGGGGGAGGAGGGAAGGTAGGGAAAAGGATTGGAAAGGCCCTTAGGCAATATTGACTCTGGGCCCTTAATCTGATAAATCCCTAAACTAATGCCCAGAAAAATGAAATATTTTTCCCCAAATGACTATAGAGCTAGTACTTCTAGAGCTTATGCTCACACGTGTTCTCATTCTTTAGCTACTCCCTTTAGGAAATGCCATATACTGAGAGCACTTCAACCCAAGGGCACTATTGTTCCTTATCTGAACTACTGTAATGCGCTCCTAACCTCTGGCCCCATGTCTACCATGCTGTCCCTATTTTCATACCGGAGTCTGAGGGAGCCCAATACGCCTTCCTTTGAAAGTCTTTTCCTGGTGCTAGCATTCTGAACACTATAGCCAACCCATGTAGCCCATCCTGGCCCAATTAATTGATCAAGCTTTTCTTTTTTTCTGAGACTAATTAGGTCCCATGGGTTCAAACACCAAGATAAGGGGTGCTGTCCACTTCTATGTACTATTTCTCATTTTTTTCTGTCATCCCATTTAATGGTGAGGTCAGTCATTCTCAAATAATCACTTAGCTCTCCTCAAAGTCCCAAGTTATTGATATGATTATAAATATCCTTATATTTGTAAAATACCAAACATAGATATCTTGGCCTGATGAATCTGACTGATTTTTATAACAGGATAATTGGCGCCCAGAGAGCTCATGGAGAATAAACAAAATGTGGCTTTATCTAAGCTTATGTCTGTTTGCGAACATTCATGTTCCATGTAGTATAAACCAACAGTTCCCAACATGGGATGACGTTAGGAGTCTGGAGACATTTTTTATTGTCATACTGTGTAGGAGGTGCTAGTGTCATCTAGTAAGATGTAAGAGGCCAGGGTTGCTGTTTAACATCTTACAATGTAGAGGGCCACCACCCACAACAAAGAATTGTCTAGCTCAAAATGTCAACAGTGCCGAGGTTCATAAACCTTGGTGTAAACCATCTGATTTTTATGTTAGCAGGCTGTAGCATAGTATATAAGCAGTTATTTTCTTTTCATGGTGTTATCAATGTGAATAAATGGATTCTTTCATTTCAGTCAACTTATTTGGCAGGAAATACAAGTCTACATGCTAGTAGGAGGAGAGAAATATAGAAAAAGTAGAGTGAAGATAAAATTTATAATTTATAGAAGATGAAAATAATCATTGAATTATGGACCTTGCAATCACTCCTCAATGGAAATTAAAGCAATCAGTTGTTCCAAGAAGCTGTTTCTGGAGGATGAAGGGAGAACACTGTCAACAGCATTGGGCTCATGATTTTTAACTTATCTGAAGCACAGAATGGCCACAAGCAAGTGTATCCTCAAAATCGATGAAAAAAAATCTTCAAGTTAAATGCACCATAGCTGAAAAATAAGATCATTATGTAGGAAAATATCTTGGTGATATTTTTATTTTTGAAGCTCCTGTAAGACTTCTATATGCAGTAATCATAACCTCTATTTGAGGGCTTCCTGAATACAGCAACTCGTAGCTGTGCTCTAGATATTTCTGGAGGTGCTTTTATGGGTTAGAAAAAGAGAAAAATGTGACTGAACACAGACAAGCAGAAAGAACATGGGAGAGTAGTGGAATGAAAGGGCAAAGACTGGGAAGATGGCTGGACAGAAAGAAACAGAGATGTTATTGCTGGACTGTGCAGGTAACAGAAGTGTGGGATTGTCCCAAGATCCCAAGATGAGTCCCTTAGGGGAAGTGAACAGGAGGGGATGATGGCACTGAAGAGAGGCCATGAAGCAGACAGTAGGAAAGTGGGAGACCTGGCAGCCTGGGGAGGCATTCGTCATCTTGCAGGACACTGAAGGCTTCTGCAGCTCAGACAACAACAGGCATGCCACCCATAAGGCGCCCTTACAGCTGAAACCAATGTGGCTTTGTTAGTGTCAGAAAGCTGTGCTTTCAGGAGTTCCTAAAGAAGGCATGGGAAGTGGGAGAAGCCTGAAGTGGACAGGACTGGAGTCCTTGCTCTCATGCAGGACTCCAGTTGAAGGACATGAGTTATGAGCACTGTGAACACAAGTGACTTAGTGCAGCTGATCAGCATACTGACACTTTCAGAAATACTCAGCTCTTTCTTTTTCCCTTTTTGTCATTTGTATCTCTTCTTTTGTAATATGATAATTTTTGAGTTTAACATTGAAGGTGCTCATTTTAAAGCCATGTAAAACATCTTTATTCCTAGTAGAGGTTTTTGGCACGTGACAGGTATTGAGTGAAGGAAAGCCCATCATTATCTATTAACTTCTAATTGGGAATTAATTCATCACCTTAGAGCACACTTCATAATCAGACTGGGGATTCATGAGTATTGGAAGAGAGTTTCTTTCAGTGAAGCCAGGATATAAAACGTACCAGGTACTTAAGATGAAAAACTAAATCAGAGTGGTCTCTGCCCTCCAGAATCTAGCAGTAGTCACAGATTTTGAACAATATTTGCAGTGTCAAGCAAATAAACTTAACATTCTAATTTTGTCCATTGCCTTCCAGAGAATCAAGACGTGTTGGAATTTCTAATTGTGTTGAAGAGCAAATATAAGCAAAACTTAAAATAAGGCTGGGGTGTGTGAATAGGCCTGGAGGCTTTGCGCTTCTCATAGCATTTGCTGCAACTCTTGTGACGTGATAAAATATTTTGTGTCTTCAAACATCCTCGCACCATGAATCAGTGTGTAAATTGGAACAGCCTTTAGGGAGGACAATTTGGCATAGGTATCAGAAGTTTTAAAAGCATTCTTATCATGGCGTGAACCCGGGAGGCGGGGCTTGCAGTGAGCTGAGATCGCGCCACTGCACTCCAGCCTGGGCAACGGAGCGAGACTCTGTCTCAAAAAAAAAAAAAAAAAAAAAAAAAAAAAGGCATTCTTATCGTTTGAAACACTGATTGCTCATCTAGGAATTCAGGCCAAAGAAACAAATATGTACATACACAAAGCTATATCATCAAAGAATGTCATTGAAGCATTGAAAATTTGGAAGGCACAATTCAAAGGTCTAGAAAATAGGCTAAATTGGATAAATAAATTATGGAACCTCATTAGATGAAATGCCAAGTCATAAAAACAAACAAACGTGCTTTCAAAGATTATTTAATGATATGGGGCACTTTTCATGATACTTTTAGTGAAGCCATAGCTTATAAAATGGTACACTCAGTAAGTTCTAGTTTTTGTGTAAAAATCAGAGGCCACAACATATGCACAAATGAGTGATTACTGGTGCTTCTCTCCAGGTGATAGAATGTTTCTTTTTTTGTACTTTCATATATTCTGCAATTTTTTCATTAACATGAGTTAATTAGGTAATTAGAAAAAATTCTTTCAAAACTCAACTTTGCCTCTTCGCTTTTGTTATAAGAGTCACAAGTTAGAACAGTCTCCTGTCCATTTTACAGGCCATGGGATAAGGTAAAGAATTCTATGAGAACATCATTTACTGTATCAACAGCTCAGCAACATAGGTACTATCATTATCTCTATTTTACAGATGAGGGTGTTTAACTTAGAGAACGTAAGTAATTTTACCATCAGACATAGCAAAAAAGGGGGCAGAGTTGGGACTCCAAGCTGGGTCTACAGAGCCAGGTATACAATACCCAACTCATACTCTACTTCACAAAGTGAGTTTTAAAATATGGGCAGACCTTGTCTTATTGCACTTTGGTTTATCACATTTTGCAAATGATGGGCTTTTTTGTTTTGTTTTGTTTTGTTTTTGTTTTTTTTTGTTTTTTTTTTTTGTTTTTTTACAAATTGAAGGTTTGTGGCAATCTTGCGTCCTTCAAGTCTATCAGCACCATTTTTCTGATAGCATGCACTTACTTTATGTCTCTGTGTCACATTTTGGTAATTCTTACAATGTTTCAAACTTTTTCACTGTTATTATATCTATTTTGGTGATCTATGATCAGTCTCTTTGATGTTACTATTATAACTGTTGTGTCACACAGGACAGCAAATATTTAAATGTTGTGTGTTCTAACTGCTCCACCAACCAGCCATTTTCTTATCTTTCTCCTTTTCCTTGGGCCTCCCTATTACCTGAGACACAACAATATTGAAATCAGGCCAATTAATAACCCTAAAATGGCCTCTGAGTGTTCAAGTGAAAGGAAGAATCACATGTCCCTTACTTTAAAGCAAAAGCTAGAAATGATGACCCTTAGTAAGGAAAGTATGTCAAAAGCCAAGATAGGCCTAAAACTAGGCCTCTTGTGCCAGTGAACCAAGCTGAAAATAAAAAAACAAAAACAAAAAAACTACTTCAGGGACAATTAAAAGTGCTACTCCAGCAAATACATGAATAAGAAAGCAAAACAGCCCTATTGCTGATGTGGAGATAGTTTGAATGGTTTCGATAGAAGATCAAACCAGCCACAACATTCCCTTAAGCCAAAGCCTAATCCTGAGCAAGACCTTAACTCACTTCAATTCTATAAAGGTTGAGAGAGGTAGCAAGCTGCAGAAGAAAAGTTCGAAGCTAGGAGGGGTTGGTTTGTGAGGTTTAAGGAAAGAAGCCATCTCCATAACATAAAAGTGCAAGGTGAGGCAGCAAGTGCTGATGGAGAAGCTGCAGCAAGTTATCTGAAAGACCTTGCTAAGATCACTGATGAAAATGGCTACACTACAACAGATTTTCAATGTAGATGAAATGGGCTTATATTGGAAGAAGATGCTATCTAGGACTTTCATAGCTAGAGAGGATGCCTGGCTTCATAGCTAGAGTCAATGCCTGGCTTCAAAGGATAGGCTGACTCTCTTGTTAGAGTCTAATGCAGCTGGTGACTTTAAGTTGAAGCCAATGCTCATTTATCATTCTGAAAATCTTAGGGCCCTTAAGAATGATGCTAAATCTACTCTGTCTGTGCTCTATAAATGGAACAAAAAGCCTGAATGACACTACATCTGTTTAGAGCATAGTTTACTGAATATTTTAAGCCTACTTTTGAGAACTACTGCTCAGAAAAAAGATTCCTTTTGAAATATTACTGCCCATTGGCAATGCACCTGGTCACCCAAGAGATCTATAAAGAGATTAATGTTGTTTTCATGCTTGCTCACACAATGTGCATTCTTCAGCCCATGGATCAAGGAGTCATTTCAAACTTAAAGTCTTATCATTTAAGAAATATATTTCATAAGACTATAGCTGCCATAGATAGTGATTCCTCTGATGGATCTGAGCAAAGTTGATGGAAAGTCTTTTGGAAAGGATTCACCATTCTAGATGCCATTAAGAACATTTGTGATTAATGGAAGGAGGTCAAAATATCCACATTAACACGAATTTGGAAAAAGTTGATTCCAGCCCTCATTGGATGACTTTGAGGGGCTCAAGACTTCAGTGGAGGAAGTAATTGCAGATGTGGTAGAAATAGCAAAAAACTAGAATTGGAAGTGGAGCCTGAAGATGTGACTGAATTGGTGCAATCTCGTGATCAAACTTTCATGTATGAGGACTTTCTTCTTATGGGTGAGCAAAGAAAGTGATTTCTTGAGATGGAAACTACTCCTGGTGAAGATGCTATGAAAATTGTGAAAATGACAACAAAGGATTTAAAATATTACAAAAACTTAGTTGCCACAGTCTTGGCAGGGTTTAAGAAGACTGACTGCAATTTTGAAAAAAGTTTTACTGTGGGTAAAATGCTATCAAATAATATTGGATGCAGAGAAATATTTTGAAAAAGGAAGAGACAATCAATGTGGCGAACTTTATTGTCTTATTTTAAGAAATTGCCTCAGACACCACAACCTTCAGCAACCACCATCCTGAGCAGTCAGCAGCCATCAGTATGCAGGCAAGACCCTCCACCAGCAAAAAGATTACAACTCACTAAAGGCTCAAACGTTAGCATTTTTTAGCAATAAAGTAGTTTTAATTAAAGTATGATTTTTTTAGACATAATGCTGTTGCACACTTAACAGACTACAGTATAGTACAAACATAATTTTTATATGAACTGAGAAACCAAAAAATTTGTGTGACTCCTTGCTTCATTGTGGTGGTTTGGAGCTGGACCCACAATGTCTCTGAGGAATGCCTGTATGAACTTTCTAATCCCAATGAACATGGTATGTGTCTTAATAAATGCAGTGAAAGAATATTAACCATGAAAACAAGCTCTTGAATTTGAAGACAAGCCTTCACAAGTCAGTTAATCCAGCCCTGCAGTGAAACACACAATCCATCTTGCTGCCCGAAGTTGTTTCTGTGCAATATGAAAAGTGGAACTAGAAAGTCTGATTGTCTGCTATTTAGTATAGAGTGTTTTGTGCTCTGTGATGGTTCAGAAGTTTCCTGCTTTGGTCCTGTCAACTTACCCAGGCTGGCAAAACATAGCCTTCTACCAACTGATGTGATGTTGACTAGATTTGTAGCTGAAAAAACCCTTGAAACCTTTCTACATCTTCTCAAGGCCCATTGCAACAAATGCTACTTATTAAAAATTTGCTAAAGGTAAGGGTGTAGAAAACCACCAATTTTTATATTGCACAAAACAAAGGATCAAGGTGGAGTCTTTGAAGACATTATAAAACTGCTGCCTAATATTCATGCATAGAGCTGCTGTCGTTTGTGAAAATTTTAAAAATAAAAACGTAGCACAACTAAAAGGAAAATTTCATAAATAGCTACACCAAAACCTAGGCTTAACAAAAAAAAAAAAAAAAAAAACCAAACCAAACCAAAAAACACATTTTCTTCCAACACAGCCAAATATGGCAATTTTTTTTTTTTTTTTTTTTTTTTTTGATACAGAGTCTTGCTCTGTCACCCAGGCTGGAGTGCTGTGGCACGATCTCAGCTCACTACAACCTCTGCCTCCTTGGTTCAAGTGATTCTCATGCCTCAGCCTCCCGAACAGCCGGGATTACAAGCATGTGCCATCATGCCTGACTAATTTTTATGTTTTTAGTAGAGAGGGGGTTTCACCATGTTGCCCAGGCTGGTCTCGAACTCCTGGCCTCAAGTAATCCACCCTCCTTGACCTCCAAAAGTGCTGGGATTACAGGAATGAGCCACCACACCCGGCCCAAATATGGTGATTTTTATATGCCATATTTGAACTTGGAGATTTTTAGAATGGAAACTAAAGATATGGCTTTCAAAGGAAAGCCTCCTGGCCCAGCAGGTATTAACACTTTATTTATGGGATTTTTGCCTAATCTCCTCCACGAGCCAAACGGCAAAGTGTTTTTTGTCTCCTGTCTCTGAATAATATGCAAACCCCCTTTTTATTTCCTTTTTTGTGGTTTGTTTATAGTAAACTCTACAACTGGTAACAATTTCTCCCCATCCCTGTGACCATTACCAGCATCTGAATACATACACATGAGCGCTAATTGGAGTCCAACTGGGTTCCCCAATAAACAGACCGTAAGACAAGGGTTTGGGAACAAGTATTTATCTGGGAGGTGGCCTCAAGATGCTGGTGGGGTGAGGGGAAGTGAGATAGAGAAGGGAAGGCAAAGCATTGTTGAATATAGTGTTCGATATCAAGTAGATTATCACTGTGATAAACTGGTTTAATTCTGCTGGGCACCCCAAAAATCTGGATAAAGCGTGTGCTTCAGAGTCATCCCATCTCAAGAATGAGGGAGCTGAGGTATTGATACTCCAACTCCCATCAGTCATTGATTGAGGGTAGTTCTGAAAGGATATAAATTCCCAGCTTGCCCCAATTGTTATTGCTGCCCCAATAGCAACACTATCACTGGCAGCCAGAGAATGTGTTCAGGCAAAAAGCAATGCAGGTGCTGGCTGTTGGGGGTTGGCTGGCATGTGCTGATGTAATAGGAGTGAGGGGATATGAGTGGGACACTGACAGACAGCTTCTGCTACAGACTCTTTCATCAAATTAGTATTTGGATCCAAAATATATTTTCTCCCACTGCTCTCTGAAGCTAGGAAGCATACCCAGAAAATTTGGGAGGCTATTTAAAAGAGGGTAAAGTGGTAGTGTCACATTTGACAGTAATTTTTTTCCTCTAGAAATGTTGAGGAGAGGCATATCCTATGACTGATCAATTCTCTCCTAGCCTAAAGAAAGTGTCCCATATGTGCACACAGAGACAAGTACCAAATTTTTATTGCAGCATTTTTTGCAATAGGGAAAAAATGGAAACAACCATATGTCCTGTAATAGAAAAAGTTAAATGCAAAAAGGAAGGTGTTGAATGATGGATCCAGCATATCATGTATATCATGTTTAAAGCATGCAAAACAGTATTATATATTGTTTATGCATATCTACACATGTTGTAAAAGCACAAGGCATTAATAAGAGTGATCAATGCCAAATTCTGAAAGGCAGTTACCTCTCAGGAGGAAGGGAAACAGATGGGATGAGGAAAGAGAGACACAGGGACCTTGAACTGCATCCAAAATTATTTATTTTTTAGAACAATTATTTGGAGCAAATATGGCAAAAGTTTTAAATGTGACAATTTTTTGGTGGGTTGATGGATGATGTTCTTTAGAACATGCTCTGTACTTTTCTGTATGTCTGAAACATACTAAAACAGGAAAAAGTAAAAACACAAAAATATAGGTTTTTTAGCATTTACATTTTTGCCTTTTTTTTTTTTGAAGACAAAATTAGGTAACAGAGTGATGGAATTTGGACTTTTCCCTGCAATGGAATTGAAGTCTGAATTTTGAGCTTTGTGGTTTCAATTTTGAATTTTCTAGTTTTAAGTTTGAATTCTAATGTTGTGCATACTGTGTGATTGTATTCACTTACAACCTAATTATTTCCTTTCCCTTTCTGGGTTTTTGAACCAAGAAATGGAGCTGGTTCAGCAAGATGTCCGGGACTGCTATCTAGTAGTGTGTTTCTAGTCGAAGCTGTCAGTCAGTAGCACCAAACATAAAACACAGGGCCCAGGCAAGAGAAGGAGAGAGAATTGCTGCTTTTGAAGACTTTGATTCTGGAATTTTGTATGTCTGAGTGTACACCAAATTCCTGTCAAAACACAACCATCTGTGACATTCCAAATTTCTGGGTGAAAAGCAATAAAACAAAGAGCCAGTGGATTTGTTATTAGTCACGTGACCAGGTCAGGAGGTAGATCACATGGATGATAAATCAGCACTAGCTCACCCAGTCTTTCTTGGACAGCCTGGCTTCCAGATTTCTCCATACTCCCTCTCTGCTTGGGGTGAGAGCAGCCTTAGGCAAAACCAAGAAGAAAGCAAAGTTTGTCATCCTTGGCTTGCCCTCTTCAGCACTTCCGTGTAAGGTCAACCACAAGCTGACAAACCCTTTTAAAAAATCGACAGTATATCACATGGTTTCAAATGCAAAACGTACAAAAGGGTGTACAATGAGAAGTCTCCCTTTCAGCTTCCTTCTTCAAGTACCCGGGTCCCCAACCTAGAGGCAGTCGACATTGATGGAATATTTTATGTACCATTCCAAAAATATGTTAAGGCTATACAAATGAATATATGAATGTGTATTTAAAAAAAACAGAGAATAATATGTGCATGGTTCAATAACTTTTTTCCACTGATTATATATCATGGATGTTGCATCATACAAGTATATTAAAACTTTCTCGTTTGTAAATATAATGTATAATATTATATCGTATGGATGTACTGTAAATTATTTAAATAGTTCCTTCCTAATAGGTATGTAAGTTATTTCAAATATTTGGCTATTACAAGTAATGTTGCCATGAATAAGATTCACATGTGCTAGTATTTGTAGAGTATTCGTAGAATAAATTCTCAAAAATAGAATTTCTGGGTCAAAAGGTATATGTATTTACAATTGTGACAGAAATGGCTGGATTGCTCCATAAAAGTGGAACCGTTTTATACCCCCACCAGCAATGTGTGGGAGCACTTGTTTTCCCAAGTCTCATCAACAGCCTATTATCAAACTTGTTTTTATATTTGCTGAATTAATACATGAGAAACGGTATCTCAATGTGCATTTAATTTGCATTTCTCTTATTACCTTTTCAATTGTTGAAAGTCATTTTTGACATGGGAAATCTGCTTTCAAGGGTACTAGAAGTTCTAAAAAGCCCTCTTGGTGTAACACATCCAGATTTTGGATAAATTATAACATTGTTTTTTAATGCAATTTCTGGTCTGCAGTAAAGGGAAATAAAATTATGAAGGCAAACTGGTAATAATAATAATAACGATGAAAACAACAAGAGTGATGAGACCAGGGAAGTGGGCAGGAAGCAAACAGAAGTTTTAGAGTTATCTTGGGCATGAATGCCACTATTATGGTGGGGAGGGCTGGGTGGGAGGAGAAAATTGAATAGCAAACCACAGGCTTCTTGAAAATGAGGGTGTTGGCTCAGAGACTCCTGCATTGAGCCAGGCCCCTGGGACAGGTTTTGGGTTAAAAATAACATTGATGATAATATTAATAAAGATAATGACAATAATGACTATAATGAGGTCTCCCTTGTTAATCTGCAACCACAGACTTGGTATCACTTAGATTCTGGTGTTCAAACTTATACTAGTCCTAAATGTGGATAAATTAAATTAAAGTAGTTTCAGATTAGTAGCTCCTAAGAGTTTATCAGAGGTAAATACAAATATTTGCTAAAGGAAATAACAATTATGAGCTCATGATAAAAAAAATTACTAAATACGTAAGGCAACAAGCCAATATGAGTGAGTCAGCAAAACAATAACTAGAAGTTGTTGACCTCTAGGACTGAAGATGTTAGAATTAACAGATAAAGACTATGCAAGGGCTTTATGTCTATAAAATGTTTAAAGATGGAATAACAATGAGCAAGGAGCAGGAGATAATTTAAAAAAATACCTAGGCAGATTTTAAAAATAACCAAATCAATCTCTTAGGAATAAAAAATCATTGAAATTAAAAACTGCACATGCATACATAGGTAGTAAAACTATAAAGAAAAGTAAGGAAGAGATTGCAAGATATGTCAGGGAAGTGGTTCATATAGTGAGGAAAGAGCAAGAGTGTGAATGAGTAGTGATAGGTGGAGATTTCTGAGTACTTATAATGTCTTAATTCTTGACCTGGGTGGGGAGGTTGTGCAGATGTTTGATTTATGGTTACTTAATTTGCAGAATGTTATCTTTCAGAAACTTTTCTGCATATATGTTGTATTTCACAATAAAAATGATTAAAGTAAATGATGTATGTTTTAAACAGCATCCACATAGGTGAAGAAATAATTAATGAAATTAAATAAAGACATAAATAACCCAGAATGAAGTAATGGGTGACAAGGAGCTGGAAAATATGAGAGATTGAAGAGACAGGGAAGATAAAGAAGGTCTAATGTATATCTAATTGAAGTTCCATAAGGAGAGAACAGAGGAGAGGAAATATTTGTACAGATACTGGCTGAGATTAACCAGAACTGGTGAAAATCATGAACTCACAGATGGAGGAAACACCATGTATACCAAGAATGAGAAATAAAAAGAAACCTGCACATAGACATATAGTTGTAAAGCTGCAGCCGATGAGAAAAGACATTTTCCTCAAAGGAATGGGAGTCAGATGATGGGGAATATCTTTTAAAAAGTTGCCAGAAAACAACTCTCAACCTAGAATTGTGTTCTCAGCAAAAGTATACTTCTAGAACTACTGAGAATTATTGGAACTTCTAAAGGGTTTGTTTTAGGATGAAGAAAAATAAATTCAGAAGAAATGTTTGAGGTGCAAGAACAAATGGTGATTATATAAACTTAAAAAATTATACATATGCTTATAAAAGCATATGGAAATATAAATGAACATTATCCTTATAAATTAACAATACATTGATAAAAATATTATCTAAAAAATCTTCAGAAAAGTAGTGTGGCAAGTGGGAAGAAATGATTTGAGTGCTAAGGTCTTTGAATTTGTTAAGAAAAGAGTTTAGATATTTATTAATTTTATACTTTGTTTAGTATGCCTGGTATATTTTTAAGGCTTTAATGTCTAAGCCAGTAGAAGAGAAAATAAAATAAATCAAACAACCTATAAAAGCCCCAAATACCTACAACTCAATGGAATCAAAAGATAGCAAAAAAAAAAAAAGAAAGAAAAAGATCAGATAAACATAAACTGAAGAAACAAACAGTGTAAGAACAGATTGTAAAAGCAAGGTACCCATCTAAAACATAAGAATACAGAAAGAAAAAGAATGGAGAACAATTTTCAAGCCAAATGACAATTCAAAAAAAGCTGGAGCATATCAATAACTGATACTAATATCAGAAAAAGTAGATACTATTACAAAATGTATAATCAAAGAGGGTATATATGAAATGACAAAAGGTTTAATAAGAGATGTATAACAGTTCTAAACTTACATATACGTAGTAAAATAGTTTGAGTTTTGTTTCATACTTTGAAAGCTCTTTGACATTCTCAGACCTCAAAAATTACCTTGTGGTTTCTTCTAGTACTTTTATTTTTTAAATATATGTATAATGTAACCATGAAAGTATATATACATATTTCATGTATTTATCTGATACTCATCCTTGTATGATGGATGAGTTATGGAAACTTTTGTATTTTTATTTTTCCCTGATTTTTAACCTGTTGTACCATGCCCAATTTATCAACTAATTCATAGCTTTTTCATTGATTTGAGATGTCAATTTTATCAGATACTGAAATCCCTGGATATATCTGGGTCTGAACTTTCTATTTTGGCTCATTTATCTTTTTATATTTCCATACTCCACCCTGTTGAAAGTGCTGTGGTTTTATTTTTATTTTTTGATTTAGAGATGTTTTCTTTATTATTTATGGATTTATTTTATTTATGCATTTCAGATAACAAAGAATTATTGCCATCTAATTAATTCAGTGCATCTGGGTAGTTGTAATCAATGGTCACTAACATAGCATAAGGACAGACATTATGTACATCCTAATGGATGTCTACAACACCACTTGTCAATTACTCTCACCATAAAAATGAAAAATGAAAATGAATCTTATCAAGCCACTAGATCCAACTATTAATTTCTTAAAAATACAGGGGACAGAAGAATATGTTAATAGATAAAGCAGAGATGCATTTAACAAAACAAGTGTTGTGGTTTTATAATATGTCCTAGGGCTGGTCTTCCTTTATTTTTCTATTTTTTTTTCCAAGAAGTTTTCTGGCTATTTTTTTCTCATTTCGTTTTCCATATCAGCTTTAGCTCTTCTATTTAAAAAATATTGACATTTTCATTGGGGATGTTGTGTACTTTTGGTTTAATTCAGGGCAACCTGACTTCTTTAGTCTTCCATTCAACAACTATTCATTATACACTTACTATGTGTCTGTGATGTTCTGAGTGGAGAGATAGAGCAGAGAACAAAACAGCCAAAAAAAAAATGTGCTGCTCCTGAGGACTTTACATTTTAGGTGGGCAAAAGGCAATAAATAAGAAAAATGAAGGACAAATATATAGTATGTTAGGTGGTAATAGGTGTTAAGGAGAAAATTGAAGCCAAGACTGGTCATTAGGAGTTGGGGGGTGGGGGGGTGGGAATTGGCTGTAATTTTAGGAAAAGTGGCCAGAGGAGGCCTCAGTATGAAGGTCCACTGGAGAAAGATCTGAAGGATTGAGGGAGCAGGCCATGTGGATATTTGGAAAGAGAATTCCAGGCAGAGAGAGCAGCTAGCGCAAAGGTCTGGAGCCCTTGTATCTCTGGAGTATCCAACTGACAACAAGGAGGCAGTGTGGCTGGAGCAGAACGAACAAGGCCAAGTGTGGTGGAGATGATGCAGAGAGGTAACAGGAGCTGGAGCATTCAGAGACTGGTAGGCCATTCTAAGCACTCTGGGGCTTATTATGAATGAGATAGAAGGCTTTGTTGGGAGGGGCTTAAGGAGAGAACTGATATGATCTGACTTTGGCTCTAAAGGATCCTTTGGCTGCCATTTTGGGAATATTATAGAAGGAAAGGGAGACAAGGAGGTGTGGGTGGAGGAGTGGGCAAGCCTATTAGAAGGCTATGAATACAATCTAGCCACAAGATGATGGTGGTATGTTTCAGGACAACAGTAGCAACAGAAGTGAGGGAAAAGTGGTCAGGCTGTGTATATGAGAATTGACCAAATTGGCTGATGAATTGAAAGCAGGGTGTGAAAGACAGAGAGGAGTCAAACATAACTAAGATTTTTAGCCTAAACAACTGCATTAATAGAGCTGCCATTTACTGAGATGGGAAAGATCATAGAAGAGAGATGATTTGCGTTGAAGGATCAGAAGTTTGTTTTGGATATGTAAAGTCTGACTTGCCTATTACAAACAAGTGGTACTGTCTTGTTAGCAGTTGAATAGAAGATTCCAGAGCCCAGGGAGATATACATTTGGTGGTTAGCAGCATATAAATGCTGTTTAAAGACATGAGACTCAATGAGGTCAACAAGTTAGTGAATGTAGATCGAAAGAAGAGGTATTAGGACTAAGCCCTGGGATGCTCCAAAGTTAAGAGGTGGGGATGGGGTTAAGGAGGAACACAGAAGACTTGGAAGTTGCAAACAGTGCAGTCAAGGTAAGAGGTAACAATGTTGTGGTTTGTTGGAAGTCAAGTGAAGAAAGTGTTTCGTGGAGGAAGAAGTGGTCAGCCATGTTGAATACTGCTGATAGGTCAAGTTAAACAAGTACTGAGGTTTGATCATTGGATTTAGCAAAGTGGTGATCAAGGGTGATCTTGCAGAGGAGTAAGATCATGGAAGGGCTTAATTGGAATAGGTTTAAGAGAGAATGTAAGGAGACTCTAGGACAGATCTTCGAGGTAGCTGCCATTGACAGTTATCTGACAAACTTATCCCTCTGATGCAGTCCCAATTCCCATGTGACTTAGGAAAGGATGACCCTCTCTAATTTAATAGGTAAATCCTGATTGGTCTAAATTAGTAGCTCTCAATCAGGGATGATTCTGCTCCCCAGGGGACATTGGGCAATGTCTGAAGACATTTGGGGTTGTCACAACTGGGGTGTGTGTGTGCACGCACGCATGCATGTACACACTATTGGCATCTAGCGGGTGGAGATCAGGGGTGCTGCTAAACATCCTATAATGCAAAGGCATCCCTTCACCACAAAGAATTATCTAGCCCAAAATGTCAATAGTGCTGAGGCTAGAAACCCTGGTCTAAATTAGTCATTGTGGTTACATTTTCCTTGGTAGTGATTAATCTAAGTATTGATATGACTCAGTTTGGCCAATGAAATAATAAGAACTCTGCTGAGGAGTTTCTGAGAATTATTCCTTAGCTCTTAGAGGTATAAGGAATAAATGGTGCCTCTTCTTTGGATAGAGACAGTCAAATTGGATATCATGCTTGAACCACAGTAACCTTCCTGCTACCTGTCTAAAGACGAAGCAACACCTGGGAATGGCAGAGTTTCTGGTACTTTCAAACGAAAGTATCTGAATTGATTTAACCTCCAAACTAAAAAGACTGCTTTAGATAACATAGGAAGGTTATTTGAGTCACATTTCTTAGACAGGAATTTAATAGCCAGGTTATCTATTTAAAATCTGCCATAAGGAAGGAAGTTATATCATATTTTTGAGAATGTGTTAAGAGTGACTTACTACTATATGCAAAGACTCAAGTTTCATGGTTCAAGTGCCTACTTGAACATCACTACTGCTGTCCCCTCAAATTAGAATTGAAATTTCTTTTTAAATCTCCAGTATTACCTAGCACAGTGCTGGGGAGGTAGTTGATACATATTTACTCATTAGAAGTTAGACAACTTATCTGGATTAGTTATTTTAAAACTTTTGCAATTAGTAGTTGGGTAGACCTAATCAATTATCTAAAGCTAGGGAGACAAAATAGGAAACATAACTATAATAGAGATGGAGTATAGTCAGGGTACTCAGTTCCAGGTAACAGACTATACTTCCATAGTAGCAGACAGAGATGTATCACAGGCAGTGGTGTTCTGGTAAATGTTTATCAGCTCTCAAAAAATTCCTGATTTAGGCTGGGCACGATGGCTCACTCTGTAATCCCAACACTTTGGGAGGCCGAGGTGGGTGGATCACTTGAGGCCAGGAGTTTGAGACCAGCCTGGTCAACATGGTGAGACCCTGTCTCTACTAAAAATACAAAAAATAAGTGTGCGTGGTGGTGTGTGCCTATAGTCCTGGCTACTCTGGAAGCTGAGGCAGGAGAATCGCTTGAACCCAGGAGGTGGAGGTTACAGTGAGTCAAGATTTTGCCGTTGCACTCTAGCCTGGGTGACAGAGTGAGACTCTGTCTCAAAAAAAAAATCCTGATTTGTAGCATTTTCCAGTTTTCATGGTGTAAATATACTTGCTTCATGGCAGATTTCAGGCTACCAATATTATGTCACTGATAAGGAATTAGAAAGAGATGCACACAATTGGCTTTCATAAGCTGGTGTGAGTCCGCTCCAACAAATCACTGATTACAGGGTATTAGTTAGCTCTCAGAATCTAGAGGACCAGGGATGCTTTAGCTACATAGACAGGTGTAATACAAGGAGACAGGGGCCACTGATCCAACAGTGTTCTAGAAGAAATTTCCACCCTTCCGTCATAGCCTGTTCATCAATACCCATGTTGCTAAGGTTCAAATGGAGTAACTTCCTAGAAGTTAGCCAAGAAGAACCAAAAGTTTCCACCAAACAATTTTAATATCCTACACATGTCAATCAAATCACGTTTCTTTTTGCTACCTTCCAAAATCTTGGGCTAGTCGATCTGTTTGGCAGAATCCTGGGTCCCATGCAAAATGCAAAGAATCTGAAAAAATATTCAAGTTTCCAGCCTCTTTATTACAGAAAATCATGCTGAAAGTCAAATGGAATGAGCATTGGAGAGATGATTTTCAGTACCTCCTTTGTATAGTAAGAAATGGTGATGCAGGGTAGGCAAGCCCCAAATTGGGGCTTAGCCTAGGAGGGTTCTTGGTTTTGCTCAGGAAAGAATCCAAGAGTGAGTGAGCTGGTGGTAGAAGAAAACAACTTTATTGAGGCAGCAGTGTTACAGCTCCATGACTGCTCCTGCAGAGCAGGGCTGCCCCATGGGCAGTGTGCTGAGACTAGCAGCTCAGAGGCAGCTCTGCAGTCATATTTATATCCACTTTTAATTACATGCAAATTAAAGGGCAGATTATGCAGACATTTCTAGAAAAAGGGTGGCGACTCCTGAGTCATTGTGTCATTGCCATGGAAAGGGGTAGTAACTTTCGGGTGTTGCCATGGCAATGGTAAACTGACATGGCACACTGGTGGGCATGTCTTATGGAAAGGTATTTCTGCCCCCTCCCTGTTTTTAGCTAGTCCTCAGTTTGGTCCAGTGTCCAATTCCCACCTCCAGAGTCGAGTCTTACCTCCTACCTCAATGAGAGGAGGCAAATCAGAATAATAAAGGAAAAGCAGATGCTAACAAGCTGAAAACTAGCCCAGCGTGTGTGTGTGTGTGTGTGTGTGTGTGTGTGTGTGTGTGTGGTGGTATTTAAAATGTAAGCCACTTTAAACCAATTTAGTAATTGTCAGATATAAATATATCCTACAAAAGAATTGCAACGTGACCAGGAAAATTTTGGGCACTTTATACAAATAATTATGTGTGAACAGGAACAAACTATGGCACGCGAGTTAGGAAAGGATGAGGAGAGTAGAGAGGGAGATGCCAATTCATCTCAAAAATGGGTCAGTTGGTCTAGTGACCAATTTGACTACTGGTGTAATCGCTTCAAATTTATATTTTCATTTATGTGTATTGATTACTGTAGGGGATATGTATCATAGCTGTGGTTACCCATGATCTTTTTAAGAGCATTTCTGTACTTGGGGAAATTCACAGGTCATGAGTCCTCAGCAGAACAACCTATTGTTTCTGGCTGCCTAGGACTGAGGGTTGTCCTGGGATATGGTACTTTAATATTGCTAAAACTAGGCAAGTCCTGGCGAAATTGGGATAAGTTGATCACCCTAGATTTTGCCTCCTAGGTGTAGAATCAGAGCTCAAATTTCCAAGCTCTTTTGCTGCTAGGATGTGGCATGTAACCAAGTCTCTGCTGTTTAGAATCAAAAAGCTACCCCAGCCCTCAGTTCAAAGCTGAGCTAGGAAGGAAAGACACTGCAGTGAGCTTCCATGTTGCCAGCAGGGATAGCAGTCCAGCTGGCTGCCTTTCAGGGGCGGGAGCAGTGGCTGCAAGTTAGAGTCCCTGATGCAGAAGAGCTGGAGGCTAGAAGCGCTATCATTTGTAATCAGGCTGAGGACCTGGCACCTGGGGCTTGCTGGTGGCAGCAGTAAGGCAGAAGCGGCTTCTCCCCCCGCCCCCAAATCAGGCTAATTTGCTGCATGGTTTTGGCATTTTTCCTGGAAGTGATGCCGTGGATTTATTTCTCCAGCCCTACCAGTGATTCTGGAGCTACTGAATATCTTTCAGTAGCTTAAACTTGCCAGAGAATGGATTCCATTGTTTGCCAGTCAGAATCCTGACCAATAAAATAAAATTGGAGTATTTCATATATGGATGATGGATATAGCTCCTTTTAAGTATATGATTTTTAACTGCCTTTTTCTATTAAAAACATCTTTTGATAGCTATTTGCAAGGAGAGGACAGTCAAACTGCTTAAGGGAGATTTTGTCTTAATTTCATGTTCCTAATATATCTTCATCAAATTTCTGGCACTGCAGTTATGATTCTTCATGCTGCTTTTGTTCTTTTTTTATTTTTTTTTGGCTTTTTGACATCCTTGTGCCCCATTGGGTTTGCTAAGCAAATAGGTGTATTCTGCAAAGATACAGTGAGAAAATGTGGCAAATCTATGTGTGTTTATTTCAATTGCTCTGTTTTTTTCACTTGTTATATATTAACTTTTTAATATCACTCAAAAAGTTTTTTCTCGTTTTCCTAAATTGCAAGCCAAATTTTTGTTATTTTCTAAATAAGCTTTTTATTTTGAAATAATGTTCTATATATAGAAAAGTTGCCAAGGCCGGACACAGTGGCTCATGCCTGTAATCCCAGCACTTTGGGAGGCAGAGAGGGGGTGGATCACTTGAGGCCAGGAGTTCCAGACCAGCCTGGGCAACATGACGAAACCTTATCTCTACTAAAAATACAAAAAATTAGCTGGACATGGTGGTGTGCGCCTGTAGTCCCAGCTACTCAGGAGGCTGAGGTAGGAGAATCACTTGAATTTGGGAGGCAGAGGTTGCAGTAAACTGAGATTGTGCCAGTGCACTCTAGCCCGGTTGACAGAGCGAGACTCTGTCTCAAAAAAAAAAAAAAAAAAAAAAAAAGTTGCCAAGATAGTACAGAGTTCCCATATACTTCATCCAGCATCCCCCAATGTTAATACCTTACATAATCGTGGCATTGCTCTTAATTTCTCATAACACCTAAATTATAAAGAAATATTGGACCTTAAAATATCATGTACTATCAATACTTGGAGAATATCTTCTCATAAATAGAGGGTATTTGTATTTTGACAGCAATAGCTTTCTTTATTCTTTGCATCCAATCTTACTATTTATTTTGACATGGAAGCATCTGCTGCCTGCAGCCTTCGCTCCATGTAGAACTCATTCTGGCCTTGCTGTTTCTTGTTGATGTGTGTCAAAATTTAGATGTGCTTGGATGGTGTGTGAAGATCATAGCTAAAATGTGAAGAGCCAATCAAAGGTACAGTTTGTTGGAGGTAGCCCCTAGTGAACATAAGCCCAACATTTCAACACCTAGTTCACACAGCCTGGGGAAAGGAGGAGGGCTTGGCAACAAAGGCTAGATGTCCAATCCCCCTGGACTCACACTATACCATAGCATGGAGATTCTCCAATGTCATTGTACATATGAGACACTCTTGTTCAAATGCAGATCCTGATTTAGCAGGTTTTGGGTGGAGCCTGAGATTCTGCATTTTTGATAGGCACCCACTGATGCTTGTACTGCTGGTCCATAGACCACCCTTTGAGTCACAAGGTCATGAAGACGATTTCACTGGCCATGATGCGGTTGTCATAAATGGTATTAAAGGAGCCATCTTTGCCACAGTTGGTGCTAATCCAAAGGCCAGAATCAAGTGAAAATTCAAAGTGATACTGTTCTTTCTTGTAATACGGATTTGCATCACTGGCTCGTGTATTTCTTTTGATATCTTGTCACCTTTGTTGTATTCTATTGGTTAGAAGAAAATTACAGCTTTCACTCACACTCAAAGGGAAGGGATTATACCAGGGTGGGACTCCTTGAGGGCCACCTTGGGGTGTGTCCACCACAAGACTATATGAACGGTCTCTGAAATTAGTTAAATATTGCTAAACATATAATACATTTAGATAACCAATTATGATAATTTAAGTTTAGCCTCTAAGATCCTGGAGAGGAAGTAAACTAAAATTTATGGAACACTTACCACGGGACTTGGTCCTAGAAGATATTGGAAACATTTATGGCTTTTTTGAACTTCAGAGTTGAAAACACCCTCCATAGTCACACATTATATTAAGGATAACACTTGGAATAGAGTGAGTTATTTTGAATTGTGACCTAAGTTGATATTTCATAGAAGACTTTCGTGTAGTTTGATACTACTTCGTGGCCAATTGTGTAAGGAGTACGTGACCATATGCCAGTAGAGCAGATAAGAATAGGGCATTGGGGGATATTTATAAATTAAATCAGTTCTCAATGTAGTAAAAAGACTTGATCTTACTACTGTTTTAGAATTCTCAAGCCAGATTGAAAGTTTGGCTTGAAATGGAAACTGCTACCCATGATATAAAAACACAACTTAAGTTTAGGAACAAAACAACTATTTTACATCAGAGTGGCTATAATTTGTGAGTGTGTGTTTATGCACAATTTATTCTGAAGGACCAAAATTTTAAAACCACATGCAACATTTCTATATTTTGTAAGCTATTAAAGTCCCAACTGAGGAAACCAGAATCTATTAAGGAAAACAACTCAAATGGCACAAAACATGCTGAAGATTACAGTTCTTCAGAATTCATACCTGTGGAGTCTCTCTAATACCTGGCTATAGGAGAATATTTTCAGACAGTAAACTCCTTGACTGCTATGAGAGTTGAGAATTCTGCTTCAGGGTAACTTTAGTGTAATAATTAATTGAACTTGATAATCACAAAGGAGTCTGTGTGGATTCATGATTCCCAGAGAATTGGTAGGCCTCTGACCATGGGCCGCTGGTGAGGGGGTTGCCCCTTAGAGATTTTCCACTCTGCCAAGAAGACCTCTGAGCAGTGTGCATGTTATTTATAGGAAAAGAGCTGTAAGGGGAGGGGGGAAGATCAGCTTCTTTTCCCTGCTCTATGTTAAAAGCCCACAGCAGGTTTCTCTCTCTGAATAGGACATACCCTACATTCTAATCTATTAGATAATTAAGCTGATGATTAGTTATAATAATACTACTATAATTTAATACAGTGGTGTGTTGGTTTCCTAGTGCTGCTTAACAACTTACCACCAATTTACCAGCTTAAAACAACACATATTTATTTTCTCACAGTTTTTTTAGGCCAGGAATCTGGGCACAGCTGAGCTGGGTCCTCTGCTCAGGGTCTCACAAACTTGCAATCAAGGTGCCAGGGAGGTTGTTGCATTCTCACCAGATGCTCGACTGGGGAACATTCTGCTTCCAAGTTTCCTCAGGTTGTTGGTAGAATTCATTTCCTTGTGGTTGTAGGACTGAGGTCTCCAGCATCTTCCTGGTTGTTGGCTAGATGCTGCCCTGAAGTCCTGGAGGCTGCTGGCAGTTCCTGGCCATGTGGTTCTTTCCATAGGTGGTTCATGACATGACTGCTTACTCAAGGCTGGCAGGAAAGTCTCTCCAGTCCACTAAGATGGAATCTTATCTATTGAAATCACAGAAGTGATATCTTGTCACCCTTGCCATATTCTATTGATTAGAAGCAAACTACAGCTTTCACTCGCACTCAAAGGGAGGGGTTTATACCAGGGTGGGACTCCTTGGGGGCTACCTTAGGGTGTGTCCACCACAAATAATGAGAAATAGAGGCAAAAGCTGGGACACTGCATTGCTGTTTTTGTTTGAATCCTTCTGCTTCATTCCACATCCCCTCCACACAGTGCCTCATTCACCTTTGTGTGCCGGGCTCATAACAGAGGTGTAGTGCCGGGCTCATAACAGAAGTGTAATGCATGGAGGGACAGTGATCCTTCTGGAATAGGCTTCCTTTTGCTCCCCTCTCTGAAGGATGATGTTGGAGGCAAACGGGAAGGAGTAAAAGAGAAAACACTTTTCTTGTGCTGCCTCCCAAATAAAACGCCAAATAATGACATCTATAAAGTTATAAGAAAACTTCAAAATCATAAGAAAAATATCAGTCTCACTGCTTCCATCACATGACTGGGGAGAATCATGCTATTAGTGTCTGAAGAGTTTTTAAAAAATTATGAACAATATTTTTTAATTAACTTGAATCAAGAACTCAGTGAACATGGTGGTGACTTTTGGTAGCTCTGTACCATTTTTGAAAATTCGTTCATCAATGTAGCTTTTAGATGCCACCATGGCCACAGCATGGAAAGTGAGGCAGTCCAGCATATAGTAGTAGAGACTGTCCACTGTACAACCCCAGGAGTGCTGTTTACAAAACCACACTGTCTGTCCCTCCCCCGGTTATTATTCCTAGTAAGAATATTGTGCATATTAATGGGGGGACATTTAACACAAAATTCCAACTGAGTTTTGGGGTCACCCTTAGAAGTTTTTGGGGCAGGTATGTTATCCTAACCCTACAGATGAGGAAACTGAGGTTGAAAGGTTTATATAACTTGCCTGGTGTCTAATAGTGTAAGGATCAGGGCCAGGGCTGGGACCCAAGACCAAGGATTTTCCCACAAAATTCCCACTTTACTCTTCATAGAGCTGGGCTTTTGCTTTGTTTTGACTTGTCCTGTCCACAGCTCTTCTTCAAATAAATCAGGGTCATCCACACAGCCCGTGAAGGTGGTTTCCCCTACAGGTGTCAAAAGTTCTCACCCTGTGATATGGTTTGGCTGTGTCCCCACTCAAATCTCATCTTGAATTGTAGCTCCCATGATCTTAACATGTCGTGGGAGGGACCTGGTGGGAGGTGATTTAATCATGGGAATGGTTACCCTCATGCCGTTCTCGGGATAGTAAGTAAGTTCTCAGGAGATCTGATGGTTTCATAGAGGGCTTTTCCTCCTTTTGCTCAGCACTTCTTGCTGCCACCATGTGAAGAAGGATGTGTTTGTTACCCCTTCCGCCATGATTGTAAGTTTCCTGAGGCCTCCTTAGTCATGCTGAACTGTGAGTCAATTAAACCTCTTTCCATTATAAATTACCCAGTCACGGGTATGTCTTTATTAGCAGCATGAGAATGGACTAATACATCCTGTTAGAAATTCTTCAACCAACCCTAATCTACAAAACAGTGGTTAGAAAACTGCATTGCCCTCTAGCATTGAAGCATGTGGTTCTACATGCCCATTAAGTGGTGACTTGTTCACCTTTGGGTATCTGTCTCATAGCAGCTGGGTGGACAATAATCTTTCTAGAATGGGCTTCCCTTTGCTCCCCTTTCAAAAGGACACTGAGCTTAGAATTTGCCAGCTACCTGGCATCTTGAGCAGAATTCATGTTTTTTAGTTCAGCAAACATTTATTGGGCCCGGTGTTTTAATTGCTGAGCTAAGGGAAAGCTAAGGAAATGAGGGCTTTTTAAATCCTGTCATCAGGGATTTTAAGTTGCCTTCTCAATCTCCTAGAGTATGATCATGCTGTCCCCAGTACCATAATGATTCCATGCTGGACACATGATTAATTCTGTTAGTAGTGGCAGGCTCCACTGTATCTTCAGGGAACGTATTTTTCTTTTTGGCTTTTGCTAGTCAAATGTGGTTAAAGAATCAATGATGGGAATTTAAGAGAGTTTTTTAAAAAAAAACACACATTAGGAGAGAAAAATATTTGGTCAGCTTTTCAAAGTGGAAATAACCATGGGGGAAAGTGCTGTAGCAGGTATTTCCTTTGATTTTTTTTTTGAGCTTATACTGCATATGTACTTTAGAAGTAGAACCAGAAAGGAAATGTGAACGGAAATTCTTTGTCTAGGGTTTATCACATGAATACGAAAAGAATGACAAAAATTATCTATACGTTGACTGCTGCTCTCTTGAAATATCTGCAGTTTTCATTTGATTACCATTGTTAGTCTAATATAATTTAATTGTATTTAATAGCTGGCAAGATCTGCATTGAGTATAATTACCCATTGTTCCAGCATGATCTGTTAGATTTTTGTTCAGCAAATATTCTTTCCCCTTGCCCCTTTACCCCAACACCTCCGTAGAAGGATATTTCTCTACCCTATTGGGTTTGGCCGTGTGATCAGCTTGGACCAATGGAATGAGGGTAGAAGAGATGTCTTAGTTCTGAGGCTAAGTCTTCAGAAGATCAGCTCTCTGGGAGCTTCTGACGTCTGCCATGAGACATATGCCCAGGTAGTTGCCACTCCTTCAGCCTAAGTCCCAGAATAAGATGTATGCAGCACACTTGGATTCAACCTGCCATCTGAAGCAGAAGCCATGAGCAAGCCATGAAAAAGAACCGACTGTCATTGCATATGATGCCACTGAGCTTTCATGTCAGCATATTTCATAGCTAATGTAACACACCTAATGATAGCATGCCCACAGATGTTACAAGAAAACGGTGATTAATCTTCTCCAGTACTTCTCAGTCTTGAAGCTCCGTTTAGAGTCACCTGGAGGATTTGTGAAACACAGATTCCTGGGTCCAACCCCAGAGAGTGTAAGTCAATTGGTCTGGGTTGGGACCTCCCCCCCAATTTGCATTTGTAACAAGTTTCTTGGTGCTGCTGGTGCTGCTGGTCCAAGGACCCACTTTGAGAATCACTGATAGAAATCACTGGATACTAATGGGATTAACCATTTTCAGCAGATATGCTGCACAGATAGAAATGATTGAGCTCTTTAGATATAGCTACTTTTTGATATGATATGAGCTGAGAACAGAACCAACTACTTAGAGGAAATAGACCACAATGGAGAGAATACAAATAGTACTGGTGGTAGAGTGGTGGAGTGGGAGAATCTTGTAAAAATGGATTTTGGCCTCTGAAGGAGTGGAATACAAGGCTCTGAACACAATAATCTAGGGGAGTAGTCCATGCAGACCCAGGCACTAAGAGGCCAGATTGGAGGTGGTGGTACTTCGACTGGTATTTTAGTCTTGTTAACAAAACTTTTATTTATGTTCTAGTCTGGAGACATGGAAGATAGGATTGGAAAACTTGGGCTTATTGGGTCACTTTTAAAATACACAATAAAGACCATGAACATGGGCATCTTTACATTAGCATGAAAAACGAACAACTTAAGGAATCATCTGGAAGTTTTCAAACATCTGCAGACTTGGCCTCATGTTGATTTGCCTGAAAACAAGCGTGTAATTGGAAATGGGAAGAGACAAGTCTAAAACATTTACTGTTGGATCGTCTTGAGCATTCTGCTGTCAGTGTAGATGAGGTCCCAGCGGCCTGATGCTGACGTATTTATTGATACAATGAGAGGCAGGAAGCTGATCACAGCTTGGCCAGGCACAATTCCCAGGAAAAGGAGTAATGAAATCAGATCACTTATTTGTAAAGTACATCCAGCTTTGAATTACATGGATTCCCCTGATAGCCTAAATTAGTTATATAAAATAGAATATTTTATAGAAATCACTTGATAGGTAGATGGTCAATTTGAGTTTTGAATTAATATTAGCCTTATTTGTATTTACCAATAACCTATTTTGAAAACAGCCGTCACTGATCCAACTTAAACCCCCATCTCCTGAACTCTAGAACATTGCCTCTCAAACTTTGCAGCTTGTTAGATGTCCAGGCCACACTCCAGACCAAGTTCATTAGAATCTCTGGGGGCAGGACCCAGGCATTGGGATTTTTTACATCTTCTCAGCAGATTGCAAGAAGTAGCCTTGTTGGGGTACCAGTACTTAACTTGCTATTCAGAGTGGTGCTTGCATTGGCAGTGTTGGCATCTACTGGGAGTTGGTTAGAAATGCAGTCTCAGGCTGGGCGCGGTGGCTCACGCCTGTAATCCCAGCCACTTTGGGAGGCCAAAGCGGGTGGATCACCTGAGGTTGGGAGTTCGAGACCAGCCTGACCAACATGGAGAAACCCCGTCTCTACTAAATATACAAAATTAGCCGGGCGTGGTGACTCATGCCTGTAATCCCAGCTACTCGGGAGGCTGAGGTAAGAGAATCGCTTGAACCTGGGAGGCCAGAGTTTGCAGTGAGCCGAGATCACGCCATTGCACTCCAGCCTGGGCAACAAGAGTGAAACTCCATCTCAAAAATAAAAAATAAATAAATAAAATTGAGAAAAGCAGTCTCAAGCTCCTCCCTGGACCTACTGAATCAGAATCTACTTTGTAACTAGGTCCCAGGTGATTTACTTGCACATTAAAGTATGGATAGAAGTCACACAGGACAGTGGCAGGTTTCCACCCACCATGGGCCCCAGCTCTGTGGACCCTTTCCTAACTTCTAAGCAAAGTGGATCTCTGTACCTGGCAAAAAGCAGAGCACTGATTCTCTTGCCTGTCCTGTCTCCTCTCTTCATTTACTGAGAGAAGATTGGAATTTTTCAAAGGAACAGAAAGAAAGAGGAGAGGAAGAGGGAAGGGTGGAGAGAATGAGAGGAATAGCCACCAATACATATTTCTTTCTTCTTTTTTTATTTTTTTATTATTTATTTATTTATTTATTTATTTATTTTTTTGAGACGGAGTCTCACTCTATCACCCAGGCTGGAGTGCAGTGGCACAATCTTGGCTCACTGCAACCTCCGCCTCCTGGGTTCAAGCATTTCTCCTGCCTCAGCCTCCCGAGTAGCTGGGACTACAGGCCCATGCCACCAAGCAAGGCTAATTTTTGTATATTTAGTAGAGACAGGGTTTCACCATGTTGGGCAGACTGGCCTTGAACTCCTGACCTCAAGTGATCCGCCCACCTTGGCCTTCCAAAGTGCTGGGATTGCAGGCATGAGCCACCGCACCCAGCTACCAATACTTATTTCTTATTCTAACTTAAAACATGCCACATCAAGTCTTGGGCAACAGAGATCACAGGGAAACTCCAGTTCCTTTCTACCATTTCAAAAACCAGGAGAAAATTAATCTGCAGGTGGTGTTTCTTCTACCCCAGGGGTTGGCAACCTTTTTTTTTATAAAGGGCCAGATAGTAAATATTTTTGTCTTTGTGGCCATATGGTCTCTGTCACAACTATTCAACTTTGTCATTGTAGCATGAAAATAGCTGTAGACAATACTCAAAAGAATGGGCATGGCTGTGTTTCATTACAATTTATTTTCAAAGACAGGCAGTGATTCTACTGCTAGGTACATTCTGAAAAGAATTGAACACAGGTACTCAACCTAATCTTTGTGCACAAATGTTCATGGCAGCACTATTCACAATAGCCAAAAAGTATAAACAACCCAAATCCATGAATAAATGAATGAATGAATGAATGAATAAACAAATTATGGTATATCCATACAATGGAATATTATTCAGTCATAAAAAGGAATAAAGTACTGATCCATGCTAAAATATGGATGAACCTCAAAATCATTATGCTAAGTTGAAGAAGCCAGATGTTAAAGGTCATGTATTGTATGATTCCATTTATATGAAATATCCAGAATAGGTAAATCCATAGAAACAGATTGGTGGTTGTCAGGAGCTAGGGGGAGGGGAATGGGGAGTAACAGCTCATAGCTATGGAGTTTTCCTTTGGGGTGATGAAAATGTTTTGAAACTAGAAAGAGGTGGTTGCACAACACTGTGAATGTAATAAATACCACTGAATTGTTCACTTCAAAATGGTTCCTTTTATATTATGTAAATTATACTATAATAAAAAAAAGTTAACAAAACAAAGCAAAACAAAGCCAGGCAGCTGCTAGATTTGACCCAGGGAGTCTTAGTTTGCTGACTCCTGCTGTCCTCCATTCAGACCCTGCTTGATGGTTGATAGACTCTCCAGCTCCACCAAGATCCTGTTTCCAAGTCTTCTCTGTTAACAGACATTATATAGCCACATGCTCAAACTCTACCCAGTCGCTCTCATTTCATCTCTGTAGCTGCATGGACTCCCTTGGGTCCTGGCCTGGTCCTGACTCTCCAAGTTGGGAAGGAGGCTCCACATCTACTCTAAAGCGTCTTCCATTGTGCCTTGTAGGCTTTGGAACTGACCTTGCAGCAGCCTCCTTTCTCTCCATGGGCTCTTCATGCCTTAAGCACCTTCCCTAGCTAGTGTGAGACTTGGCACCTCTCTTTGGTTAAGCTCAGCATCTTCGTCCCAGCCAGCTTTTAGGCTTTGACTCTGCCAGACTTGATGACAGACAGACAGACAATACATCCTAATTCTCTTGGAATCAGCACAGTCATAAACTGACTTCCTATTTTTTTTTTTATGACAAGGGGGCTCTCACTTAGTTCTTGTTTCTTCTCCAAGGAATGTTAGTTCATAGGTTGATCTTAAGACCTATTGATGCTTGGCCTATACCAAGCACAGTGAATGGCCCAAGACTACCCTGTGTAAGAGTGATGAGTCTGCTGAAATAAAGGATAGTATCAGCCCTGCTAATTCTACCTTTGTGATCTTTGTGCAACATGTAACACCAGGCCTGAATTTTTTTTTTTTTTTTTTTTGTCACTGAAGAGCACCTGACTCTCTTATGTATTTCTTCTGTTGGTACCTGAATTAAATTGGTTATACAGTAATAACTGTATAAATGGTAAACCTCGACACTAATAGAAGTATTATCAACTAAAGAATTACCTCAGGAAAGTACTTTATGGTTTTATATTAAGATTGTATTCTACATATCAGGAAAGTAATTTATGGTTTTATATTAAGATTATATTCTACATATACTAATAATAGACATACTTTACCAAACCTGAGAGCAATGTCCTTCTCCCTGTATTAGTTAGGATAACACTTTAGTCTATGATGTGCCAACAAATAAACCTTGAAATATTAGTGACAACACGATAACATTTTCTTGCATCACAGACTGATGCAGATCAGGACACGCTCTACCAAATGATGACTCAGGGATCTGAAATAGTTCCATCTTAGTTTTTCACCTGGAACATAATCTAAGTCTTAGATTGTTGCAGTGACAAACCCCCAGTGAATTATGCCTCCTTTTAAATTCTTTCTCCCATCACCTTTTCTAGTCTCCTCCACATGGATTCTTTTTACTAAAATCTATTCCTGTACCTCATGAAGAGCCCTAGCTAGTCTGCTGGAGGATGAGACCGTATGGAGCAGAGATAAACCCTCCTAAGTTCTGAGGCCCTCTTGATCAACCCATTCTTTAGTCAATCCCAGCTTTATACAGCCACATGAGTAATCCCAAACAAAATCTATGGAAGAATTGCCCAGCTGAGCCCTTCTCAAAGTGTTAAACTGCAGAATCACAAGCAAATAAAATACTGTTGACCCCGGAACAACATAGGTTTGAATTGCTCAGGTCCACTTATACACTGATTTTTTTTCAACCAAACATGGATTGAAAATACAGAATTTGAGGGATGTGAACCTTCCTATAGGGAGGGCCGGTGTTTTGTATAGGCAGATTCTGCAGTGCTGGCTGAGGTCTTGATTATGTGGGGATTTGGGTATATATGGGGTTCCTGGAACCAATCCCTTGTGTATACCAAGACATAACTATAGTTGTTTTTGTTTTAAGCCACTAACTTTTAGAGTGATTATTATGCAACAGAGATGGACTTATAGACACAGCCTCCAAGAATTTTTATATTCCTAGCAAGGAAGAGAAGGTTAAAGGGTTTCATGAGATGTTTTTAAGGACTAGAAGGAAAGTAGCTTCCGTCACTACTTATCGGATTCTATCGGCCAGAACTTAGTCATATGGCCCCATTTAACTGCAAGGGAGGCTGGGAAATGTAGACTTCTTGTATGCCCAGGAAGAAGATATAGTGTGGTGAACCCTGCATTAGTCTCTGTTGTACATCCATACTACCTACCATAGCTGCTCATATCTGCTTTTCTCCATATCAACATCTTACAGCCAACCCCCATGTGTAAATAAGCAGAAAGAAGAAACAGGCCACATTCAATTCATTTTAGGTTGATCTTTTGTTATGAGGCTGATAACCAGAATACCATAAAAGCCAATGCTCTGAGAAGAGGAGGAGTTATTTGGTGAGATGAGAAGAGATTACAGAGATGGAGAGGGGACTGTGATGATGTGCTCCAAAAGCTATTTAATAAAACTCCTTCCCTTGAGGGGTACCATTATACTCAATTCAAAACAAAACAACTAATATTTGTCAAACATTTGTTAAGAGGATGGAGCCAACTTTGATACACCAGAACAAACAGAACTATGTAAGACAGGTTCTGCTTTCAAGAATGTTTTATTCTGATATGAAGATAAGACACATACATGAATAATTGTAACACAAAATAGAGTTTGAGAAATTGCATGAGACAAGCACACAGTATTTGGAAGGTGGTGGGAGCCAAAATACAGAACTATGGTGTAGTTGCATGAGTCAATGAGAAAAGGCTTAATAAAAGGTGTCATATTCAGGTGAGTCCTGATGACATCTGCTAAACATAATGACAGATAAGTTGTAAGCTTTAAGGTACTGGGGACCATTACACATCCCCTTCCCTTTAGTAGCTGGGACCTCTCTGGATTCCCCAGGAGAACATAGTAGAGACAGAGCACAGTCTGGCTTGGGGTTGTTACTTTGCTGATCCAATGATGCCCCTCAGCATCATTGGAGGAGGTGATGCAGTATCTCCAGCCCAACTCCAAGGCATAAGTAATTAGCAGCATGTCATAGATTCATCCCTATCTACCATATAACCTGTTTTCATAGCCCTCCCCAACTCTATCACTCTAACAACCCACATCCTGCATCCTGCCATAAGTTGAGGGGTTGCATCTATGAAGATTGGAAGGGTAAGCCTCCAAATTATAATTTTACCCTCAATTCAACAGTTATTGAGGGTCTTCTTTGGGCTCTTGGAAATGAGATATATGCATTACCTCTCCGTGTTTACAAAACAGAGCCCCAAAAGGATCCTGACATTCCTGCCAATTTGTCTTGGAGGATAACATTTGGATTCATATGTTTCCTATATAATAACCACCAAGAATATACACATTCTAAGAGTCTTATCTCAAATGTTTAAAGAAGATCGTTCTGAGCACAGGAAGTCAATAGAGCCTTAAATATAACAGGATGTAGGATGCTTTAGGGAGCAAATTAATCATCACAAGAGGACTGACCCAAAGAGATAGAAGGAAAGAAGAATCTCGATCACATAATTTTGAGACTTCTACTTTACGTTAAGCTGGGTGCCCCCAGTTCTGATTGATTGTCTTTTTTGCACCTCTCCAACATTTCTCAGCTTCTTAGTCCCGTTTCTAGTGCCCAAGTCAGGAATTAGAATAGAATTTGGAGGTTATCACCTAACTGTACCCTCAATGTTGCTGTGGTGGTTTCATCACTCATCACTAAGAGAATCTTGGAATCTGAATCCAATTTTCCTGTTATAAACCAGGAGAAGTTGTTACTGGTGCATTTATGGCTTTCTGGACATTTTTTCACAGGCCCTGAGGATGTTAGCTTACTTTAATGTAAAAATACTTGTTAGTTTGTTCCTCAGTCACTCATCTGGGTCATGGAGAGAAGATGGGAGAACCACAGGGCTAGAAGGGGACGTTGTCCACTCTCTTAGCCAAGTGACCATTTCTTCAAAAAAAAAAAAAAAATCCAGGTGTCCCATATGGGCCAGAAGAGCAGCTCAGTTTGGAAATGAGTAGCTGGTGGTAGGCAGACCCAGCCTATTTCTACCTGGCTTCATCTCCTGATGAGATGCAGAGGAACACCATCCAGCCTCCCAGTTCAACTGCCACCAACTTTGGAAGAGGAGACCCTCAACTCCCTCATACCCATGCATCCCCTAGGATTTTCTGAGAATCCCCAAAGATTCTCAGAATCTTTGCATGCAACCACATGCAACCACAAGGCAGTCTATCTGCTGCAGTCCCCATGAGCATCTCCAATTTTTCCTCTTTGGCTCTGCATCTAACTTATTCATTCATTGCTCAGAAAGCCACTGGAGACATTTTATAGCTGGTATGACCACATTTTCAGAGACTTGTGTCTATACCACCAAAGGTATGATCTCCAGGTGCTTCCCAAACTTCAAATTCTCTAGAGTTGGGTTTATTCAGATGTGAGGAGAAGGGATAAAATTATAGATTTTTAAGGCCAAAGGAGGCCTTAATTCAGTTCAATTCACAGCAAGGAAATTTAATGAAGTTCAATAATGTGGACTAAATGGGTGTTAGAAGATATAGGCAGGAATAAGACCCTCAAATTCCCCTTACATGAGTGTGCCTGCCCAAGGGCTTGCCTAGCTTACTGCCTGTATATGGTGCTGCTGAGCTTTCCTTGTCATTTTTTCCTGTGGGAGGTGGAGCATGATGTTGGTTCTCTTCCCGTAAGTGGCACAATGTGATAGCACTGAGGAATCACAGTCTCATTTCTTGATGAAGGCATCTTGCTTATATTAATTTCAAAGCCTCATGAGGTCAGTGTCGAAAATTCTCTAAAAAAAAAAAAAAAAAATCAGTTAACCACAATTCAGACCTGGCGTTTCCTAATATTGGTATCAGGAAATACTAATAGAAATAAATCTGTACAAAATTGCTCTCCACTCAACACCAAAGCTTCTATCTTAATAATTATTATACCATTCAGTTTTTCCATTAACTTCCTGCCCACCTTCCCAACAACCTTAAAAAAATACTTCTTGGTTCCTTTAGTAAGAGAAAATTTTATTTTATTTGCAAAAGTGACAGACACATAGACATATTTACTGTAAACTATTTTAAAAGTTTTTTAATTCAGATAAAACAATGCACAGGAAACACATATTCACTGAAGAGCTGAAGTCAACACATTGAAGAGAAACATTGTGAAAGAGGCTGGTTTGAGGTTCAGATTACAGACTTGCTGCCCGTGGTTTGAAGTTCTAAGATGGAAAACTGAAGGCCCCTATGCTTTCACATGTCATGATTTCTCCATCATTATTATAATTTATTATTGTATTAAAATACTAACAGAAAAAGTAAAGCCTTTTTTCTGGATAGTGAAGCCCTGCCCAACTTGGTCCCACAGCACAGTTGCTGGTGCAAGGCTGAGGAGATAAAGGAGATTAGCCTGTCACTTCAGGAAAACAGTACATGGACACACAGAAAATGGATAATGTTAGCATCTTTTCCAAACAGTTTGCATCAAAGAACATCCATTGGGAAGGAAGGATGAAAATGATTACTACTGGAAGCCAATTTAATTTTATTTAGTTTGTTTGTAATGGAGAGGGGTTGTTTGAAAAAGGAGGTTTAAAGGAAAAGAGGTGGTAAAATTATAGAAAGACTAAGCTGAAAAAGAACTTGCTGAGGTTTAGCAAATTTCCTTAATTTAATCCATGTTCAACTCAATTGAATAAAATCAACAAACATTCACTAAGTCTACTATATATCAGCCCTGGGGATGCAATGATAAGACCCAGTTTGCCTTCAAATATCTCAGTCCTTGGGCGAAGAGACTCAACCTGGAAATCTGAAGTGACTTATATAAGTTTTACAGCTAGTCAGTGGTAAAAGCCAAACTAATGTCCCAGCCTCATGACTCTTGGTTCAGCAATCTGACACCCAAACTATGTTTTTTTATAGCAAGTCAGAGAAAAACACTGGTAAACTCATCCAAGTATTCAGATATTTCATCTATGCAATGCTTAAAAGAAACCAGCTAAATGTTCTTCAAGATACTAAATATGAGAGGTGAGATTCTATAAAAAGGGAGAAGAAGGATGAAGGTAATAACAATACCTAAAAAGTTTTGTGGATTTAGACATTGGTGTCAGTTGTATGTGATAATCACTGAATTTCCTGACTTGAAGGAGTTATAGTCTCAGTAATAGTTACAGTAATTATAACAGTAAACATCATATAAGGAGATAATACTTCTTGTGTGCATACTATATATCAGTGACTGTAGTAAAAGGAATGACTTAAATAAATCATTTAAGTTTAAAAATAAAAAAATAAGGTGTTATAATTATCTCCATGTAAGAATTAGCTCTAGCCACACTTCATGTTGCATAACAAATCTTCCCAAAACATGATGGCTTATAACAACTGTTTATTATGGCTCTTAAGTGTTTGGTCAGGCAGTGGTTCTGCTGATCTTGGCTGGGCTTGCTTATGCATCTGCAGTCAGCTACCTGGGCAGTAGATGTAGGATGGCCTCATCTGGGGTGACTCTACTACATGTAGGCCCTCCTCCACATATCTCTTACATCCCTCCAGCAGGCTAGCTCAGACATTTTGCCTTGTAGAGGGAGGAATGCAAGAACAAGCAATAGGACAAGAAAAAATACACAAGTACTTTTTAAGCCCACTACATCCTGCTTTCTCAAAGTCAAGGGAAGAATTGGGATGATCATTGCATCATCTACCACAGAGGTTAAGTAACTTATTCTTTTAGTTAGGATTTCGGTTAGACTGTGTGTAATAGAAGTCCAAAGTAACAGTGGAATATTACTACACCATATAGTAGTCCACAGGTAGGCAGTCCAGTCTTATATGCTTGCTGTGCTCGACAAATCCTCCAGGTGCCTGGGCCCTTTTTGTCTCATTGCTCCGCCTTGCTCTCAAGTGGTGTTCTCATCTGCATGGCCTAAGATTGGCCATAACTCCAACAATGTTCCAAAGCGAAGATGGAGATCAGGGAGGTAATAAAAGCATGCACCTCGTCTTCCTTAAGAACATGAGTAGAAATCTCAGAATTTCCACTTCTGGTGATGTGAACTAGGTAATAAGGACCAATCCTCCCAGTAAATGCAGCTTAAAAAGCTATTTGGATTATTTTTAAAATCTTCTAAAAAGATCAAAGAGCTAATAAGATACTAAGCAATTATTGGGCTGACATCTTAGACAGGCTGGGAACCCAGAAAAAAATGAGCAAAGACTTGAAACTGCCTTTGCCTTAAGGGCATCTTCAGCTGAGATGTTTAGCTGTCTTCTGGTGACCCCAAGGGATTAGGGGAATAAATATATAAATGCTCTTTAGGCTGGAATCCAAAGGACTGTGCCCTAGAAGTAAAGGTAAATGGAAAGTAAACTAACTCTTGCATCACCTGAAGCCCTGCTTTGTAAAAACCTGATTTTCCATCAGAAAATCTCAAATCTGAAACGTGGATCAAGATGGTACTAAACTGCAAGCACTGGTCTCAGACACTTAACAGACATGAACATAACTAAGAAAATGTCACCTTAGTCTTCAAATTATTTCTATAAATAATATTTCTAATATTATGTCCAGGACACAATCAAAGGCAACTGGACACACAAGTAGACAAGACCATATAAGCAAGAACCAACAAAAACAACAGACAATAGAAATACACCTGCAGACTATAATGATTGGAATAGTCAGATACAGACTGCAAAACAACAAAGATCACCATGTTGTAGAATATAAAAACAAATTTTAAGTAAATTGGCAGGGAACTGGAAAATATAAAAATCAACACAGCAATTTTGTAAAAGTGCCAAATAGAAACTTTAGATCTGAAAAATATAACAATAGAAAATAACAAAATTAACAGCAGATTCAGAGTAAGCTAAAAGAAATAGTTCAAAATGAAGCACAGAAAGCCAAATAATAAAATATTTAGAATGGCAGGGAGACAGAGATAGTGATAAAGTTTAATATCTGTTTAATTGGAATCTCAGAAATAGAAAAGAGAAAGAGAGATTGGGAGATAAGAAATTCTGAAGAGATGAAGGCTGAGAAGTTTTCAGAAATGATGAAAGACATTAATACACAGAAGCCACTGGATCCCAAGCAAGTTAAAAAAAAATCCACATATAAATACACCCTAGTAAATATCAGAAAAAATTAATAAATCATATTACTTTTGTTGTAATTGGCCAGATCTTGGTCATATAGGTACAGCTACCTGCAGGAGAAGTTGGGAAATGTAGTTTTTATTCTATGATTTATTCAGAGCTATATGCGCCAACAAATATTGAGAATGTTATTACCGTAAGTGAGAAGTGAAGCAGTGACATTGACATTGATAACTTTCTAAGGTCACACAACTAATAAGTGGCAGATTGGATATTTGAGTCATCATGGCCTGACTCCACAGCTTGTGCTGTCAGCCACTATGCTATACGTGTGTGTAGAAGACTATGTGTGGTCCAAGGTTCAAGTTTTCAACCATTGATCAGAAATTACCATAGTGTATTGATTAAGCAAAAAGTTTATATAAAGCACATTAGCAACAAGATAACCACACCAGGGTCATAAAAACACTAGCTCATGCTAGTAGAAAGCTATTTCTTCTCAAACATTTTAATGTTGTTTGTGGTCATTAAGAATACACTACTACCAATCACGCAAGGTCTGAAAGTGCACAATAGGCTGGAAACATGCCAATTTCAGGAGGGTTAAATTTGCATTGATAACTTTAGGCATCTGACTAATTTCTATGGGTGCAATGAACAAGCTTTTAGTCTCTTCACAAGTTAACTTTTTAGGCTGCAAAATGAAAGTTCCAAGAATGAAAGTAGTAGGAGAAGGGATGAAAAATTGATTCTTGTCTTTCAACATCTAAAGTCTTTTTTTTTTTCCCAAATGTGACCTCAGGTGCATACCAAATACAATTGGGCATTTTGTTAAGTAACTCTAAGCCAGGGCCCATAGAAAACCTATGGCCCATGGGCCAAATCCCTCTTGCCATCTATTAATATTTTTGTTAATAAGGTTTTATTGGTGCACAACCACAGGTCTTCATTTATATATTTTCTATGTCTTCTTTTGCCCTAAAGTGGAAGAATTGAGAAATTGTGACAGAAACCACATGACTTACGAAACCTAAAGTACTGACTTTCTGGTCCTTCTCAGAAAAAAAGTTGGCTGATCCCTGCTCTAAGCCAATGGTGATTTCAGCATACTGGGGAAGATAAATTCATCTTCATATTCAGCCTCATTATGAAGGAATATATGAGGTCTCTTATCTCCTCTTGGCCTTCTTTATTTTCAGGTGGGATATTTTTTAGTATGTGAAACCACCTCATGTTTAGTGAACCCCATGAGTTGAACTTGACAATTTTGGATGTGGTATTTAATAAACAAGCATTTAATAAACTCTCAGTTTCTAGTTTGCTTACTTTTTATTGAATTAAATCATTTTCAAATTGAATTTGGTCAAGCAGCTTGATAAGTGTAGGCAAAACAAAACTTTCCTATACAACAAAAACTCGGTCCCCTAAAAGGTCTTTTGGTATAGGTTTCTCAAAAGAAAGGGTGTCGTTTTCTCTGCAAGGGATGATTGAACACCAAAGATATGTTTTTCTAAGGTCAGACCATAAGGAATCATAAAATCAATATTTCTAACATTTATGGATTTGATCTCATTAGTTTTTGGCAATACATGACTTCTTGATTTTTGAAAGAGGTTTACAAAATGGTGCAGAAAGCTTCTGGGACATGAATAAAATATAGATTTTTTTATAATTTTAGTGTAAACAAATTCCAAACATATGGATTAGATTTCCTTTTAAAAATAAAGCGTTTTAGTATTTAATGGGAAAAGCGATTTGCAAAATATGCTTTGGATTTTGTCAAAACCAAATCATTCAAAATGTGCAATTAACTCTAAATGAAACCAAATTCAACTGTCCCTGGTTTAAATGACTGAAAAAGACATCTCTCATTGCTGTTCATGCCTTTTGGTTCCCAAGTCTTGAAAGGGAAGTCAGAATGTGCTGTGAAATGTACTGTTCTCCATAAAGTCATGCAGCAAAATGTAGTTTTGCAGAAAGTGTTTCCCAGGGGAATATGTGCGACCTTCTCAAGTGTAAATCTATTTTGACTAGTTATGATGCTTAAGAAGAATTATAGAGAGGAACTGACGTGTTTCCTGGTATGGAATCAAGTCGTTAATTTCCACTGGCTATGAAATACTTATTTTTGTCCTGAGAACTAAATAATCTGACAAAAGCCTTCTACATGTTAATGACCTTTTGTATTTGTAATGAGAGCAGTACAGTGGTAATAAATGCACCGTTAAAAAATACATTAGGTTTTTTAAGGTTTTCTCTTAGATCACATTCATTTGCAGAAACAAACATTGCTGTTTTAAAACCAAGTGGGACTGACTAACTGATTGTTAGGATTATACACCAAGGAATACTTTCCTAGTTGCAATTTGCAGTTTTTCTCAGTCGTAGAAATCAAACTGATAGTGGAGTAGGCACAAACCCAGACTGGGAGCCTTGTATCAATGAGTCTGTGCTCTGCTCTTAACATAATACATGGGCCTCCTTAGTGGAAACATAACATTATGAATTAGGAGTGTTTTGGAATATGCAAGTAATTCTCATGCGAATTTAAATTTTAAATGAAAGTTATGGTAGGAGAAGATCTATAAGCCATTTGCAAAGAATTGAAGATGGTAATAAAATTGAAGAGTACATTATAGTGATGCAAATAAATTTTTAGTTCTGGCAGAACAGGGAAACAAAAGGGCATTATTTAAATATTGAAATCTAGGAGCATAATTAGAACAGATGCAAGCCCACTATATACACAGAAGAAAAAACAATATAAATAAATACTCGTGAGAGAGAGGAGGAAAATGATAGAAAAATAAAAAGAGGGAAATAAATGAACACTGCTTGTTTCCCTGCCAGCCTTGTATAACATATTAAAGCATTCATTTTATTGTCTCTCAAAGCATTTCATTTTTCAAAGAACCATCCAGGAAAGGGGAATTTTATATTTTTGTATCAATTTCTCCAACTCTTTCATGCCACAAAAAGGGCACAGTAATAGCGAAACATGTAAATCTGGCATCTCAAAGGTCAACTTCTTTCATGTTTCAATAACATTCTTATTGTATTAGCACTTTTAGATTAGCACTTTTAACACTTCTTCATGCTAGATGTCAATTTTTAAATTGCATGTTTCTTACAAACATCACCCAAGTCCATTTATATTTAGGTTTTATATTTTCAGTTCTCACCCAAACTGATCTAAATGCAAAACGTACACTCTTGACAGAGCAAGGGGCAATCATCACCACTGTTCCTTGTGAATCAAAAGCTTTTGCAGTTCAAGGGATTGGTCCCAGCAGTCACATCATTATTTCTTGAGTTGCCCATTATGTGGTTAAAATTTACATAAATATTAGGCATACTCAGTCCCTTCCCTGTGGCTTTTCCAGAAGGACCACATTCCTGTATATTTATAAGCAGCTTTCAAAGCTTCTTGTTATAACTTGCAGAAAAGAGAAAGTCAGAAATATAAAGAAGTCTTAGATTTATATAGATCAGTGCTGTGTTAACAGAATCTTAGGAAGATTTCATAAGTTCATAACCGAACTCTAGAAGGCAGTTGGGATGACAGTAGCCTTCTGTATCTCTCTTTCTGGAAAATATTGTAGATTTTCCCCCTCTCTGGTCATTATATACTTCTTCCCCTCTGCCTTTACTTTTGGGAGTTACTTTCCCTCCTGATATTATCTGGCACATGACACCTTGCCACCTTCCATCAGAGCTCTCTACTTCTCTAACTTTGTCTCTTAAACTTCCCTCTTGGTTTCCCTCTGTTTTCATTTTATCAGGACTCACTGCTTATTTCTGCTGCCTAGTTTATTCCCCCATTTCTGCTGCTTGCAGGGTTATCAACAAAAAATTTCACTAAACTGCTTCCATTTCTTCTTGGGCCAATGGGAAGCCTCTTGCATGGAGCAGGCCATGGGCTGATGTCTGCATGACAGATTTGTGGTCATGGTGCTGTAGCCCCTTCCAGACCTGGCCTCTTGAAAGTCCCACAACATCTTCTACCTCCACCCTCCCTTCATGTAGAGACCAGTCAGAGAGGATTCAGCAGTGTGGCTCAAGGCTCTCCAGGATTCTGAGGATGTAGAGGTTAGTGGAACCACAAAATAGAAGGAGCCTGGTTGAAAGAGATCTGGCCAGGAGAGCTATGTGATGAGGACATCTGCACTGGACTCTGTGTCTGCACAAAAACCTTCACTGTGTTAAGCCACTGAGATTTCAGGCTGTTTGTTCTAACAGTTTGCTGCACTATCACAGTCATCTCTCTATGACTTTCAAGACCCCTCTCAATAATCATCTCCTCCATGGAGGCTTCCTTCCTATGGGCTTCCAGAGCACCTTGCTTTACTATAAGGGTACACAGTTTTTTCAATCCTATGAGTTGAAACAAATATTTTACCTCTTGCTCTCCTACCTTGAAGATAGCAACTTTGTATTCTAGCGCTCACTGCTGTGTCTGGCACAGAACAAAAAGATGCTCAACAAATCTCAATGGATTTCCTCCCTTCCTGAAAAGAATGCATCACACATGGGAGAATTTCAGGCCCTGTAGCCCTTGGGGATGGAGGGGGTTTGGGTGATAATTGAAGGTGTGTGTGTATGTGGTGGGGTGGTCAGCCGTGTGTGTGTGTGTGTGTGTGTGTGTGTGTGTGTGTGTGTGATGGGGTGGTCAGCCATGTGTCCCTCAACATAATCACCTTCTCTGTTTATTACACAAGGAATACTTTGTCATCATTCACTTTCTAGGGAGTATGAAGGCAAGTTTATATAATAGAATGACTGTGCTTACATAATAATTCATTCAACAAGTATTTATCTTTGCTCAGACACTGTTCTTGATACTAAGGGAAAAGGAGTGAAGATGACAGACTAGATCCCTGTCCTCTAGGGCTGGCTTCCTGGGTAAACAACTCAATGGTGAGATTTTACTATGATTATGAGGTTTTGCTCCCATTTCTGCAAATCCTTGCCCACCCCATTTGTTTCTCAGGTATGTGTTTCCATTCTGTTCTTGCTCTAGATTCCTTGGTTTCTCTCCCTTTGGATGGGAATTCTTAACTGAGGCAATATGACCCAACAGGAAACGTTTGGCAATGATTAGAGACACTTTTGGTTGTAGCGAGTGAGGAAAGGGGTGCTTCTGGATGCTGCTACACTTCTTACAAAGCATGGGGCATCCCCTCTGCCTGTTCCAGTCCCTTCAGCCTGGAGGAGGGCCAGGGCTCTTCACCACTGACTGGAAAGTCATCCTTTGGGTTCTAAAGAACTGCCTTCTAGGCAGTGCCACCAACAAGACCATTCCCTTCTGGGCAGCCAAATAATGATTTCTTTTTATGGTGCTTCTTGATTCTTTAATATACACCTTAGCCCAGCAGCAAAGGATAGGACCACGTATGAGTTATACTGTCTTAGTCTGTTTTGTGTTGCTATAAAAGAATATCTGAGACTGGGTTATTTATAAAGAAAAGAGGTTTATTTAGCTCACAATTCCACATACTGAGAAGTTCAAGGACGTGGCTCTGGCTTCTGGTGAGGGCTTTGTTTTTTTTTTTTTTTGCAGTGTCACAACATGACAGAGAAGGTCAAAAAGGAAGTAGACATGTACAAAGAGGGGAAAACCTGATGGGCATCCTGGCTTTATGATGACCCATTGTCCTGGTAATTAGTTCACACCCATGAGAACTAATCTAGCCTTAGGAGAATGAAAGCTCACTCACCATTTTGAGACTGGCACCAAGCCATTCACGAGGGATCCACCCCTATGACCCAAATACTTCCCATGAGGCCCAGCTTCCAACGCCACTACACTGGGGATCAAATTTTAACATGACTTTTAGTGGGGACAAACAAACCATATCCAAACTATAGCATATACTTAACCCTCCATCCTAGTTCACAACATCTAGAACAGTAGACCTTTGGGTACCCATTTCTAGACAGAAAGCCAATCACAAACACACAGAGAGGGTGGCAAGAAAAAGTATTCACTTTTTAAATGAGTGGCTTTGTAGTTAAGGTTATAAGATAAAATGCAGACCCCCACTTAAATTTGAATTTCACGTAAACAATAAATAGTTTTCTAGTGTATGTCCCATTTAATTGTAGGATGCTAGCAATGCCATAAGGCAATACTTGAGACATATGTTGTAAGTTATTCATTATTAGAAATTATTATCCATTATTAGAAATTCAAATTTACCTGGACATCCTGTTTTTGTTGTTGTCATTTCTGAGTGTGTGGTTTTGTTTCTTGGCTAAATCTGGCAACTCTATTTTCCATACATTCAAGGTAGCATCAGATATGCATCTCTGAGTTCCTTCTCCCTCTGGTGGCTCCTTCCCACTTTTCTCTTCCTTGCCTGTGACTTTCTCACCCCTCCTTTGAAGACAAGTGCAAACTGTTTCCTTGCATCACTCTCGGACACTCCCCTGAGTAACTTACACATTTTTAAAAACCTCTTTCCACCAAAAGTAGATAAGAATGAGGAGTGGTTGTGAGGTAGGCATTGGAAACCTCATTCTGAAAAACACTACATTAGGAAAATGAAATGGATTGAAACTGAAAGCAAACATGTTACTATTTGAATCAAAGCTGATTCTTAGAAAGTTCTGTTCTACAACAAATATGAATAAGAAAATAATTGAATTCTTCATACCATTCCTTTGTATATAAAACTGTCCTTGGGCATGCAGTATCTGATTTAATTTACTAATTGAATTATATAATTTCTCAAAAATATGCACTCAAAGAAATAAGTGTGGACGAAAAGATGGGAAAAGGAAATCTGGGGAAAGTAAAAATTTTTTTTTCCATTTTCTTTTTTTTAATGTTAATATTATTATACTTTAACTTTTAGGGTACATGTGCACAACGTGCAGGTTTGTTACATATGTATACATGTGCCATGTTTGTGTGCTGCACCCATTAACTCGTCATTTAGCTTTAGGTATATCTCCTAATGCTATTCCTCCCCCCTCCCCCTACCCCACAACAGTCCCCAGTGTGTGATGTTCCCCTTCCTGTGTCCATGTGTCTCATTGTTCACTTCCCACCTATGAATGAGAACATGTGGTGTTTGGTTTTTTGTCCTTGTGATAGTTTACTGAGAATGATGATGTCCAGTTTCATCCATGTCCCTACAAAGGACATGAACTCATCATTTTTTATGGCTGCATAGTATTCCATGGTGTATATGTGCCACATTTTCTTAATCCAGTCTATCGTTGTTGGACATTTAGGTTGGTTCCAAGTCTTTGCTATTGTGAATAGTGCCGCAATAAACATACGTGTGCATGTGTCTTTATAGCAGCATGATTTATAATCCTTTGAGTATACACCCAGTAATGGGATGGCTGGGTCAAATGGTATTTCTAGTTCTAGATCCCTGAGGAATCACCACATTGACTTCCACAATGGTTGAACTAGTTGACAGTCCCACCAACAGTGTAAAAGTGTTCCTATTTCTCCACATCCTCTCCAGCACCTGTTGTTTCCTGACTTTTGAATGATCGCCATTCTAACTGGTGTGAGATGGTATCTCATTGTGGTTTTGATTTGCGTTTCTCTGATGGCCAGTGATGAAGAGCATTTTTTCATGTGTCTTTTGGCTGCATAAATGTCTTCTTTTGAGAAGTGTCTGTTCATATCCTTGGCCCACTTTTTGATGGGGTTGTTTGTTTTTTTTCTTGTAAATTTGTTGGAGTTCATTGTAGATTCTGGATATTAGCCCTTTGTCAGATGAGTAGGTCGCAAAACTGTTCTCACATTCTGTAGGTTGCCTTTTCACTCTGATGGTAGTTTCTTTTGCTGTGCAGAAGCTCTTGAGTTTAATTAGATCCCATTTGTCAATTTTGGCTTTTGTTGCCATTGCTTTTGGTGTTTTAGATATGAAGTCCTTGCCCATGGCTATGTCCTGAATGGTATTGCCTAGGTTTTCTTCTAGGGTTTTTATGGTTTTAGGTCTAACATTAATAAATGGTGCTGGAAAAACTGGCTAGCCATATGTAGAAAGCTGAAACTGGATCCCTTCCTTACACCTTTTACAAAAATTAATTCAAGAAAGTAAAAATTTTTATAGCAAAAAAGAAGTCTTGAGCAGTAGATGCCACAAAGAAAGCTTGGTACTGTACTTGAAGGGAATTATTTGTAAGAAGTATAAAATGAATTTAGAGGAATCTGCAATGTTTTTCTTTCAAATGAATGTAAATAGGTCATTGCATTCAATAAATGTTTGTTGAACTGAATTAAAGAGTCTCCATCTTCAAGGAGGATTAAAAAAAGAAATTTCAACAAAACTTTAAGGAACATTAAAAGAGGAAAAACAATACAGGTGGGAAAATTAAATTATAAGACTTGTGCAACCCCTGTAACTAGACAATAATGTCCTTACAAATGAACTGTAGCAGATATAATACCGGCAATAGGGGAGGGTATCTTTGAATAGGTACAAGCAATTAGTATTAGATGTTGAGAATAAAAAGAGATTGGAGGGAAGCTGCCAAGCATGTCTTCATGAAAGATTTGGGACTAGAATTGAGCCTAGAAGGATGGACAAGAAGAAGAAGAAGGGCATTTTGGATAAGAAAGCCACACTTGCAGTGGGACAAAGATGGGATTTTGCTACAGTGGTGAGACTAGGCAAATTGTCATGGGCGGTTTAGACAAGAGAACAATCAGGTGAAATTTAAAGATAGATAAGGGGCAGACTGTGAATGGACTAGATCCCAAGGCTAAAACTTAGGGCTACTTATCACTTAAATACAGATTCAGACCAGGTTGGAATGTTTGACACCCACTGAAAAAAACCCAATTTTTTAAAAACAAATGATTTCCTCAAATCAGTCCCAGATAAGATGGGAAACAAGATGATATGGGATTTGGTGGAAATCTAGAGAGGCAGAATTGGCTTGTTAATGGCAGCTGTTTCAACAATTAGAATTAAGTTCAGCACAATGATTCAATTTAGTTTAAGAAAATCATGTCTTACATTTCATCTTTCAATAGTTTCCACTCCTCCAGTGAGCCAGGAGAGTTTGGTTTTGGTATAAATCACTGCCAATCTTGTTTAGTCAACATTAAGACAACAAACCAGAAGGAGAATGGCCACTCTTGCTCTCCTGATAAAATAATCAAGTGACTAATGACTTAATCCCAAGCAACTGGAAGAAGGAGGACACGGCTGACTCATCCATTGAAACTGGTAATTTTTATTGTTGGGCTAAACCTTCTTTCCCAAATAGGTCAACATTTTGAAATCTCATTAAAACAAACAAAATCCCTCTTTCAGTTAACTCCATCTCTCTGAAAGTTTTGTTTTATAAAAAGGCTGTTTTATTGTACAGGTGGATTTTATTCTATAGATGCTTGCGCTGGAGCAGAGGAACCCCTGTCTCTTTGTTGTCTGTTAGAGACAAAGGACCGCTGCTGACACAGTGATCTATGATGCAGCAATGGATTAGAGCCGGTATTCTCTAGTCACAGGTGTTTTCACAGAGACAAGGTTTTTGGTCTAAAAGCATCTTTGTTCTCAGATTTACCTTCTGGGTTCCTTTAAAGAAAACCTGCTTTATGAAACAAAAGCAAAGACATTGGCAGATAAGGGTCTGATACCATCTTCAGAACCATGAAATGACTAGAGTAGGAAAAATGGGATACATTATTTTGATCGTCACCGAAGGATTTGAGCTTTGGCTAAGAGTTCTTTGTCTACTTTTTTGGGTGAATTTGGGGAAAACCAAAGTCCCTTGGTTCTTGTATTTCCATTACTGTTGGAAATGTTCAGATGCAAAGGCTCATTCTCTCAGATAAATGATAGAATGGCTTTAGGGGGCCAAGCCCCATGTGCTGAGCTGCAGGCAAGGGTGGAGCTGAGGAATCAATGACAGATGATTCTGTCAATAAAGTTCAAGACAGTGTGGCATTCTTTTTGTGGTGGACTCAATTTATTAATAGAACTTTTTGTTGTTTTGTTGTTGGTGGTGGTGTTCCTGGGGATGGAATGAAATTTAGAGCTCTGTTTGAAAAAGTTGTCTTCAACTTGCTCAAAAATAGATCAGGAAGATTAAGAAGAGAAACAGAATGTAAATCTACACATACAAAGAGCAATAAAAATGAAACCAGTCATCTTTTCTGTGATATTGTGAAATACACATTTGGTCTTTGTTTTGTTTCCTTACGTACAACTCTTAAAACCCTAAAAATCTCCAGAGTGATGAGTGTCTTTTGTAGGCTAATTAGATGACTGATGGCCGGGGTCCCCTAAATAGCTTCAGGCTGGGGGCTGGTCACAGGAAAGGTCAGCATGACTGGAGGGTTGGAACTTTCAGCCCCACCCCTCAACCTGGGAGGATGTAGGAGCAATAGGAGGGAGAGGGGCTGAAATTGAGTTGATTACCAATGCCCAACGATTTAATCAATCATGCCAACATAATAAAGCTTCCATAAAAATCCAAAAGGACTGGCTCAGGCAGGGTAAGTGAACACATCTGCATGCTGGGAGGGTGGCACACCCCAGCTCCATGGGGACAGAACCCTTTCAGACCTTGCCCTATGTATCTCTTCATCTGACTATTCGTCTGTGTCCTTTATTAATAAACTGGTAAATGTAACTAGTAGTTTCTCGAGTTCTGTGAGCTGTTCTAGCAAATTAATCAAGCCCAAGGAAGGGGTTATGGGAGCCTCCATTTATAGCTGGTAGGTCAAAAGTCCAGGCTACAACCTGTGTGTGCTACTGGCATCTGAAGTGGGGCACAATCTTGTGGGACTGTGGGATCTGATGCTATCTCTAGGTAGATCATGTCGAAATTGAATCAAATTAGAGGATACCTAACTGGTGTCCATTGGAGATTTGGCTGAAAAATTGCTTTGAGTGTGGGGTAAAAAAACCCCATACTTCTGGTGTCAGAAGTGCTGAGTGACTATGTGAGAGTGGAGAGAGGGAAGAACGCTTTGTTTTTTCCTATATTACTACATTTACAAATGTAACTAATCTCTTTTCAGAGTTGGATTCAATTTTTTTTCCATTAGAAAAAAAAGGAAAACCCAAATTTTTGAAAAAGTTATTTTTTCCAAAATAAAAGAAAATAGTCAAAAGAGAACATTTCAACTTAATATGATGGAATTGATATTCTGGAATTTCCAAGGCTAGAACACAAGAAGCCTTGCCAAGTTGTCTTAAAACTCTTGCTCTGAGGGAAGAATGCCACCATGTGAGGAAGCCTAAGCTAGCCACACGGGGAAACTGCATGGAGAGAGATGCCTGACCAACCCCAGCAATCCCAGCCATCCCAGACACCACACATATGAGTGCAAAGGCTTCAGATGACCCCAGCCTCAAGATCAACAGACAGCTACCATCTGAGACTCTGAGCAAGAACCATCAGCTGAACCTAGTCCATCCACAGAACCACAGGGATAATAATACATGCTTTTAAACCCACTAAGTGTTGGAGTGGTTTTTCATGCAGCAATAGATAATTGGAGCAGTCCTTGAAAATAACTTCAAAACATGGACTTGGTGGTAACCAGAGAAGGTGATACAGAGGTGGCCGTGAGGCACAGCTTTGCTGCCAGACTTCCTGGAGTTGACTCTATGGGTTCAAATCCTGACCCCCCCACATTTGGTAATTAGTTGCCCTCTCAAAACATCAGCTTCCTTGTGGGGGGGGGGGGGGTGGCGGGCGGGGGGAGGGCCAGCATTAGGAGATATACATAATGTTAAATGACGAGTTAATGGGTGCAGCACACCAACATGACACATGTATACATATGTAACAAACCTGCACGTTGTGCACATGTACCCTAGAACTTAAAGTATAATAAAAACAGAACAAAAAACAAACAAACATCAGCTTCTTATTTGTAAAGTGTGAATCATGATAATAATAGTCTCTTTGAATGGTGGTCGCAAGGTGCAAAGAAATTCATGTAAAGTGGCTAATATTAAAGGGTAAGCGCTAAACACATTTCATGTGTTTTTATTATTAACTAAACTGGCCCATAGAAAGTCAAAGGCTTTGGAGAGAAAACAGTTTGTTTACTTATTTAGATAAGAGGTTCCTGTATTCGGACAATTTATTCTGTTGTTTCTAGTGGGCTGACAGATGCTGTAAAAGAATCACCTCTAAGACGGGAAACGTGGAAAAGGAGTAAGCACATCCAAAGACCATTTTTGGGAAATGATGTACTCTGCCTTACATGGGTGAAAAGCTTAATGTTTCTTTTGAAAACTGACCAACAGAGAAGCAAATACAGAAATGAGTCTTAAGGCATCTGTGGCAAAGTTAACTCCACTGGGTGCTGGATAATGTATACTGTACATTCCCGGAATGGTGCTGCCTAGAAAATTTATTATGTGTAACATTTAATAAAGGGAAGAGCTTAACAAAACACCCTGGAGACCTGCGTTCTAATTGAGTATCTGCTTTGATGTCTGACTCAGGGCAAGTCAGTGGAGCTCTGTCTCTTATTTCTAACTACTATAAAACAGAATTATGAGCACATTTGGAGCACCCCCAGACACTAAAAAATAAAGGCGGGGGGCAGAGCATCTGAAAACATGGATACATAAAAGAGAATGGCCAGAAGGTATGCATGATAATGCTGTTAGCATCAGGACAATGTAGAGTCCCTCTGGGCTTCAGCAGGGTCAGACTGGGGAAAGAACATGATGATGTCCTAGAGGCATGGACACCTTTCCAGCCTGTCACTTAGTGATATCAGAATGTTCATATCTGCAGAATGAAGTGGTATATATGGTATATGCCATGTGATTCATATACCACATAAATGGCATATACCATTTGGTCCATACACCATATCCAGGCATATGGACACTGGGGTATCATTTAGAAAACTCCAATTGAAATCATACCAACCTGGCTTTGATCAAATTCAAGCCTTTCAAATCATTGGAGCCTGTGGTTGACACCTTCTATATGTCTTTGAAAATTTCACTCCGTAATATGTTAAGAGACTGGAGAATTTGCCAATCCCTGGGAAGGACATGTCTATTGGATATAATAATGAGAAGGTGTCAACTGCAGAGACCATTAGTCATGTTTCACAGGGAGGGCTCCCTTCCACTTTGACACAACTGTCATTCTGAACATTGCAAATGTTTACTTTTCTCTAGTATTTGTATTTAGATTCTTATCTTCTATCTCTTGGTTTGTTGTCTAAGTCACCTTGTTAGCATCATAATTCTTCCCAAGTTTGGCACATTCTTTTGTAGAGTTCTAAGAAGCACCCCTCTCCCGAAATCATATGTGAATTTAGAGGACCCCAGATCAGCTGATGTGGAGCTGGAGTAAATAAAAGGCACTTTCATTTAAATATCTTATGGAGAAAGTCATTGGAACCCCAAGTGGCCTCTGAGACTATTAAATAAACCCAGAAACTGGAAGGTCACCGAAGGCAGGTCTAAGTGCTTCGTGTTGTTCACTGCAGAAACTCCAGCACCCAGGATAGTGCCCGGCATACAGTACCTGCTCCGTTAATACTTGTTGAAAGGATGGTGACTTAAAAGAGGTGTTAGGCCAGAGAAGCAGCAGTTTGGTGGCAGGTGGAGATGTTAAGGGTGTGTGAACATCCAAGGATCTTATTTCAGAAACAACAAAGGACCAAAGAAGACAAGACAGGAGCTTCCACAGGGTCTCTGCCTTGGCCTTTGGGATAGGGAAGGGAGACCCTAAAGCAAAGAAATTATGTGGACAGACTGCTGGAGAACTGCCTGGTAAATGTTCTGGTGTTTTGAAAAGAGAGTTTCAACCTGAAGTAAAGAAAGAAAGAGTATTGCTTCTTCTGAAAAAGGAGCAGTTCCCAGGATGACCTTGGGTGTGGGAGCCCATGACCTCCCATGACTGATATATGTTACACTGAGCCCAATGGGAAAACAAGACCCCTCTGAGTCTCCACAGAGCAGTAAAGGAGTCTTTGTTTCCTAAATGATTGACTTAGAATGCAAGCTAGGAATGGAATTTACTAATAAGAGAAGACAGGCAGAGGACATCATTGCTGGGCCACACTTGTTTGGGATTGCAGAACCTTATCATGCAAAAAGTGTGAGGCTCTTTATATGGGTTTCAAAATACCATCACCACATCAGATGCTCAATAAACTGTGATAATGTAAATGAGTTACCTAATAGTCTAGTCTAAGAGTTGGCAAACTTTTTCTGTAAAAGCTCAGGTTGTACATATTTTCAGCTTTATGGGTTTCACAGTCTCTGTTGTCACTGCTCAACTCTGCATTGCAGCATGAAAGCAACCATTGATGACCCATAAAAGAATTAAGCGAGGCTGTGTTCCAATAAAATTTTATTTATAAAAACAGACAGTGGCCCAGATTTAGTCTGTGGGCTGGAGTTTGCTGACCTGTGGTCTAGACTCTTGCTATTCAAAGGGTGCTCCATGGACCAGTTGTTCTAGCATCACCTGGGAGCTTCTTAGAAATGCAGAAACCCAAACTGGGCATGGTGGCTCACACCTGTAATCCCAGCATTTTGGGAGGCCAAGACGGGTGGATCCCTTGAGGTCAGGAGTTTGAGACCAGCCTGGCCAACAAGGCGAAACCCCGTCTCTACTAACCGTACAAAAATTAGCTGGGCATGGTGGTGCACACCTGTAGTCCCAGCTACTTAGGGGACTGAGGCACGAGAATTGCTTGAACTGGGGAGGCAGAAGTTGCAGTGAGCCGAGATGGTGCCACTGCACTCCAGCCTGGATGACAGAATGTCAAAAAAAAAAAAAAAAGAGAGAGAGAAGAAAGTAAGAGAGAGAGAAAGAAAGAAAAGAAAGAAGAAAGAAAGAAAAGAAAAGAAAAAAAAAGAAAAGAGAAAAAGTAATACAGAATCTGAGACCTCCTGAAGCGAATCTGAATTTGAACAGGACCCAGATGATGCATGGGCACATTAAAGTTTGAGCTGCGCTGAGCTGAATAGCGTAGGGTTTCATAAGGAAACGATTCCATTTTCCTCCCATCAGGTCCCTCAAATCTACTGTGGTGGGTCTATTTTTCCCATCCTTGTCCTACCGGATCTTCAACAAGCCCCTATTTTTTTGTTGTTGTTGTTTCTCCTGGGCATTAGAAATGTCTCATTTTTAGCTATTAATAAGTCCAGTCCAATCTACACTGATATTTTTGTATTAAATGCAATTCAAAGGTTCTCGGCTTTCCCATTGCTTAGCTGCATCTTGTGGAAACCTCAGTGAAGCAAAGGGGCAGGGTGTGTTTTCCTCATTTCCATCTTCCACCTTTCTCCTCTCTGGCGGCCTGCAGCTTCTGCCTCCTCCACAGCAGCCAGCTGTGTGAAGGAGGAGAGATCAGGGCGCAAAGCTTTCTATTTGTCTTGTGCTTTTACAGGTGGGGTGTGGGCCCCTTTGGGGCAGCTGTCCAAAAGCTGGCTCTTTCTCATGTAGGATGCTCCTGTGGGATGTGAGAGATCAGACTCCTGTGGGACATCAGAATCTTCTCAGCTTCCCAACTCCAGCCATGCTCTCTCTAGCTTCCCTCTGACCATGTGTCCCTCATGACTATTTTGTGTTGGGGTCACCTGGCTCTGGCAGGCATGTCTTCGGGCAGGTCACACTAGCCCATCCACCTTCAGCATTACTCTCTTAGCCTCAGACAAAGTCAGCCCCTTTACCTGGCAAGCTTTGGTGGTGCGGGCTGTGACGATCCCAGCTTCTGAGTTCTCTTGGCCATCATTGGTAAGAGCAGCCAGTACTTCATCTTTAAACTTGCTCAGACAAGAGTCAGGCCCCAGTCTCTATGGCCCAATGCTGGGACACGGGGAGGATCAGAGGTCCCTGAGGCTGCCTTGTACCCCTGCAGGAGGTAGAGGACGCACTCAACACTCTCCTGAAAAGGAGGAGAACAAACTCACGACTGTTCTTTCCTCCGTTCATGCCAAAGTCTTTCCTCTGTGCCCGGGCTCCCCTCATATACAGACAGCTAGTAAGTGATGAGTCAGGGTCACAGAGTCAATTTCAAGTCACTTAGCAAATCTTTCATGGAGAGTCTAGTGTCATCTATTGTCTTTAGCTTTGGGTCCCAGCCAAAGTTCCAGACAGGGAAATTCCCATACAACAGCTGGTGAAAGTAAATTCACTCCAGTCGCTGTATGCTTAGGAGAACTTTGGCGCATAGATAAGTGACTGGCACAGGTTCACTCAACTAGTAAGGGGAGAGCTGATGATCTAAACCCCTGACTCCAAGGCTGGGCTCTTCCCCTTCCAAAACTTATCTTACAGACAATTTCTTCCAATCTTTCTGATTGCTTCAAAGAAGCAAACGAAGCCAGAGTTAAAACTGAAGTTACTTGATTTTCAGCTAAGTAACTTTGCCATTACACCACCTTTCTACTTTTTGTGGAGCAGAAGATCGAGCAACTCTACAGCAATCAGATAAATAAGAGGGAAATTTTAAAATTCAATCACTTAGGAAAATTCTGCCTTTTACATATTTTCTGCATTGAGAAACCAGGGCTAAATTGACAGGAAAAAACATTCGCTGTATGAAAGAAGCAAGTCTCCTAACAGAATATGTTAAATGAACCCAGCTTTGTTTTAAAAATATACTCACATGCATATAAAAGTGCCTGGAATAGTACATCATGTGTTACCAGTTCTCGTTGGTTTCTAGGAGGTAGTTTATAAGCTTTTCTATATTTTGACCTATTTCGTGTTCTTCCATAGTGTTGGAGGTTTATTCTAATGCTCGTGATTTTTATAATATGGAATAAGGCACATATTTATTTTGACAAAATATAGAAAGGAAAGCTATTTGGTTTTAGCTTTTGTTCCTATCAATTTTCCATTATGCGTAATTTCAGTGTCAATTTATAAAAGGAGAGCAATAACCAGCCTTCAGAATTTTGGTAAGTCCTCCTCTTACCTGGAATCTATAGAAAAAGACAACTGTGAATTTGATGAAATATGATTTTCAGGGAAATGGATGATTTCAGAAAAAATGATTTACCAGAAACAAACAAACAAGCAGCAACAACAAGAAAACACAACACTTCAGAGAGAGAAGATCCTTGGTGTGTTTAGGTAATTTAGTGTTTGTGTTGATTCTGTGATTGGCAGCGGTTTAGGATTAGAATCTTCTATGTATAAAATGAAGCAGGCAGAAGAGTGACCTGCCTTCACCTTTGATCTGCAGAGGTCAAGGTTTAGACTAGGAGGTTTGTTGATTCTCCTGCAGCATTTATTTCTTGGTTTCCTGATGGCCAGTTTGAAAACCACGAACTCAGCCACAAACCCACAAACTCAATTCAAAGTGCCATACTGAATGCTTTTAGGTGATCATTCAGCTTGGTCACTATAATCCCGAGATGGGTGAATGCACCTCCTCCACAAAGCTGCTACTGCTAGCACTCAACCTCCCATCCAAATAGGAAGTGGTTTCCCTTTCCTTTAGGATTCCTCTTCACACACGTGGCTATTTATTTGTGTGTCTTACCTCCCCTGTGATGTAAACTTGAGTTTAATGACTATGTGTTATTAATTATTGGATTCTCCAAATAGCACAGGATCTGGCATAAAACACACACTCAGTAGCCTTTCTTTAGCAATGTAGTTACTATTTTTCTGCCAGCCATGCAGGCACACAGTTTAGACGGTTGTATGGTTCCACAGGCTTGATTTGAAAAGCAGCACTCCCCTCCCCATCTCCCCACAGCTTGTTTTCTATTGCCCACAGGCCACTCCCCTAACTGACTATTTTGAAATCCATCTTCATGCTTCTAGGTAACATGCTTATATCACCACTTCCTCATTTTCCCCTTTGTGCATTATCCATCAGCTTCCCATTTTGAAGGTTGAGGATAGAGCTCTCTTCATGTCACCGCCTCACTGCCCCCACCACCCACACACGTACCTCCTGTCCTCCCATCCTCGAATATAGTCATTCTGTAACTACAGTCAGATCATCATTCAGACTGTATGATCGTGAGAAGGCAATGCTGTTGACAATCGAGCCCGCCCAACTGTTCTCTCTCTGGAGATGGAAATGGTCTTTTTGTTTTCCTAGTTGGCTTAGTTTTCTATGCACATATCAGATGTGTTCTCAAACACTACCCTGGCTACCTATCTCTCTTCTCATCATATTCAAACACATTGGGAGTTCTATCCATTTCATCTTCTTGGGAAAATGTCTCCCAAAGCTTCAGCCAGCTTTGTCCCTCCACCACCCTGATGTATCCCTTCCTCAATGTTGTTGTGATTTTCTCAGCCCCTGGCCCTGGATCTCCTATTTCCTCTCCTTCTTTCCCATTTACTCTTTGTTAGGTAGAGTGCATCCCCTGATTGATTCCTGGGAATAAGTGCATGGGTTGTAAATTTTTTGAAACATCTCATGGCTGAAAATGTCTTTGCTATTTATCCATAGCTTTGTCTTGGTATGGAGTGCCATGCTGGCTGTTATTTCCTTCAGAAATTTGAAGGCATTACTTTAGTTTCTTTTAGCTCTGCTGTTGCTATTGAAACATCCAATGCCATTCTGATTCCTGATCCTTTGAATGGAATTGTTGCCCCCTCCCACCTTCACTCTGAATACTTTGATGATCTTCTCTTTTTTTGTTTTTTGAGACGGAGTTTCACTCTGTCCCCAGGCTGGAGTGCAGTGGCACCATCTCGGCTCACTGCAACCTCCACCGCCTCCCGGGTTCAAGCAATTCCCCTGCCTCAGCCTCCCGAGTAGCTGGGACTACAAGTACGCACCACCATGCCCAGCTAATTTTTGTGTTTTTAGTAGAGACGAGGTTTCACTATGTTGGCCAGGATGGTCTCGATCTCTTGACCTTGTGATCCACCCACCTCGGCCTTCCAAAGTGCTGGGATTACAGGCATGAGCCACTGCACCCGGCCGATGATCTTCTCTTGGTGCTTAATGGTCTTGCATTTCATGATGAGATATCTTTGTGTGTATCTGTGGTCAAGCGTTGTACTAGATGAACTGTGGGGAATGCTTTCAAATTGAAAAACCATTCCTCTCATTTCTGGGAAATTTTCTTGGTTTACTTATTTGATAATTTCCAACTCCCTGTTTTAACTGCTCTATACTTTGCAGCCCCTGTTTTTTGAATTTTGTGTCTCTGGACTGTCCTCTCCCTTAAAAAATATTTGTTTTCTTCTCCTATTTTCCTTATCTTTATCTTTCAAGGCTACCTCATGACAGATTTCCTCAACTATCCTTCCAATACATCAAGTCTTTCATTTCTGCTATTACATTTTTTATTCCTAATGGCTGTTATTTTTATTCTCCAAGTGTTCCCTTTTTCACAGCATCTGTCCTTATTTCATGCATGTGATATCATCTGTTATTTCTCCAAGGATATTAATATCTTTTGAACTTTTCTTCTTGCATAGCATCTTTTTGCTCCAAATTGCTTTCGTAAGGTTCTCTTTTATATTACATGTCACCTCCCTCACACGTTTGGCAATCCTTGAGTGCTTGTGTGTAAGAATGGGGCACTAAAACTGACAGGAAGCTCTGAACACATGGGTGGAGTAGTTTTCTGTGGGCTTCCCTCTAGAGAGATACGGTTGGCCTGTTTCATTGGGAACCTTCTGATGTCAGTCTCTCAGATGTATTTCTCTCAAGCTGGTAGGATTCCTCTGAGAGGACTCCCACCCTCCTATCTGGTAGAAGTATGCTAAGGTACCAGCATTGTGGGAGCTGAGTGGAGGAAGCTGGCAGAAGTAGTGTTGGTGTCTCAGTATGTATAAGACATGTATTTATTAATTTCACTCTTTTCAATATGGAATCCTCTCCCTAACCTAGAGTTTCTGAACCTTAGCACTACTGACCTTTTGGACGGCATGACAGCTGTGTGTGGCTGTGCTGTGCATCAGAATGCTACCAATATCCCTGGCCCCTACTCACTAGATGCCAGTAGCATTCATTACCCCAGTTGTGACAGCCAAAATTGTCTGCAGACATTGGCAAATGTTCCCTGTGGAGTAAACTCACCCTGGGTGGAGAAGCACTGCCCTAACTCCACCGTGTGTTTCCAAGACGAGAGGCTCTCTGTTTGTCCCTTTCCTAAGAATAAACATCTGTTTCTCTTCTGGGTTTGGTGGACATTAGATCTTCAGTTGCTCAGAGGACCTGGAGACTTAACTGTTTCTTCAATAAATATTCCACTAACCCTTCTATTGTTAGATCCCCATTTGCACTCCCCCACTCCCCACCACGAAGTACCTGGGCCAATCAATTCCTGAGCCTCTGGGGGTTCCATAATACTCGGTTTTTCCTTGGCTTTCTCCATTGCTGATTGAGGTTCCTGCTTTCTTGGGCCTGCTAAATCAATTAGCATATCCATCTGCTTACCAGCTGCTGAAATTTTGTTCTTATTATCTCCTCTCTTTTTCTTTGTTGTCCTGGACTTCTGCCTTTTGTTTTGCAAATGTCTTTACAGTCATGGGAGTTAAGTAAGGGATTTCAGGAAAGGTAAGAGTACACATGTGTATTCTAATTCACTGTCTTTAATGGGAAGTGGAGTCTATCATTTTCAAGTTGTAGAAATGTAGTCTATAATATAATTTTGTAGGGAGGAGGCAGCAGGGAGAGAGAGCTGTCCTATTTAAGGATTCCTCCAACAGGAAGGAGCAGTGGCTAATAATTGCATTCAGCCCACCATGTTTAAGGGCTAGTGCTGACTCAATGGATATGTATTGAATGAATGGATGAATGAATGTTGGTTATTTTGCATAATAGTTTTGTACTAGCTTAAATAATTTAAAGTCAGCCTATTAAATACTCCCAAGATCACCCAATGTGTCATGTTTCCACCAAATTATGCGAACAGCATACAAAGCACTTAAAAGTGGAGTAGAGACAGAGAAAACACCAATTACTTGGCTCCCACTTTGCCTCCGTGATAGGACTCTTTAATACATGAACTTCTCTTTCCTTTAGAATGTGGCTTAGAGTGGTGTGGTACTAATCCCCTCATGTGTTCCATAATTGGGTTATGAGGGTCTGTCCTCATCTTTCCTGCCTGAGAAAAGCAGAGAAGAACTGGGTCTCAGGAGAACATGTGAATATAGTGGATGTGACACATCAATTCCAGTTGTGTTGGCTTCAGACCTTTCCTTGCTCTCCATGCCCCACCCCCACCTCCTGTCTATTCCAAAGAGGGTAGGGAGTTTTTCACTGGCCCCTCCCTTCCACAGCTCCAGATTCTGTCCTCTCATTGGTTTATTTTCCCTTCAGGCCAGGCAGTGGGTGGAAGGATGAGTCTATTTACTGTGGCCCAGCTGCTTTATCTAACTCAGGGAAACAAAACCAGCAAATCAGAGCAGTCTTCTGACTAGCTTATACTGACTGGTACAAATTTATCACTGATGTGGGATACACTTTACTGCCAAAACACACTCACTGCCTGAATCTTAAATATGATTACTTTGACTTCTTAACCTCTCTTCTTCCAAAAAAGAGAATCAAAATAATACTTTGTAGGAAAATTGCTGATACAGACTTTCTTCATCCTTTGAGATTAGATCATCCCAAACAGAACTTTGAGTAGCCTCCTATTAATCTTTTTATACAACATATCTCACATGATTGTGGCTTAAGTAATGCAAATATTATGGAAGTTGTTAGTGCCAAATATTATGAAAGTTGTTTCTAATATTAGAATATTAGCAATTTCTAATTCCCTTCTTTCCTGGCATGCCATAGGATTTCACTCCTCTGACTTCTCTGAAGGTAGGTATAGACAGATGATTTGCATTGGTTTTAAAAAAAAGTGAGGAGATGCTTTGAGTCAGTGTGTAACTTAGCATTTACCCTTGCCTGCCTGTCCAAATGGATCTTCCATCAGCCTGATTTCTTGAGTGACTGTAATGAGAACACACCCTTGCAAACTTATTTTGAACATGTAATATGAATAAGAATGAAATTTTTGTTGGGTGAAGCACTGAGATTTGGAGGCTGTTTGTTTCTGTGGCATAATCTAGCATTTGCTGACTGATAGAAACTTGATTTTTGATGGAGACTGTATAATTCAGAAATGTTCATAATATTTTACAGTGGAATAGGTATGTTGTGTGCATGTGTGTGTAAGACATAGAAGCAAAACTTTGCTTGACGTGGGGTTAGGAGTCTGGAGTCCTAGCTTGGCCTCTCCTTCCTTCCTGTAGACTCCTGAAACACCTTATCACAATCTTATTAGAAGACAGTTTGAAAGCCATTACCAAAGACTCCCAAGCTAATATCAAGAAATTTTTACAATTAAGAGTTTGATTCTTCCTTTTTTATACAGCAGCAATGTGAAAAATCTGTTCCACAACCACTAAATAATAAGATAAAACTAATTATAATCAGGCGAAGGCAATAAAAACTAAAGCAATGAGAGTCTTTTCCCAGTGAATATATCATAATCACATACACATGGGTTAAGTATGAAGCCAGGGTATGTGTTTGCTTTTCCATGTGAAGCAGAGCTTTGAGAATGGGACTGAATATCAGCATAGGAACCAGGAGATGTCGTGTTAGCTTGTCCTACCCTGGGTCTGCTTTTGTCTTCTCTTCCTCACCTGATTCCTCATCTCAATGTCAGCCCTGCTGTCAGTTCAGTGATTACATTTTAGTCAAAGCTACAGATTCCAATGCTTTCAAGCATCCTTAAATGTTATGGTGTCCTAATCCTTTGAAAATCTGAATTAAACCATGGACTCCAGGAAAAAAAAACAGATCTACATGCTTAAAATATGCATCAAGTTGCAAGGATTTCAAGACCTGCCTGAATCCCAGCTTAAGAAACCTTGATCAAATGGTTTTTCAAATTTACAGAATGAATTTGGCCTCTTGAAGTTGTGTAGATTTCTGCATTTGGTCAAGATGTGTATGAAATAAGAACACTATAGTAAGTAGTTTCACATACTGGTTAATATTTCAAGGGCATCTCAAAAAGTAGAAATTTTTAATTCCATTTTTTTATTGTGGTAAAATATACATAGCATAAAATTTACCATTTTGACAATTTTTTAGTCGTATAGTTCAGTGGCTTTAAGTACATTCACGTTTTTGTGTAATCATCACCACCATCCATCTCCAGAACATTTTTCAGCTTTCCAAACTGAAACTCTGTATTCATGAAGTAATAACTTTCCATTCTCCCTTCCCTCTAGTCCCTGACAACCACCATTCTACTTTCTGTGTTTATGGATTTAATGATTCTCAGTAACTCATATAAGTGGAATTATACAATATTTGTCCTTTTGTGACTGGCTTATTTCACTTAGCATAATGTCTTCAAGGTTCATCTATATGAAGCATGTGCCAGAATTTCCTTTCTTTTTAAGGCTGAATAATATTCCATTGAGTATATATACCATATTTTGTTTACCCATTCACTTGAGCTGCTCCCACCTTGTGGCTATTGCGAATATTGCTGCTATAAACACAAGTGTACAAATATTTATTCAAGTCATGCTTTCAATTCTTTTGTGTATATACTTAGAAGTGGACTTCTGGAATATGTGGTAATTCTATTTTTGGTTTTTAAGGATCTACCCTACTGATTTCCATAGCAGCTGCATCATTTTACATTTCTATCAGCAGTGCACAAGGGTTCCAATTTCTCCACATCCTTGCCAACACTTGTTATTTTCTGTTTTTCTTCTTCTTTTTAAATAATAGTCATCCTAATGGGTATGACGCGGTATCTCATTGTGGTTTTGATTTGCATTTCCCTAATTATTAATGATGTTGAATCCCTTTTCGTGTGTTTATTGGCCATTTATATATCTTCTTTTGAGAACTGTCTATTCAAGTCCTTTGCCCGTTGTATTAGGCCATTCTCACATTGCTATAAAGAAATACCTGAGACTGGGTAATTTATAAAGAAAAGAGATTTAATTGGCTCGTGGTTCCTCAGGCTGTACAGGAAGCATGATGCTGGCATCTGCTAGGCTTCTGGGGAGGCCTTAGGAAACTTACAATAATGGCAGAAGGTGAAGGGGTAGTTGGCACTTCACATGGTGGGAGCAGGAGGAAGAGAGAGAATGAGGAGGTGCCACACACTTGTAAACCACAGATCTCAGGAGAACTCTATCATGAGAACAGCACCAAAGAGAAGGTTCTAAACCATTCATGATGGATCCACCCCCATCCAATCACCTCCCACCAGGCCCCACCTCCAACATTTGGGATTATAAATTCCACATGAGATTTAGATAGGAGCACAAATCCAAACAAAATCACCCATTTTTAAACTGGGTTGTGTTTGTTTTTAGTTGTTTTACTTGTAGGAGTTCTGAATATATTCTGGATATCAACCCCTTATCAGATATATGATATGCAAATATTTTCTCCCATTCTATGGGTTGCCTTTTCACTCTGTTGATAGTGCCCTTTGATGGGCAAAAGTTTTCAAATTTTTCTGTGGTCCAAATTATGGGTTTTCTTCTTCTGTTGCCTGTGTTTTTGGTGTCATATTCGAGAAATCATTGCCAAACTTAATGTCAAGGAGCTTTTCCCCTGTGTTTTCTTCTAAGAGTTTTATAGTTTTAGCTCTTATGTTTACAGATATTTTATCTATTTTTAGTTAATCTTTGTATATGGTGTAAGATAAGGATCCAATTTAATCTTTTTGGATGCGAATATCCAGTTTTCCCAAAACCGTTCGTTGAAAAGACTCTTCTTTCTCCATTAAATGGTCTTGGCACCCTTGTTGGAAATCACTTGACCATATATGTAAGGGTTTATATATCTGGGATCTCTATTCTATTCCATTAGCCTATATGTCTGTCTTTATGTGAGTACCACCCTGTTTTGATTACTGCAGTTTTGCAGTAAGTTTTGAAATCAGGAAGTGTGAGACCTCCAACTTTGTTCTTGAAAAAGAACTTTGTTCTTGAACAAAGTTGTTTTGACTATCCAGAATTCCTTGAGATTCCATATTAATTTTACAGTGAATTTTTCTATTTCTACAAAAAATTTGTTAGGATCTCAATAGTATTTGCATTGAATATGTGGTCTTTTTGGGGAGAGCATCTTAACAATATTGTCTTCCAATCCAGAAACATGGGATGTTTTTCTGCGTATCTGTGGCCTCTCTAATTTCTTTCTGCAATGTTTTATAGTTTTTTTTTTTTGTTTTTGTTTTTTTTGTTTTTTTTTTAACAGAGTCTTGCTCTGTCGCCCAGGCTGGAGTGCAGTGGCGCAATCTCGGCTCACTGCAAGCTCCGCCTCCTGGGTTCATGCCATTCTCCTGCCTCAGCCTCCCGAGTAGCTGGGACTACAGGTGCCCGCCACCACGCCTGGCTAATTTTTTGTTTGTATTTTTTAGTAGAGACGGGGTTTCACCATGTTAGCCAGGATGGTCTCAATCTCCTGACCTTGTGATCCGCCCACCTCGGCCTCCCAAAGTGCTGGGATTACAGGCGTGAGCCACCGCGCCTGGCCCAATGTTTTGTAGTTTTTAGTGGAGAAGTTTTTTACTTCCTTAGTTCAGTTTATTCCTAAGTATTTTGTTATTTTTATGCTAATGTAAATAGAATTGCTTTCTTCATTTGCATTTTGGATTGTTCATTGTTAGTGTATAGAAACACAACTGGTTTTTTGTGTGCTGATTTTGTGTGTGTGGAATCTTTAGGGTTTTCTATATACAAGATCATGTCATTTGTGAACGGAGATAATTTTACTTCTTGCTTTCCAAATTGGATGCCTGTTATTCCTTTTTCTTGCCTAATTGCTCTGACTAGGACTTTCAGTCGTGTGTTAAATAGAAGGGGCAAAAGCTAGCATCCTTACCTTCTTTCTCATCCTAAAGGAAAAGTTTTCAGTCTTTCACCATTGAGTGTGATATTAGCTGTGGGTTTTTAATATATGGCCTTTATTATGTTAAAGTAGTTTCCTTCTCCTTCTAGTTTGTTGAACATTCTTATGATAAAAGTGTGTTGAATTTTATCACATTATTTTTCTGCATCAATTAAGATAATCATGTAGTTTTTTTTCATTATTTTAATATGATGTGTTACATTGATTCAGTTATCTTCTTAAAACAGGGTTAAAATATTCTCAAATAAAATCCAGGCTAAAGGAAGCTTTAATGTGTTGTCTCATTGTTCTATGTGAACCTAGACAAGGCCTCTCCTCTCTTCTTTCTAAGAAGTCCTCTGGGTTTCTTACACTTCTACCTTTTGCTTCTCACTTTCCTCGTGGGCTCCTCATGAAAATATATTTTCAAATACAAAAATATTTGCCTCTTGGAAAATATGTAAATCCGTAACCCTAGAATCATAGATGGCTAAGACTGAAAATGGCTTCAGAGTTCATTTGGTTCACTTGTCACAAAAACAGAAAACTTGCTTTGTTTTAAAAAAAATGTGCTATTGAAGTATATTTCAACAGTCCAGGTTTCATTTCTCATTACATAATTTAATGTAATGAGGTTTGATACATACATATAAACAGGGAGAAAAGTGATTACATATAGGACTGGCTATGAGTAGATCAAAAACTATTTCACTTCAACTGGAATATGTCTTCTTCCCAATGTTGCTCTTAGGAAATCCATCTGACTAGTTTTATACATCAGTATGCTAAATGAAAAAATGCACTTTACCAAAAATATTTCACTTACATCATCTCACTGAGTCCTTCAAACAACCCAGTGAAGTAGATATTATAATTCCCAACAGACACATACAGGTCAAAAGAGTAATTATAGGCCAGGCATGGTGGCTCATGCCTGCAGTCCCAATGTTTTGGGAGGTTGGAGAGGGAGGCTATCTCTTGAGGCCAGGAGTTTGAGACCAGCCTGGGCAACATAGCTAGATCTTGTCTCTACAAAAAATAAAGAAAATTAGCCAGGAGTGGTGGCATATGCTTGTAGTCCTAGCTACTTGAGAGGCTGAGGTGGGAGGATCATGCTTATAGGACCAGGAGTTCAAGGCTTCAGTGAGCTGTGATCAGGCCACTGCACTCCAACCTGGGTGACAGAGCAAGACTCTGTTTCTGTAAAAAAAAAAAAAAAAAAAAAAAAAGTGATTACAAAATGATAGTCAAAAAGACGTGTGGAGAATTCTAGAGAGAAGGAATACATGATTGCAGTTTGAGAAAGGAGTTAAAAGTTTAAGTTGTTAGATGCAAGCAAAAGTTGTAAAAGGATTTATTAGTATTAATATTAAAATGGTAATAACCATATAAAGTCATGGTCTTAAATAGAAAATTATTTCCATTTATGCAGCCAACAGACACGTGAAAAAATGCTCATCATCACTGGCCATCAGAGAAATGCAAATCAAAACCACTATGAGATACCATCTGACACCTGTTAGAATGGCAATCATTCAAAAGTCAGGAAACAACAGGTGCTGGAGAGGATGTGGAGAAATAGGAACACTTTTATACTGTTGGTGGGAGTGTAAACTAGTTCAACCATTGTGGAAGACAGTATGGCGATTCCTCAAGGATCTAGAACTAGAAATACCATTTGAACCAGCCATCCTATTACTGGGTATATACCCAAAGGATCATAAATCATGCTACTGTAAAGACACACACACATGTATGTTTATTGCAGCACTATTCACAATAGCAAAGACTTGGAATCAACCCAAATGTCCATCAGTGATAGACTGGATTAAGAAAATGTGGCACATATACACCATGGAATACTATGCAGCCATAAAAAAGGATGAGTTCATGTCCTTTGTAGAAACATGGATGGAGCTGGAAACCATCATTCTGAGCAAACTATCACAAGGACAGAAAACCAAACACCGCATGTTCTCACTCATAGGTGGGAATTGAACAATGAGAACACTTGGACACAGGGTGGGGAACATCACACACTGGGGCCTGTCCTGGGGTCGGGGAAGGGGGGAGGAGGTGAGGGATAGCGTTAGGAGAAATACTTAATGTAAATGACGAGTTAATGGGTACAGCACAGCAACATGGCACATGTATACATACGTAACAAACCTGCACGTTGAAAAAAAAAAAAAAAAGAAAAAAAAATATTTCCAGTTCTGTTACTAAAGTGACCTGGACGCCAACTGCTAGTACACAGGTAGAAATCTTTAATATGTGCTCCCAAAGCCCAGATTTAGGCTTCTAACCTATTGTCCATTAAAAGAGCTTTGCTTTTTTTTTCTTTTTTTTTCTCTTTTTTAAGACAGGGTCTCACTCTGTTGCCTAGGCTGGAGTGCAGTTGCACAGTCATGGCTCACTGCAGTCTCCATTTCCAGGGCTCAAGTGATCCTCCTGCCTTAGCTTCCTGAGTAGCTGGGACTACAAGCACGTGCCACTATGCCTGGCTAAGTTTTGTAGAGGTGGGATCTCACCATGCTGCCCAGAATGGTCTCGAAATCCTGGGCTCAAGCGATCTGTCTGCCTTGGCCTTCCAAAGTGCCGGGATTACAGGAGTGAGCCACCCTGCCTGGCCTTTTTTATTTTTATTTTTTATTTTTTGAAAAGAGCTTTTTTTGGGTGAATATTGGATTTTATATCTGAATGCTGGATGAAAGAGATAGCTTGCAAATGAGCTGCTGATATGCTATGAGTTGCCCCATTTCTCATCAAGAAAATTGAAATAAACTGCGATTTTATTTATGGTGGCAGAACCAGGACGATGTTGCCAGAATGAAGAAGGAATGGGCTATGTGGAGATTGTCTGGAGGGAAAAATAAGGTGGGTATGAAACATTTGTTTTTACTAGAAAGTTAAGTCTGAGTCCTTGATGAATACTAAAAAAGAGAACAATTAATATAAAGCAGGGATAAGGAAATCATAATGAAAAAATAAGGATGATCAGAATAGGAAATGTTTCATTCTATCTTTATTATATGAGGCAGTATTCATTTTAAAATGCGTTGTATACTTCTATTAAGCATGTGCTTATTTATATAATATCATTTATATCTTTTTCCCCTATCTCTTGTAGAGAAGGCTAGCTATAGGTAACTGTAAATAAGCCAACTATTTCCAGAAAAAGTTAGAGCTAGACCAAGATTGATTCGCTCTGATGGCCACATTCAATAATCACATAGAGAATCTAAAAACCAAAAACTAAAAAACACAAAATATACAAACATTTAGGATTTAATGCTGACCTCATGCCTATAGGATCAGGCTTAATAATAAGAGATGGTCTTTGAAGTATTGGAAACAATAGGAAATAATGTATTTTGCATTTAAAGGGCAACTATTATTATTGCTTACCAGTGATTAAGAGACCTAGATGACCAATCCCATTTGCTCTACAAGAATCGATTATTGGGATCAGCTATTATAGTTGGTACAAAGAAGCTCTAGGACAGGAATAGGTTCATCCAGCATTCAGGACAAGATGGAGAAATGGAAATCTCTGAAAACAAAGCTAATGAAAATAAAAAATGGAAAAGACTGGTAAAACCAAAGAGATAGCTTGCAAATAAGCTGCCGATACGCTATGTATGAGTTGCCCCAAATCTCATCGAGGAAATTAAAATAAACTGCGATTTTATTTATGGTGGCAGAACCAGGACGATGTTGCCAGAATAAGGAAGGGATGGGCTATGTGGAGATTGTCTATTAAAATTGTAAGGATTTTGCCTTCATGTCGTCGGTACTTTTGGGATGACATGATGTTCTTACCACCCGTCAGACATGCTTCTTCAGGAAAGGTCAAGACCTGGACCTCAGAGAAGGCACTCCAAGAAGGTGTGTACACCTGGAGACTCTGTCGCAGCTGCAAGCCGTTCTCTCTCTGAATAAACAGAGAGTCCCACCTTTCTTTGAGGAGTATCCACACTGTCCTCTCCCCCAAAGCAACAGGGATTTACTCTAGCAGGGAACCTCATTGGAAGCAGAAGAATCAGAATTTCCTGGGGACAAATGTACCATGTCAAAGTCCCCCAAATGATTCTGACCCCCATCCTACTTGGGAGATGCTAACTTTCCAGGTTGTGAATCACACTTCTCACCAACTTAATTGCAAGGGCTTTAACTTTCACAACAGTAAAAGTAATACTCCATGAAACAGCACAAAGTATCTGGTTTCCAAAAGAAACTTTTTATATGAACCCAAAGTTAAAGAATTTAAAACAGGGGCATGATGATTTAAATGATTAAAGTGGGCTAATGAAATCATCTTACAGGCTACATGCGAAAGTTCCTAGTTTTTTGGTGTAGATCAAAGAATTCCACGAAATTCAGTTAAACTACTGAAGGACATTACTATTGCCAATAAAAATATAATAGTTAACTTGAAGAGAAAGATTTCGCATTTTATTAATCTGAGTTTTAAGAAAAATGTGTGAGATGCCAGTAACTCAAAGCAGCAAACTTTTATTTTTTCTGTAATGTGCCTAGGCCAGCCATGAAGAATACATTTCATGTCTTGTGTCAATTACAGTTGACTCCCACGGCTGTGCTGGGCAGGATGCTCAGACCCACTCTCACTCAGGGAAAGGGGGCTTTAATCAAACTGATTAGTCTGCCCTTGGCACCAACACGCATTCCCACACCATGCTAGGAATTCCTTTCTGTGAAGCGATTAGAAATTACACTCCTTATGCTTGAATAGCTTTTAGTCTGGTTTGGGAATTAAGACCCAAAGAGGTGAGAAAATAGAGCATTTCTCAGGCAATATAGACACTTCCATCAATCTCTTCTGTGCTCCTCTTGTGGGACTAATTGCTCCTTTCTTGTTACTGCCATGAGCATTTTATGAGCACTGTTACAGGGCTACTGCCTTTGTTATTGTTCTTACATGGTTACCGCTCCCCTGTTAGTTTGCAACACCCTTGAGGGCAGTGACTGTACTCCATTGCTCCAGCTCAATTACCGTCAGCCCTCAGCACCCTGGTCTGTGCCTTATGAGTTGAGGGGCCCTCTCTGACAAGGAGATGAGCATATGAAGGGGGTTAAAGGAAATCAGATAAGTGGGGTGGAAATACCAGGCTTTGCTCTCAGCTAACTAGGCCCCCCTTGTTCCCACCCCTAAGTCCCCAGTTTTCTGGGCTTATGTCTACAGCCTTCCCATTGAGTCTATCAGCAAGCAACACTTGGCAACTTTCAAATAAATTCCTCTTCTCTTTAAGTTCCCTGACTTGAGTTTGAGTTGCCTGGGACATTCTTCCACAAAGACTTAGCTTTTTCCTCCGTTCATACCTCTGCTCCCATTACCCACTTCCCTTATGACATGGCATGATAGGAGGTGCAGAATGGAAAGAGCTGATGGAGATTCCCAGAGTGCAGGATTTCCAGTCGGTTGGCTCTGGCATCGAATTCCAGCTCTGCCACCTACTGTATGACTTTGGGCAAGTGATTTGTCCCTGTGAGCACCCAGTTAGCCAGGATGAAGTGGATGCAATGTCTGCCTCTGGAAATAGCTACGAGGGTCAAGGCAGATGATATATCCTAGGCATACAGCTCTGGGGACACTTATTATCCAGCTTCCCTATTCCTCATTTAGCAGTCATTGCCATGTGCATCTTGTATATTGTGACCATTTAAATCTTTTATTATTTATCTTCTTATATACTGATGCCTTATTTGCCTCCCTGCAGGGAAAAAGCTTGAGGCCCCATCCTCACTCCACCCCAGCCTTTGCAAAGTTCTATCCATAGTAGGTGCTCAGTGTGTACATACATATGTATGTATATGTTTATATATATTGATTGATTGTCAGCTCGTGGTGTATATTCACAGCCATAGAGTGGGCTCATTTTGCTTTATTCATTGACATCATGCTGCCTGCTGCCCATGGTCTTGTTGACTGGTCAGGTTTGCTGTCCCACTCCGGGAGGGCTTCTAGGTATACCACTGGACAGATTAGGACTGATTTCAGGGTTTTTCCTGGTACATATCCTTGCGGACTGATTCTGGACAGTGTCAATGTCCTCCAGCCAAAGACCTCTAAAAACATATCTGTAGTTGAACAAGTTGAATTTCTTACTTGTAGCGAGGGAGTATACACACCTTGGGGAACAGTGGAAAATTTAAGGAAAAGGGTGCTAGAAAAGACTTACTGTGCAGAAAAGAGCTAACATAGCAAGCCTGAGACTGCTACCCTTTCAAAGGCCTGCTTGCTAGGTTGGCCCTTGGCCCATGTCTGGGAAGCTGGATTTGGGGAATGTTCCCACCATTCCCTAACTCATAAGAGCAGCCCACTGTGCCTAAAGTGTCTGTACAGACAATATGGTCTATGCTAACACCTGTTTTCCTTCTGGAAGTCTGGTATTTTGGTTTGTGCTAGGCAGAAAGCGTCTGTGGAGTCATCCCCCAATAAAACACAGGCACTGAGTCTCTAATGACCTTCCCTGATAACAGCATTTCACACTATTGTCACAACTTGATGCTGCAGGAATTAAGCACATCTTATGCGACTCTGCTGGGAGCTTGGGCCTGGTTTCCTTCGAAAATCACCCCGTGTACCTTTTCCCTTTGCTGATTTTGCTGTGTATTCTTTCACAGTAATAAGTCTTAGCTGTGAGTCTGCCAATATGCTGAATCTTCTGATACCACTGGCACATTTATAAGATGTGAGCTTACCTTAGGTGACTTTGGGGAGGATGTAAGGGTGTGAGACTTTGCTCTGGATCACATCATCTCAAGGAGCAGTGGTAATTCTATAATTGGGTATCTCAGTAAATCTTATCCAGGAGGAGGGAAGATTACAACAAGGACTAGAACAAGGCCAAAGCTGTAATTGGTAAAGAAGCAGCAGTCACTTACATTAGCTGGGGTAGGGAAATATTGTGTATTTTGTGGCTCGAAGAATGCTCTTGTTTTGTTTATGTTCAGACATGATTACGGAGGAGTCGTGCTTCGTCATGGTCACAGAGTGGCCTTGTTTGAGGTTGATGCTTGGTGAAAATATTCACATTCAACAGAACACCCAGGCCCAACTGTGAGGGCCCATCAGCTCCGCAATGTCAGCAGTTGCTTTTCTCTCTCTCACCAGTAATGCATTCTCAAATTGTCTCATCTTTGATGTCACAGCTTTCACTTAAACCGAAAAGTTTCTCCATAATGGTTTCAGTTTCTCAAGCCTTTATAATTATAGCAGACTTCCAATTTCCTGTATCCATTGAGCGAAAATCCCTCCTGGTGGAGACCAAGTTATTGGAGGAGGCCTAACCCATAGGACAGAGATCAAATGATTTTATTCTTTTTTTTTTTTTTTTTTTTTTTTTTTGAGACGGAGTTTTGTTCTTGTTGCCCAGGCTGGAGTGCAATGGCGCGATCTCGGCTCACTGCAACCTCCACCTCCCAGGTTCAAGCGATTCTCCTGCCTCAGCCTTCCCAAGTAGTTGGGATTATAGGCATGCGCCACCAAGCCTGGCTAGTTTTGTATTTTTAGTAGAGATAGGGTTTCTCCGTGTGGGTCAGGCTGGTCTCGAATTCCCGACATCAGGTGATCCGCCCACCTCGGCCTCCCAAAGTGCTGGGATTATAGGTGTGAGCCACTGTGCCCAGCCTTATTCTTTGTAATAACTGCTAACCAGTGTACTGCTTTCCCCCCGGACAGTGGGCTCTCCAAATATTTAATTCAACCTATTTTCATGACTTTTGTCACTGGCATTTATTTTAGCAGTCTCTTGTTGGCTGAGAAGATATAGTTGTATGCACTGAGGCAGCACTGTCCAAGTCTGTTCACAGCTCTCCTTCCCTGCAGCCCAAGGTTGAGGTTGTGGCCCTCACGACCACCTCAGGCAGCTAATTGCAATCTTTTGACTGCAGCCTGCAGCTCTAACAGCATCAGTCACTCAGATAAGCATGCCTCTTTGCCCTTTGCCCTGGGTAAGCCTGCAACTCTAATGCCAATTAATTCCCAGCAACATCAGTTCAGGTGCTGATAGGCACAGGTGGGATCCATTTTTCAAGCCTATCAGGAGCTGTTCCCTCTCTCTCTGTCCATCTGAATATTTCACCCCTCACCAGGGCTCCCCTTTCTACTCCTGGAACCTGGGCGGGGAGGGCTGAAGGTCTAGTAGCTAAGAAATTATTCCACCTAGGAATAGAATGTTCAGCTCCCATCTTGCAGGCAGTTGTGAGAGATTTTTGCAGGGAGCACTTCTCCTTGGCTTTGAGAAGAAATCTGGTCTAGAGGCCTGACCCCTTGCTGGAGAGAGAAGAGTAGCTTGTCTTTAAACCTACATCCCTGAGAATGATCTCTTTGACATCTTCTGGAATTAGGGGATGTTAGCTCATTCTGTTAGGGGAACACTCAGTGTGTTCCCCGAGTTGGTGGCCCTCTGAGCTTAGCCTAGGAGAACCTCATGCCTTTCCAGGCAGTGGGTCCTAACTTCCAGTTCCGGAGAAGGATCCCACTCAGCACTTCACAACACTAATTCTAATTTCATCAATCAGCAATAGCGGAGGACAACATCATCTTATTAGGGAACCGTTGAGAATTATGGCGAAGCTTCTAAACTTGCACTGTCCGAAATAGTAGCCACTGGCCCTTGTGGCTGTTGAGCCTTTTGAAACATGACCAGTCTACATTGAAATGTGCTGTCATTGTAAAATACATATCGCATTCCAAAGACTTAGTCTAAATAAAGAACATAAAAATCTCAATAATTTCTTTATCAATTCTTTGTTCAAATGATAACATTTTTGATATATTGGGTTAAATAACATATATTATCAAAATGAATTCTGCTTGTTTCTTTTTAATATTTTTTAAGGCTGCTACTAGAAAGTTTAATGTTAACTATATGACTCACATTATATTTCTATTGGACAGGGCTATTCTAGACCAGGAGTTGAAGAACTATGGCCAACTTAGGCCCATCCATCTTGAGGACTGTTTGTGTAAATAAAGTTTTATTGGAACACAGCCACACCATTTGATTACATATTGTTTGTGATGGCTTTTGTGCTACAATGGCCAAGCTGAGTATTTGAGACAGAGAAGCCTGGGGAACCCAAAATATTTATTATCTGGTCCTTTGCAAACAAGGTTTGTTGGTCTCTCTTCTAGACTATCAAATAAAATGTATTTTTTTTTTTTTGAGACACAGTCTTGCTCTGTTGCCCAGGCTGGAGTGCAGTGATGGGATCTCGGCTGACTGCAACCTCCATCTCCCGGGTTCAGGAGATTCTCCTGCCTCAGCCTCCTGAGTAGCTGGGACTACAGGTGCATGCCACCAGGCCCAGCTAACTTTTGAATTTTTAGTAGAGACAGGATTTCACCATGTTGGCCAGATCGCTCTCAAACTCCTAACCTCAGGTGATCCACCTGCCTCAGCCTCCCAAAGTGCTGGGATTACAGGTGTGAGCCACTGTGTCCGGCCTAAAATGTGTACTTTAAACTTATGAAACTTATTGAATACTTATTGTTCAATATTAAATATATATTATAGCATTTTAATTAATAGAAAATGAATGCATTTAGGCTAATCCTATATTAAGCTGGGTGATTAAATTATCATAACACCTTGTTACTCAAATTAGTGGGTAGCAGAGAATTTCCTTATGAGTTTTATCATGCCAGTATCCTTCTGAGAGTTTGTGCTCACTTCCTCATTGATTGTCCCTGCCACACAGTGCAGTTAATGCCCACCCATGAATTAAGGACCAAACCTGGGAAAATTGGATTACTACTTTCATATATGTGTCAGTGACTAGCAGGGCTCTACATCAAGATAAATTTCCACTGCGGGTGAGCAGTAGCCATGATGATTAAATGGAAATGCTTGTCTCAGCCTCAAATCACAGGCTGAAGATATACACTGAAATTACAGTTACACAGAAAACAGTGTTCTTTCAGAATGGAGAATGGAACCTTCTGCATGAGAATCGTATCTAACAACATGTGGTCTCCTTTCTTGAACTCGTGTGGCGGAGCCAGTTGGCGCAAATGATTATACTCTTCATTTCCCTACTGACCTTTCATCTTTTTTATTCTTGTCAATTTTCATTGTGAAGCATTACCGTGTTGGTGGGGGTGTGTATGTCACGAAAGCACGTTCTGCACCACACTAAAAATTATGGCCACAAAACCTCTTTAAATTACACCCTAATAGTATTTCCTTGGAAGTCGTTATGAATTTTGGTTCTTCCTAACCTTTGCCACTGGGGATCAAATAGCACAGCTCAACGTTTCCGTTGCTGCATTTTATAACAGTGGTAATGTAAGAATTTACTGGGGACTTTATATACACAGACAAAAGCGTGCCACTTTACGAAGCTATTAAACACCATGGATTTTCCCACATGAGAGATCAAGCTTATTGTATTTCTCAAGTATCCCAGCAGTTTCCCCCACAGCCCAGCTCCATTGTGTGAGATGGTGTGGTTGGCTCAGCCATTCTCTATACCAAGGTTGTTAGCATCTTGACTGCAACCCAGCGTTATCATGAAGGCATAGCCACAGAGACAACACTCCGTTCTATCACCACGCCTTGTTACTGCAGGACACCTGGCCTCTAAGCAGGAAAGGTTATTATATTCCCTTTTGACAGTGGAAGCTTTTCAAGGGGCCAACAATGCATTTTTTTATAGCAGAGATTAAAGTTAAAAACATGACAAGCAGAGAGCAGTCTGCTTTTGTGTGCAGACATCCAGACATTTTTCGCCAAAGAAGGCAATAAGCCGCGCGATAAAAATTCTAGCTTGAAACTCCCAGGGTTCTCCAATTAGATGCTTATCTTTTCTTTTATGGCTGAGGCTTTAAGACAAAATTTCTAATGGGGAAAATATGGTTTCACTACTGAAATGCATTTGCTATGGAAATGGCAGGCTGCTGAAACATACAAGGCAAATGATTAACATGAAAAATAAATAAGATACCTTTATGTTTATAAGATCTTAAAATTGAGAATGATACTCTTTCCATTTAGGACGAGCAGTGGTACTCATTAAGGCTCTCTTTGGGGCTAATTTAGTTATTAAAATCAATTGTATTTTATGGCAATGACCAAAACATTTCTTAGATTTGAGGGTTTGTGTTTTAAAAAAATTAAGAGTTCACTGAATCTGGAGGTATTTATTGTGTGGTTTTAGTCACTGATATAACTCCAAAAATATGTGAAGCTGCCTATGAGATATAAATCATCCGACTGCCAAATGTCCTCATTTCTTCTGCAATTGGAAGAAGAGGTAAGTTTATTTCTAATGGCGGGCTAGTGGGTATAGTAGTCACTGTGGTGACATCAGGACATCCATGTGGAAACTGCAGCGTGCAGTAGCAGCTAAATAAATATAAAAAGTGGTATATCGGTTGTGTACGATTAAATCACAATTGCGCAGAGAATCCTGATCTGTTGGGTGGACAGTTCACCAAAGGCATGAAGATTTTGCTTCGAATTCACCAAGGTTTACGAAGCACAAGAGTCCACCCAGCGACCTCTGACGCATCGTGTGCTTTTCATTTATTTTCATGATTCCCCAGAGACCTGGGCCCATTCCATTGTGAGCCCTTAGGAAAAGTAATCACATACTGGGAATATTCAACAGTTTTGATTTTGTAGCCCTCATCCACTTAAATTTTCCTTGGGACTCTGAGTTCACAGTCAAGTCCAGTGGGAATGCCTTTAAGCCAGGGAAAGTGAATGCAGCCCTGCTGGTGCTCAGATCTGGAAGGAGTCATAGGACCTGCTGGGTAGAAATGGCTTCTACTGACTTATATTTGCTGACAGGATGCTGTCAGGGGAATCAAGGTGCTGTCGGAAGGACAGACTTGGTGAAGGGGAAATACAAGACATTTTAAGGTCCATCTCCTGAAAAAATAAACTTAAAAAAGAGTGAAATGATGGAGGACTTGACCCAATCCTCCGGCACTATTCAGGCTGCACATATTTTCAGCATCTGTCATAAAGGCTCACAGTGCTATGAGGAACTCGAAGTTTAATGGTGTGTAAAATTTTTTTTTAACTCTCTTGTTGCCTCTTAGCTGCTCCTTGCAAATGTGGAAAACCATTTTTTTCTTTTTCTTTTTTGCATTTAGTTTTAGAAGCACAAAGAGGAAAATACAAAGCACTAACCGCCTTGAGTGAAATGCGCTGAGAATTTTATACTCAGGAAAACATCCAAATGCCAACTCTACTTGGCTTGTGGAAATTTCCGGACTCCAGGTTCCCAGGGCCCTGATGTTAATTTTCTTTTGGCTGCTCAGACTACCCTACCTTATCTACCTATCGTTGTTTAGGATCCCAAATCACTGATTTTCTCCTTTTCAAAGCTCTCCAAAGTATCTGGTCACTGTTTGGTGGAGGAAATCAATGTTGAATTCAGTCCTCAGTCACTCACTCAGCCATGCTTGGGAATGTGGGGAATTCTATTCAAGGAGAAATGAGTAGAAAATAATTTTTAATTTCAAAAAGAATCCCAGGTATCTCTACACTGTGGATATATGAATACTGTACAATTTACGAGGTGCTGGCAAATATACTACATTACACAGTACAATTTCATGCAATCCATGGAGCTCCAAATGCCCTTTAGAGTGTTTGAAGCCAACATTACAAATACAATTTTAAATAGAGGATAACTAAATGGGTGTTGTTATTCTGTTCAGAGCCTGCTAACGAATTCTCAAGAACGTAGCATGAATTGGTTGTCAAGGTAATGTCTGGGAAGGTGGCAGAAACTGTCACTAAGCCAAGTGGAAAAATTAAACCCTCTCTCCGTCATATTCCAGGAATCCTCAAGCAAAAAGAAATTCCTAGACACCTCTCAGAGCCTTTTGTGTCCTCCTTTCTTTCATCCCTCAATCCTCTTTTCCATTTCCCCACAGATGACCAAACAAAATAGAACGTTCCCCAAGAAAACTGATTTAAAGAAGTTGAGTTCAGGGTCAGTCTTATTTTATTTTATTTTTTTCCATCTATGGATCTTTCTTTTAGTTTGTACCCTCTGGGCTGATTCAAATTAGAAGAGTATTTTCGACTCTACAGAGGACACATGGTGGAATAACCTAAATTGGAAATGCATGTTTCATGATAACAGACATTTCCACTCTTGCTGGGCATTTCCAATTGCTGTAAAGCACCTCTGTGACATGAACTAATCCACAGAACCTCTGGAGACTCAGCAGAGAAACTGAGGCCATGAAAGTGATTACAGGGCCATTAAGCATAAATGGTGGAAAAGAAATTACATTTGAATTTTTTCATGTTCTGCTCTCATATAAATTACATAAGACAATGGAAAGAAAAGACCATCTGGGTTTAGATTTCATAAAACGAGACTCACATCTGCTTTGGTATGTCATATAAATATTCCTTCATTAGAGAGTTCAATCTATGAAACACTTTTGGTCAAAAAAGCATTTTAAGAAAAAAGAGGGGGAGATTGCTTTTCATGGATGCTGATTATTTTCAAATCCTCAGTCCTAAATATCAACCAGCAAACACCTCAGAGGATTTTTTTTTAACATTTCATAAAACAAGAGTATTTTAATAGAGCAAGAATAAAAAATAGTGGGACATTTTATCTTTAAGCAAAGAAAATTCTTCCTTAGAAAAGATAGTTGCCAATCTAATTCAACATTTATATCTTTCTTTCAAGCTTTCTTTTTTTTATTATTATACTTTAAGTTTTAGGGTACATGTGCACAATGTGCAGGTTTGTTACATATGTATACATGTGCCATGTTGGTGTGCTGTACCCATCAACCCGTCATCTAACATTAGGTATATCTCCCAATGCTATCCCTCCCCCCACCCCACAACAGGCCCCGGTGTGTGATGTTCCCCTTCCTGTGTCCATGTGTTCTCACTGTTCAATTCCCACCTAGGAGTGAGAACATGCAGTGTTTGGTTTTTTGTCCTTGCAATAGTTTGCTGAGAATGATGGTTTCCAGTTTCATCCATGTCCCTACAAAGGACATGAACTCATCATTTCTTATGGCTGCATAGTATTCCATGGTGTATATGTGCCACATTTTCTTAATCCAGTCTATCGTTGGACATTTGGGTTGGTTCCAAGTCTTTGCTATTGTGAATAGTGCCGCAATAAACATACGTGTGCATGTGTCTTTATAGCAGCATGATTTCTAATCCTTTGGGTATATACCCAGTAATGGGATGGCTGGGTCAAATGGTATTTCTAGTTCTAGATCCCTGAGGAATCGCCACACTGACTTCCACAATGGTTGAACTAGTTTACAGTCCCACCAACAGTGTAAAAATGTTCCTATTTCTCCACATCCTCTCCAGCACCTGTTGTTTCCTGACTTTTGAATGATCGCCATTGTAACTGGTGTGAGATGGTATCTCATTGTGGCTTTGATTTGCATTTCTCTGATGGCCAGTGATGATGAGCATTTTTTCATGTGTGTTTTGGCTGCATAAATGTCTTCTTTTGAGAAGTGTCTGTTCATATCCTTTGCCCACTTTTTGATGGGGTTGTTTGTTTTTTTCTTGTAAATTTGTTTGAGTTCATTGTAGATTCTGGATATTAGCCCTTTGTCAGATTTTATACAGAGGATTTTATGTAGTTTTATTTTCAGAAATTAAAATATCTTAGGCTGTGTCTACTTTGGCCAAGTAATGTACATTGCTTTTTTATTTGTTAAATGGGAGATTTGGTACTTTTTTTAAAATCAAAAATAAGACATTTTGTGTTCAGCTCAGCTTTTAAAAAGGGCTGGGGATGGAAAGGTGCACATTTGGTCTCATCATACTTGATGAATGTTTCCAGCTCCATTGAATTATTTAGCTCTCCAGCAACCTCTTTTGCCTCCTCCTTTTATCACATGCTATCTCTTGGCTCCATCTACTTTGTGTCGGTTTCACCTCAAAATTCACGTGATAGCAAGATGGTGGCAGCAGGTTCAGACTATGCACCCTCTTAGGTTCAAGCCCACAGGGAAGAGTAAGAAGTGCCTTTTCAGAATCTTATTGATGCTGAATGGGTAATGTGCCTATCCTGGATCTAATCACCAATCACAAAGCCTGGGGAATGTGGTATTCTGACTGGCTGAGGCCTAAACACATGCACCACTCCTGAATCGGGGGAGTCAGTCCCACCCACAGCTTACAGGCCAAGCGTTAAGGAGGATTGGTCCCTCTAGCAGATAGTTTCTAAGATGGCCCCTAAAATTCCATGCCTCCTGGTATTTATGCTTTTATGTAATCCCCTCTCCTCGAGTGTGTGCTGGGCCTAGTGACTCATTTCTAACCAATGGAATACGGCAGAGATGATGGGATTAGGTCACATGAGATAGTGACTTCCATCTTGCTAGCAGACTCTCTCTATTGCCTTCTTGGTTGGCACATTTTGATGAAGCAAGCTGCCATACTGCAGAGACCCACATGGCCAGGAACTGAGGGTGGTCTTCAGCCAATAGCCATTGAGGAAAGGAGATCCCTATTATAACCGCTCTCAAAAAACTGAATCCTGGGAATAGTCATCTAGGTGAGCTTGGAAGCAGATCCTTCGTCAGCCAAGACTTCAGATGAGACCCCAGCCAAGGCTGGTCACTTGATTACAGACTTATGACAGAACATGAAGCAATGAATCTGGCCAAGCCATGCCCAGACTCCTGACTCAAAGAAACTGTGCATTAATAAATGTATATTGTTTTATGTTGGGATGTTTGTGGTAGTTTGTCATGCAGCAATAGATAACTAATACAGTGCCTCATGAAAATTTGGGGGTACAGTGTAGTTGAAGTGTGGGCAACAGAAACAACAGCTGCCCACAATAGCACATTGTAGGCATGAGTTAATGAATCCTTCCAACAACCCTACGAGGTGAGGAACAATTGCTTTCCCCTCATTTTTTGAAGATGAGAAGACTAAAGCACAGAGAAATTAAACAACCAGCTCAAAATTACACAGTGAGTCAAAATAGCACTATGAAAATGAGAATGGAGAGGGTAGAATGGGCTATTGGTAGAGCAAATTTTAACCTTAAGTGGTGTGAACTATGATTGCTTCCTAGTCTCTGCATAGTTAAAATTATACTCAGAGAATTTATTTCCAATTTTGGAGATTTTAAGTGCCACACTAAACAGGAACCTTCTCCATGCAAACTGCTAATCCTTCCAAGCAGCCACACAAGGAGTCTTAAGAATCAACTAAACTTATTGGCCCCAAACTGTCAGGAATAACAAGTCATTGTCACCTGCTGTCAGCCCTGCCTCTCTTCCCCAGCCTACTCATGAGGCTGCCACAATATGTTCTTTCCAGAGATGTTTCTGGACCAGCCCTAATCAGGATCGAGACTGTCTCATCAATCTCAAGTCCACTAGTGAAGGGCTCTGGAACCAGTTTTGCTTTCCTTGCCCCAGGTCTTGCATGCCAGGTATGGGCCATTAACATGATACAATGCCTCTGTCACAGCTGTCCCTGCCCGCTCTTCTCCTGCGACGTTAACACTGCCTGCTTGCCTGCCACTGCTGGTTTTCCTGCCACGAACTGCATTTTCCTGACCAGGCAGGGTCCCTGGAAGACAATACATTTGCAAAGAATTGAAAGCTCTCCCCTTCAGGGATGTAATAAAGCAATCCAAGCACAGGGAAAACGTTGGGCCAGGTGGATTTTAAGGGCTCTTCCCATCTTGAGAAGCTGTACTTGTCTGTTTGCTTGTCTTGCTCTGTCTTGTATTACAGTAGCTTTCATTCTTATTTTATTTCTTCTTTTAGATTGTGATCTTTTTGAGGTCCATGACTTCACGTATCTGGCGCATAAATATTTTTAATTTTAAAAAATATATCATGCTTACTGCTTTGATATTTCTTATTGTGGAGATGGAAATGAATTTAGGGAAAAAAGACATTCTGAAGAGAAGTAAGTTATCTCAGAAATAAAAATAGCTTTTTATTTTTAGAAAAAATGTTTCCTTTTCATGTTGTTCTTTTATATTTATCCTTTATGATTCACTCAATAAGCACAGAATTGTAATGACCTGTGCTGTAACTAATGATGATGGATGTTTTTGTTTCAGGTAAAAACAAACCATCTCACAAAAAAGGCAAAGGTGTCCATTAATACTGCTGATTATTTATAGCACATTTTGGAGGTCCTACCAAAGATTAGAGACATATTACTTAGTTTTATTTTTAACATAATGACTGAAATTTTTCACACTGCTTAGCAGAATGGAATGACCCCAGATATTATTTCTAATATAGGGCAGGGGTTGACAAACTACAGCCCCTAGGCCAAACTTGGGCCACTGCTTATATCTGTAAATAAAGTTTTATTGAAACACCGCCATGTCCATTTGTTTACATATTGTCTATTGTTGCTTTTGCACTACAATAGCAGCATTGAGTAATTGTGACAGAGACCATATAGTCAGAAAAGCCAAAAATATTTTTTTGGCCCTCTACAGAAAGCATTTGCTGACCTCTGACAGAGTGTAAACACCGCTCCTTAACTTGAAGGGCAGTTAATAATGTCTAAGCTTTGATTTGATTTGATTTGGTTCTATGGTGCTGATTTCCTTTTGAGCAATAAGCAATTGGTAGTTTTTTAGTGCATTTTAATGATACCTTCCTGTAAAGAATTTTCAGTCTGTTTGCCTATGGATATGCATATCTGGTACAAGGCTCATAAGCTCTTTTTCCAAACTCAGAGAGGTTAATTGGCCTTCGTAAAGTTGCACATACAAATGGTAGAGAGCCCAGAGGAGACCTCAGGTTCACAATTGCAAAGTCATGCTACTTGTGATGATGATTTGTGTTTGCAGTTGTGATTTCTACCTTGTGCAAAAACCACTGTAAAAGGAATATATTTAGTCAACCACCTGGTTGTCTGTTAACCAGTTAACCTGAATAATACCAATACCAACATCCACGTTAATGCCAAGCCATCACATTTCCAGACAAATGCGTCTTTCAAAATGCAATACAAGTCTCATCTAGTCCATGAGGCCTTTCCTAAGTGCCTAAGTGAGAATGACACTTCTGCTTTGTACCTCCAGTGTGTCTCTCTCCTAGACCCAGGAGACAGGCTCCTGGGCTTCAAGCTCCAAGGGTCCTCCTCTGTCCACACCTCTCCCCAGGCCCAGGATTCTGTTCGGCTAAGTAGATGAGGAGCCCCCTTCTAGAACATACCCCTTGTAACCTAGACCTAAGAATTCACTGCCCAAATGTCCTAAGCCCACTTCTGAGCCTACTTGGATTCTTCCTGATGTCCCTTGTCTATTCAAGGGTGGGGGACAGGCTGTGCTGCTGTGCATACTCCCAGGCCTGAGAGTTGCCCAAGGGGGTGGCAGTTTGCAGAATATTTAGAGTTCAGATGGCATTTGGCTATGCAAGACAAGGTGTCCATTCTTATGTGTCTGAGGCCCCTTGTAGTTTGTGATGGAGCTGGGGACAGGAAGAGAAGGGGCTATGCTCTGAACAGGCATCTATTTAAACTCTTGCCTAGGCCCTGCAAACTTATCATGTCACTTAACCATTCTTGCTCTATCTGATTTACAAGCAGTCTTCTGGCTAAACTGAACTCCTGGAATGCAATGTTTCACATGTATGGTACCTGCACAGTGGCTGGGACATTGTTGGGTGCTCAGTAGATACTCAAGCACTGAAAGGACAATACCACTGTGTCCATACCAAAGGGAAAGTCAGTGTTCCTTGTTACTAATACTGCCTAACAAACCACCCCAAATTTAGTGCTGTAAAGCAACCCTTTTTTATGTTCTCAATTCTTTGGGCCAAGAATTTGGAAAGAGCACAGTGGGATGGCTTATCCATGCTCCACAATGTCTAGGGCTCAGCTGGGAAGATTCAAAGGCTGGGGGGTTTTGGGCGGGATGGTGGTGACTCCACAGCTGAGGCTAGAATCATCTGGAGGCTCACTCACTCATACATCTGGCAGGTGATTCTGGCTGGGACCAGAATACTACATGTAGCCTCTCTCTGTGGCTGCTTGGGCTTCCTCACAGCATGGTGTCTGGGTTCCAAGAGTTACTATCCTTAAAATAACCAGGCTTGGAAATCACTGCAGTCACAAGCCCACTGAAGTTCAAGATGAAGGAATGCAGACTCCCACCTTTTGATGGGAGAAGAGCCTAAGACACATTTTAAGAAGTGCATGTGGGGTAGGAAATATAGTTGTGGTCATCTTTACAAAAATAGAACCTGCCACAGTTAGGTAGATATTCTTTTAGAAAAATCAACACACTACCTTGACCTGTGGGGAGGGAGAGAAAGCTTTTTCAAATAAAGCAAAACAGGAAAAAAAAATCTACTTTTACTGCGTTTTTGATCAGAGATATTATGAGGAACCGATTGTAAAAAGCATGGATTGCCTCTATGAGGTGAGAGGTCTAAAATGTGCTCCATTTAAAATAATGATTAGGGGCTTGCAATGGTTTCTTTCTCACTGAGTGGTTGATCGTTTCATTGCATTCACCACGTCCCAGTGGTTTAGAGTTACTTCTATATGAAGTACTAAAATAGCTTTTCAAAAATAAGACAGAAAGTTTCATGCTCTAATGAACTAATATAGTAAAATGTCGATATTATTAACTGGAAAAAGTAGTAGAAAAATGTTTGAGTTAAACTCAGCTGTGAAAGTTCTTTTCTTTGGGAAAGTACTTGTATTGAATAGTGCTTAATTTGACTTTATCAAGAAATACAGTCATCACCACTAACACAGAGAAAATGTGTGACAAACAAGGAAACACCGTATGTAAGGATTCCATAAATTTGTTCAAATGGTTTAAGTTTTGGGTACCTAAACAAAATACAATGTTATAGGAAATCTTAAGAAATTTGAAAATGTATATGTTTTGAAAATAGCAAAGTGAATTCAAAGAGAAGGAACAATATGAATTGGTGGAGGCCACTCAGAGACATGGTTGCAAAAATCCAAACAGGGTAGCTTCCCACAGTTTCTTAAAATGTTTTATCTAATATGCTTTTTTAGGTTCTGAAAGTGTCTCTCTTAAGAAACTGGAGATGTGTGCTTCCAAGGCAGGATCAGAAGCGGTTTTGAGTGGTATCTTCCGGGATCTCCCACAAAGCATTTCTTTGTATGCGTCATCCTTCTTCCAACTCCACCCACTTAGAAGTTAAGCAACGATGGAGTCCTTGCTTCTATCTCCTTTTGGGTCTCAGAGTGGGGCTGACTCTTAACTCCAAAGCATCTAATCTCTTCCAAGATACCTTTCTATGAATGGAACTTTTAGGTCTTTTCTGACAACCACTAGCCTGCCAGGGTCCTCAGGGTGAATAAGCAGACTAAGTTTACCTTGGAGGTTAAGCACACAACAAAATCAATGAAGAGTACCTTCCAGTTGTGTTAGCCCAGAGGTTTTCAAATCCACTCCACAGAACATCTTTAATGCCCACTTGTGGAGAGGAAAGGGGCCATGGCAGATGGAGTTCTGTGTACCTAGCCAAATTTTAATCAGAATGCCTCTGGGTTTATCTGTTCATGGATTAGGCTTCCTCACTAGCTTTAATTTGAAGAACTTTTGAAAGTTAGCAAAGCACTCCACATTTTATGGTTCATTTCCACTTTCACCTCAGTTGATCCTCATAATGCTAGTGTTACAGAAGGGCTTCTAAACATCCTCAAATAATTTAGAGAAAGCTCATTCAAGTTCCTCATCTCCCACCCATGGTTTAGCCTAGTTAAGAATTTTTTAACACCAAGAACCATAATAATGATGATGATAATAATAATAATAATAATAATAACCAAAAGAGGTTAATTGCTGCTGGGATAATGTTGCCAGATGCTCCAGATCTCCTGCCTTTGGTCCCAAAGTAGAAGATTCTCAGGATTTGAACATTCTTTTTACTAAGTTATTTAAAATTATTTCATTGTTTAATTATGAAAAATATATAGATGAATATATCTCAAGTTAGTGACACATTTTGACTGTGACTTGGTTCTGATTAGAGTCTCACTATTTTGCTTGTTTTATGAGTCAGTTGGGTAAAGAGACAGGCAGGAAGGTCACATTGAATCTCAACATGTCAACTAATGAAGAACTTATTTATCTGATCAAGAAATCTGTGCAATGTGGCAGTCCCATCCTTTGACTGGGACTCTGTTCTTTTATGCTATTCTCCCTAATGCTTTTTCAAGCTAGCTCTTTGCTAATTCCTCTATGTCAAGGCAATCAGTTTATTGCACGGGAGAAAAGAGAATTTATATGTCATTATTGCAACTACTTTGTCTTACTTAGTGTGGCTGGCGGGCTGTCTCTAATATGGCCCCCAATGACCCTCACTTCCTGATATTCATGCTATTGTGTAATCCTTTCTTCTTCAGTGTGGGCTGCAATAGTCACTTGCTTCTAATCAATATAATGTGACAAAGATGATGGGAAGTCACTTCCATGATTAAGTTTCAACATGTTGTAGTCTTCAATTTGCTAGCCAGATAGGGGTAGGTGATAAATGTTTGTGTATATCTCAGTCGGTTCAGGCTGCTATAACAGAATATCATAGATTGGGTGGCTTACACAACAAGAATTTATTTCTTTCAGTTCTGGAGGCTGGGAAGTCCAAGATAAGTTACCAGCATGGTTGGGTTCTGGTGAGGGCCCTCTTCCTGATCTGCCTCCCTTCTTGCTGTTTCCTCATGTAGTAAAGAGCAGGAGAGAGGAAGCAAGCTCTCTCCTGCCTCTTCCTATAAGTGCACTAATCTCATAATGAGGACTCCACCCTCATGACCTAATTACCTCCCAAAGGCCCCGTCTCCAAATAGCGTCACACTGGGGATTCAGTTTTCAACATATAAGTTTTGGGAAACACAAATATTCAGTCCATAGCAGTGTGGCCTGCCAGATCATCCTAGAATACATCTAATCTGGGGTTCAGGTTTGCTTTAGTTTGGGCAGCATAACTGTTATAACAAAAGGTCCCACGATGTATATTGGGTCTAATGCAATGGAAGTTTATTTCTTGATCATGAAACAGTATTGGGTAAAAGAAAAGGTTGGCAATCCTCCCTGCCTCATACATTCAGGGGCCCAGAATGACAGAAAATCTGCCATCTTAAACGCAGAACTTCTGAGGTTGCTCTGGGAAGAGGGGAGGGGGTCATCTTTATTCCAGCCAGCTGGAAGGGGAAGAGAACATAGAGTTCCATATAGAAGATTTATAGGCCAGGCCTGGAGGCGGGGTACAGTCCTTCTGCTCACATTCCATTGGCCCTATCTCAGTCAACTGACCACATCTAACCATTAAGGGATGCTTGGAAAAGTACCCTTTGGCTTAGCGGCCACTTCCTAGTGACAACTCTATACTAAGGAGGCAGGCATAAGAATTTTTGGTTCACAGCTACACTTTCTGCCACACTACTTCTGGGAAACTGAACAATTTGCAGTGGGGTAGCCAGGCTAGCATTTAAATGTGACATGAAAAGTTCTAAGCCCATCAGCAAGGTCTATTATTTCCCAACCTTGTCACCAATACCTCTGTTCTTGCTTCTTCCACTCAAGAACCATCCAACCAGATCTTGGCCACCACCCATGAATCAGTGTTGAAACCAATTCAGGCCATCCATCTTCCCAGGAAAATGGGGAAACGAGATGTCCCACTTGACTGCACATTGAAGGGATGTCTTTTCTCCACTGTCCCTCAGGGCCTTCTGCCATTGGGACTGTAACACCCAGCAATCTGCATCAGACTCGTGCTGGCATATCTCTTATAGACCCACCCTTGATTTTTCCCTCATCAGAGTCACTTCCTTGTTCTCAAACCATTTCTTCCTCTGGTTTCCTTGGATACCACATTTTCCTCATTCCTCAATCCTTTCTCTTTAGGTGATGAGTGATACATTTCTCCTTACATATTTATGACTTCCAGTTTTTTATCATTAACCTTAATTTTTCTTTTGAGCTAAAAACTATAAACTTGACACTTTCAGGTCCTTGCCAATGGGCAGCCCAAATTTGACATGGCCTCCTCAATGATGCCATTCCTGACTACCCATTTACATTAGCCAATTTCTCTCACCTTTTGTCAAATATCCACTTTTATATTTATCACTGTCTGATGTTACCTGTCCACTTATTTGTTTGGTTATTTATCATCTATACTAAGTATATGTACTTCACAGTGCTAAGACTTCGTCTACCTTGTGCGGAGCCTAGCACAGTGCCTAAACAATAGGATGTGCCCCCATAGATATTTATCAAATGAATACATGAAAACTTCATTGTAGGGAGCTCTCCTTGAGGTCACAGGTACGGGTTGAGGGACACGAAGGTGTAAGTAGCAGACATGTGAGTTAGGTGGAGCTGGAAATTACTTTTCCACCAAGACCATTCACAACAAGGGAAAGTTCATTGCCCATAAGGTTACTAGAGTTCTATCTTATCAGGGGACAGTGTTGAGGCAGGCAAAACCCAACAGATGTTCAGTAAAGTTTGTAATTATTGCATAGGAAAAAAAATATAGTATTGAGTCTCTCTATCCCTAGATCAGTGTGGGCAAAATTTTTTCTGTAAAAGGCCAGGCAGTGAATATTTTAGAACTTGTGGGCCACATGGTCTCTGTTGTGACTACTGAACTCTGCCTTTGTAGCAGGAGAGTAGCCATGGATAATATGTAAGCAAATGGGTGTGGCTGTGTTCTGATAAAGCTTCCTTTATAGAAAATGAAATTTGAATTTCATATAATTTTCACATGTCACCATGTATTAATCATTAAGATTTTTTCCAACCATTTAAAAATGTAAAAGTCATTCTGAGCTATTTACATTAGAAAAACAGGCAATGGGTGGGATCTGGCCCAAGGGCCATAGTTTACTGACCCCTAACCTAGAGTGTCAGAAAACTCAGCCTTGTATATGTTGGGGGTTTTTCCTAGCTCCCATGGCCACTTTATAAATGATGTTTCTTAAAACATTTTCATGCAGTCCTTGAGCTTGAGTCTCCAGCGGTGTTTTGGGTTGGAGGAGGCAGTAGGAAGAGAGTCTCCCAGCCCTAAATGGTTAACGTTTATATTGCAACATAAATTATCATTTGCTCCAGATTGCCTGTGGTATCCATGTAGAATGATTAATGTCAAAATGATAAAATGATGCAGTCTCTTGAATTTGATTCCAGCTGTTCCCGTCTTTGATATGATTTGCGAATGACATTTGTATTTTTCACTGGTGATTAGTTAATGCTGGAAAGGACGGCCAGATGATAGCTGTCTAGAATTCTAAAGCCAAAGATTTACTTGGCTGGAAAACTGTTCAATAGAATATCGTTACAATATTTACCGTAAATTGGTTTAGCATTTGTCATTAGAAGGTGCTTAGCATCCAGATAACAGCCTATAGTTTGAAGAATTTTTTAAACCATTTGATTACACTATGATTACAGAAGGCTGGCAACCAAAAAAGACTTCTTTCTACGTGATTCATTGCTCCTGTGTAGAACACCAATGAACTCTTAAAGAACTGATTCAATGTTTTCTGAGAGCCCTTTATTGACTTGTTCGTGGCTAGAGGAAAACATAGCTGTGCATCACATAGTTTGGATGTTAAGTGTCAAAAGTTCCTGGGTTTAGCTGCTGATGATAGCAGTGACCATTTACTGAGCTACTTACGATGTGCCAGCTGCTAAACTATTTTACGCTCATTTCGTCTTCACACCAGTGCTTTTAAACATTATATTACATTGTCAGAATATTCGTCCACCCACCAAGTCGTTCTAAGGGCAGGTAGTCAGTCTGAGGTCTATTGTTCTCTCTGCATTTTCTTGGCCTCTTAGACTGTGGTTCTCTGTGAATAAGGATGGGGGGTCACTTTAATTCAGAGTTTCTTAACTTCAGCACTCTTGACATCTAGGATCAGGTTATTCTGTATGGTGGGGCCGTCCTGTGCACTGTAGGATGTTTAGCAGCATCCCTGCCCTCTACCCACTAGATGCCTGTAGCGCCCTCACGCGCACTCCACCAACCCAGTTATGACAACCAAAAATGTCTCCAGACACTGCCAATGTCCCCTAGGAAAGAAAATCACCCCAAGGTGAGAACCACTGGTTTCACTCCATCTGCCCAGTGCAGCATTTGAGCATAAGAAATTGTCCCTGGGGCTCAGCTTCTATTTTCACATCCTCAGTGGGACCAACTAGAGATGAGTTTCTGTTTACTTTGGGAATTAGGATGTAAGCTGCATCTAATTTATTATGAATTCTGCTTCATGGAAAATAGGCTTCATTATGGTGTTGGCAACAATAACTGGATTCTCTACTCTGGATTCTAATTAGTATGTAAAAAATATCATTTCGGGGATAAAAATAAAAAGCAGATTATGTGGGACTCTCTCTCTCCCCATCTCTGTCTGGGTTGACATCTTCATAGCCTTGAGGTAAATAAATCAGTGTTTTCTCCACATATGGAATCATGGGCATATTTTTTTGTTTTCCTTTGTGCTATTCTTTATTTTCAAAACTTTCTGCAATAAATATATATCATTTTTTAAATCAGAAAAATCCTTGTGAAAATTGAGACACTAATCCACACTTAGATTTCTAGAAGATACTAGTAATTTCTTTGGACAATATGAGACTCTGCTTTCTAATTAGAACACTAGTGCAATTGTAGCTCCAACAATGATGAGACTTCTTAGGGAGAACTTGAGTGGTGGACATAGGAAAATAATATGTTATTTAATCAGGAAAATAAAATTAGAGCAATGTCTTGAAGATTTGAAATGCCAGGGACCTGCAAAAAAAAAAAAAAATCCCATCGCCAGCTTTGATTTATATAATATTTTCATTAAAGAACAATGGAGGACAGGAACAGCAGTTGCTTTGAATTACATGCTATTTGTGATCAGCAATAGTGGATTAACAAGGTTTTACTGCGTTTCAGATGTTTCTCGATGATTGATTGTCGACATTCATATCTACATATGCTTACCAGTCTCTGGGGGCACAAACTCTTTGAAACAGAGGCAGATCTTTTATTGATTCTGCACAAGAGCAGACCACACTGGAGAAGCCCTAATACACTGGCAGAATATTTAGACCATTGATATCAGCGTGCAGACTATTTACCTCAGAATCCCAAGGCCAAGGTGGAAACAGTCTGGGAGCAATGCCTACAAAGGCTTTTTTATGACTAGCCCCTAGCAAGCACACAGCTTTCCCAGTCAGCAAAGGCACTTGGCTCCAGCTTGTCATGAAAATGTGGGCATGGTCTCAGGCCCGGATCCGGGAAAGCAGCCACTGTCCTGGTCCATGAGCAGACTTCCATGAGCAGAGCAAGAAACCCTGGCTGCAAGTCTCCTAGAAGCCGAGAATGTCGTCTCCTGAGTGGCCCCAACACCAGTTCCTGTGTGGAGAAGTGGGAGAAGCTTTCAGACTGAGGCCTGCAGAAGCAAAATTCCCCAATTCCCAGCCAAAGAACATAATCTTGAAGTAGAAAAACAAATGAAATTCATACAAACTGAATCCAACAATTCCTTTTCCTCATTGGAAAGGAAATGGTTGGGTGAAGATTTTGGATGAACACTACACAGGGCCATGACTCCTTTCTTCTTGCAGCAGAGGCCGGAGTAACGGGGTCAGAAGGTTCAGCTTGTTGGTCCCTCTGATTGGCAGCTTTCTCCTTGGGGCTCCGTGTACCGTCATGAGAGGCTTCGTTTGGTTCTTAAATTTTGTTCAGCTTCTGGTTCTTTGACCAATAGCAGCAATTGGATTTCTTAACCAGAATTAAATTGTTAAGTCCCTTATTGCACAAGGGAGGAAACGTTCTCAAGTAATTTTCATTCAGATGAAATGGGGGTAAACTGGTCTTGAAATAGTTAGAAGGAAAGAATTAAAATAGTAACTCTATTCCCAGGTATGTTTTTCTCCCGTAGGAAACAGTGGTTTAAAGTTTATGGAGCAGGTTAACGAGTTGGAGAGCCTTGCCTTTTGGCCCATGTCCTAAAATAAGACTTTTAAACACACTTCAAAAATATACAGCACTTCTCATTAATGGCAAATAAAGAATTGAGTCTTGAATCAGGATGTAAAGGCAGAATGATTCATATAGTATTATGTAGCAAAAATGAGGTTTTTCAGAAATGAAAAATTTCATTCATTAAATGATTCCTGGAATGCTATGGGCATTTATTTTGCTTTGCTTTTTTTCTCTGTGCTCTTTGATATTTTTCAAATTTCTCTTCAATAAATACTTATTAGTTGACTAGAGAAAATGAACTAAGTTGGAAAGTTGAAAAATTGATGTAATAGAAAGAAGACCTTTCAAGAAGTGGAGAGTTGTCTTCAAAAGTCTGTAGAAAAGGAAAAAAAAGTTTTTTTGTTTTGGCTTTACTTGAAGGCAGTGGGATGGATTGGAGGACTTTTAAGCTTGTTCTTTTATGCTGGTTTTGTTTATCTTTTGTGGCTCCAAAGCAGAAAACTTTGTTCTCTTTCCTACTATTAAGCTAATGGGACTGCGTATAACTGGAAAACCTGAGCATCTCTGAGCTTGTTGTTGTTGTTGTTTTCTCTTGATGTCAGTTTTTATTCAACTGTATCTCTTGTATCACCTGAACCAGCACATCGATTCATTTGTCCTACATAAGATGCTGCATGTCAGAAGAGCTACTAATCTGTGGGTTTTATGGTGACATATGAGAGTAGGTTAGGCTAAACATCAGTTGCATAAATTCTTTAGAGCTTGGAACCAATCTTAATAGTATAAAATACAAATGCAACATTGATGCCCCTTCCCTCCCTCATTTGCTTTTTTCCTTTCATCATATTTTCTTGCTTCAATCCCTCCTCTTTCTCTCTCTGCCTTTCCCATCCTTTCCTTACTTCGTTCTTTCCTTCCTTCCTTCCTTTTTGTTTCCCTCCTCCCTTCTTCCTTTCCTTTTTTAGAAAACATTCACTGAAGACATACAACAAACTAGGGACTCTGTTAGGCACCAGAGATATTAAAAAGTAATAATTAAGCACAATCCCTACCCTCAGGGAGCTTATGTACTAAAGGGAAAAAAATCCCTTAAGGGAAGACAACAATATGTGAATTTGTCTGAACCGTTCAAGGGAGGGAGGAAGGAAGAAAGAAAAGAGAAGATATGAGAGGTATACCTGGGGGCTACCAAAGTTTTTTCAAAAAATAGTCCCCCTCCCATATTCTATGAAGAATAGGTCTCCAGTGATTAGCAAACACATAAGTATTCTCTCAAGTTAGTCTTGGGAAGAGGAGCTTCATGGCAATAATGAAAGCAATATTAATAAAATCATTCTTAACATCAGAGCACTGGTATGGCAGAGGTGGCCATAACCAGAGGCAGTGTCTCACCTCATTGTCTAATTTGAGAGGTGGCAGCACCCATATTTCCTGCACTGCAAGAAAGTTAAAAAATAATCAATCTGTGCAGTGCAAAGAAATATCTTGAGAAATTTAAGTAAGCTCCTTTTAGATATTTTCTTTCCTAATATTAAGCTAATGGGACTGTGTATAACTGGAAAAGCTGAGCATCTTTGGGCTTGATGTTATTTTCTCTTGAAAATAACACACATTTTATCAATTCAATGTAAATTTAATTAATTCAATGCAAATTTAATTAATTTAATGTATTAAGTCAATGTAAATTAAGTCAATGTAAATTTAATTAAATTAATTTATTAAATCAATGTAATTTTAATTAATTTAATTTATTAATTAATGTAAATATAAAATTAACAACATTGTCTCTTAAAAATAATACAATTTCAACCCAAATCTCTCTCTTTTCACATTAATAATACTTTTAACATATTATAAGCAATTATGCCAAAAGATTCCTGTATCTGAATTGCATATATGCCTAGAATCCGGTATTTTGCTTATTGGTGGTCTCCAGATGCTGGAGGTGTTTCTTATTCCCACAGCCCTGCCTCCCTCTTGCTTGACCTTACTGATAGCGCTCTGGGGACACGCAGAATATGGACCCAGTGAGTTGGACAATGGCTACATCATCAACAAACATCCAACAAGTGACCCAGTGGCCTGGAAGCAGAGGAAAGGACAGAAAATTGGTAGGAAGGTGGCATGAGAAGATTCTGTGGAGAAGGAAGTTTCTATCATACTGGCAGGAAGAATGAAGTGGTCATCTAGGCCAGGGGATGAGCTCTCACACGGGAGCCATGTGCAGTGTCTGGAGACACATTTGGTTGTCACGCTGGGACAGAGATGCTCTTGGCATCTAGTGCGTAGTGCTCAGGGACGCTGCTAAACATCCTACAATGCACAAGACAGGTCCCCACAACAAAGAATGATCCAGCTTCAAATGTCCAATAGTGCTGAGGTGGAGAAATCTTGCTTTATAAAAGAGACAGAAAAGCCTGAGCGATGATGAAAACAGGGCATCTGAAGACTTTGTCCTCAGAAGTAGAGGTGAGGAAGACAAGGCATATTCACCAGATCCCGGCTTTCTTGTCCTGCATGTCCATGAGGGTAGAAGATTGTGCTTGGCAATCTCATTAAACCCCAAATGCATAAGCAACCAAAGTCCATAATATCCTGCCTAAATTGAAAATGAAAACTTGACACCTAGACTGTAATTAGCAAGAATGAACAGCTTCCTCATTTCCCCAAATTCAGCAGGGCATTTTAACACTCAGTCATCTCATTTCCTCCCAGAGCTGTAAAGGTGTCATGATTTCAGTCTCCCTGCGGTGGAGTTTCTCTGTAACACGGAGCCTGGCCATTCCACTTTGGGGATGTTTTTGACGGCTGTGTCCAATGGCATTAAGATGCTGTCATGAGCTGTGTTGACTTTCCTCCAGTCAGAGCTGTCCCTGAGGATTTCCTGGTTTTAAGGACAAGCCCTGAGGAAGAATGAGCTGCCTTTGAAAATCAGCCTTGCCCGCTTGTGCAGTAGCTCTCTGAAGTCATTCACACAGAGCCCACAGTGCTGCTTGTGGGTTATTCCAGAAGCGTCTCTTCAGCCTGATTCCCCATGGGGAACGGGAGGCCTGTGGAGTTTCTCTCTGGCTGTTCTCCATGCCTGGGGCATTTCCCATGCCACCACCTGTGAGGACAGTTGTACTCAGCAAATGTTAGCATCGCTCGAGCAAGTCCACTAAGAAAAGATTGACTTGGAAATGTTAAGAATACATGTATTTCAGGGCGTAGAAATAGAACCCAGGAGGGAGCAGGCAGCTTTATGTTTTTGGCATCAAATCCAGTGGCATTGCTTAATGAGGACTGCCTCTCCAATGGGATCAAGGGCTTGGGCTCTGCAGGCTGGTTGGCCCCCGTGAGCTCCAAGATTGAGGGCTCATGCACTGGTACTTCTGCTTCCAGTCAATCATTTGATGGTTTCAAACATACCCTTGACAGCAACCTTCTCCATTTCAGGATGTCGGGAGTGCCAGGTCTGAATGCAGGGAGGAAGCAAGAGACAACTGATAACAGATGCTGTGATGTGGCTACCCTCCCTCCTTTCTCTGCCTACACCCGATTCTCCAGGGCCCCAGGGTCAGAAGCCTTGATTGAGCTCATAGTTCCAAGTTGACAGCTGGAGGTTTATTCTTATCTGTATCTCTTGCTGCTTCTCAATCTGGCCTCACCAAGATGGATTCACCCTAAGGCCTGACCTGGGGATTTAAACCCAAAATATTCATCTGTGTCACCCTCTGCATTAACTTATTTATTGGGTGCTGACTGCAGACTCCCCAAAACAGCGGGGTCACCAGACCGCTACACAGCCAACTCCATTTGGATAGGCCTGCTTCCAAATTTCTAACTCTGGACTCTGTCTTCCTCACTTGACCCTGTCTTCTCTCACTCTCATTCTTTTGGGGATGAAAGAAAATGGGAATAGAAGGGAATCATACTTTATTTGGAAAATGGATAAAACCTAATATAATTGAGGTTGAAGAGCAATAAAGTGAAAGCTAAAATATGCAGAATCATTGTCTTATTTAGAGACATTTGTTGTCTATGTTTTAAAAATTGCTCATCAGGGTTTACATTCTATCACTCCAGGTGAAAGACTTATAGCAGAGCCAGATGATTTTTCCTCCTTTAATTAGAAAAATACGTGCTCTTTGTAAGTAATGAAACGACCAAAGATGTGAAAGGAAGACTAAACGATCCACACAGCCCCGCTTCCTACTGCACATTGAAAACCATTGTTAAGAGCTTTGTGGATGTCCTTCACTGCTTTCTCCACATTCATGTAAAAAGAGACAAATACAAGTAACCACATTTATTAGTTACACGTTGCTGCATTAGAAATTATCCAAACTTACTGGCTTGACACAACACATATTTATTATCTCATGGTTTCTGTGGGCCAGGCATCTGGGCACAGTTTAGCTGAGTCTTCTGCTCAAGGTCTCACAAAGCTGCCATCAAGGTGTCAGCTGGGCTGCATTCTCATGTGAGGCCCAACTGGGGAAGAATCTACTTCCAAGCTCACTCAGGTTGTTGGCAGAATTTGTTTTCTTGTGGCTGCAGAAATGCCAGTTTCTTGCTTGCTGTTGGCTGGAGGTCACTTCAAGTTTCAGAGGACACTGAGAGTTTGCTGTCACATGGCTTTCACAATATGGCCACTTGCTTCTTCAAGGCCAGCAATGAGAGTCTCTCTAGTGTGTGCTACCAAGGTGGAGTTTTATATAACTATATCATGATGTAATATCACAAGAGTAGCATCCCATACCCTTTGCCATATTCTACTAGTTAGAAGCAAGTTGCAGGGCCTGCCCACACTCGGGGTGGGGGGGGGGCGGTTATACAAGGGTGTGAACACCAGGAGGTAGGGATCATGGGGCCCTCCTAGTTTCTAGCCACCACAGCATCCCAGGTGATTCTTGTGTACAAGAGCTGTCTGCAACACTATATAGGGGGTTCTTGGTCATTGCTGTTTGCATTTTTACTCATGGCACTATACCAGTGATGAAGCCTGCAGCTTGCTTTTATGACTTTCATTTTTTTGAGGTGGAGTCTCGCTCTGTTGCCCAGGCTGGAGTGCAGTGGTGCGATCTCGGCTCACTGCAAGCTCCACCTCCTGGGTTCACGCCACTCTCCTGCCTCAGCCTCCCAAGTAGCTGGGACTACAGGAACCCGCCACCATGCCCGGCTAATTTTTTTTCTATTTTTTAGTAGAGATGGGGTTTCACCATGTTAGCCAGGATGGTCTTAATCTCCTGACCTTGTGATCTGCCTGCCTCGGCCTCCCAAAGTGGCTTTTATGACTTTTTAACAGATGTGTAGAGAATTTGTGGTTCCACATAAATGACAGTGTAACTAACCTTTCTGGGGTTGATTTACATTCAGATTGTTTCCAGTTTTTGCCACTGTAGTTGATATCTTTTTACATAGGTGCTTAATAAGTGGTACATTCTAGCAGGTATTGGAATACTATGGTCTGTGGACCAAATCTGGCTTGTTACCTGTAATAGTTTTTGCATTGTTAGCAGGTTGTTAAAAAAAAAAAAAATATGTGACAGAGACCATATGTGGTCCTCATTGCCTAAAATATTTACTATTTAGCCCTTTACAGAAAAAGTTGCCAATTTATGTCCTATAGAATAGGTTTCAACAGAGTGAGAATATCTTATGCAGTTTGCAATTTTTTTTTTTTTAACAGAGTTTCACTCTTGTTGCCCAAGCTGGAGTGCAATGATGCAATCTTGGCTCACTGCATCCTCCACCTCCTGGGTTCAAGCGATTCTCCTGCCTCAGCCTCCTGCATAGCTGGGATTACAGGTGCACGCCACCATGCCTGGCTAATTTTTTGTATTTTTAGTAGAAACGGGGTTTCACCATGTTAGCCAGGCTGGTCTCAAACTCTTGACCTCAGGTGGTCCGCCCGCCTTGGCCTCCCAAAGTGCTGGGATAACAGGTGTGAGCCACCGCGCCCCGCCAGCAGTTTGCAAATTTAATAAACATTACCAGATTACTTTCCCAAAATACTAGTAGCGAGTCATGCTCCCCCAGGAAAGTGTTGAGTGTCCAGAGTCTTGATGAATGATGGATATTATTGTTCCTTTTCATTTCAATTAATCTGGTGGGTGGCAAATTACACGTTCTATTGTTTCTATTTGAATTTTTAGAACTAGAGAGATTGAACATTTTTTCAAACACTTATTGTTTTTTTTTTTTTTAATTTTCTCTTCTTGACATGTATATTCATTCTGTTCCTTCTTTGCTCATTTTTGACTGGATTATGTTTTCCTACATTGCGTAAATATGTACTAAGGGTTAATATCGACCAGGCTCAAGTGACCAGGCTCCAAATTCAGCAGCGAATGTACTCTGAAAGTCTTTTAATCATTCTGTAAGATCTCTTAAAATAGAATGGATACTAATCCCAAGGAATGGTTCTATATTTTACTTGATTAGTAGTCAAACATATCCAACTTTTCCTATTTAGGAAACTCTCCCCTGTCCCTTATTTATGCAAACTTTCTTCTAAAATTTATTTTACTTTTTAAAATGATTTGACTGATCTATTTGATGATTCCTGTACCATTGCCCCACTATTTTAATAAGAGGGTCTTTCCAATACATTTTAAAATATCATATGGCAAGTTCTCCCTCTTTGCTCTCTTTTTTGGTTATTATTGACTCCTCTTAGGAATTTAATTTTCTAAATGAACCTTAAAATCACTTTAGTTATTCTCACATATGAGTATAATTTTGAATCTTGCTTTTTATCTGTTCTTTAGATTATTCCATTTGTTTCATTAACAGTAACCTATAAAACAATGTTGAATGGTACTGATAAAACTGAGCATTGCTTGTTTCACCCCTGATTTGAAAGAAAATCATGCTTGCTATTGACTTGTACAAGTAAGGTCTGTTTTCTCCAAATAATTTCCATTATTCCTATTTAAATAAAATTTTTATTATAAGTGGTTGTTGAAATGTATCAGATTTCTTTTGGAAAATCTATTAATATTTTATGTATTTTTCTTTTTTTAAAAAAGTAATTATGTTGATAGGTTTCCTACTATTGGAATATCCTTCCATGCCTAGAATCAACCCTACCTGTTAATGGTGCTTTTATCTCTCTCTTATTCTCTCTCTCTCAATCATTTTAAAATAATGCTGGACCTAAGTTGCTAATGATGAAATTGCTATACGGATTTCTAGTTCCATCTTTATCAGGGTTTAGAATAAAGCTTATGCCAGATTCATAAAGTTCATTGGGAATTTTTCGTATTTTGTGTCTTTTGAAACTATTTAAATACATAGCAAGCACCTGTTTTTTTAAATGCTTGGTGGAATTTAGCTCTAAGATTATTATGGCCTGGTGTATAACTGTTAGATCATTGCCAATTACTTTTTCAATATCATCTATGATTATTGTTTTACTTTTTTCATGTTTTCTACTCTTTTCTGGCCAATTTTGGTAATTCATATCTTGCCAGGAAATTATAATTTCCCTTTAAATACTTTCGCTTTTCAATTGTCATTGAGTCGCATAATGCCCTCTTTATAGAAAACTTCCATTTCTATGGTTATATATCCATTTTCATTCCTGACAAAAAATATAGAATATTTTTCTTGAGAGGAACTCATCTATTTTATTTTTATTTTTTAAAAGTCAAGATTATTGAGGTATACTTTATATACAGTAAAATTTGCCTTTTTAAGAATACAATTCAGTGAGTTTTGGCAAATGCGTACAGTTGTGTAACTACCACTACAATGAAGATAACATTTCTGACACCCTCAAAAGTTCCCTTAGGCCCTTTTGTAATGAACCACTAGCCCCACTGGCAGCCCCTGGCAATCACTGATCTATTCTGTGTCTCCATAATTTTGCTTTTTGCAGGATGACATGTAAATGGAATTATAGAGGATGTGGATTTTACTTAGCATAATGTGTTTGAGTTCAGACACATATGAGTAGTATCTTCCTTTTTATTGCTTTACTTGTGTCTTTATTTATTTGATGTAAGACTTTCTATGTTATCTAATTTTTTCTGTTTTTGAGACAGAGTCTCACTCTGTCGCCCAGGCTGGAGTGCAATGGTGCTATCCCGGCTCACAGCAACCTCCGCCTCCCAGGTTGAAGTGATTCGTCTGCCTTAGCCTCCCGAGTAGCTGGGTTTACAGGCATGAGCCACCACATCCAGCTAATTTTTGTATTCTTAGTAGAGATGGTGTTTGACTATGTTGCCCAGGCTGGTCTCAAACTCCCAACCTCAGGTGATCTGCCTGCCTTGGTCTCCCAAAGTTCTGGGATTACAGGCATGAGCCACTGCACCCGGCCCATGTTATGTATTTCTTATTGAGTGAGCTTGGCAGTTTGTATCGTATTTTTTTTTTTTTTTGAGATAGAGTCTCACTCTGTTGCCCAGGCTGGAGTGCAATGGCGTGATCTCGGCTCACTGCAATCTTGGCTCACTTGAACCCACCTCCAGGGTTCAAGTGATTCTCCTGCCTCAGCCTCCTGAGTAGCTGGGATTCCAGGTGTGCGCTACCACGCCCGGCTAATTTTTGTGTTTTTAGTAGAGACGGGGTTTCACCATGTTGGTCAGGCTGGTCTCAAATTCCTGACCTCGTGATCCACCCGCCTCGGCCTCTCAAAGCGCTGGGATTACAGGAGTGAGCCACCGCACCCGGCTTGCCGTTTGTATCTTTCAAGAAACTTTTCCATTCATCTAAGTTGTCAAGATTTTAATATTGTCTTATTATCTTTTTAATGTCTATAGGATTTCTTGAGAGGTCCTCTCATATCTGCTGTTGTTAATTTTTGTTTCCTTTCCTTTTCTTCCTGTTAGTCTCCCTAGAAGATTATCAATTATATTGAAATTTTCAAAACTGAGATTTTTATGACACTGATTTTCTCTATTTTTAAAAAATTCAATTGATTTCTGCACTTACTCTTAATATTTCCTTCCCTCTGCTTGCTTTGCTTTTAATTTTCTCTTCTTTTTGTAATCACTTATGGTGGAGGCTTAGACAATTGAAGCACTTCTTTTTCTTCAATAGGATCATTTAATGTGCCAATTTAACTGCATCCTGTACAGTTTGACATGTTATATTTTAATTTTTGTTCAATTCAAAATGTTTTCTAATTTCCATTCTGACTTCTTTTATGACCCAGGGGTTATTTAGGAATTTTTTTATTTCCAAATATTTGGGGATTTACATATATCTTCACATTATTGATTTCTAATTTAATTCTATTGTCATTAAGGTGTATACTTAGTACAATTTCAAGTTTTTAAAAATTTGTAGAGGTTTGTTCTATGGCCCAGAATATAGTCTAACTTTCTGAATATTCAATGATTACTTGAAACGAAAGTATTCTGCAGTTATCTATAATGTTAATCAGGTCAAGTTTGTTGGAAATATTGGTCACTTCCTGATGATATTTTTGTCTACTTGCTCTATTGATTACTAAGTGAAGAATGTTGACATCTCCAACCATGACTGTGGATTTATCCTTTCTTCTTCTTCTGTTTCTCCTCCTCCTCCTCCTCCTCCTCCTTTTTGACATTGACTCCCCTCTGTTGTCTAGGCTGGAGTGCAGTGGCACAATCTCTGCTCACTGCAACCTCCACCTCCTGGGTTCAAGCGATTCTCATGCCTCAGCCTCCCGAGTAGCTGGAATTACGGGTGCCTGCCACCACATCTGGCTAATTTTTGTATTTTTGGTAGGGGTGGGGTTTTACCATCTTGGCCAGGCTGGTCTCGAACTCCTGACCTCAAATGATCTACCCACTCTGGCCTCCCAAAGTACTGGGATTACAGACATGAGCCACTGTGCCCAATCTGTTGTTTCAAATCTATCATTTTTTTGCTTCATGAATTCTGAAGGTGGCTCAGTCCATTTTATGCTGCTATAACAAAATATTTGAGGCTGGGTAATTTATAAAGAGTAGGAATTTATTGGCTTACAATTGTGGAAGCTGGGACATCCATGATCTGGAGGCTGGCATCTGGTGAGGACATTCTTGCTATGTTATCACATAGTGGAAGGCATGCGCACGTAGGTGCACACATGTGAGAGAAAGAAGGAGGGAGAAAGAAGGGGACTGAACTCACTCTTTAATAACAGACCCACTTCCATGGTAATGGCATCAATCCATTCATGAGGGAGGAGCCCTTGTGGTCTAATCATCTCTCGTTAAGTCCCACCTGCCAATACTGTTGTATTTGAGATTCAGTTTCCAACATATGCTTTTTGCAGAACACATTCAAACCATAGCACAAGGTCTGTTTTTAGATGCATACTCTTTAGAGTTGATAGCTTTTCTTGGTGAATTGACCTCTTTGTTATGTGATGTCTCTCTTTATCCCTGGAAATGTCCCTTTTTTGGAAGCTTACTTTGCTCTTCATATAGCCACTCCAGCTTTCTTTTAATTAGCGTTTGGATGTTATTATCTTTTGCTATCCTATTACTTTTAACCCATCTATGCCTTCATTATTTAAATTGAGTTTCTTATATATTGCAAATAGCCTGGAGTTGTTCTTGAGTTACTTTGGGAAATGTGGATGTGACTAATTCATTTAAAGGGGCTGAAAAGCAATAACCCTGGGAACATGGTAACAGGTTCTGAAGTGATGAAGGACACAGAAATTGGCCCATGCAAAGAAGCAGGGCAGTAGCATTGAGTTGGTAATCTGAGATAGGCATTGAGTGGAGTTCCAAGTAGAAATCCATTGCTGCCTGGAAAATCCAGAGATCACTCTGGAAATCAAGTCAGAAGGAGTTCAAGGCCAGAGAACCCAGCTACTGAGGGGAATTAAAGAAGGAGGTTGAGATTGTGATACTGCAATGCAGAATAGGGAGTTTGTTTTCCGGAAAACTGGGTGGAGCTACCAAGGAGGTAGGGCACTTCTCCAAGACAAAAGCAGATAGTGATACCTTAGAGCCCACCTTATTTGCATGTGAATTATCTTAAAGTGTAGGGTGAACTGAGCCAGCAAGTAGCAATTATGTAAGTGCAATTTCCAACTTAGAATTTAGTGACAGAAGCCAGGCAGGAGATGATAAAATACACTAATGGGCAGGCTTACTTGCCCAAATTCAAGGTTTTATCTTTATCAGATGACCTGCAGCCACTATAAAGAGAGGATAGAATTTGCTGGAAGGTAGATGTTCTAGCTTTTCTTTTAATATTATTTTTTATTTTGTAAAATATAGGATTGCTGCAAATATGAAGCGCTTTTTATAAACACAAGTCTTAAAAAGAGAATGGTGGAAGCTGTGGGCTTAAGAGAAGGTTACAAATAAAACTCATTCATGAGAAATTAGAATTTCACTCTAAATTTTTATAGACCACCTACCATATGGCAAATATTGGGCTAAGCCAGTCCTGGTCTCAAATTTCAGGGATATTACAGTCTAATGGGGGCAAATAAACAGAAACGGTAAACAAAATGTATACAAATACTAGGTTGCAACAGTGACAACACTATGAAGGGAGGCATAGGTTGCTTTTTGGATCAATATTAGGGGAATTTGGCTTAGGCAGGGAGATCAGGAAATGGTGGTTGAGAGGCCATCTGAAATATTGGCCTTAGTTAGGAAGGTGAGGGAAAAGTGGTCCAAGTGGAGGTTTGTGGCTGACCAGAACATGGCTACAACAGCCAGTGTGGCCAGAGTGCAGGGGAAAAGAGGAGAATGGTCCAAGATGACGCTGAGGAGATATGCAAGCACAAGACAATGGAGGGGCTTATCAGCACCATGGAAGAGTTTCATGGAAGGTAGGTCAGAAACTTGGAAGGACTTTTAGTCAGTGTATGGGGGTTGGGAGTGGGACGAAAATGATGGAAAGAGTGTTCCGAAGCGTGCATGATGTGGTATAATTCAGAGATTACCTTGGCTGCTCTGGGAGAGGAATTAAAGGAGAAGATGTGGTGTAGATTACAGGTAGACCAGTTAGCGGGTTATTTCATCTATTTAATCTGTAGATGTGTGACATGTGAAAGCTCATACTTGGAGGTTGAGTGCAGAAGTAGAGAGAACTCGGCCAGTTAAAGAGATATTTAAGAAATAAAATCAACAGGACTTGGTGATGGACTGGACATGGAGGGTGAGAGAGACATCAAACCTGAACCTTTGGTTTTTGGTTCATGAACATGATTGGCCAGGACAAGGTTTTAAGAAGAGATCATGAATGCAGTTTGGATATGTTGAACTTGAGATGGACTTTAGGCACCCAAAACTGATTACTGCAAAAAAATAGGTCAATGTGTAGGGCTGAGCTCAGTGGAGAAACCAGACCTAGAGATTTGAATTTGGGAGGCTTCTGCACAAAATGGTGATTGAGTGATGGCGTGAATGGCATTGCCTAAGGAAAGATTTAAAAAGAAAGAAATGGTCAACACCACAAAAGCTGCTGTATGTCAAGACGAGGTCAAGAAAACATCTATTAGAATACGTATTGATGTAGATGCCATTTTTTATTTCAGTGAGCACTATCTTGGTAGAGTGAAGACACTGAACTCCCAATAGAGTGTGGGGGAGTTGATTCTTCACAATGATCGGTGAGAATCAGAAGCAGCGGGTCTGAACAGCCCTTTGAGAAGCTTGACAGAGAAGAGGAGGTAAGGGAGGGCAGTAGTTGGAGGGAAAATAAGATTGGTGAAGAGGTAAGATAAGCATTATTATTTTGAAATGCTTTAGTGAAAATGAACAGCTTTTAATGACCATAATAAAAATTGAACTTTGAGAATAAATAGACTGTGCAAAAGAACCAGTGTTCATTAAATCATTTTTCTGTGCTACTTCTCAATTGGTAATTGGTTTTCGGCCACGAAATATTTGTTCATTAATTGCTCTGCTTCCTATTTAACCATGCTTTAATGATTCTCTTAGGAGAACATGGCTGAAGAAGACCCAAAGAGAGATCCTAATTCCTTTCCATAAATTGCCCATTACTAAGATGATAGAACAATTACAAGAAAGGTTGTTCTGTAAGTCCTTAACCCCATTTTTATTTTACATTTTTGAATGTGCATTCCGTAGTGAGCATGGTACTCAGGAAAAGGGATTTTGTTAGTCCCACGTCTCCCTTTTTGTCCTCCTATTATAATTGTGAGCAATTGCCTTCTTCAACATATTTCACTTGTGTATTTTTTTTTAAAGGCAAGATGTGGGCTACCCTGTGGAGTGTATGACATGCCCTTCAAGTTGACTTTGAAAGGTAATTAATTATGGTAGTGTCTGTTCAGTTTCAAAAGTTCAAATTAAATATCCTTCAAAACTCGTATCAAAGGGAATATATTTTACACACCTGTCATTTGTGAGAAAGGCTGATTTGAGTCAAAATTAGGAAGGAGGTAAAGCTCATCATTAGAATGCTGGCACAGCCACCCTGGTCTGTTGAATGAACCAATCTTCTAATACCCCTTGAGTGGCCCTGTCTTAAGTACTTCATTACTACTTTTCCAGGAGTTCTGTGATTTCACAGAATTTATGGTAAGTCATTGTTGAAAGGACCTTTAAGAGCTTACAGAGGCCTAGACAAGAAGGCACATGGCTGGGCCCTCAGTGTGTAAGGGGATAGTTAGAGAATACCCTGAGGGCTTTGAGCTGCCAGTCCAGTACCGTGTCCACTACAGTAGGGGTCAGCAAACTACAGTCCACAGGCCAAATCCAGCTCAATGCCTGTTTTTGTAAATAAAGCTTTATTGGAACAAAACCACACCCCTTCATTGACATATCCTTTATGACTGCTTTTTCTCTATAGCCACAGAATTGAGGAGTAGTTCAGTAGTTGCCATAGGGATAGTATGGGCTGCAAACTTTAAGTATTCACGATTTGACCCTTTATAGAAAAAAATGCTGAGCCCTGTGACTTGCATTGGCTGCCAATCCTGGTTGCACTTCAGAATTGCTAAAAAAAAAAAAAAAAAAAAAAAAAAAAAGGAAAGAAAAGAAAAGTACAGGCTGCTGAGCCATGCTCTTGTGCTCTTGATTTTCTCATCCCTCATCTTTCAGGATGGGATCCAGGAATCCTCATTTGCAGAAAAGATGGTTTAAATGCTCAGTCATGTTAAGAATCACTGCATTACATCCTGCTCTCTCTAAAAGCACATTGCCTTGAAAACACATCTCAGGTGGTAAGTGCCTTTCTATATGGGCTATGAGACTGGAAGCAGCTCCCCAGGGCAGTGCTTCACACACTTCCACTAGTATCAAAATCCCCTGGGGTGACTGCTAGTCCCACCCCAAAGATTCTGATCAGCAGGTCTCGGGGGAGGCAGGAGAACTGACAGTTCTAACAAGCTCGCAGGTGATGCAGATGCTGCAGATTCCTGGACCACACTTTGCATAGCACTGACCAAGACCAAAGGCTTGCATCTCTAGTGAGAGAAAGTCAGGTCCATGGGATGGGGTTGAGGATATATGTATGGACCAACTGCTAGGATTCTCCTAGATCACACTGTAAAGACTCCCAGTGCTCTGTTCAAATAATCATTGCTCTTCTCTTCCTCACCCCATCTATAAGACTTGAAATCAAGCAAACCTTGTTCTGGGTTTCCACTTCTATATAGGCTTTCTTTTATTGTGTTTTAAAAATTCCCTGGAGAATATTTTGAGTGTTGCAAAAGAATTGTATTTTGAATAGGGAAAGGCAAATAGTGGATGAGAGACAGTAAAAGAAAATGAATTATATGTCATAAAGTAGTATGAATAAATGGTAGATGTTGAATAAATATTTGTCAACATCATAACTGCAAAAACACAAAATGATGAAAAGGCAACAGAGACAGGCAGAGACAGAGGGTCTTGGTGCCACAAAAATGATTTTATTTTGAACCAGAAAGGAACAGCAATCAAGACAATAGTCAGGGCCGAGGGCTTGGCAGTGTGACTTAAGTACCGGGGATTGAATTTGTCCAGGTGCAAGGAGTGACATAAAGAGAATCAATTTTTCATGTCCAAGCCAAGCTGATACAGATGATGATACTTATCAGTGATTCCCATTTACACAGGCTTGGATTGCTTTTCAGATATCAGATTTTTGGAACTATTTTATAAATATTTTTAAAGGTGATGGAGCCACTGGAGTGTAGGTGAATTGGTGCCCCTCCCCTTTTCTTTTTGGGTGTATCAAGCATATAATCAATGACAGGAAAAGTGAAAGGTTTTTATGAGAGTTTTGCATTAAAAGAAAACCAACGATCAAGTTTCTACACTGCAGCACTGTTGATATTTGAGCAAGACAACTCTTCGTGGTCGGGGGCTGCGCTTGCACTGTAGGATGTTTAACGGCGTCCATGACCTCTACGCACTAGATGCTGGTAGCTTCCCTTCCCCGGCTGCGACAACCAAAAGTTGCCATTGCATTGCCAAATGTCTCCTGGGGGGCAAAATCGAGCACTGGTTGAGAAGCGCTGTTTTCAAAAACATCCTCCTGCCCCCATCATTGTCTTGGTGTGCTTTTTACCATTTTATTAAGATAGACCAGATGGTCAACTTCCCAACACCAAATGCACATGTATGCCAGCATATATGCGTGTCTCTTTGCAGGTATCTGCATGTTCCTGGAGCTGAGATGGAATTCCACGGTCACTGGAGGACGTTAGTTCAGTTCCTCAGCAAGTTTAAGGTCAATATATCAGTACCGTAATAAAAAAGCCTGTCTGTATTCAAGCTGTTTCTTTTCCTCCAGCAGAAACCATCGTCAATATTTGCAGTCAGTTTTTGAAGTCACTTTCTTTTAAAGCTGGAAAGAATCTTCACCCAGGCCCACCCTCATCTTAATCCACTATTTAGAGTCCTACTTGAATGATATCGCCAGCAACTTTCAACTTTGGATCCAGATTTCTTTATTTGTATCCACCAGGAAGAGAGGTACCACGTTTCTGAGTTCTTTTATGAGCACTCGCTATGTAATTTGCAAGGCCCAGTGCGAAGTGAAAACGCAGGCCCCTTGTTCAAAAATTGTTAAGAATTTCAAGACATCAACAGCAGAGCATTAAATCAGGCTTAGGGCCCTTCTGAACTCCTGGGCTCTGGGCATACCCATGACACCAGACCTGGCAGTCTTGGTTGGTGCTGCATTGATTTTGTTGTATTAATTTAATTGGCACTGCCATCTCTTTTGCCCCTGTATCGCAGTGTTTCCTGTGGTGAGGACCCCAAATAATAAAATACTGTGACCTCAATCAGTTTAAAGAGAATGCAAAATTACACTGCAGCAAATTTTTACAGCATACATTTTTTAGACTTTCAAAAAAAAAATTCACACGGGAATCTTTTCTACATCATTATAGTAATTAAACACGGTGGCCTTTCACCATATACATATTTTCCTGTAAATATGACAACCTGGAACTAGTAACTGCTACTATCCACAATGCTTTTAAGTTAGCCAAGAGTGAGACTTCCACAACAAAATTATGACATAATCTCTCATGTCCTTATAAAAATAGCCAAACATACCCTAAATGGCTTACTGTGAAAATTTGAGTAGTAACTTCTTAATATTGAAAAACATTATTTTCATGGAAATATTGTCCTTCTACTAAGTGTTTTATGTTAACATCATAAGGCAAACTGTAGCATTTATTGGTACCTGGAGACCGTGATTTTAAAAACTCAGAAGCTGAGTTTTAGACCCTTTTATTTAGAACCTGTTAGTGTACAAAGTGCATTAAAATATCCATTATCCAGTTACCCAAAATGTATGTAAAAATTACTGAGACAACCCTTTCAGTTTACTCAGAGAAGGCAAACACACATTGCTTTTATATTGTAATAAAAAGAAAAACCTATAAGGTTTCCAGAGAAAGATTGTTTTTTTTCCATTGAGGCGTCCATCTTTTAGATGTGAAATTGTCTTAGGTATCTATCAAAATATTCATCTGGGTATAAATAATATAGTAAATATATAGAATCTATCTGTTAAGAAAAAGGAGAGTGTCTGCTAGGGAAGAGGATGGAAGGACCCAGGAAGCTGGCTTGGCCTCCCTTGAAATCCAGATTTGCAATCACATGACCTTTGGCCACGTGATGCTGAAACAATGAGTTCATTGACTTATTTCAGGGAGGCAGTTGGTTGATTTGGTTAAAAACAAAATAACTAAAAACAATGTCTAAATCCACTAGTCTGCTCAGTCAAAATGGCTGACCCAGTATCCCAGGTAAATATTTTAGCAATTGAAACCATTTATAGAGGTCATGCCCTTCATCAAACTAGAACCAATGCCAGAGTTCTGGGCCAAGAACTGCTCAAGAAAGCCTTAATTCATGGACCATTCCAACGCATCAGATTGGCATGCAAAGAATCCCAGCTGACATTTTATAAGCAGGTTCCTGAATAACGAGTTTGAATTTTTTTTTTTTTTTTTTGGTCTTACAACTCTATTGTAAACTATACTAGACTATAGAGGGACTTCTACATCTTTCAAGATGTGTTTAATAAAGGTCTGTTTATAATAACTTTTGAGGCATGAATCTAGCAAATAGTACTTTATACAATGTCCCTTGTCATTACCAACTCATAAATATTAAGTGTTTTTCAGTGACTTATGTTTGGATGTGGTAGTGCTGATCAGGGCCATGTGCTGATGTCCTGGAGAGCAAAATCAATCCAAAGTGGTGCTGCTATTTGTGACAGAACATGTTTATTTACTCAGCCCCGGAGACAAAAGGAAAATTGATATGGGGGAGCGGGAAATAGGAGAACTATTAAATGTAGTGAAGAAATTTCACAGGTCTAAAGGAACTATTAAAAGGAAGGATAAAGTAGATTCTATACTATAAAACAGAATCCTACCTCTGATAAAAGACAAATCAGCCTGAATTTTTGAATAATCAATAGGATTCAAAATGACTATTTTCAATTGCAATCTCATTCTTAATGTTCTTCCAGAACCCTTAACCCTGAGAGAAGCAGGGCAAAATGTGGCCAAAGGATTCAGAACCTTTCTTTCCAACATTATCCCATCAGCTATGAGAAGGTAAAGATTTAGCCACGGCAAGGTCCGAGGTCCAAAATCAACTCTTTTCATTCTCTGTCTTGCTCTCCATTTTAGTTGATCTGATACAACTTTTTGACATCACAATTAAAACACTTCAAATTAAACCAGAGTAAGAAAGCCTGTTTCCTCCCCTACTAGGTTCAAACACATCCTGTTATGCACCATCGAGGTGAGAAGACCTACCATGGGATCATCATGGGATATCAGGTAAGAAGATGAGTAACATACAAAACTACAAAAGTTTTTGTTTTTTTGTAAGCCCACAGATTGTGATGAAATGAAGGTTGTAAATAGCTGATAAACTTATGGGCCTCTTAATGTGCAAAACCAAGTAATTCCTAAAAGTTGTAATCCTGATTATGTTTCTCTTATAAATAATCTATAGATTTTCCTCTAAATACAAAAAAATTAAAGAAATTATTAAAGCCCGTACTTAATACAAGACACAGTAAAAGGAGAGGAATCTCTTGTTTTGAGCCCTATCTGAGCCGATTTCGGGACACTTCTGGTGAGATTTCATTACACTCATGAAGCCTGTGCTTTCTCAGTCCCCTAAATAGTGGCCTGAACCTTACTGTTCCCCAGAAAGCAGCTCCATGTGGCCAGACGCTCACGGCAGCTGCTCTGTGCAGTCCAAATGGTCTGGGATAGGGAGCCCAGTGATAATCGTCAGACACTTGTTCCACACGGTGAAGGTGGGGCAAACAGGCTGCGCAAATGCGACGTCGAAGGTGTAGAGGTGGATGGAGTTCAAAGCATCATAAAAGGCGATAGAGCCGTTATCATAGTCCAGCAGGATGCCCACGCGCCGGAGGTGGGGGGCAGGCTCAATGGGGATTTCCTTGCTATTGTGTCTCACCACCCAGTTATTGTTGCAGCGGCAGAGCGCCCAGGAAGCAGAGTTCTTCCCAATCCATTCATGCTTCGGGGCTGATTTGTAAGCAAGACCAATGGCATACCTGCGGAAACAAAACAGCAACAACAAAAACAATGAGCCATGTTGCACATGCACGTTAAATCCGTTCTGTGGTCCTCAGGGGTTATAAAAACATGATCATTTGTTGTCCCTGTTCATTTTCTTTAAGTGAAAGCTTGGCAAGAACCCCAACATCTGTGTTCCTCATCTCCTTCCCTCCCAAACATGGAAAGTGGGTGGAAAGTAGTGGGTGGAAAGAAGCGTCGTATTTACCCACATTTCTGTTTTCAGCTCAAACACTACGGAGAATTTGAACTTTGAGTTTTGCTGCTTTTTTTCACTCTTATAAAAATCTACACAATGAATTCGCTAGACCAGTGCTGACCAAAAGAACTTTCTTCAATGACTGAAATGTTCTGCTCTCCTCGATATGGTAACCACAAGCCACATATGGCTACTGGGCACTTTAGCTGCGGCTGGTGAGACTGAGGAACTGAACTTTAAATTTATTTAATTTTCATTAAGTTAAATGATTTAAATAGCTGCCTGTGGCTCATAGCTACCATACTGGACAGCACAACCCTAGACTTCTCCTTTTGACCTTCTTATAATTTTTCATTTAACACCATGTCTGTCATTTTCTGATTCTGAATGCACTTTGCCAAGGGCAAGCACAGAAGATGATTCCCATTTGCAGGGATAAATCCTTTGTCATTACTCAGCCCCAATTTTCTCATGTATATTGAGAAATATACAGTGTTATTTTAAGGAGTAAAGGAGAGAATACATGTTAAGTCCCAGGCACAGGACCTGGCATGTAATATTCAGTAACTGCTATTTATTTTATTATTATTGCCTGATGGCACATATTAACAATAAGTACCAGAATCAGAATTTGAACTCAGGATGACTCAAAACCCACAAACACGAACTACATTCTACAATGCCATCCGTAACCAGAAATTGTGCAGTTCATCACTGCCAAGAGCCTTTCTGATTATACTGGAAAAAAAATTCTGAACGTGTTTGAGCAGACGGATCTTCTGGTTATTCTAAATGTTCTCTTGCTGCTCAAAAAAATCCAAAGAATGCTTTCTACAATGTTCTAAGCATCTTAATCTCTTTTTACCCCTCTGAGTCATGCCTCTGTAATATTCATCGTATTTCAGTTATTAAGATAAACAAAACCCATCACTCTTTATAAAGAGTAAATGACTCACAGTTGAACTTTTAATATGTTATAGCAGAAACCAGTCTAATTGGATATTAACATATGGTACCTTACCCAATGCAGAGAGAAAAATTTCATGGGTCTTTAATAAAATGACATTCTTTAAAAAAAATCACACTGGACTTAAAATACAATCACTTTAAGAGTGGTGTGTTTGTTTAAAAAGAAAATTAACACAACATGCCATCACTAAATCCAAAAGAAGGATGGAATTGATAATCTGCCAAGCCCAGTGTGCAGGCCTGTCTGTCATCAATGTTGCATCCTCTCTTCCCTCCCGTCCATCCTCTCCTGCTTATGAGGAGAATCCAAGTTGCATTTCCCAGAATCCCCTTTCCTGTAGGAGTCTGGGTCAGGCTCTGCTATTGTGATGCCTTTGCACAAGATCCAGAAGTGCTTAGAGGAGGGGAAACACGCTTTCCTGATGGCAGACAGTAGACGTGCGGTTGGTGGAAGCTTCTAGATGAGCGCCTGAGTACACCTGCCTTGTGCTGTGGGCAACTTTGCAGCAGCTACAGCTCATCATGACTCCATGAACTAGAGCAGCAGACTCCCTGACTTCATGCCCCAGCCCTTCCAGGGTCCTGTAAGCTTCTGGCTCCCTTCTGTGGCATGCATCGAGGGTCTCAAATGTCATCTGTTTATTTGATACACTGATATGGTTTGGCTGTGTCCCCACCCAAATCTCATCTTGAATTCCCACATGTTGTGGGAGGGACCCGGTGGAAGGAAATTGAATCATGGGGGCAGGTCCTTTCAGTGTTGTTCTCGTGATAGTGAATAAGTCTCATGAGATCTGATGGTTTTAAAACGGGGGAGTTTCCCTGCACAAGCTCTCTTTTTGCCTGCTGCCATCCATGTAAGACGGGACTTGTTCCTCCTTGCCTTCTGCCATGATTGTGGGCTTTCCCAGCCACATAGAACTGTAAGTAAGTAAGTCCATTATAAACCTCTTTTGCAAATTGCCTGGTCTTGGTTATGTCTTTACCAGCAGCATGAAAACAGACTAATACATACATTTTGGAAAGGTTTTCATTTTGCAATTGTCAGTATCTCCCACCCCCCAAAAATGTTCTGTATACCCCAGTGAATACTATTTCCGCTTTTCAGACAATTTGGAACCTGCATCACAAAATCACCACATCTGTATTGTTTCCTTCTTGTTGTGGCACAGCATTTTTATTTTTTATTACTTTGATGTTTATTTCCCATTTGAACCTTAACTGAACCCTATGAAATAGCTGTGGCAGGTATGGCTGACTACATGTAGCAAGTAGAAACAGAAGATTAAAATTGGGAGCAAAATCCAGAGTTGTATGCTGCCCCCACCCCTTCTGGTCTAATAATCTTTGCATGAACCCGTTATTACTCATTTAGTTAACACCATTTCATAAAACACCAAGTGCACATTAGCATTAGAGAGTAAGAAAATACTAAGTGTATAGTCCATTAAGCAAAGGAAAATACCATTATAGTATCATTAATCTGTGAAACTAGGTACATATTTCCATTGAGCTTGAAATGTGCAGGCAGAATGTAATGTTCCATTAAGTTACGCAGTGAGACACGGAGAATTCAAAGTATAAAAATTATGTCTCTCGGAGCAATGTTAACGTGCCCCATTGCACAGATCATAATGTACACATCAATTTAAAGTCAGGACTATATTTCATAAGCAAATATGTCATTAGCTGTTGCAAGTCAAGATGTCACAGGCATTTAATCGTAGGGGGTGCCCCTTCCTTGCTAATACCCCCCAAGGAAATGTAAAGTGACTTTCTACATGAAGATTTTTCTGAAATTGACACCGTCAGGTTTGTAAAGATTAATTGTGTAGCAATTAATTTTAGAATTTCTTTTCCCCCTCATGAGTTAGTTTTGACATCTGGAGGGTGTTTTCAAGGTAATGCTGATGTGTGTTTATATAACTGAAGTGGTCTGATGGAATTTTGCAAACTATTCATCAATGGCAATGAGATCATAATGATCAGGTTTCATTTATCATAATTAATTATTAATAGAGTAATAATCATTTAGACCCTGGATTCTATCCCAGATTAATACAGCACATTAATTAACTAGAAACATTTGCTTTTTTTGTACCTGCATCCATTGTGTTTTCCTTTGTGCTTTAATTTTGCCCCACTGCAGCTAAAAATTGCAAATGCCAATCTAGCCCAGAGCCTAGTGGGGTGAAGGATTTGTCCTCCATCCTCTGGCAGGATGTTGGAACAGAAAACTCTTCTAGGCAAAGAGAATTATGAGGATAGCAACAAAGGAAAACCTACTCGCTCAGCCAATATAGTATGTACCATTATTGGGAGAGATGGGAAGCTTACAATTCACTTCTTAGATTTTTGGCTAATTTCTACCTACAATATAAAGGACTCAGCCATGTCACATTATTTGCATAGGTTTGAATTGAAAGGTTTTTTTATATATAAATAAGTGTTTTATCATGCTTATATTGAAAGAAACACTGTTATACTCACCATCTTCAGGCTATGCAATTTTGAATGTTGATTTTATTTTTTAAAGCAAGGATTCAGCTATCACTCATTACGTACACTGTCATAAACCCTAGAGAGTAATTATAGCATTTCAAAAATATACCACCCTTTTGTGAATAGCAGCATACCATGGTGGTTAAGAGCGGGGAACAGCAAACTACTACCCAGGGGCCAACTCTGGCCCTCTGCCTGTTTTTATAAATGAAGTTTTATTGGAACGCAGCCATGTCCATTTGTGTAGGTGTTGTCTGTGGCTGCTTTCCCACTACAACAGAAGAGTCGAGTATTAGTGACAAAAATCATTTGGCATGCAAAACCAGAAATATTGAATCTCTGGCCCTTTACAGATAATGTTTGTGGACTGCTGGTTAAGAGCCTGACCCTTGACTGCAGACTTACTGACTCTGCCACCTGTGAGCTTTGTAACCCTGTGATCTTCAGCATATACCTCAGTCACCTCATCAGTAAAGTGGATAATATTAGCACCTACCTTTGTAGGGCTGTAAGGCTGAATAAATGAGTTGACATCTGTAAAATGCTTAGACCAGTGCCTGGCACATACTTGTACCATATGAGGGCTTGTTAAATAAAAATAAAATAGCTCCCTTTTTGATCAATAGCAAGCAGGCATTTGTGAGACAGACGGTCAAAGGGGTGCAGTTGTGGCTGTGGATTAGGCAAGGTTAACTTTGTGAGGTTAACTAATTCCAATGTAATTGTGTCCTGACCTTTGCCCTTATTCTTAGAGAACTCAGTGGGCTAAAGTCACTGGGCTGGATCTAACAGGCCTTTTGAAATTATTCCCAGCCTATGATCACTGCTTCACCCCCACCATTCAACCCTTAGCTATTTGCACTAATTGGTCCAGTCTAGAACCATAAAACATACAAGGCAACAGAAATTAGTTTTGTGTAATGATGAAGAGTGATGTTTAAAAGTAGGGAATGGCAAACTTTTTCTGGAAAGGACCAGAAAGTAAGTAAATATTTTTGGCTTCGTAGACCATATGATTCTCTCTTAACTACTCGATTCTGCTGTTGTGGCTGAAAGGCAGCCATGGACTATATGTAAAAAAATGGACCTGGCTGTATTCCCATAAAACTTTATTTACAAAACCAGGTAGCAGGCCAGGTTTGGCTCATGGGCTGTGGTTTGCCAACCCATGTTTCATGGCATGAAAGAGCAGTGTTAACATGGTATAGCTCATCCAATGATCAGAGCTCTATAATCTTGAACAGAGAACCCACAGGTGTGGGTATTAGTAATATATGGTTGTTGTTTGAATCTGCTGAGTTTGGGGGTGTTTGTTATGCAGTATTATCCTAGCAAGAGCTGACTAATACAACTTTTCTGCATTTTATTCTTTAAGATGCATTACAGTATGGGTTGACTCTCTAAGTACAGAATGAGATGTGCCTTTTTATAACTGCAGGACAATAGAAATAAGTTGCTTACCATGTGCTTCCACTTATGACCACTTCCCAATAATGCCGGCCACTATCAATAAACACATTTCCAGCTACTCCATAGCTCCCCTGGCTGGTGAAGCGTTCAGGTGTGTGACTCTTCTTGGATGATGACTCATCACGTTCTACTGTCAAGTTATCATGGGACACCTTCAGTTTTCGATGAGCAGATTTGGGATCCAGTTTAAATGGTTGGCCTGAAAACAAATTCACAAAACAGAAAAAGGAAGAGGAAGAGGATTGTTTATTTTATCATAACCAATAGCATATTTTCAAAATCAGGTTTAAAAGACAGGAACAAGCCAGCCCTCCCTGAGTCATGCCTCCTATCACAAAGTGGTATCTTATATTTTAATAGTAATTTAAACATTATAAGCAACTTTCAAAGACATTTGCTTGCAAAGTTTTCATAATATTCAAAAGACAATAGAGAGCAGCAACTCTGTGTATAGTACAGTACACAGTAAGAGTGAAAAAGAACATGTTCCTGTCTTCATAAGCTTTCAGTCTACCAGTTCTAAGATAGGGATCCAGTGGTGGCATGCCAACTATTCAACAACAGCATGGATAAGGCTTAGCCAGAAAACATAGGGTGAGCTAGCTTCACGGATTCCAGGTGTATACAAGCAGCACAGGTACATACTGGCTGGATAGCATCCTGAAAAGGAGGAATGAATGAAGACTCCATTTTCAACCACTGCAGTGTTCTATCCAGCATAAGATGCATTCATGCTCAATAGACTTCAGACCAGAAACCAAACAAATCAAGATCTTGGGTCTTAACATATAGAATATTCTAGAGGTTTATATTATTCTGAGATTATTAAAAATTAAAGCATTACTCTTAGGAATTTAGGATGAGAATACAATTTTCAGGCCACAAAATTAGGAAAAAATGTGATAGCAATGCCTGGGTTTTCTACTCATGAAATTATTTATATATAATAAGGCCTTCTCTATTTCATTACTCACATTTGTGTCTTAAAGATTTAAGTATTAAAAAAATCTTGGCAGAGTCACACCTGGACATTTTGTCATAGTTGTTACTTCTTCTTTGACAATTCAATATTGGTTTGGAGTACTGCCTGTCATTCAACACTGCATTGGGTACAAGGCGTTTAAAGGCAGGAAATGCATTGCAACCTGATACAAATGCCATGGTGTCCAAACTCCACAGTCACTGTTGCAGTTGGCAGGTTCCTTCTGCCCAGTATACAGCTCTCAATCACAGGAAAAGGTCTAGTAAATTCAACTGTGGCAATACACGATGCTGGGCGAGAAACTGACCCAGTGAGTATAGGACAGTGTGTGTTGTCACATGTGGGTAGGCCAAAGGATTTCCAGTTGCCTTTTGGATACAAACACAACACAACACCAGCACCTCTAAAATCCTTTCTTTTTAGGTCACGGACCAGCATACTTTTTCTGCAAAGGGCCTGACAGTAAATATTTTTGGCTATGCAGGCCAGGCCATGTGGTCTCTTTTGTGACTATTCAACTCTTCTGCTATAGTGAGGGGGCAGCCACGGACAGGACAATAGGTAAATGAATGGGTGTGGCTATATGCTAATAAAACTTTATTTACAAAATCAGGCAGCCAGATTTGGCCCTTGAGCTATAGTTAGCTGGCTTTTGTTTTAGAAATCTATTTCTGTACATATCAAAGAAAAGCTTAGGCTGGGCTGGTGGCTCATGCCTGTAATGCCTGCACTTTGAGAGGCCAAGGCAGCTCGATTGCCTGAGGTCAGGAGTTCAAGACCAGCTTGGCCAACATGGTAAAACCCCATCTCTACTAAAAATACAAAAATTAGCTGGGTGTGGTGGCGGACACCTGTAATTCCAGCTACTTGGGAGGCTGAGCCACGAGTATCACTTGAACCCGGGAGGCGGAGGTTGCAATGAGCCAAGACCATGCCGCTGCGCTCCAGCCTGGGCAACAGAGTGAGGCACTGTCTCAAAAAAATAACAATAAAAAAGAAAAGAAAAGCTTTAAAGGGGGAGCAGAGAAAACCCTCAAGGGCTGAGCAGGGATTGGACATTCTCAGAGGCCGTAAGATCTATTGGATTACATGTGTAGTTTAAATTTTGACTTGTAAAAAGAAGTCCTTAGGAATGATCATGCTAGCAACTATCAGAGATAAACTATGAACTAAGACAAGAAGAGTATGAAGACAGTTTTGCTTAAAATATTTCAATTTTTAAAGGTGGAAGGTAGAATATGGATTAAAAATGATTGATAGGATACTAATGGGCAGAGCAGGAAGAAATTCCTTAATGGCGCCCATCATTTACAATGAAGGCCAAGTTCTGCTCGGCCTCCTTCCGGTGAGATATATCAGAATGTCAGAGCCATTGGAAAGACCGGCCTTGTGATGGTGACATACTGCCTCAAACATCCTGCCTGCCTTGGCTCACACCCTCACCCACGCATGTGTGGAGCAGAATCATGCAATCTTGGTGAGCAAATTCTGCCCATGCCTCAGATATGTTTCCCAAATAAACCACTACCTACTCTGCCCAAATTCAAGGCTTTTGCTTCAGTGAAGACAAATTAGTTCAAGAAAGAGATTAATAGCTTACTTTACTAAATAATTCAATTCATTATAATATTTGTATGGGACACGACTCTTATTCAGGCCGTTGTTTACTTACATGGACAACTCTTTCAATAATCTTTTGATACTGTGCCCAGCAGCCAGTCTTCCTTCCTTGTAATCCACTCACCACATCATAGTGCAAGAGAGCTTTATTTCATGGAAATTTTCATCCTGCCTGTTTGATTTAAACTCTTCAATCTCTCCACCAATCATTGGTATACAAAGAAACTCCCTGGTGTGGCCCAGGAGGCTTTCGCGATCTGTTCTTGTCTCCAGCCTCCTGGCTCACCTATCCTCCCAACCTAAGACACACTTTAACCACATGGATCAATTTTCTGTTCCATAAATATATTCTCCTTGTCTCTGGGCTTTTGCCCATGCTGTTCCTTCTGCATGGAACACTGTGTCCTCACATCCCCTGCTCCTAACCTACCTTGGAAAGCCTCTCAAGGTTGTGCTGGGGCACCCTGGCTTTGTCAACTTAGAACCTCTCATGGTTATTCCAGTCAGAGATTTCACATATTGAATGTTAATTAGGATTAATGTGCTTTATTCCCCAATAGTCTAGGACCTTTTTGAGAGAGAAGCACACCTTAGGGAGTTGAAGATACTCATAATATCCTTAGCATCTTGCACAGCATCCCAAACACACTTGGTGCTCAAACATATCTTTTGAAGGAACAAATATTTACATGTTCAAATGCAAATCAAATAATGCTGATCTAAGTGTGCATAGGTATTGTGCCATTTGTTGTATGACTGTAAAGAAATATATCATCATGTTATATTCTCTTATGTACTTTTAGAATTACTTTGAGAGGGTCTTTTTGACAACTCATAACAACCCTCAAGTTGTTAAAATATTCCCATTTTAAAACTGAAGGAACACTAAATGCATTGTGGGATCCTGGATTGGGTCCCGGAATAGGAAAGGAACATTAGTGGAAAGCTGGTAAAATCTGAATAAAGTCTGGAGTTTAGTTATGAGTAATTCATCAATGTTAATTTCTTAGTTATGATAACTGTACCAAGGTTACATAAGATGTTAATATTTGGGCAAACTGGGTTAAGGGTGTACAGAACTCTCTGTATTATCTATGGATTTCCTGTAAATCTACAGCTATTCCAAAATAAAAAATCTATTTAAAAATATGAAGAAACTAGCCATATAGCTATATGGGTACCAAGTGGGAAAGCCACAGTCTTCTCATTCGTAATTCAGTGCTCTCTTTACATCCCTTGTTCTTCCTCTAGGATCCAACACATTCCTCTAGGATACAACACTTGTACTGAGAAACAAGGATATAGGTTAAATGAGGGTTCCCCTTGAAAAGCACTTAATTGTTCCTGTTGACTGCCTGGCAACCTCACAACATGGCGCCATACCGACACACTCCAATTTGCTTTCTCTTGGGAGGTCTTATGCAAATAAACACCATGTTACATAACATAATATTCCTAGATCAAAAGGATGTAAAGAAAGAAGAGAGGATAAAACAAAACACATGTGGACAGAGAGAGGGAGATGACAGTATCATGAGACACACATATAGGCCAGACCATTCTCTGTGATGCGCACTGTCCTGTGGATTGGGGATGTTTCCCATCATCCCTGGCCTCTACTCACTACATGCCGGTAGCATCCACCTCAGATGTGACAACTAAAAACCTCTTCCAGATATTACTAAATGTCCTGGTAGGGTGGGGTGGAGGGGGAGGAAGAAGTGTCCCTGATTGAGAACCACAGACTCCGACTGTTTTCTAGAATAAAAGAATTTCTGAAGAGTGATTAGTTGGCTACTCTGCTATGAAAAATAACACTATCCACCATTTACAGAGCCCCTACTGTGTGTCAGGTCTTACATATACATCATCTACTTCTCACAAGAATGCCTCCAGGAATATTTATTTAAAAAATGAGAAGACTCAATTTTTTAAAATTGAGTAATGCAGAGAGAGTAATGGCCTCACGGCTGTGAAGGAATAGAATCAGTTTTGGAACCTAGAGGTATCTGATGCAAATTCCATTATTCCACACTGGCTTTTTACTTGTTTTGGGGGGCTGTCAATGATACCCAAGACAGAGAAAAGGAAAAGAAAGGGGGACAGAGTCAGCTGAAAGAAGAGCAGATAAGACATGACAGCTCTGTTGAGTTCACAGCACTTACTGTTTGTCTTCAACTTCCCAGGCTCACTGCTGCGGCTGCCCGCCTGGTTGATGGCCTTGACCATGAAGATGTACTTGGTGCCGCTCTGCAGACCGTGCACCGTGTAGTGGTTCTGCTTGATGTTGGGTACTATCATCCAGCTATCAGCCGAATTACACAGACCTGCAAAGCCAATCAGACATGGTGCAGTTCTTTGGCACAAGGGGAGCAATGTTTGCATAATTTTAGGTTGAATAATTTCCATTTATTTGAATAGAGTTGGTAAGTGAAGTGCTTTGTCTTGGTAGTCATGTACGAAAAACTGACTTCACTAACGTAGATGTGGCAGATTGCATTTTTGCCTCCAAAATTCTCCCTGCCCTGTATATCCAGGCCCAAATAACTTTGCAGGTGCTCCTTCTAAAGAGGTGCAATATATTTCCCTGTCATGTGGCTTTGAATTTGGTCAAGTGACTTGCTTTGGTCAATAGCATGAGGCTGAAATGACAATGTGCTAGTTGCAAGAGTAGGCATGACAAAACCTTGAGGGTTTCTGTTGACCCTTTGTGTCTGCCACTGCTCTGGAGAAAATATGCCTAGGATACTCTGTTTATCCCAACAGGATGAGACAGGGAACAGCTTTACCATGCAGCCAACGCCCAGCCAGTGCAGGAGTGAACCAAGCAGCGATCAGCCAACCCCAACCGACCTCCAACAGGGAAGCTAAGAAATGATCATCATCCCTAGGATGACTGGTTTCAGAGTGGAGTGGGGCTGTTGCTCTGGCTGCATCCTGCAGGATGTGGGTTGGGGAGCAGACCGAGTATTTATGATGCTTGGAAGAATATGTAGGAAAAGGAAGCCCATCTTGTTTTGCAGCTGGTTGATGGCTGAAAACATCTCTTTGGTATCAGGTCCAACTCCCCTCTCTCCTTTTTCCACCCATCAATCTCCACTCCAATAGAACCTTTTTCCAAACCCTTGGTGACCAGGCTGTCAAGAAGTTTCCTGACTCTGTTGAATTTCCTTCACTGATCCCTGGGAGAGGGCTGGGCCCCCTCCACTTCCAGAGGACTCCAAAGCCACCACCCCACTCCTCTTTCAATTGATTTGCAAGTCAAAGGGTTAGTTCCTTTGATCTTGAGGCAACTTATACTTTACCAGATTCTCAAGAAGCAGTCCCTTAATCTTTTTTTGGTCTCACCTCTTTGATAATCTAATAAAACCTTTCTGTAGTAAGAAATTCACAAATGCATATACACACCAAACCACAAATATATGCATAGAATTTCAAGGTAGTCACAGGCTCCCGAAGCCTGTCTTTGAATCTTACTGAATACTTACTTACTCCATCTTTTGAGTTAAAAATTATTCATGGTATTGTCACAGTTGAAAAATTCACCTTATATGATTTCCATCTTGGGTGCATAATATTTTCAAGTACACATCAGTGAATTAAATATATATATATATATATGTATGTATGTATATATCATCTAAAGATATCTAAAGATACACACACACACACACACACACACACACATATTTGGTCTTGTGAATTTTCTGTTGCCTTTTTTTTTTTTTTTCTCTAACCTGCAAACATTTTCGCCAGTGGACTGCCAGATTTGAAAAAGCCAGCTTGAAGCAAGAATGTAATTTAGGACTCATAGAAGGGTTTGAGTGTGTGTGTGTTTATATTTGGAGATTCAGCAGAGCAATAAGAGGCACAATCCATCCCTCCTCCCCAAATTTATTTTCTCTAATTCTTAGCCCTCTGTTTTCCTACCAATTCTCATTTGCATATGATGCAGGAAAACATCCACAAATAGTTTAGTAACATGGGAATCTCCTTACTATATATCCCTTCTGATCTTCCTTCACCTTACCTTTTCCTTGAACATAGCTATAATAAACTCCATACTTCTGGATAATGCCACAGCCAAATATTAGATTTTGATCCAATCAAAGAAGGGTCATTTTGAACTCTGAGTTCTGGGCCCCAAGAGGCCTATAACTCTCTTTAGGTACTTAATATTATTACAGTAGTAATAAAACAAAAAATTAGCTTTTCTATTATGTAGGATAGTGTACTCATATTCCTAGATCTTTGTCAATGGCAGTCAGCCACGAATGAGAACAATTAAGGCATTCAGTAGATTCAAATGAGAATCGTATCAATTTCACTGCCTTTATACTGTTCCTGTTTAATTGAATATGTTACAAAAAAATGACTATTGTGGTCAAAGAAAGCAAGTGTAAAAATGTTTCAATAAACTTTACATCACTGTACAACCCAAAAGCTGGGTTTAATGTGGTGGGGGAACGCTTTCAGTAACATCATAAAGCAGATGTCTGAAATTGCTGAAAACTGTAACTTGGCCTAAAATCCAAAGTCTTAACCCAACAAAGATTTTATGTTTCAGAAACCTTTTCCAAACAAAAAGGGACTCTGACTATCCTGATTATTTTGAAGAGGTCCCTATTTTTTCCTTGAAAATTAAAAGAACAAAATGTTTATGAAGTAGTAAAATTTCATTGGTTAGCTTTATACTGGGACAATCTACTTTCATGAATACTAACAAACACTATTACTGTTTAGGTTTACCTTTATGTTATTATTATTGCCAAGATAATAATTGAGAAGTTGATTAAAAATGCCAGGAAAGCAACATTGACAATTTTCTTCTGGGGGCTGGAGTAAGTGGGGTGACTTGGAGTGCACCATTACCGGTGTTGGTCTTACGCCAGCACCACCTAACTTCTTGCATATGGCACTGAGTTTGCTTAAGCAAGACTTCTCTGCCTTGACACCCCACTGTGTTAGGACTCTTGACCAGGCTTTATTCATCTCTTTATGAAACACCCACACAACCATCCTGATTGAAACTTCACTTTTCTCCAAACTCATTTTCAGTCATCTTTGAGGGTGTTCCAACATTCACCTCCTCCGACTCAGTTTAAAATAACAACGGAGCTTGGAAAATAATTTGTCCACAATGAAACCTAATTAATTGAGTTTTTTGATTTTATACATTTTTTTTTTCATTCACAATGGGTTAGAAGCATTTCCCTACATAATGTGGCTCATTATAAGATCTTAATTACATCTGGGATTTCAGAGCCTTGTATGGCAACTGTCATCTTGCCACAAAAAATTATGTGTAAAAATGTCACATGATGTGGACAGTCTTAGGAGAGGCTGCACACTGGTTTCTAACATCCTTTGTCTCTTCCAACAGACTGGACAGAAGTGAACATTCCTTTCCTTCTCCTCTGTAAAAATAGTATATGTTTAATAATTTTCATGAATGTTTTCTAAGTGACTACAATAAATTAAAAACAGATAACTACTTAGCCATTAAGGCTTGAAAAAAATGCAGCTTTTGATTTCTGCTAAGAATAAGAATAGGCTGCTGGGGAAAGGACCCAATTTAAGACTTAAAATGAAGCATCAAAAGTAGTTTTAGAGAAAACGTGGCAAACGTTGTAAAATTAAATAAATATCTAGTTATTGATAAGCAATTCATTAACATCTATAGTCATAACTCTATTAACAAAAATAAAAAATAAAAATTAATGTCATTACTTTTGCATTTGAATGTATGTATTTCATTAGTGAGGGCCTTTTCGTAAGATTGAAAAAGCTCCATAGATATTATCTAAGTCTCCTTCACTAACGCCAGTTGAAGGCAATTAACTACAATTTATTAGGATGAGTGAAGGAACCATGACCTAGAGACAGTAAAAGATTTTCTAGTGATATAAGGAGCTACAGCCAGGTTTTGAGCATTATATCTTCTCATTTTCAGTAGAGTTTTACCATTAGACCTTGTCACGCAATACAACATCTGCAAAGGATACTTCTCCAAATAATAGGACAGATTATTTAACATCATTCAAGGAAAGCCTTTCACATACTGATTGTGTAAAAAGCTATCATGTAGATAATCCTGGAAAATTGCAAAACTGGTCTTTCTTTTAAAATGCAATTATGGGGTGAGTACAGTCCGTATTTTTGTAGGAATAATAACTTTGAATATCTATGTGCTACCACTGTGGCAAACACAAGACTAAGGTGTTTACTATTATTATCTCAACCATGTGAAGTTAAAACACTATCCCTTCTTACAGATGAGGAAACGGATTCGGAGGACATTAAATAATTTGCTCAAGACTGCAGAGCTAGTGAGGTCCAAAGTCAAGATTGAAATCCAGGTCTCCTTTGGTCACTACAAATGTGAAAAATATTTAAGAAGAAAATAATTTGAAAATCTTTGCCTATCGGTTAGCTTTTTATCTGAATGAATTCTTTCTTTGTCGCAAATGGATCCTGTAGGCATTAGGACTTCACTATTCTGGTTTAATGGGCATCAAGGGAGGAACACATCCTGATACAAACAACCCGGTGAGAGTATCCCAGTTTGGTCAGCACCAGCAGTTTCACTGTTTTTCTTCCATCCTGGGAGAATGGGCCTTTCTGGCATCTATGCGTTAAAGGCTGATAATCTTCACTAAGCCATTTGCATTTCTTTTCTTATGGCAACTGGTTTCTGGGAACAAAACATCTCTGGAATCACCCAACATAAAGTTCTGAGTTCATTATACTGAGTGGTTTTGCTCTTGTTGAGTTTTTTTATGCATGACCTTTTTGCATCATCTATTCTATTAATGCATCATGTTTGGTATTATTTTCGATGCAAATAGCACAGAAATCAAGTTGGTCACAGTTTAGCCAAGTGAGAAACCCTAAGTTTCAAGCAATAAATATCTTCCTTTCATTTTGGGGATGAGGTGAAGCTCTGGTATTGAGTTAGGGCCTTTTGGCCCCAATTCCTTGCTCCTTCCTTGTAATTTTGCAGGTCTTTGCATTCTCACTCTGGGCTCACCCAGGGGACGTCTTTGACAAACCTCATGTTAGCTAATGTGACACAGACAGGGGCTTAAAAAGAATGTGTGTAATTGGTCCTGCCTTTACTCCTTCATCTCTGCAATCAGGGTGAGAGCAGACTTGAGCTGGATTGTAGGAGGATGAGACAGATGTGCAGCAGTCGGGTTGCCACAGTTATCAGTCTGCCATGTGAGGGAGCCAAGATCAGCAGGGCTTCCTAGTTGACACTCAGTTGACTCCAGATGCATAAGCAATATGAATTCTACTTAGGCCCTGTGGTTGTTGGCTATTCAGCAAAAGCCAACGGATACAGAGCCCATCAGTCAAGGCCAAGGCTACATGTACTCCCAAAGTGTCCATGACGATTTGATTTAAGAAATTTCAGGAGAGGGCTGGGTGCAGTGGCTCATGCCTGTAATCCCAACACTTTGGGAGGCCAAGGTGGGTGGATCACTTGAGGCCAGGAGTTGAGACCAGCCTGGCCAACATGGCGAAATCCCATCTCTACTAAAAATACAAAAATTAGCCAGGCGTGGTAGCACATGTTTGTAATCCCAGCTACTCAGGAGGCTGAGGCAGGAGAATCATTTGAACTCTGGGGGTGGAGGTTGTAGTGAGCCGAGATCATGACACTGCACTCCAGCCTGGGCAGCAGAGCAAGACTGTCTGAAATTTTATATATATATATATATATATATATATACACACACACACACACACACACACACACACACACACACACACACACATACATATATGAAAGAATAAAAGAAAACCAAAAGAAATTTCAGGAGAGACATAACCATCTGAGGAAGACATGCCCTAGGATGGTCCCCAGGATTCCAACTCCCTGGTATTCATAACTGTGTAATATTATCTCCTTAGTGTAAACAGGACCTGTCATCTGCTTCTAACCAACAGAATATGGCAAAGGACAAAGGTCTATCACTTTTATTACTCCTGTTTTTATATTACATTATATGACAAAGGCGAAGGCGAAGGGAGTTTACAGATATAATTAAGGTCCCTAATTATTTGATTTGGAGCTAATCAAATGGCAGATTATTCTGGGTGAGTCTGACCTAGTCAAGTGAGTCCTTTAAAGACAGGTTTGGAGGTGACAGATTTGAAGTAGCAGACTCTCTCCCTTGCTGGCCTTGACGAAGCAAGCTGCCATGAATTCCACAACCACAATGAAACAAATTTGTCAACAAATGGAGGGAGCTAAGAAGTAGATTCTTCCTTAGTTGAGTCTCCAGATGAATGCAGCCCAGCCAACACCTTAATTTCAGACTGTGACACCCTAAGAAGAAGACCCAGCTCAACTATGCCAGAATCCTAACCCATGGAAACTGAAATAATAAGTGGGTATTGTTTTAAACTGCTAAGTTTTTGGAAATTTGTTTCACAGCAATAGAAAACTGTTAGCACTTTTCCTGAATCAGACGAAAATGATTTGAGAGAAATATAGCATTTCTCACATGGGCCAAGAACCACTCTTTTGGTATAAAATGACTCCAAATGTTTTCTTTTTCCGGTTAGACTATTCACTCATCAACAGACGTTGGTTCTATCAGTCCTCTATGTATTTTCAGAGAACCTTCCTTGGTGTTTTACAATGAATCATCTCTCCATTTTCTACCTGCTCTTCTCAGACCTTCACGTGCTTCTTTTCTCTTACCTTGGAATTTCTGATCATCTTTTGAATTTCATCTTCTTCAAGTTTGATACAATCCCTGGTTCAGTTTATCCCAAATATGCTAGTGATATTAATCACAAAATATTGAGAAAACAATTCCTTAAGTGAAGACAAAATACATTAATTATATTCCCCCCTTTTTGTTGTGTTTTTCCTTCCATGCTACATAGTATAGTAGTGTGTGTGGATCAGTGTGTTATGGTCTCAGTATTTAGCATGTAATCATGTAGATATTATACATTTACCTTGTTTTAAATTAGGGTTTCTCAACTTCGACATTACTGACATTTTGGGCCAGATAGTTCTCTGTTGTTGGGGGATTTCTTGTGCATTGTGGGAGATTTCCCATCTTTCCTCACTTCTACCCACTAGATGCCAATAGCACCCTCCTCCTAGGTTTTGAGAACCAAAAGTCTCTAGAGACATTGTCAAATGTCCCTTAGGGGGCAAAACTGCCCTTGTTGAGAATCACTGCTTATATGAAGGAGTGACTATTTAGTATGATATTAGTGATCATAGATTAACTTGTGTTTCAGGTTTATGGTGAAGCACAATCAAGGTTTAAAATTTTACTAGACTTTAATTCCACGTTAAGTTTATGGTATATGTAGCCAAGATCAGTGAAATACAATAAGCTCATACAGCTGGAAAAATGCATTTAAAAATCATGTCATCTCTCTGAAGGGCAATTTGGCAATGTCAAGTAAAATTAAATGCAAATAATCTTTTCCTAGAAATTGCACCTCAAGAGATTATACTACAGATATAATTCCCCGTGTGTGGAAGGAGAGATATTCAAGGATATCTTGAACATCCTTGGGGATACTGGGGCATTGTTTGTAAGGGCCAAAGATTGGAAACAAGCTAAATAAACATCTATAGAAGATGGGATAAATAAATTAGAGCATATCTTTAAAATAGGATATGATACTGCCTCAAAAAGGAATGAGGCAGTTCTTTATTTGTGCTGAAATGGAATGATATCTCAGACATAATATTTATTGAAAAAAACAAGGTAAAGCATTGTGTATGATATGCACATGTAGAAAAATATTTTAGAGAATTAGTATTTCTTTATGATTTGCAGTAGGGCATATAGAGTCAGAAATGAGGAATGATACCAGAAGAATTCAAAATCCTAGAAGGTGAGCAAAATGTTACTAAACCATTGCTATACAGGCCTTCTGCGACTTGCCCCAAAAAGCACTTCAAATATCTGAGGACACTGATGATTTTTTCCCAGGAAAATGGGCCAGACGCAGAGAAGTCTTCCTGGAATTATCTTTTCCTTTCCATCTCTGATGCTGGTGCCATTTGCAGGTCCTGGCTATTTCTGCCTCAGTGAATTACTACGAAACTTCCCAGCTGATGTCTCTGCTTCTGGTCCTGCCCTGTTCCTCTCCACTCTCCACAGTGCTCCTGAGTCACCTTCTAGTTATACCTCTGATTACATTACTGTCCTGCATGACTCTCAAGCCCACAGGGTAAAATCCAAACATGGTATGGCCTGGGTAGCCCTCTGCAATCTAGCTCTTGCCTGTGAATTAGGATTAGGTGACTGAGGATTAAGGATTAAGAACATGTGCTTTTTGGAGCTAGGCCAATATAGGTTTGAGCCCTGGTTCTATTTCTCTATCTTCATTTCTCACTGTCTCCCTTTCCTCACTTACCAGCCAGGCTTAATTAGGCAAGACCTCCCACTATGCCCTGCTACGTTACATCTTGATAGATTTGCTTATGATGACATAGCTGTCCGGTACAGCCTTAACTTGCTAAAATGCACCCGCTTTTTTTCAAGACTTAGTTTAACCACAACTTCCCCCAAGACATTTTTGTCCCACTCACCATTTCTGACCTTTCTATATTCCCTACTGACTCAGGCAGCTTGCCAGAGCTGTTCTTGACATTGCATGACTTTCTCCACTTTCATTTAAAAATTACACATTCTTGGTAAATGGCAAGATTTTAATAAAAGCTTCCACGGCAGGCCAATTATAGGGTAGAAGGTGAGGGAGTTGAGGAGAGGAAGTTGGAGAAGTTGGGGAGAGTGGATATAAGGAAGGTAGGGGGAGCCATTTGTTGGTATGGGTCATTTATACTTTAGTCCCTTAGAACTTGGTGTATTTCTGCATCACTCTTTTAATTAATCCTAAATCAAATTTCTATGTTAAGCATCGTATGACTCAGAATTACTTGTGCTAGGAAAGAGCAGTTTGTAGTTAAGAGAGAAAAGGTTTATATAATAAAAGCACATTAAATTGATATGAATTTATTCAAAACATCTCTTTGTTGAAACATGACTGCTATTCTATTCTGTTCTATTTTGACATATTGTATTTTTCTTTGTTAAAGAAGTTTCAAGCTTGCTCCCGTGAAAAGCCATGTCTTCTGGTCCATTGCCATTTGCCCAGTTCAATTTAAATAACTCTGTGGGTTGGAGGACTGCTTCCTCTGTTATCATCTCTGTGGCCTGCTACTACTGCTATTTGAAATCACCAAGTTATCTCTGATGCCAGATATCAAATAGGCCTCAGTGAGAGGGGGCACCTCTAATGTTTCAGGTAAGGTTGGAAATTCTTCCCGGGTGGGGCCAGTTACTAACATTTTAAGTGATGGGCCCAGCTCTCTCCTCTGAATGGGACCAGGTATTTAACTTTCTTTGGCTATTTATTTTATTAAATCCTTTCTTTTAAAATATGTGAAGTAACACTCAGGAAAGTACATAAAACTAAATGTATGATAAAATGACTAAAGCATGTAACTTTCACCTAGAAATTGCCATTAACCCCAAGAACCCCTGTATATTTCTTTCCAGTGGTGCCACTTGCCCTTTAATCCTGGAGGTAGCCATCATCCTGACTTTTTATTTTTATTTTTTTGAGACAGCATTCTCACTGTTGCCCCGGCTGGAGTACTGTAGTGTGATCTCTGCCCACTGCAACCTCTGCTTCTTGGGCTCAAGCCATCCTCCTGCCTCAGCCTCCTGAGTAGTTGGGACTACAGGTGTGTGTCACCACACCCCGCTAATTTTTGTATTTTTTTTGTATTTTTTGTAGAGATGGGGTTTCACCAGGTTGCCCAGGGTTTATAGTTTTAACACCTATGAATGTTTCTTTAAGCAAAATAGTTTATTTTGATCTTTAAGTTATGAACCTATATGTGGATTAATACTATATATATATATTTGTTTCTCTCTCTATGTATCTCTCTATATATTTGTTTCTCTCTATATATTTGTTTCTGGCTTCTTTCCCTTAACATCCATGTGGTTTGCTAGAGGTCATTAATTTTCATCAATATTTAGCCAGCTGTTTTTACTAATGTAGTACAAGTGAGTGCTATCACTTTTTTGTTCAAGAAAGACAAGTCAATAAATATTGTGTGTTCTTTCCTTCCTTGTCTTCCTTTGAAGTTTAAATTCAGGAATGCAATCAATCTGAAGAAAGCCACCAAAGACAGAAATAAATAGGCCATGAGATACTCACTAACGACGTTGGCTTGTCCGGTGAATATGGTGTACTGGAGCTCGTAGGAGACCACGCTGAACTCATCATCGGAGGTCCAATGCACAGTGATGGTGTCATATGAAGCTGTGCAGAGCTCTTCTCTAATTGTGGGAGGGTTGGGAGCTGTGGGGGTCAAGAATGCTTATCAGTGGAAAAGCACACACAACTGGGATACCATTTCAGAGGAGATGTTTGACAGTTAAGCAGGTCCTTCTCAATAGGTCCATCAGGACTACTATCCTAGAGATGGTGACCCCAATCTAAAGAATATCTGATTGGCTGGTTATTGCTTTTGTTTTTAATAAGGAGTGTGACTAGAGTCAGCCAGTATGGACTTTCTGTGTTTATCATGAGATCATGAGAATATGTTTGGGAGGTTAAACAAATAATACTTTCTTGTGCATGAAGGAAAACTTGTCAAATAAAAAGTAAACAAGATAAAGTTTCATAGCTGCATTCACTTTGGGAGGTTGGCTAACTTTTTCAGTAAAGGCCTTGATGGTAAATGTTTCCAGCTTTGTGGGCCATACAGTCTCTGTTGCAACTAGTCAACTCTGCCATTGTAGCATGAAAACAGTCACAACTTATACATGTGGGCATGGCCAGGTTCCAATAAAACTTTATTTACAAATATAGGTAGAGGGTCAGATTTGGGCTGTAACCCAAAGTTCACCAACCCCTGACCTATTAATACGTGGTGCCAGATACTTATATCTTTAGGCACCCAATTGAAAAAATACTTATGTTTGTTATCCTACAAAAAATCAGCCACATAATTGTTTGAATTTTTCTTTCATTAGATGTTTCGATGACTTACATAAAAAAAAGAACTTACTAGTCCAGCCCTATTTTCTTCTCATTTCTCAACTCATGCGATATTTCAAATTCAGAAGACCATGATTCATAGTCAATCATATCTAAAAGGTACATTTTCCTTCCCCAAGGAAAAAACTTTTTTTTGGCATTTGGTTAATTTATCATTGTAGAAGGCTGCTGTTTTATTTCTTTAACACATTCTGGAGCAGAGAAGTCTAAGTCCTACCAAAATAATGAGTTTAAAATGACTTCTACTGAATTGATTTCAGTAACTGGTTTTATGAGAAGAGTATGTGAGCAAGGAAAATATGAGAAAATGAGTGCTTTGCATTGTAAATAATATTTTAGAGGGAGGGGTTGGCAAACTGTGACTGTGGGCCAAGTCTGGCCCACTGCCTGTTTTTGTAAATAAAGTTTTATTGGAACACAGCCAGATTCATTCATTTATGTATTGTCTATGGCTGCTTTGGAGCAACAGCAAAGTTGAGTAGTTGTGGCCATATGGACTGCAAAGCCTAAAGTGTCTACTATCTGGTGGTTTGCAGTCAAAGTTTGCTGACCTCTGGTTTAGAGAATTGATCCAGGGCCTTTACTTCCACTCTTCTACCCACTAGAATCTCACTTCAAAAGGAGAAACATACCTGCACTCTACAAACTAGGAGCAACCTTTGCTTGTACTATTTCAGAGTTATTTCCTGCTCTAAATTATGATTAGAATTGATGAGTCCTAAGCAAACCCAAAGAGGAAGAAAAGTTTATAAAAACTGTAAATTTAAACTCTGCGTTAGTAGTCTTCACTTTGCTTTTTGAATATACCTCTAGGACAAGTATCACAGAAGCAAGTCTACGGTATTAAGTCAATTAGCTTAGCTTTATCTATTGGTTCTGAATTCCAGAAACATTGTTGAGCACCTCCAACGTGACAGGCATGGCATTAAATTGTGCATTAAGACAGAAGGGTTCTACATAACCTTTAAAGCATTCTTTCTGGAATATGTATTTGTACATCTGTCTCCTGAAGTATTCACATGTGAGATTTAGTGTCATGTGGTATGACTTGGATGTGCATGAATCAGTGACACCAATCAGGATATGCATTCCACGGAGGAGGTCCAGCTGCATCGTAAAATGTGCTTATTATTGTCTGTGTGGTCCCTGTTGGTGTGGGATCACTCCTGCATGGACCAGTGAAGAAATACTTACTCTCTCACAATTTAAACAGTTCATTGAATTATTTCTCCATCAACCATTGTAGAAAAATTTTGTTCTGTATTGCAATATACAATTAAATAGAAAGAAAACGTATGTTCAAAATAGGCAAGTAGCTGTGAGACACATGGTAGTAGCCATAATCAGGAAGGAAATGTCACCTCTATGGGTTATTAACTTGATATACCACTTAGAGGCATGTCATAGGAAAAAAAAAATCTTGTTTTTACAATGAGACAGGCTAACCTTATTTTGACTGTAAACCCAATGAGTTTGTCCTGAGAAGTCAATACTCAATTTAGTGTAAATGAGAACAGCAGCATGCTGCCAATTTCAATACTCATGGAATCAGTACCAGAAGTGTTATTTTCTTGTCTCTGTCACAAACACCACCCAAGGAATGGTGGGCTAATACTCCACAAAGACTTCATTTCCTGCTTACAAATGTCATAAACTATTTGGACTTGGCAGTATCAGCCAAGCATCATATGTTATGGTCAGGATCGATGTTATGTCTAGAAATGGACTGAATTTGTATTTGGGGTTGACAGCTCAGAAGACATAATAGCAGGTACCCCATATGGCCTTTAGTTTGAAATAAACAGCCATCGGGATGAAATATGGTGTATGTTACAATTCAGTCTAAACTACTTTCACAATTTCCCCTTTAATCAATACTTTTGCATTCCTATAGAGATTAAAATGGGTATATGTTGTTGAAATACTATGAAATAATTATTGGGAAATGGCAAGGGCACATTCTTGTCAATAAGACTGATTCTGGGCAGAATGGCCATGTGCCTAGGCAAATACTTAATTTTCCAGTCTTTTCTGTCCCTGGACATGACCTTGTAACACAGATACAGCCCACCAGACATAAGTGGAAGTTTGCTAGGCGGGTCTTCTGATCAAGCTTTTTGTTTTTCTGATAAACAAACTTCACTGGCAGAGCATTTTGTCCATCGTTTCCCCTCCACCCCTTTCTTTTTGCCTAGAGCTTGAGCACAACACTTGGAGGTGGAGTAGTCATGTTGTGATCATGTGGCAAAAAGGCAACACAATGAAGGCGGCAGAGGAGGAAAAAAGAAAGAGCCTGGGGTCTGAGGTCGTCACTGAACCACTGCCCAGCCCTGGAACACAGGCTTCTCTTCTGTGACTGTAATACAAACACTCCTTGATGGTTTTATTCACTGCTAGTTGGATTTTTTGTTGCTTGCAACTAAACTCATTCGCAAATGATATAAGAAAAAGGAGATTTTTAACAGGATGCCACTGTGAAAAACAGCTTAGCTGGAGAAAGTCTAGACCTGCACTGTTCAATACAATAGCCACGAGCTACATGTGGTGGTTTAAATTTCAATTAAATTTAGTTGAAGTTAAATAAAAGTAAAAATTCACTAGCCACATTTCAAGTTTTCAATAGCCCCATGTGGGAGGCAGCTAACGCTGGATAGTACAGATATAGAACATATCTATCATCATAGAAAGTTTTATTGGATAGTGTCAGTTTAAATAAATCTCAGAGTTAAAAGCTTAAATAGGAGGGCATTATGTACACAAATATTTGAAACCAAGTTTAGTTCCATACGGTAAATGCTTTTTTAGTCAATTTCTTTCTTCCTTAATAGGAGTGGTATGTTTGAAAGAGAGAGTTACATAAGATAAGAAGTTTGTGGAATGCCTGCCTGCCTTGCTTGACAATGCAGAAAGGCTAAAAACGGCACATTGGGTCCTCGCAAAGAAAAAATGCTCATCTTCTGGGTACAATGCTCCCTGAATATAGAACCCCTGGCCTTCTATCCACAGACTGTAAAAACAAACATCACACAATGTTCCCTTTCTCCTGCTCCACCTTGTTCAATCGCTTTCTCACAAACATGTACACACAGAATTGGAATTGAGAAGCTCATGTCACGCTAAGTTAGAGACGTGGTCTCTTGAAGGCTGTATGTCTTAAGTGCAGCGCACATCTGGCTTCACTGTGTACATTGTGCTTTCCTGAAGTCGCAGGCACTGGTGGCTTTGGCTAACACGAATAAGGTTGTCTAAACAGTCCAGGTTCTACCAGTGAATATTCTCAGTTCCTACTTTAGAAGTTGACAGCAAAGAAAAGTTTAGAAGCATGCTTAGGAATAGGAGTGGCCTGAGGTTTTTGTTGTTTTGTTGTTGTTTTTGTTTTTTAAGCTCAACCAAGGGAGAAACAAAACAAAACAAAACACCAACCAGGAAGCACACTGAAACACAGCACTAGGAATTCCAATGTAAATTTGTGACCTTTGCCATGGTGACATTTGCCAAGATAAAATTCAGTCTTTTACTAGAAAGAGCAGAAGTTTTTGGAGTTTGTACAGGTCCCAGCCAAATTCTAATTCTGTCATTCCCTAGTTACCTGATTTCCAGCAAGACGGCTGATCTCTGTCATTTGCAAAATGGGGATTATAATGCTTTACCTCAACTCGATGTTGTGCAAATTAAAACAAGATCACAAATACAAGGAGATGAAGCAGTACAGACAACCAATCAGTTAGCTGCCAATTTTTTCTCTGCCAATGTATTGTGAGTTGCTTACTACTATGATATGAAAAATACCACAGAGAGATACTATTTTTAGCACCCACACCTTGAGAGTGAGGGAAACAGTGGTAAGTATGCTTTTAATGGTTGAGATTCTCCTTTTTCTCCTGTCCCCAGTTTAGTAATGGGCTGTGTTGTTTTGATGAAAAAACAAAGGGCAATGCACAGAAATTGTTTATGGAAATATCAGTGCCATTCCTAGGTCAAAAGCCCATTCCTCTGGTTATTGGGGAATAACTGATCTGGTGGCAAAGTGTTTATATCACTAAGTGTGCACAATATTAAAGAGAACATAAAAGACAATACCTGTAAGGTAATCCAGACATTCTAGCAGTTTCTTCTCTCGGGAAAAATCTAAGGCAAAGGTGTCAAATGTGTCATTGAGGTTGATTTCAGGAATTAGAACCTGGGAGGATGCAGTTGCCATGGAGACTCTGTAATGCAAACAAAACAATGTTTCAGAAATGTCAAGATGACTTTCAACATCACTGCATAGAAATGAAAAAGAAAAGGAAAATAAATATCTCTTAAAAAGTGCTTTTTTACACATGAGTTTTAAGAGGCATCTCAAAATGTCACAACACAGTAACATAAAACAAATGAATGCAAGCTTTAAAAAAAAGTGAAGGAATTGGAGAAAACAACAAAATGGCTTGCCCTCTTCCTTTTTACTATCAGGAAAAAAAATTCCCTGCGAAAGCAAAAGAATATTCATATTTCATGTTGCTGTGTATTTAACAGTCTGGCCCGGTCACGTCTAACCCCAGCAAGAAGCGCGTAGCTCTAGGCATTTCTTCACACATCTGTCTGGGAAACTGTTTGTTCCTTTCAGACGCAACCCTGATCCACTTCAAAGGAGAGTCTCCAAAATTTCAAACTGCATAAAAGGCAAAGTGAATATTAAAAAAGAATGTTTCCAGATATTGGATTAGTTTAATCAATTACTAGCCTCTCTCTAAAATAAACATTAAAAAGGGAGTTTTTTGTCTGGCTCATTTTCTTTCTCTTTGTATTCATTTTCTTGCACCATATTCCCAGCAGATGCTGTGGAAAATATTCATGAGCTTTCTCACAAATCCCCCCAGTGGATGCACTATTTCTCTTCTTCATTTAGGTTTTCTGGTTAGAGTTCTCATGTATAAACTAAAAAGCAAGGCACTGGTGTGTCTCAATCTCCTTCTATGTACTCTCAGGTTCATTTGGAAGGTTCAGTTATTAATAATGAACACTTTGATTCAAAAATGCAAGTGCTTCTCTTAAAAACAAGAGAATTGTGGCATGAAGCATACCATTTCTGAGCATATCAAATGATGCTGGACTAGTAATCTTGTTGAGTTTGGTATTTTGTTAAGTTCCATAAACAACACTCTTAAGAGCTATTATATGCGGAGTATTGCGTAGGATGCTGGGAATTTTTGAGCAAAGAAACAACCTTGAAACAATTTAGTACTAAATCTAGTTACTTATTTTCTAATTAAGAAAATTGATGCTCATTTATACAAGGCCACAAAGCTAGCTGGCAGCAGCAAGGAGGAGAATTTCAGATCTGTACTCTTCTGTTTCATCTAGAAAAATTTCAGGCCAGTTACTCCAAGGGTTATATGTCCTTTTGAGTCTCTTAATGGCTCTTAAAGCTTTGGATTTACAAATGTAATATATCTTGGCTCTAAAAATTACATCTGTGGGTATATATCTATACAACAGGATATTATTCAGCCATAAAAAGGGATGAAACACTGACACACGCTACGATGTGGATAAAGCCTAAAAACATTATGCTCTGTGAAAGAAGCCATCAAAAAGGCCACATATTGTATGATCCATTTGTATGAAATGTCCAAAAAAGGCAAAAATTCATAAAGACAGGGAGTAGATTGGTGGTTGCTAGGGGCTAAGAGGGGAGGGGAGATGGGGAGTAACTGCTTAATGAGTATAAGGCTTACTTTTGGTATGATGGAAGTGTTTTGGAACTTGATAGAGGTGGTGGCTACACAACAATGTGAATGTCCTAAATGCCACTGAATCGTGCATTCAGAAGCAGAGTCTCACTATGTTGCCCAGGTTGGTCTTGAACTCCTGGGCCCAAGCGATCACCCTTTGGGAGGCCTTGGCCTCCCAAAGTGCTGGGATTACAGGTATGAGCCACCACACCCAGCCTTAAAATGGTTAATTTTATGTTGTGTAAATTTCACCCATCTAAAAAAGAATATACCTGTAAAATGCTCAAAATTCATAGAAATACAGTTTCTATAGTTGTATTTCTGGCAGATTTTCAGTGTTGTACAGGAGGGAAGGAGAGAGCCTAATCAACAATGTCATAAATGTAATGATACTGGGATTGAAAGATGCAAGTGAAGAGGTCTAAGCTCTGGAAACGAGTTTCAAGTGTCTGAATGAGGGTAGAGAATCTAACTGCATCTCCTGACCCTTTCACCAAGAAGTAGTGAATAGCAGAGTTGAGTGCTTTTGTTGACTAAATATTGCACCCTGGGGAATTGGGCTAATTATTGTTACCAACAGCTGCTAATTTAGACTGATGGATACGGAGATGGTTGCTAGGCATTTTTGATTGATGGTCAAGTTATACTTTAAAAATGCTTTCCTTATGACCCATGAACACAAAAAGTCCTTAAACTTCATAGAGGTCCTAGGATTATTCTCAACAAATATTTATGAAGCCCTTAAACTATGCTACACACCAAAGAGCCCAGAATATATGCATTCGATGCAGAAAAGTTAAAAGAAATGCTAAGGTGCCATTTGAACCCTTAAAAGATATCGCAAAGTGAAACGCCAATTAATTCTCCATCATAATGTCTGGCAGGGAGAACTGTTCTGAGCTACTGGGAAACAAGCACCAAACTTGCAATTGCATTTCCCTGGCTTTAGCAGTTTCCCTGCCCACTGGCAGAAACCTCTTTATTCAGTCTCATCCAAAATAGATTTTGTTCCCAAGTTTCTCCTGGTTCCATGGTCTACAAACAATTAAATAAAACATTTTAAATTGAGTGACACTGTTAATAATGTCTACCATCTTGATGGTAGGAACTTTGTTACATGGGAACCAAAAGGATCAAAGTTCCTAGCCTGGGAGGTAAAGGCTGACAGCAAGAATCAGTGGAGATTACTGCAGCTTTTAACACCTACACATTTGTTTTTTGATGGAAGGAAAGATACTTATCTTTGGCTACAACTTCAAATTCCTAATTGGAGTGACAGGCAAGGGGAAATCTGCCAAATTCAACATTTTAGGCCATGTTTTTATTTCCCAAATCCTTATTGCCCATCTTCTGGCCTTTTGGATAAGTTGCCAAATCCACTAGGGCTGTTAGCGCTATGCCACTTTCTCAACTTCTTGCTTTACAGCCATGTCTGGGACACATGGGGCCAGTTTTCCAGAAGGTGGACGTGTCTGGAGCTATGCTGCTCACAAGGCTTCTGCCAAACAATGTGCATCACCAAAGTAAAACCCAGTGAGGCCTCACAGTAACAAGATAGGTTTACTTTGGTCAGCCCAGGAATTCCCAAACACATTTGGCCTTGAAAACGTGCAGTTATCTTAATGCCTATGAACACCCTGCAGACACACTTCCAAAACCACTGATCAGATATGCTCTAATTCTTTGAACCAAGCAACATCTTTTCAGAATTGACAACTGGAGTTCTTGGCTTTGTATTCTGGAAAAGATCCTTGAACTGCCTATTGTAGTGAGGAACAGAAGGATCACCTTGAGGAGTCTGAGAACCTCCTAGGTGCTTTGAACAATAGGTACTATTCAGAGGGAAGTTTCTTTTTATCACCTTCTTGATACAGATAAGTTACTGCTATAAGGGATTTTAATTCTAGATTCTTCATAAGCAGACCAACTTTCTTATGCCTGGACTTAGTGAATAGCTTTGCTTATTTAAAATAATGCTATAAAGGTGCATATACAATCACACCAAAGACCTATCTACTAGTGTAGCTTGAGAATATAGTACATTATACATTTGCATTCATCTAGTGAGTGGGAAGGAAGAGAACTAGTATTTGTTGCATGTTCATCTTGTGACAGAAACTAGGCTAATGTTTTTACTACATTATTGCATTTTATCCCCACAATAACCATCTTAGGTAGGAATAATTAGTCCCGTCTTACAGATTTATGGATCCATTCATTCATTCACTCATTCACTCATGTCAGGCAGCTCGCAATGTGCTGGGGCTATAATGGTAAAAACAAGGTGGCTAGGGTACCTGCCTACTTGGAGTATATGAGCAAAATTAGCCAATGTTAATGAGCAGCCTCAATGCTATCTATAATTACTAAGCAATTAGCACAGAGCCAAACAACCGGTTCCAAAGCAAAAGCATCTCCTACAATGTAAAGCTTGAGGCTCTCTCCCCTTTTGGAGTTGTTTGATGTTTCTGAAATGAAAGAAAAATTTACAGTTTTGATTCAGCTTGTAGGAGGACATATCCACTTTAAGTCGCTTAACGATGCAGAAAATCTCATCTAAGTCTCACTTCAAGAATGCCTGCGGGATTAAAAGTTTGTTCTGGGCTCCACACCTGAATTGAAGAATAAAGATTGTTTGGAAGTATACAGGAGCCAAAGCCCAAGGCAGGCACAATAGGAGACAGAAAAAAGAAGTCATGTCCTAGAGAAGAATGTTAAGTGACAGGTTGATGAATAGGGGCAGGTAGACAGAGAGTAGCATTGGAAAAAAGACACACAAGGCGGGCTAGACTGACATGTTGAAACGTGAAAACAGAGATCCAACTAACACTCATGGAGTAGCTATAATGCTAATGACCTGTTCTTAGGAACTTAAAGCAATGTCATCACAACAGTGACAGCTATTCTGAAACCAATTTTTTTAAATAATTTTTTTATTAGTAAAAACAATTCTTTTGTGGGTATATAGTAGGTGTTTATATTTATGGAGTACATGAGATATTTTGATACAGGCATGCAATGTGAAATAAGCACATCACAGAGAATAAGTTATCAATCCCCTCAAGCATTTATCCTTTGGGTTACAAACAATCCAGTTACATTTTTAAGTTTTTTTTTAAACATACGATTAAGTTATTATTGACTATAGTCACCCTATTGTGCTACCAAATAGTAGGTCTTATTCATTCTTTCTTTTTTCCCATTAACCATCCCTACCCACCCCCACTCCCACAACTCCCTACTATACTTCCCAGCCTCTGGTAACCATCCTTCTACTCTCTATGTCCGTGAGTTCAATCGTTTTGATTTTTAGATTCCACAAATAAGTGACAGCATGCAATGTTTGTCTTTCTGTGCCTGGCTTAGTTCACTTAATGATCTGCAGTTCCATCCATGTTGTTGCAAATAACTAGATCTCATCCTTTTTTATGGTTGACTAGTACTCCATTGTATATATGTACCACATTTTCTTTATTCATTCATCTGTTGATGGACACTTAGGTTGCTTCCAAATCTTAGCTATTGTAAAAGTGCTGCAGCAAACACAGGAGTGAGGATATCTCTTCTATATACTGATTTCGTTTCTTTTGGGTATGTACCTAGCAGTAGGATTGCTGGATTATATGATAGCTTAATTTTTGGATTTTTGAGGAACCTCCAAACTGTTCCTGAACCCAATTTTCTAAGTAGAAAATAGCTCAAAGACCCATAGTTAAAAAGTGGCAGTGCTAGGACTGGAACCCAGGTCTGCCAACTTCTAGTCTAAGCCCAGTGTCCTTTTTCTATATCCTAGCTGCTGGAAGGATAGAAAGGCTCAGGAATTAGCCAAGAGGATTGACAAATAGTGATGGGAGGAGAGGGGACTGCAGAAACAGAGACAAGGCTCTTGGCAAATTTTTACAGGCTCTGTGAATTCAAACTTGACAGAAGCACATTCTTTGTAGAAAGAGAAATCAAAGTCATGTTCCTGCTCTTGATGAGTTGGGCTTGTTATAGAGAGAGCTGAATGGGAGCAGATACGTCCCACTGGAACTGAGGGAGATTGTATGTGGGCATTCCCACACCTGTGCTATACTTCAGATGCATATCTTCTTTCAGCAATAACTGTTATGGGGTCACATCATCCCTGGTCACTAGGTAAGAATTTATTCATGTGACACTTGGTTGAATCTTCAGGGATTGATGAGGAATGCAGTTCATAATAGCCATTTCATCTGGACATCTCAAAGTTCATAGATGGAGAAAAGTACTCCTGGATTCCGGTTGGAAACCGTGACCTAAGTGTAAACGCTATCTATTAGTGTCCTAGGTACACTGGAGTATTAGTGCTATTTGCAGTTTTTAACTTTAGGGTGAATATTGAGCAACTGGATATGGCCCAGGGAAAATAAACATTTGGAACCAAGGAATCAGGAGGAAAGAAATGGGCCTCTCAGAGTAAGGAGGAGAGCATCTTAAGTACATAACAGGGATGATAGCCAGCTGTTATCCATGCCTTTTAGAAGAGATAAGTATCTAATCAGCTACAAAAGGAATTTTCCTCAAATATAAGAAATAATACAGTCAAGCCGATTGGACAGTAGACCAGAGTTGTAAAAACACGATACATTACTCTTTAAGAAGAGTGAAAATGGAGATGTCAATCACTCCTCCTCTATGCGATATTTTGAGAATTAGCACAAGTTTCCGAAACAAGCAAGCACTCAATAAATGTTAGTTTCCTTTCTCTTTCTTTGAATAAATTTGAGTCATAAGATGGCGAGTATTTTTTTTCCTAGGCCAGGGGTTGGCAAAGTATGGTCTACTGCCTGTTTTTGTAATGGTTTTATTGGCACACAGCCACACCCATTTGTTTCTATATTATCTATGGCCGCTTTAGAGCTAGCTACAATGGCAGAGTTGAGTAGCTGTGACCAAGACCTTACAACCTGCAAAGCGGAAAAATATTTACTTGATGATCCTTTATAGAAAAAGTCTGCTGATCTCTGCTCTAGGATGAAGATCAGCATGCATGAGCTCTCTGGGGTCTTCTAGAGATAGGATTCTATTATTGCTTTGGATAAAGGGCAGTTGACTCTGAAAATTAGAATGAATGAAGTCAAGGCCATTAGCCTGAGTTAGAGATGTCATTTATGTGGCATTGGCTGTACCTGGCCCAGCCTAGTGCTTCTCTTTGTTTTTTCATTTATTTATTTTTTTTGGAGAAAGAGTCTCGCTCTGTTGCCCAGGCTGAAGTGCAGTGGCACGATCTCGGCTCACTGCAACCTCCGCCTCCCAGGTTCAAGCAATTCTCCTGCCTCAGCCTCCCAAGTAGCTGGGATTACAGGCGCCTGCCACCACGCCTAGCTAATTTTTGTATTTTTTTTTTTAGCAGGGACCAGGTTTCACCATGTTAGTCAGGCTGGTCTCGAACTCCTGACCTCAGGTGATCCACCCGCCTTGGCCTCCCAAAGTGCTGGGATTACAGGCGTGAGCCACCGTGCCCGGCTAGTGCTTTTCTTTGGATCCACTAGAATTGCTATAGGTGTTTGTGTCAGTGAAGATGAGCAATTTTTATACCAACCAAGTATGTGTGCCGAAAAAATACTTATCTTTGCCAGTTTTACTGCTGAGCCAACCATTCAGATAACATCACATTAAAGCTCCCTACCTGAGAATAAAGAGTATTTTAAAAGAAGCCCGTATGAGGTTGACAGTTTGGTCCTTTCTCTCCTGCGTGAGTTGGCCTTGACCTTTTCAGGTGAGGCCAAGCTCCTCAACCAAATGAAAATGGGCCTAACAGAGAACAACACCTGTGTGATTTTAAAAAAAAATAGATGAGCCCTGTGATGGAAGAAAATATTCCCTTTAATGTTTTTGCCTTCATTTTGACTCTTTGTTATCAAGTGTACGATAACATCACATCTGAGAGTCACAATAAATGCTGTTTTTGTGCCATCATAAGCTCCCCCCTCGTCCAAAAGCAGGTTGATTTTATTCTTTCTAACTGGTGGACTCTTGTTTCAAAGGCCTTGAACTCCAGACTCCAGGCTGTTACTGAAAGGGCTTTCACATGTCAAAAGGAAGCATCTTTAGCTGGAACAAAACAGCTCAAAGCCTCTATTCTCTCTGGTACTGAGCCTTGAAAATGAAAATAAAAGCAAGGCGAGGGCAAGACCAACCAATCACAGCGCAGATACAAGAGCCCAGCAGCCGAGAAATTCCCAGGGGCCCCTGCACTCACCTCTCGGTGATATTCTTAGCAGTCTGTAGGAAACGCGCATGATCATTCTCCTTCAGAGAGTGTTCCGCTTGGGAGATGAGTGATGCTGACCGCTCAATGCACTGTTTGCAGTTTGCAATCTGCTGAGCCAGTTTGCGAAGCCTCATCACCTTGAACAAAAGAGGCATGGAGAGAGATGGTTACATGGGTGGTCTTGCTTAATGAAAAGGCATCAGGCTGGATCCTTCATTTTGTTGTGTTATCCTTCCATAAAAGTTCAAAAAGTAGGCATAGAGATATATCAAAATATGGAAAGCTCCGTTATGGGACTCTGGTTTAGATATTCCTTATCTCATTGGAGAAGCATTGCTAATTCGTTTTACGAGGAAACACTGAATTGTGAATTGCTTCCCTGTTGATGGGAAAAAAAGGTGTTGCCCAGTGGCAACTTACAAAGGGTCACCAGACGTCTTCCCTGGACTATTCCACACAATGACTGCAAGACTGTAGGGAACCCTGGAACTTTCTCTATCTCAGGTTTATCTTCTTTTCATCAAGAAGATAAAACATCTTTATAGGTGGTGAATCTATGGTTTAAATGAAAACCATTTTCTAAAAAGTGTTTTTTGTAATTCATGTAATAAAATCGAGAATGGAAAGCATTAAGTGTTACTATTTCCCACACTACCTAAAACTCATGTGTTAAATTAACAGAAAGGGAGCATTTTTCCCATTGATTAATATTTTTCCTGTTGAGCAGATGAGAGAAAGCCAAAAAAAGCACAGCTGGGCCATTTCCCCTCACTGGGAACGTCATTTCCAGGCACTTTGTGCTTACTTGATAACTAGGAACTATTTTGATAAGCATTTCCCAGTTGGGATAAAAACGCATGATTGCTTCACAACCTCCATTCCAATTCCTGATTCTGTCTCGCTTGAAAATGTCCCTCAAACATAATTGACCATAACCTCCGGGGCAGGCCAAGATAAGTCCAAGGTAACCCACTTGACCGTTCGCTCTTGTGTTTGAAATGTGCTGTGAGATGAAGTCCTCTAGCCAGAAGCCAAGTTAAAATTAGACAGCTAATTGGAATTGCTGTGTGCCTACTGCCCCCAACCACACACCCAGGGACAGGTTTCAACCGGCTTTATGATAATTCTGGAATGGAAAATAGCCCTGGGTGAAAGGGTACGGAGGAGACCAGTCAATCTGTCTTACAGACAAGGCTGGCCCAAGGCTCTCTCCAGAATTCCTGCTAATTCCAAGAAATTCTTTCTTTCTCCAAGTCGTCATTACCATCCCTGTATAACTCTAATCTAAGAAAAGGAAGGAAAGAGATGTCAGAACTTGAGGCCTCTAAGGAACATCCAATTCCAAGTATGTACTATAAGCAAACAAAGGAAATTCATACTGAATTAGAAGCAGCAGGCACAAGATTTCAGGCAAGGGTGAAAAAAATTCCTGAAAGAGTCAGAGAATGAAGTGTCAAAACTTTAGGGCAAATAATATAGGATCGTGAGCCTGGTAAAAGACTTAATGCATTATAATTATAGTTACTGTCCCCAGTGGATTAATTGTATTCATTAGTGGAATAAAATAACACTTATTTTACACCAAATAGAATTTAGCCTCTGGCATCATTCTATCTGGAGGCAAAGCTAAGGAAGGCATCCAGTACGCGCAGGATATTAGAACATGTTCATAAGAAACTGTCAGAGGAAGGAAAATTCCAGAAGGAAAACTAATTTACAGTCCACAGGACAAACCAAGTGAATGGAATATTTAATCACACAGCATAAAGAATCATTTAAATTACATGGCCGAATTGCAGATGTTTAATACAATTCCAGCAAAAGAAAATAAGGTCAAAATATTCCTTTAGAATAACTTCATGACAACTACTTATCCTTTAGATATGCCTATTAAAGACCACACACATTTCAAATGCGATGATGCTTGAACTCCAGTTTCTTCTTTTCTTTTTCTATCATGATATTGAACATTAAAAGTGACATAACAGGAAAAAGAATAAAAGAGCCCTAAATCATGCAAAAATTAAAGCAAGACAAAATGAGAGTCGCCTGTGAAAATATCGGAATGTTCTACAGAGAACAATTTTGGGCATAATTTTAGTTATAGGTTAGTGTACAATTTCATCTGATACATCTGATTTGAGCTTTGCAAACCTAGTGTAAAAGAATCAGCTGGGCATCATTTTGAAAGAAAAACAGTAGATGTTTGGGTCTACGCTCCAATATTTGAGTTAAGGAGTTGTAATTCGCAGAGCAGGAGGAATTTCCATTTCAACAAGCAACAAATGTTTTTAAGCCTGCAGGTGATGAATCATTAGGACAGTCAGGACTAGCCTTTAAAAAACCAAATAGAAGAGGAGAAAAGCAAATAGCAGAGTGCATTCCTGGTAGAAAAGGCAAGTTGGGTTTTGTAAAACCTTTTGTGTGTGTGCATGCGTGCACGCTGTATTGTGATGTCATATATATTTCTTACTGCGGGTTACAGTAAAAAAAAAAAGAAAAAAGAAAAACACTGCTCTAAGTTAGGTGTTCCTAGGCTGTGATCTGTGGGCCAAATCAGCATACAGCCTGTTTGTGTAAATAAAGCTTTATTGGCATACTACCACACTCATTGGTTACACATAATCTATGGCTGCTTTCTTGCTACAATGTTGTGCAGAAGTGAGTTGCTGCAACAGAGACCGTATGGCAAAGCCTAAAATATTTGTTATCTGGCCCTTGACAGAAAAGTCGGCTAACCCCTGGCTTAAATGATTACAGTCAGATGGCCCTGATTTGCAGCACACTCTGAAACACTGTCCTACTTGTCACAGCACTTCAAACTCAGACACCCAGCATGGAGCGAAGTACTTAGTTTTCTATTAGACAACACTTTTTAATGTATTATTTTTAAAAGTTGACAAGGTGAATAAAATTTGATGTTTAAAAAAATTAGATACTGACACATAAAAAGATTCTGTATGTGTCTGCCTTAATGCTGCAAGGGAAATATTTTCCAGTCAACTCTTCATTTTTCCTTTGGGAAGTGAGATTACCACATTGCAACTTTTGGAATTTACTCTCTACTAGTCATGGAAATAGTTTGCCTGCTGGAATCTCCTTTTAGCAGGGACACAGGGCTGTTTATATCATTTTATTTGCTGTTTATTATACCTTACACATTCTTTTAAAAGCCGCTTTATTTTGCTTGAAATGCGTTTTAAACACTTATTTTTATATAAATCTTTTTATATGTATGTAGGATACACAACCCAAAACAATTAGGTCCAAACAATGCATCCTCAATTCACACAAGTATCTGAACTGAAAATGAGGCCTGTTCTCACCATCTCTTTAAGGCCATGGAGAGCTCAACATTTAGTCCAAGTTAATTTTCTTAAACTTTTAAGATTTAGTGTACATAAAAGGCAGTGAAGAAAAGGGACCCTTATTTTGTTGAGCTTTGGCCTTCAGAAGTCTACCATAGATCTCTGTGTCTGAACATTAAATGAATGAACTCAATCTGAATTTAGCTCTTTGTGTGTTGACATGAAACTTATCCCCGACTACTGAAAAAAAGAAGAAAATTCTTTTCCAGGGAGCCTCATGGCTTAAGACTCTCCAGTCCGCCCACCTATAAAGGCTGTCGAGTTAATTTGTTTCAGAGAATGTACAATGGTCCAAGAGCAGGAATCATCAGTAGGTACTAACGTGTAATAATATCACCTGCTTGGTGACCTCGTCAATTGCAGAATTTGAGGTGAGTTTGACAGCTGAGTGACTAGTGTCAGAGATAGACAGGGGCAAAATAAGGCAGTTGATGAAACTCACTTTTGTGATCTCCACAATTCTGCCTGGTTCTTGCTCCACCTGCCCACTTCCAATTGCTTGTCAGAAGGCCCCACCATCCGTTCTTTAGACTCAATGCCCTCAGTTGCCACTGCCATCCTGGGGTGCAGGGACCCAAGTCCCCCAGTGAACCCCAAGTCCACACTTGCCCTCCCTGTCTGGCACCTCAGATTTCCACGGGTTGGCATTCACACCCTTCCTCTTAAAAACAGGCCTCTGACACAATATGCCCTGGCTAGGGACTTGAGTCACTGTGAGTTTCAGGGTTTGGAATGAACTAGTCCTTGGTCATGTGCCAAAGTACTAGCTCAAGAGAAAAGGAGTGCGGCCCTCATCTTTCCCAAGTAACATCTGCTTTCTAAGATTGCCTTCTGAGATAATGTTGCTGAGCAAATGTATACTTTTTAAAAAGTGAAGCATTCCATACATACAAAAAATTTAAGAATATAATGAACTGTCCTGTACATAGTACCAGGTTTACTAAATCTCAGTATTTTCATCATATGAGCTTCAGAGTTTTCAAAAGGAAGTAAAAAAGATTTTTTTTTGAGACAGGGTCTTGCTCTGTCACCCAGGCTGGAGTGTAGTAGCATGATTACGGATCACTGCAGCTTTGACCTTCCAGGCTCAAGCAATCCTCCTGCCTCAGCCACCTGACTAGCTGAGATCACAGGCACATGCCACTACACCCGGCTAATTTTTATTTTTATTTTTATTTTTTGTAGTGATGGGGAACCACTATGTTGCCCAGGCTGGTCTCAAACTCCTGGGCTCAAGTGATCCTCTCGCCTTGGCCTCCCAAAGTGCTGGGATTATAGGCATGAGCCACCACACCTGGTGGTAAAATATTATTGATAGCATTAAAGCCTCTGTGTGGCACTTTATAATCTCACTCATGTCTCTCTCCAGAAGAAAAGACCCTCTCAAATTTAGAGCTGATCACTCCCAAACATGTTTATGTACACATACCTAAACAATGTATGGGATTTTTTGGTAGTTTATTAAATTTTATATAATGCTTGTACAAATAATTATATAACTTTCTTCTGTTTTTGTGATTTGTCCGTGCTAATACATATCACCCTAGTTCATTAATTTTAATTTCTGAAGACTTTTTCATTATATAATACACAATTTATATGTCTAATAAACAGCTGAATTGAGATAGAATTTACATATCATAAACAGTACATACTTAAAGTGCAAATTTGACACTTTTTCAAATATGTATGCACCCATGAAACAGTCACCACAGTCAAGATAATAAACATATATATCATGCCCCACAATTTACTCCTGCCCCTTTGTAATTAACTGTGCCCATCCTTTCCTGTCATCCCATCCCTAAAAGCAATCATTGATTTGCTTTTTGTCACTGTAGATTAGTAGAAAGTGCCGTTTCTCGAATTTCATATGAATCTACTCATACAGAATATACTACTTTCTGTCTGACTCCTTTCACGCACCTTAATTATACTGAGATCCATCCATGTTGTTGCATTATAACTAGTGTAACTAGTTTATTCCTTTTTATTGCCAAAGAGTATTTCATTGTGTGATTATGACACAAATTGTTTACCCATTCATCTGTTGATGGACTTTGGGCCATTTCTAGTTTGGGGCTATTACAAGTAAAATTAACATGAAATTTCACCTACAAGTCTTTTTTTTTTTTTTTTTTGGATAGGGTCTCACTCTATCACCCGGGCTGGAGTGTAGTGGCATCATTTCAGCTCACTGCAACCTCTGCTTCTTGGGCTCAAGCGATTCTCCAGCCTCAGCCTCCTGTGTAGCTGGGATTACAGGAGTGAGCCACCAACACCTGGCTAATTTTTGTGTTTTTTGTAGAGACAGGGTTTCACCATGTTGCCTAGGCTGGTCTCAAACTCCTGAGCTCAAAGCAATCCACCTGCCTCGGCCTCCCAAAGTGCTGGGATTACAGGTGTGAGCCACCGTGACCAGTCTCACCTACAAGTTTTGTATGGACATAGCTTTCCTTTCTCTTGGTAAATACCTAAATGGCTGGATCATATGGTAAGTGTATGCTTACTTAAGAAACTGCCAGCTTTCCAGCATGTACTACTTTAATTCCCACCTCCAGCAGTTTGTGAGAGGCTCTGGTTCCTTCACATTTTTGCCAACACTTGGTATGCGCCATCTTTTGAATTTTAATTATTCTAGTAGGTAGGAAGCAGTATCTCATTGAAATTTATTTTGCATTTCATTAATGACTAATGATACTGAACCATCTTTTCACGTGCTTATTTACCATCTGTGATGGTTAATACTGAGTGCCAACTTGATTGGATTGAAGGATGCAAGTATTGATCCTGGGTGTGTCTGTGAGGGTGTTGCCAAAGGACATTAACACTTGAGTCAGTGGGCTGGGGAAGGCAGACCCACCCTTAATTGGGTGGGCACCATCTAATCAGCTGCCAGCGAATATAAGCAGGCAGAAAAACATGAAAAGGCAAGACTGGCTTAGCCTCCCCGTCTACATCTTTCTCCCATGCTGGATGCTTCCTGCCCTCGAACATCGGACTCCAAGTTCTTCAGTTTTGAGAGTCGGACTGGCTCTCCCTGCTAGCTTGCAGACGGCCTATTGTGGGACTTTGTGATTGTGTAAGTTAATACTTAATAAACTCCTCTCTCTCTATATATATATATCCTATTAGTTCTGTCGCTCTAGAGAACCCTAAGTAATACATCATCCACACCTCTTCTTTGGTAAAGTTTTCAAATCTTTTATGCATTTTGGTGAAAGGCTTGTTTTCTTATTAATGAGTTTTGAGAATTTGTTATATATTCTGGATACAATCCTTTATTAAAATAAATAATTTGTAAATATTTTCGCCTAGTTTGTGGTTGGTCTTTTCAGTCTCTTAACAGTGCATTCTGAAGAGGTTTTTAATTTTGATGAAACCCAACATATAAATATTTTCTTTTATGGATAATGCTTTTGTCATCTGTATGTAAAGAATCTTTGCCTAACCCAAGGTCAAGATCTCCTCCACGTTTTCTTCTAGGAGTTTTACAGCTTTTACCTTTTACATTTAGATATATAATCAATTTTGAGTAAAGTCTTGTATATAATGTGAAGTATGGATCAAACTTCATATTCTTACATACAGATATCCAATTGCTCCAGCACCAGTTACTAAAAAGACAATCCTTTCTCCACTGAAATTGCCTTTGCATCTTTGTTGAAAATCACTTGTCCATATATGTATGAATCTACTTCTCAAGTCTTTTTGCTGATCCTTTGATCTATTTGTCTATCTTTATACAAATACCACCTTATATTGATTTCTGAAGCCTTATAATAAATCTTGAAATCAGCTGATGTTAGTTCTCCAACTTTGTTATTATTTTCAAAGTTTTTTTTTTTTTTTTTGAGACAGAGTCTCTCTCTGTCGCCCGGGCCGGAGTGCAGTGGCGCAATCTCGGCTCACTGCAAACTCCGCCTCCCGGATTCACGCCATTCTCCTGCCTCAGCCTCCTGAGTAGCTGGGACTACAGGCTCCTGCCACCATGTCTGGCTTATTTTTTGTATTTTTAGTAGAGACGGGGTTTCACCGTGTTAGCCAGGATGGTCTCGATCTCCTGACCTCGTGATCCGCCCGCCTCGGCTTCCCAAAGTGCTGGGATTATAGGTGTGAGCCACCGCACCCGGTCTATTTTTCAAAGTTTTAAATGATTATGCTATATCCTTTGCATTCTAATATGAACTTTAGAATCGGCTTGTCAATTTCTGCAAAATAACCTGCTGGAATTTTCATTGAGATTATGTTGAATCTACAGGTTGATGTGGAAAGAACAGAAATCATAACTTTTCTGAGTCTTTACCCCATAACATGATACATGGCTTCATTTTTTAGTCGTCTTTAATTTCTCTCAGCAATATTTTGTAGTTTTCAAGGTCTTTCAAGTCTCACCCATCTTTTGTTAGATTTATCACTAAGTATTTCATATTTGTGAGGCTGTTTTAAATGGAATTTCTTTTTTTAAATTTCAATTTTCAATTGTTACTAATATATTGAAATGAAATTGGCTTTTGTATTGTGATCTTATTCTATGTCAGATGTTTCAGTCTTTGCTTTATGGTTGTTTTTTTAAAATTGTTTGGTCTAAAAAGAAAAATCCCTCCTACTCTGGGATCATATGTATGTTTTCTGTTAATGTGGTTCTGTTAACAGATATTCTGTAGTTGAGCCATCCTTGTATTATAAGAATAAAGGCTATTTTGATGTGTTTAATAAAACACTGATGGATTACATTTTCTCATATTAAAAAAAATTTTTGTGTCTATATTCATGGGTGATATTCTCTCACTCTAGATTTTTTAATGTTGTATGTATTTGGTATCAAGATCATACACTCTACATAAAATGTCTTTTTTCTATTTTCTGAAGTAGTTTATATGAGAATGAGATTATTAGTTCCTGGAACTTCTGTTAAAGTAAGCTATAGAACTGTGGGAGGCTGGTGCCATTTTGGGGCAGAAATGCAAGTTGATGGACATTTTCAATGACTTATTAAATGTCTTCTGCTTTTAAATTTTTGGTTTATTCAGGTTTTCCGCTACTTCTTTATGTAAGTTTTCAAATTATTGGCATGAAGACATTTACACAATTTTCTTATGTTTAAAAAAGTCTCTACTGTATTTATGGTATATTTGTTTATGGGGCCCCACACTCTTTTTTCCTTCATCAACCTTAACTACAGATTGGTCTTTTAAATTATTTTTTACAAGTAAAACTCCTCCTGATTAAGGGCTGGCAAACTTTTCCTGTAGAGGACCAGATAGTCAATATTTTAGGCTTTGAAGACCACATACTGTCTCTGTCACACATATATTGTTTTTCTTTATTTTTTTTAACAACCTTTTAAAAATGGGGGAAAAGGCACTTTTTTTATTCACAGATGTTTCAAAATTAGGCTGCGAGTTGTTCTTTGCTGACAGCTGTTCTTGTTTGTTTCCTGTTTTTCTTTCATTTACTTTTCTTCCTTTATTTCTTTCCTCTGCTTTCACTGGGTTTATCCTGTTGTGCTTTTTCTAGCTTTATTTGAAAGCTAATTTTTTACTTTTAGTATTACCTTTTTTGGGGGTGGGGGGACAGGGTCTTGCCGTGTTGCCCAGGCTGGTCTTGAACTCCTGGACTCAAGCAATCCTCCTGCCTCGGCCTCCCAAAGCGTTGGGACTACAGGTGTGAGCTACCATGCCCAGCCTCTTTTTCAAAAGAATTAAAGCCTGTAAGTTTGCCTTCAGATACTTTTTTGCTGCTTACTACTTATGATATATTATAGTTCTTTTACTGTGGTTTACTTCTACATTTAAAAAATATTACTGTGAAGATATATTTATATATGAATAGATTTTAGTGTCAAAAAACTATAGAAACTATTATTTTATTGTTGATAATATCTAATGAGATACAGTGTGTGGTCTTAGAGGCAGGGTTCTATGGTATTCAGTTTTTGAAATTTGCTGAAATACTTGCTTTCAACCAAGTGCATGATTATTATTTTAAAAATGCCCCATGTGTAGGTTTTCCTATATACTTTCCTATCTTTTGAGTTCAAACTCAGTCGGCATTTGTCAAACTTTAATGTCACTCAGACGTAAAAGAATGCGTTTTATGGCATTCCCAAGGTGGTGACCAAAACTCAGTTTCCAAATTTCCACTGCAGCTGAGTTTTCTTTCTAATTTCAATATCTATATTTTTCCCTCCAAAACTGCTAATTTGTTGCTTTCCTATCTATTTTTTTATTTCATTTCCTTCTTTTGTGGCTTCACTTTTTTTGCTCTTTTGAAAGAGAAGTTATTCCTTCATTTCTTTCTTTGAACATCTTAAGACTACTTCTTTTAAAGTCTTTTTCTTATTTTCCTATAAAATTAATTTTATCTGGGGTAAGATAATGTTGTCTGCTGATTTTGCTGGCTGTATGTTTAGAAATTTAAGATTTCTTTATATACTTTGAAATTAAACTTAGAGTTTCAGTTTTAAAGGGAAGTAATTTATAATTCTTTCCTCTCTCACCCTCCTTGCTCAGCCTACCCTGCTCTGATAGTTTTCCAGTTGCCTTCACCTGGCCCTTGAGGTCATTATTCAGGAATCCCATCCTTATCTCTGTGCTCCTGTTCTGTGTGGGTATCAGAAACAGTGTGAACACAGGCTTCAAGCTAACAATGTGACTTTGCTAAAAGCTATGATATGAGGGAAAGGTTGGCAATAATTTTTGACTGAAGCATGAAGCCTTCTATAGCCCATGGCATTAAATAATGAGCCTGATTTCCATTCCCCATCCCATCTGGAGCACTTCTAGGTCCTTTCCCCAAAGCTTCAAGAACTATTTATCCACAGGAGCTAAAGCCAAAGCTACTTTGGCCTCTTCCAGACCAAATCCCAGTAGCCTGTATCCTCAGCCACAGTCATGGCTTTTCAGTTTTGTCTCATTTCTGGCCTGTGGAGATGTTTATCTTGTTTTTGGTTCAGCTATATGTCTTTGCTTTTGCATTTTATTAAGTTCTTTATTACTGACATGTATTTGGGGTAGAACGAGTGCACCGAAGCATAAACTCCATGCATCACTATGGCTGGAACTTGGGGACACCTGCACTACTCTGATCTAGCTCATGAGAGAAACCCTGGTGGTGGGAAGTCCAAGCTAAGTAAGAGAAGGGAAGGCAAGCTAGCCAGGAAGTTGTGGTGGAGTGCCCTTGCAGGCTGAATAAGGGCTCTCAATGCTGCCCACATCCTAATCTCAGGAATCTTTGAATATGTTACTCACATGGCAAAAGGGACTTTACAGACATGATTAAGGATCACGAGATGGGGATGTTACCCTGAATTATCCAGGTAATCCCAATGTAGTCACAAGGGTCGTTATAAGAGAAAGGCAGGAAGGCCTGTGTCAGAGAAGACGTGAGGATGGGAAGAGAGGTCAGATTGATGCAAAGAGACCATGAGCCAAAGAATGCAGGCTACCTGTAAGAGCTAGAAAAGGCAAGAAAAAATGGATTTTCCCCTAAAGCTTCCAGAAAGAAACAGCACTGCCAAAACCTTGACTGTCGATTTTGTTTAACCCAGTGAGATCGATTTTTGGATTTCCGAATTTCAGCACACTGAGATAATAAATCTATGTTGTCTCAAGCCACCAAGTTTAAGGTAATTTGTTATTGCAGCAATAAGAAACTAGTAAGAGTAAGGTGCAAAACCTCAATTAGAGAGGAAGAGGAAGTGCTTTTTCAAAAAAATTATTTATTTATTTATTTTTTACTTTGAGATCTATTGCATGGCATGGTGAAAACAGCAAATAAATAATAACGTATTATACAGTTCAAAATCACTAAGCAAGTAAATTTCAAATGTTCTCACCACAAGAAAAGGCTTTGAGATGATGGATATGTTAATTAGCTTGATTTAGTTATTCCATATTTCATCCATAAATTATAACATCACTTTGCACTCCATAAATATAAATGTTTGTCAATTTAAAATTAAAAATGAAAATAAACTAATATGTGTACTGAGAGCTAATCTCTGCATGCAACCATGTAAAGATAGCAAATTACCTTCTGTATGCATATGAATAATTAATTGTGACTGTACTTCAGGTGGCCATGTGTCTGAGAACCTGGAATACTTCCAGAATTAAGAGATGTGCACCTATGATGCACGATGATGATGGAAGATGAAATATATCCTGTAAGGATTCCAGATGGACACTCAGTGCTCTTCTAAATTGGACAATTCGTATGTGGGGAAAAGTAGCTTTTCGGCACATGTGAGTCCTTGGCCAGGGAATAATTTCATGTTAATCTGTTAATCTACTATACCAGCATCAATAACTATTTGATTTCACTATTTTTTAGATCATTTTAATAATTTATGTGTATAAATATTTTGTAATCTATATAGACAGAGTAATCTAAAACATTGTACAATATTAGAAGGTACCTGTTAAATTTTGTGGAAAACACAGAAAACCACATACATTAGCCACGGTTATCTCTGTGTTTCACTTAAAACTTGCTAGTATGTTTTAATTATATATATTTTGTTTTAAAGTACAACTATGAACAATAATAATAGAAATGGATGAATTTATTGGATCATAAATAAACGCTTCTATTTTTAAAAATCCATAGAAAAATTATCCTTGGCCAGGCATAGTAGCTCGTGCCTGTCATCCCAGCATTTTAGGAGGCAGAGGCAGAGGCAGGTGACTTGCTTGAGCCCAGGACTTCGAGACCAGCCTAGACAACATGGTGAAACCCTGTCTCTACAAAAAATATAAAAATTAGCCAGGTGTGGTGGCCCATGCCTGTAGTCCCAGCTACTCAGGAGGCTAAGGCAGGAGGATTGTCTGAGCCCGGGAGGCGGCAGTTGCAGTGAGCCATGATCGTGCCACTGCACTCCAGCCTGGGTGACAGATAAAGACTGTCTCAAAAAAAAAAAAAAAAAAAAAGAAGAAGAAAAAAGAAAGAAAAATTATCCCTGAATGTGGCAGAGAATTGGGTAAAATTAAAAGGATCATAAGTATTTCAATAAAAACATGACTAATTTTAAAATAGAATAAACTGATGGATTATAAAGTGACCAACAGTTTGTGAATGAATTTTGAATAAATAAGAAAGCAGCTATAAAGAATGTATGTCAATTTATCTTAAAAATATAGTTTGCTGTAAAACAATAGGAAATTAAAACATAGAAACATTAGAACATTAGAAAAGAAGTATTATTACTATATCCACAAAGGAGTATATGATATAGTGAAACCCCAGGGGTTTTGGGACCATGAAGTTATACCTGTATACATTTCCTCAAAAACATGGGAAAGTACTTCATAATTTCTATAAATAAAGTCAGATTCATTTTTAATTTATGTAATGCTATGCTAGTTTCTAGGATATCACAATGAATACAAAATAAACTCTGCCTCCACAGAACCCACCTTCTCATAGACAAGTGAGATAGAAAACAATGGCCATGATAGACAAGACCTTTATGCTACCTCCTGGCGCTGGGCAATGGAGCAGCCCTTGTATCACAGGTCTTCACAGGAGACCATAGTACAAAGAAAAGGATGGAGAAAAAACTGCCAAGCAAAGGCCTTTTAACTAAGTCTTAAAGACTTAAGAGGGAATTATAGAATGTATAGAAAAAGAGGGTTCTCAACATTTCCAAAGTCCCTGGAGTGTATTAGGATTTATTTTCTCCAGGTAGAGAATATGAAATCTTCTGCCCTAGAAATCATACCTTCCCTTCTTTGATCTTGGTTCCAATAATCTGTCGTCTTTGCTGAATGATCTCAATGAGAAGATCACACTCCTCTGTCAATTTGGCTTCTTGACGTGATGCATTGACCTACAGGATAAGTACAATGGTAAGTGTTAATTTGGCCTTTGTTTTTCAGTTAAGTGCTATTTTTAATGTATACTAGGATGTTTCTAGTAATCTCTGAAAAGATATTTTAAATGTTAACTCTTTGTCCGATTACGCAAGGATTGCAAATATAGGACTTACATGGCCACTTCCTAATTTGCATCCTTGGAAAACATTATTATCCAATGACAGCAGTCTTTTCTACTAAGCCAGACTCAGCTGCAGAATCTTTAACATAACATGTACATAGCCATTACCAATTAGTTGGAAAATGATGTGTCATGTGAAATATATTTGCAATTCCTACTTTTATATTTTTAAAAAGTATCAAATTTGCCCTGTTAAACATAAAAAAAGTAAGTTAAAAAAAATCAATATTATTCTTTTATGGAGGACAGATTACTATCAATCTCTTTTAGACAAATTTTCCGTAAGCAATGTAGCAAGCCTGTATCACATTTGACATTTCTCTTAAATACAAACATCAATTTTGTATCTAATCACTATAAAACATAAAAAGCACAAAAAGATGGTTCAATAGTTTATTAATCTTATGACATAATTTAAAATTATACTCCTAGTATACTTCTGAAAGATCAAGGTTCTACAACGAAAGCATAACATTCATGTGGAAAGGTGGATCATTAGAGTGGCTTGTATTTGAAGTTTTTGTGACTTGCATTCAAGGGAGGCTTACAATTAGCTCATTCTTGGCAACTAGGCCTGGGAAATACTCTGCACATGCTATTTCCTCCATCTCATGGCAATTCTGAAATGCTTATTCACAAACAGAAACCCAGAAACCACAGCTGTGAGAGATGGAGATAGCAGGCATGAGGTTTATTATTTTAACACAGCCACAGGAGAAGTTGCAATGTTACAAAGAATGACAATGGCATTGATTATTCTAGCATATCTCAGGGAGGAGACATGGCCCAGTCCCTAGCCTTTTTGATTTGGAAGGCTTTAATTGGAGTAATTTCATTCTCTATGAATGAGATAAACTGGAAGTAGGGTCATGAGTTCAAGATAAAAATCCACTGATGGCTGTTCACAGAAACCATGTCCTGTTTCCAGAGGCCCAGGATTCCTTGAATTTTATTCCTGATCATTGTTCAGACATAACATAGAGACTACTCAAGACATCTTATTGAGAAGATGATAGTCATTGGCCATTTGCAGTAAACCATGAGATTATGTCCTACATCAGTTTAGCAGACAGAGTTATTTGCTAAGTATTTGTTTAATGAACAAAGAGAAAAATTAAAAATGCATTGACTGAGAAGTACAAATGTGGAACTCAGGCTAATATTTCAAGGAGGATAATCATTAGGCTTCATTTCTCTTATTGTTATTTTTATGTCATCATTTCTAGCTCCCCTTGAGGTTTCTCAAATAAATTTAGCTATTGACATATTTACTTGAAACTTACACTCAGTAAATTTCTTCTGTTTCCTTTTGACCTCAAACTGAATTTAATAACTGACTACAACTGAGTTATGAAAAGGATGGGACCATATTGATAACATGAGCACATTATGATGGAGGAAGTAAAATTTCTAGAAAGTAGCACTGACGAAGCTTCTTTGCTCGACCAAACTTTAGTGTTGAACTTTCTCCTGGGCCCTTCTGCGCACTTTCTTGTAAACCAGTTTTAGCAAGAACCCTGCTGAGTTGGTTTAGCCAGAATCCTCCATCTCCATATCTGATCACTCTCAGTATCTGATTGGGTTCTTCATCCTTCACCATGCCCCAGAGGATGTCTGATCAACTTGGCCTACCTTCAGCAAGAATCCTTTTAGGTCAGTTTAACCAGAATCTCCCTTACCCCTGATGTTTCCTCTTAGTAATTTTCCATCCACTTATCATCACCCTGCTCCTTGGCTGTAAATCCCCACTGGTCCACGTGACATTGGGAGTTGAGTCCCATTCTATACTGAGGTCTCTTTCCCCTTATTACAATAGTCCTGAATAAAATGTTTTTACAGCTTTAACTACTGTCCAGCTCTAGTTTTTCTTTGACAGACCCCACACTTGAAAAGTATCTACTAGAATAAACCCGAAGAGCTAAGTTGTACTTGAGAATACGAGTTAAATCTGATAGAATGTAAGCTCCATATGGGCAGGGATCTTCAGCTGTTGTATTAAATAAGGTATCTATTCCAAGCACCTGGTGCCATGTCTGGCACAAAATAGGCATTCAAAAAATATTTGTTGAATAAATAAATAGGGAAAATGACCTTCCAAGAAGAGACAGGGCAAAAATGTAATGGAGCAAGTAGTTATCACTAGTAATCACTCAACATGCAGGTAATGGATTGGTTTCCAAGGACTGTGTAGACACAAAATTATGACCTAAGGATTGTTTTATTTGAGGGGGAGGGAGGAAGGGAGTTGATTTTTTTTGAGACAGGGTCTTGCTCTTGCTCTATCACTCAGGCTGGAGTGCACTGGTGCCATAACGGCTCACTGCATCCTCGACCTCTCAGGCTCAAGCAATCCTCCCCCTTCAGTCTCCTGAGTAGCTGGGACTACAGGCATATGCCATGACTCCCGGCTAAATTTTTTTAAAATGTATTTTTTTGTAGAGACGAGGTCTTGCTATGTTGCCCAGGCTAGTCTCAAACTCCCGGGCTCAAGTGGTCCTCCTACCTTGGCCTCTTAAAACTGCTGGGATTACAAGAGTGTGCCACTGCACCTGGCCAGGAATTGATTTTTTAAAACTGCCTTATTGGAATATATTTCACATATCATAAAATTTGTCCATTTAAAATGTGCAGTTTTGTGGGTTTTCGTGTATTCACAGATGATTTCATGTGCAATCGTCATCACAATCTAAGCCTAGAACATTTTCAGTGCCCAGAAAAGAAACCCATAATGTGTGCAGTCACTCCACATTTTCCCTACCTGCCCTAGCTCCAGCCCGAGGCAACCACTAGTCTACTTTCTGTCTCTTTATGGATTTGCCTGTTCTGGACGTTTCATATAAATGGAATCAAATAATACATAATCTTTTGTTTGGCTTCTTTCACTTAGCATAATGTTTTCAAGGTTCATCTGTGTGGTAGCATTTATCAGTACTTCATTCCTTTCTATGCCAAATAATATTTCATTGTATGAACAGGCCACTTTTTATCTCTTCTTTAATAGATGCACACTGATGTTTCTAGTTTTTGTTCACTATAAATAATATTGATATGAACATTCATGTACAAGTTTTTGTGTGCCCATATATATTCATTTTTCTTTGATATAGGGGTGGAATTGCTGGGTCACATAACTGTGTTTAATGTTTTAAGGAACTGCCAAGCTATTGTTCAAAGTGGCTGCATTATTTTATATTCCCATCAGAAATACATGAGGGTTCCAATTTCTCCACATCCTTGTTAATGCTTGTTATCGTATGTCTTTTTAATTTTATTTTATTTTTAGTGGGTGTGAAGTGGTATTTCATTGTGGTTTTGACTTACATTTTCCTGATGGCTAATGATGTTGACCATCTTTTTCGTGAACTTACTGGACATCTGTGTATCTATGTTGGAGATATGACTATTCGGATCTTTTGCTCCTTTTGTAATTGGGTCATTGTCTTTTAATTAATAGAATGTATTATTTCTTTACATATTCAGAATACAAGTCCCTTATCAAATATGTGATTTGCAAATATTGCCTCCTGTTTTGTGGGTTATCTTTGCATTTTCTTTATGATACCCTTTAAAGCACAAAACATTTTTAAATTTTAATGAAGTTAATTTATCTACTTTTCTATTGTTACTTGTGCTTTTGTTGTCGTACCTAAGAAACCATTGCCTATCCCAAGGTCATGGAGACTTACTGTTCTGTTTTCCTCTATAAGTTTTATATTTTATATTTAGGTCTATGAGCCATTTTGAGGTCAGTTTTGTGTATGGTGTGAGGGTAGGCTTCTAACTTTATATGGATAGCCAGTTGTCTCAGCACAATTTTTTGAAAGACTATTCTTTCTTTCACTGAAGTGTCTGAGAACCTTTGTCAAAAATCAATTGACCACATTGTGAGGTCCTCAAGTTTTAATGTTGTCACTAACATATTCCACACTTCAAGCTCTTCTGGCTTTGACTAAGTCCAGTGAGAACCCACTGCTAATTCTAGAGTACGGGCTGTGAAATGAAATGTGGTGTGTAATATACCCACATGGTGACATTAGGAAAATCTTAGGCTATCTCCATTTATGAGTTTTCCTATTTTGTAAAATGAGCTGAATAATATCTGCTCTCTTAGCCGTGTGGAATTATTGTGGTGAATACATGAAATAATATATGAAGAAACACCTAAACTTATGAAGCCATTGACAAATCTGAGGTACTGTTGTCTGCATTGAGAAGGGATTTTGTAAACAGATTATGATTTAGTTTAGGGTCCATTCACTCTCACAATCATTGGGAGTTGAGTTACTGCATGGTAGAAAAAGTATCCCAGTTGCCATTGTAATATGGGGCTCAATTTAATCCAAATTTTGACTATTTGATTTACAGAATGGATATGTTTGCTTTACCAAAAAAGTGGGCTGAAATCTTCCTTGTTGAGGCAAATGTGTTTTGAGAAAACTGGTATCACAATCACCATCACCCCAATATGTAAATTCCTAGAAATTTGGGAACAGGATCTATTCATTTTAGGCCAAGTATTTTTCCTAGATCTTTCAGAGAATACAGATTTAGCTTTCCTTTTGAAACCAGGGAAGTTGAATCTTGTTTTCTACTTTGATGAATTTCCAAATTCTTGTAACTCTAGTATTCTTATATTCCAAAAGATACAATAAAACAAGTTAAATACTATTCTATATTTCAGAATTTTTTCTACTACAAAGAAGTTTTCCACAGTTTTGCTGTTTCATGTGTCACTTAAACAAAGAATTAACGATTTGATTGGACTTTCTCATTAATTTCTATTAGTTCAAATATGGCAGGGTTTATTGGTTACTTGCAGTTATGTTCTGGTGTTTCTAGTTCCCAGGTTTGGTTTGGAAGCTAGCAGCTCCTGGTTATGATTTTTGCTTTCATTTCTGATTCACATCTTTTGATTCAGAAATCATTGTGGCTGATGGAAGTGCTCTGAGGAGGGCCAATCTAAGGATGCAGAAAACAAGTTCAAACTCTTCTTTCCACTTTTGTGCCATCAGTCTCCTCCTTGGCCCCTAAACTAACGGCAAGAGTGAGATGAAGATAATTAGGAATGATGTCCAGTGGTGGGTAATTACTGTCTCCTGCCTTTGGACCACACTGGAAATGGGGCACTTGACTTCTCAGGATGAAATACAGCTTAAAATTAGGCCTTCCTGGCCGGGCGCGGTGGCTCACGCCTGTAATCCCAGCACTTTGGGAGGCCGAGGCAGGCGGGTCACGAGGTCAGGAGATTGAAACCATCCTGGCCAACATGATGAAACCCTGTCTCTACTAAAAATACAGAAATTAGCTGGGTGTGGTGGCGCATGCCTATAATCCCAGCTAATCGGGAGGCAGAGGCAGGAGAATCGCTTGAACCCAGGAGTCGGAGGTTACAGTGAGCCGAGATCTCAGGCTAGGCTCCTCAATACTATGGTTTTTTCTCACCTCAAGTACACTCATGAGCAAATATCACATTAGCCCACCAGTATGAGAAACTCAGTCACTTTCACCTCATCTCATTTTTGACCTCACCCATCTGCTCAGCACATACCTTCTCTACATCTAGAGTCAGTTTTCTTTCGCGTCTTGAAATGCATCTTCTCCCCATCAGTCTTGCCTGTAGGGAGTTGCTGACCCACTTTCTCCTATTCCTAGGGTAATACTGCTGCTTCTCTCTGCCAATGACTTTCTGATCCTTTACAGTCTGATGAAAGAGATATTACAAAATTGAATAATGATGTGAATGTAGAAGCACAACAATCATATCTGGCCTGCCTAGTCCTGAGATGGAATTCAGCATTGAGGGTCACTCGGCTTCATTAATGCTCATATCTGCCACCAATAATCAGTTGCAGTCCCATGTAAGTTGCTACTGGGTGCACGGTTTACCTTCCCTTTCTAGAAATGCAGTTACGCGTAATCATTCCCCAGATTAGTTAATGATGACATAAATGGATTAGCTATTTTCTCGAGGGCACTTGGTTAGCAACGCCCAAAGTCTCCCTGCTAAGTTTTATGGTGTAATAGTGTTACAGTGTTTTGAGGAATGGGTGGGGTAAAGAGGACAAATATTTTTTCCTTGTCATATATGTATAAACATTAAAGGGATTTAGTTACATACATATACTAGAAATTGGACTAGGTGTCTGTGAAATGTTCTTTAGCAGTCTGTAAGTGGTTTTTAAGTATTATTTCTAAAACCTGGCTCTTTTAATTTGACTTGTATTCAACTGCAAAATGAGATGTTCAGTGCAGAGTATAAACATCATTAGATTTCAGACATGTGTGGGCTTAAAATCTTTAGAAATATTTGGAACTCTTAGGATGGAGCATGAGTGAAGGAAAAAAAATATCTGGCCAGTTTTCACAGGTGAAATTGATCTAGCATGCATTTTAGAAACTCTCATTTTCTCACTTTGCAGTGCTTTATTGAAATAAGTTAGCCATCCATAGACTTTCAGAATACAGCCTTATAATTCCTCTTGTGAAAATGACACACTGACTTGATATATCACTTCTTATTCGTACACAGACGGAAACACTGAAGTAAGCTTGGGACAGGATAACCCCAACGTGTTGGAGACAGGATATTCTATTTCTGGGTGTTGAGAAGAGGGTTGCTGCACTGCACAAATCCGGAGGCTACTATTCACTTTGAATTCCGCAAGAATGGTAGACCCCTTGAGTTGTGCCTCTCTCACCCCGGCCCACCATTACTGCACTCTTGAAATTGCACCATCAAACTGTGAACCCTTTAGTTTAAGATTCTGAACCTTGCCATCTTTGAAACCATTACCAAGGAGTTGGGAGTTTAAAAGACAAATGTCTACTTTACAAGTTTGCCTAGATTCGGCCTCATGGCAAAAACAAAAGCTGTTTCATGCCACGGTGAATAAATGTGACCTTCCATTCCAAGGTCACAAATTAAGGTGATCTTGAGAAAGGCTGAAACATTTTTATACATGATGCTAGGTTGATGTTCTTGTTATTGTTTAGACTCAAAAGGACTTTTCTCTATAACTAAGAATATGTAATTTTGAGTCTGCATCCAAATTCGAAGGGGTTAGTGGTACTACATAATGTGGCATAACCATCCCATCTCACTCCAAAGGAAAAACATTGGAGGAGTTAATTCCAATTTGCCCAAGGCTGAAGTAACTGAAACAAAACAGAGCTTTATATAAGCTGATATTTGGCCTGTGGATGAGGGTACAGGGAGAAAACTGTATGCAAGTGGGCTCTACACCCCGCTGTGTACCACTGACCAGGTGCAAAAAGAAATATGATGATATGAGGGTGCTTTGGGTTTTATTGCCAAAGACAGCTGTGATGAACATTCCAGACTCTGGGGCAAAAGTTAGACAGAGCTGCCAGAGGAACAATGAAAGGGATTCTAATACTTCAGTCTGTATATAAAACTGAGCCAAGGAGAATTGAGGAACAGCAGACAATATTACCGTAATTCATCTGATATGTTTATATGTAATCTTCACTCTGAAACTCTTTCACACCAAAGTCAAATACTTGTGGACCTGGCTCAAGTGAATGAGAGAGAGAGAGAATGGCCTGGCTCCTGAGGTCTCTGTCTTTGGAGGACAAACCAGAGTACGGGACAATATTTTTAATGTTTAATGTGTTAATTTAATATTTAACATTTTTGATCAAATCTTTTTAAACTCCAAGAAAGGCTTTTCAGAAAAATTAAAAATGGAATCCTTTCATAAAGTGCTTTTGGTGGGAAGTAATAGCAGTGATATAGTGATACAACTAGAAGCTACATGTAATCCTGCTTTAGCATAGTGACGTAGTGGAAAATTATTTGGACCAGAGGAGATCAATTCTACATATTGATTATCCAGATGGGAATTTGCTATGGGACTAAAAAAATAGCTCCGAGGAACCTCATGATAAATCCTCTTTTCTTGAGGTTTCTAAGATTATGAAGCTTGAGTGCTGGACAAGGAAGCAAGACACTATCAAAAATGGCAACACACTGTGGTGAGTAGAGCAATTAAATTCTTTCTTATGAATGAAATACAACTGTAATAAGGCAATAAAACTGCCTAGCAAAAAATGCCATTGCTAATGCCTAAAACTTTGAAACTTCACATAAAGGAGTTTTACTTCCAATAGTAGCATACAGAACATGGCCATTCACGATGTTGTTGATGTCGCTGTTAGTTTTTCAGTAAAGCAAAATCTTCAAACAGGTAAAATAATTTAGAGGGAGCAAGGGCTAATGGAGGCAGTGGTTTGGGGTTCAGGGACTTGAGGAAGTCTTCCCGGGATTGAAACACCAGGTTTTTATTGCTTACTAGTTGTATGTTATTGGGCATTTACTTCAACTATCTACATCTCAAGTTCCCTACCTGCATAATGAGGAAAATAACATTTGTTACCTGGCAGACCAGGTGCGATGCTGCTAAACATCCTACAACACATTAGACAGCCCCCACAACAGTGAAAGGTCCATCCCCAAATCCCACTAGTGTCAAGATTGAGAACCCCTGGGTTAGACTGTGGTGAGAACTAAATGAGTGAAAACATGAAAAGCCCTTGACAAATGCTTGGCATGTAATAATTACTACATAAATGTGAACGATCACTATTGCTAACAAACTCTTTTTATCTGGAATGTCCATAGATAATTAAAACTAGAGGTTCTAGGACCAGTCAGCCTGTGCTGGTTACCTGAGGACTTTCTAGCATGAATCAAAACTTTGATGCATCTACATCATCAAAATAATAGCTTTGGAAGCTATAACATGAGGCTTAACTCCAGAATTTTTGAAGCTACTTTTAAATCCTAACTGGGTTCCTTGAAGGCTGCCTCCTGATGCAATTTTGGATGGGGGAAGAAGAAGGGTAGAGAACATTCTTCCGTGGTACAGAGCAGGAGTTGGGGGACTTTTTTTTTTTGTAAAGGCCTAGATAGTAATTATTTTAGCATTGTGGGCCAGACGGTCTCTGCTGCAGCTTCTCAACTCTGCTATTGTAGTGTGAAAGCAGCCATAGACAATACGGATGCAAATGGACGTGGCTGTGTTCAAATAAAACTTTACTTACAAAAACAGTCAGATTTAGCATGAGCGTCACAGTTTGCTGACCTCTGGCATAAAGGAAAAATCATGGACTTTATATTCAGAGGACTGCAGGTATGAAAAATATTTGAATTTCTGTGAGAATGTTTCCTCATTTGCATACTTTTGATGAAAATATCTGTAAACAATCTGGTACATAGTAGATGCTCAATAAATATTAGTTTTCTTCTTTTAAGGCATGAATAGCTACAAGTACTGAATTAATGGAATTTCAATTTGAAAATGACAACATACTTGCGGTATGGTTTTCACTTTCCCCATGATGTCCTGCTGACTTCTGTCACAATTATAATAAATGTTACTCCTTCTGTAATGTTTTTCCTAGGCTACACTCAACTGACTTCAATCTTATATTCTTGGCATCAATATCACAGCCTTTTCTTTTTGTGTTTAATGGTAACTTTGTTAGAAGCAGTTCCAAAATGAAGAAGCAGAATGGAAGGGGTTGCTCATAATTCATTGAAAAACAATAAACTCCTCCCTTCCTTTCTCTTATTAATTACACACTTTATAAAACAAATGCTTCACACCCTTCCGTTTGGGCTGGGCACACTGAATGAAAAGAAATCTACTTAACCTGCCATGGGTGTTTGTCTCTATCACGTCTTTTTCATAAAGTTTCTGAAAAGTAGCGATTTCTATTAAATAATTTTCAACAAATGTGTTTGGCATTTGATGTTGTGGTCAGAGGGTAAACAATAACTTTTAGCAGATGACCATTAATGGAGTGCCAGGAAAGATGGAGGTGACGTGTTTAAGGGAAGGGAAGTTATTTCTAATGGAAAGAGGAAACCTCTACTCTATGACTTTACCTTAATCACTTTCAATCTTACATGTTATTTCTCATTAAGTGACATTCCTTTTAGTTGTTGTGCCATGATTCCTGAAAAGTGATGTACTGGAAAAATACTGAGTTGGACCCCTTTTTGGGTTTCAGTTACTCAGGTATAGAAGCCATCTGCTTCTGCAAAGTTCTGGAAAATGAACATTGGGTTTCTGCTCTTTGGTATTCCGTACAGTGAGTGAAATACACGTGATTACGTCACTGATAGAACTTAACTGGGAGGTACAACTGGAAAATGTTAAGCTTTGTTCTGCCTTCATGACGCACCCACAAGTGATATCTATGAAATATCTTGCCCTGTTGTTGTCATTCTAGAATATCAGGAGAAGTGAGTAGATTGATTTTTAAATATCTTTGATGTCCAGTGATTCACATGTACGTTTATTCAAACACAATGAAAGAGACTTGAGTTTAGAGAAATTGAACATGTGAGCTATAGCCATGACTAGAAAAAGAGACTTGTGCTATCATTTCATTTTAGACATGGTTGGCAGTTGTATCCTCCCCAAGAAGGATATGAGACAAGAATGGATGGTCAAATTGTTGCCAGAAAACACCAGTACTGGGTAGGAAGTGAAACAGGGACAACTACGAAGCCAGTAAAGTGTGACTTACCAAGACCACCTTGGGCAACTGGAGATTAACCCCATTGGGCAACTCTGGGAAACAGTACAGAACATTCCAGCTAATAGGGAAGAAGCAGAGTATTTATGTAACATCTCCCATCAGGAGCTGGTTGAAAGCTGTTGGGGGAAGGTAGGCATTAACTTCCCTTTGGAATTAGTTGGTCCTGGGAGGGGCAGAAAAAGTTCCCAGGCCAGGGAGATAGGACCTGTGAGTGCAATATGGGTATGGCCTTGACAGCTGTAGGCAGGAGCTCTTACACTAGAGGAGACTACAATATAACCATTTTGAGCTCTCATGGAGGACAGAGAGAGCTGGCATCACAGTCATCCAATTTTTCAGTTCCAATGACTTGTGACTAACTGTGGGGCTAAACAGAATTTGCATCGGACAGTGCTTTCTGTACTGGCCTTGGTCATTCCTGACTTCAGGGTCACAATCTACCTACAAGCACTCATTTGCAACTGACTGTAAGTGGGTCTAAGTTTGAGCAATGGTAGGCAAAGTTCCCTGAAAAAGAAAACACGTGACATCTAGCGTGTCAGACCAAAATGTATATTTCCTCATCTAGTGACTCCTAACTTCCATCATTTCAACTCATTGTGAAATTATTATTGTCTTTCTGGAACAATGGTTTGAGAACTTGAAGCCTCTGCAGTAAACTTGACTTTTTTAAAGCTTGAGTTAAGGATTATTTGGAGAAGTGTCCCTCTCTCTCCCTACCCCCTTTTTTTCCTCCCCCCTCCGCCCCCATCTCTCCCTCTTTATACATTATCATTAAGGTCAACTATATTTCTATAAACAAACCTGACAGATGTTACCATCTAACCTTCCTACCTGGGAAACAGAATGGTCTGTTGAGGTTTGTCAGGATCGGGGTCAGGGTTGTGGGAAGGGAGAGGGCAGCCTGCCAGGTAATGGAAACACTGCTTGCTTTAATTTTATTGCCAAGAACAAAGCCTTCTTATTGTTTAATAGAACCCTTAAAGGCAGGCCTCATTGGCATAGTTCTAATTTTTTCGAGACCACAAACAAGAGGAATTCTTTAGGGCCACTTCGTGAAAAGCAGAAGAAAAAAATAGTTTATTCTGCAAAAATTAAAGCAATCCTTTGTTTCAGTAGCCAGTGTCTGATTTCAGGTTGGCATCTGTATGTGTCCTCTCTACAGGGGCATTTGTTGGCATTGTCTGCATGGGCACCCACTCTTTCATTCAGATTAATTGGAGGTTATGCCTGACATATGAAGGAACTGGACAGAAACCATCTTTCTCTGGCAAATCATCCCTTTGGCAGCAATACTTTCAGATAACATGCTAAAAGAAGAAATGTTTCGCACCAAAAACAAAGAAGCAAACACTCTCCTCTTGCAAAACCTATTTATAAAACTGGGAACCACACACATCTTCATTCAGTGCTTATTTTGATTCTACCAGCAAACTAAACCTTCTATGCAGTCCTTGCTTCTCAGCAGCAAGTTTTACTTCTCTCTCCATTTAAAGTATAGGTGACCAAAGTTTCCGGTTTCCAGAGATCTTTGCAACAGTGTTAGTAGCTAAGGAATGAAAGTGAGAGGAGATGAGGTCATTCTTGTTATTCCATGAATGAGGAAGATGCTATCAATGTACAGGGATCATCTATGAAGCAAATCTTAGGGATTTGTTGAGTGCCCACAATGTGCAAAGCACCATGCTAGGACCTGTGGTAGAAACAGAACTTGGCCTGCTAGAAAGAATGACTTCACTAGAGAACAAGCAGCGAACATGCCAAGTGCACACATAATTAACTGCTAAACCATGGGCTACAGAAGTTCTAGAGCTGTGTGGTCCAATATGGCCACCACTAGCCACTTGTGGTTTTGAGCACTTGAAATATGGTTAGTCTGAATTGAGATGTGCTGTGAATATGAAATGCATACATTAATCATTTTTACATTGATTACATGTTGACATGATAACATTTTAAATATATCGGGGTCAAATAAAATGTATTAGTACAATTAATTTTACCTGATTATTTTTACTTAAAAAATGTGATTACTTGAAAATTTTTCAATTACATATGTGGCTCACATTACACAGTACTTTGATTGGATGATGTGACTCTGGAGAGTTTGAGAAATGAGGCAATTACTGTGTGAGTAGCTGAGGAAGGTTTCATGCCAAATATGAAGGAGAGACTGGTCTTTGGAGATCAGAGTAGGCAAGACAGAGTTAGGAAACCCAGGGGTGAGGAAGATGAGAAAAGGCACCAGGGAAGAGAGGCAAAAGAACATTTTTGCAAGACAGAGGAAATTAAAATTCTGTTTCAACAACATGCAGGGTACAGTGGGCATGCATCTTGAATTGGTTATCTGGGAATGGGGAGACAGAAATACCGAAGCCAGTTATATCTTACTGCCCCTTGTGAAAAGCCTTTTGGGGGCCATTTGCAGAGAGCTAGCCATGACTGAGCTCCATAGAGTCTGGCTAAAACAAAACAGCAAATTGAGGAGTTTAACTTGGGAGTGGGGAGTTCTTCCTTGACCCCCACCTTTTTCTAATTGACTCCCTTTGTATCCTGGTCTTAGTGGGCCTTCAGCATTGATCTTTAAAGCTATCCATGCTTACTTGCTTTCCTGGAGTTTTCTTCTGAAATGGTAGTGGGGCTGGTAAAAGTTACAATGGCAGTAGAAGGGCAGGCAGGAAGGACACTGGAGAGCTGTACAATAGGGGCTTTGACAAAAGGACAGTGAAGAGCAAAGCTAATCTGATCTGGAAGAGAAAAGGAAAGATCACAGCATTTAGATGTCTTTTGGTTGCTAATTTTGAAGTTGTGGTGAGTTTGTGAGTGTGTGTGTGTGTTTGGGAATCATGAGAGACTGATATTGAAAATGTTTTCCTGTTAAGTCATTTTCAGACCTAGGTTGATTAGCCATCTTACATGTGTGGAATTATTATTTATAAGTGTTTTCCCAAGCCTGATTCAAAGTGACTATCTAACTATTTTTTTCTTTTGCAAACCAGAAAAGATAGAGAAGGTATCCTAGAGAATAAAAGGAAAGGTACAGGTTTATAATAAGGGGGAAGGAAAGACCCACCTCGATCGATCTCTATTCAGGGCTCAGCAACACTCCTGATGGACAGCTCTCTCATTTTTGACTTCCCTTTGTCAACTCCATCCTCTTAGCCCTACCTGGGTGGCAGAGCCCTCAGGCTGGGAGGGAGCTCCTTGTGTGCACTAGCATTACTGATCCTCCAGGGATTTGTGGCTACTGAGGTTTGCTGTCATAAAAACACAGTGCTGTGTACAGTCTTCTCAAGAAGGGTCCTTTCTGCCCTTCAAGGTGTGAGCTTATCGGACATGCTGATCTATGCAAATGAGCTAGTGCTACAAGGAGGACAGAAGGATGATGTAGTTGGCCTCTAGAGGTGTTCCATTCACTCATCAATAGTCAAGTGCTGCATGCTAAACGCAGCATACTAGGAAGACTGTCCTATTTACCCAGGAGTCCAACCAACTAGGAGAAGGAATAGACACAGACTTACAGACCATCAAGATTTTTGTTCAAGAACTGCATCTATGTCAACAATTCACTATGTAGTTTCCCTTAAGCTTTTAAGTTCAAATTATGATCTCATTATTCTATTCATACATCTAATAAATTTTATGAAACCAAGAATAATCACTCTCGGGAGTCCTTGAATCAATGTTTGATTAACTCAAGTTGAATAGACTCAACTCCATTAAACAATCAATTCTGTCTATACATTAGCTGATTAAGTTCCTACACACATATTTTTAAATTGCGGTAAAATTTACATGCAAGGAAATGCATAGATCTTAAGGGACAGTTTAATGGATTTTGATAACCGACAGCTCAATCAAGACATAAAACATTTCTATCACCCTAGAAAGTACCCTCGAGCCGCTCTTCAGGTCAATCCTCACCCCTATGAGGAATCACTGTTCAGATTACTCCTGTAACACTTTAAACTGCATTTATCAATTTAACACATTTGATTTACTTTATAAGCACTTCAAATGCTAACAGGATAAAATTAAAATCCTAACACGTTATACCTTCCCAAGTCCTTAAGTAGCTCTTATAAATCTAATAAACTAAACTTAAAAAATATGCTGAAACCCAGGCCGGGCGTGGTGGCTCACGCCTGTAATCCCAGCACTTTGGGAGGCCAAGGTGGGCAGATCACGAGGTCAGGAGATCGAGACCATCCTGGCCAACTTGGCGAAATCCCGGTCTCTACTAAAAATACAAAAACTAGCTGGGCATGGTGGTGCACACTTGTAATCCCAGCTACTTGGGAGGCTGAGACAGGAGAATTGCTTGAACCCAGGAGGCAGAGGTTGCAGTGAGCCGAGATCACGCCACCGCACTCCAGCCTGGCAACAGAGCAAGACTCTGTCTCAAAAAAAAAAAAAAAAAAAAAAAAGAAAATGCTGAAACCTAAGGTTTTTTGAACATTGCAATATTGCTTTGAAACCTAAACTATCTTACAGATCCAACTTAAAATAACAGTTCTAAAAGAAATTACATGTTAGGCTGGGCGTGGTCGCTCATGCCTGTAATCCCAGCACTTTGGGAGGCCAAGGCGGGCAGATCACTTGAGGTCAGGAGTTCGTGACCAGGCTGGCCAACATGGTGAAACCCCATCTCTACTAAAGATACAAAAATTAGCTGGGCATGGTGGTGGGTGCCTGTGATCCCAGCCACTCAGGAGGCTGAGACAGGAGAATCACTTGAACCCCAGGAGGTAGAGGTTGCAGTGAGCCGAGATGACACCAGTGCACTCCAGCCTGGGTGACAGAGCAAGACTCCATCTCAAAAAAAAAAAAAAAAATTACGTGTTTCAAATTAGCATTTCAAAGCAAATCTGTCAAATTTCTGTAATATGTCATATTATCTTAAATGCTATGAACTATTAACATACAAACAAATATTTCAGTCCCAAGTTGTAATATATATATATTTTTAAGTTCAGGGTCTCTGTCTCTGTCACTCAGGCTGGAGTCCAGTGGTACAATCATAGATCACTGTAATCTCCAACTTCTTCTGGGTTCTAGTGATCCTCCTGCTTCAGACTCCTGAGTAGCTAGGACTACAGGCAAGAACCTCCACTCACAGTTGGTTAATTAATTAATTATTTAGTAGAGACAGGGTCTTGCTATGTTGCCCAGGTTGGTTCTAAACTCTTGGCCTCAAACAATCCTCCCACCTTGGCCTCCCAAAGTGCTGAGATTACAGGTGTGAGTCACTGCACCCAGTCATAACCCAAAATATTGATTTTATGCTACAGGTTGAGTATCCCTTATCCTAAATGCTTAGAACCAGAAGTGTTTTGGATTTTGGAATATTTGCACATACATAATGAGATATCTTGGGGATAGGACCCAAGTCTGACCACTAAATTCACTTACATTCCACATACACCTTATACACATAAGCTTGAAGGTAATTTTATGCAATATTTTCAATAATTTTGTGCATGAAACAAAGTTTGTGTTAAGTACTTGTGTGTGGAATTTTCCTCTTCTCGCGTCATGTCAGTGCTGAAAAAGTTTTGGATTTTAGAGCATTTCGGATTTTGGATTTTCAAATTAGGGTGGCTCAGCCAGTATTATTTAGTTCTTCATCTTTATACATGAATCTCAAACTTCCTGGGAAGGAGGAAAAAAAGGAATTTACTTATTTACTAAAGGAAACAAATTTATCATCTCAAAGAAGTTGAGGTTAGAGGGTCAATGGTTAATAATAAAAGATTTCAGAACGTTCATAAGAACTGAAGACTCACTGATTGTACTGGCACTGCAGATGTACACTTGCTGAGCCTTTGTTATGGTGGGTTTAACAGGGTTTCCAATTACCTATCTGATAAGATGGTTCTTGTAATGAGAATTCCCCTGGGAATCTAACTTTCTAATCACCTGGTTTGGGTTCAGTAACAACTCCAGTTACTTATTACTTGGTTAAATTCAACCTATTTCTTTACTGGCTGATTCTTGTTATATCTGGCTTCAGGCCACGTATCTGTGGTTATTTGAATGATGTTTATGTCAAAAGACTGTTGGGATAATTAAATCAGGAAGTGACAGTAAGAGCTGGTCATGGTCATAACTGCTTGTAGTGCATATCTACATAAGTCCTATCACTTTTTCTTTCTTTACACTACAGTCTATGTGTTGCTGTGAAACTGGAACAGATCTATGCAATAATGCTCCCCTTCCAACACCTGCAAAGATGGACAAGGCACCACCTTCCCAATCCTATGGAAATTGACAGAAGGCTTCCTTGAATGAACTTATGACATCTCAATACCAAGCTTGCCTTGTCAGAGAATTAGACCACTATATAGTTTTCACGACTTTACATATATGAACTTGATGTTATATCTAGGGAAAATACTTTTAAAAGCATAGTAAAAGCTCTATCATAAATTCCTAGGCCAAGAAGTTACCTCACTTGGTTGTAAAAATCTTTGTGTTGCTCCTCACTGAGAGCCTTGTACATTCCATGGTAGCCTCGGGCATTTTAAATAGCTGAATTTAAAATTTCATATTTCTATTTCAAACAAAAATAACCAGTACTACAATTGTCTTCTTGTTAACGGACATTTTATATGCATGACTCAATTATTTTGCTGTGGAATTTCAAAATTAGAACAAAGCTCTTCATTTTTTCCTACAACATTTAATTTAGCAAATTAAAAATAGAAGTCAACCGAATCAGGTAAAAAATGATATGTCTGGCTTCTTTCATAATCTGTAATTATTTTATACACAGAGATAATTTCAACTTGATTGTCATTGGAAGACAATTTTATGTTCATTTATTGAGAAAAATAATTTAAACTAGATATTAGACCCAGAAGTAAAAGGTTGGTTCAGTAACAAAATGGTGGATTGATTGTTAGGATTATTCTTGTTTCTGAATGTCATGAATGGGAGCAATAAGTGAACCAAAGCTTTTACTTGAGAGTTACCTTCTCACCTGCAATCATTCCATTCCCCTCTGACTCTTTCACCTGAAACCATCCAGCTAAGACCATCTCATATAAAAGTTGAGTTAGAAATAACAATGGCCATTTTATTTTATTTTACTTTATTTGAGACAGAGTCTGGCTCTATTGCCCAGTCTGGAGTGCAATGGCGTGATCTCAGCTCACTGCAACCTCTGCCTCCCAGGTTCAAGCAATTCTCCTGCCTCAGCCTCTCGAGCAGCTGGGATTACAGGCGCCTGCCACCATACCCAGCTAATTTTTGTATTTTAAATAGAGATGGGGTTTTACCATGTTGGCCGGGCTGGTCTCGAACTCCTGACCTCAGGTGATCCACCCACTTTGGCCTCCCAAAGTGCTGGGATTACAGGCGTGAGCCACTGTGCCTGGCCAACAATGGCTATTTTAAAAAATGTATCACTACCTGTTCCTATTATTCTTTATATCATGCCAGAAACATCTCTGCTGCTCTAGTCAATCACGCAAGTAAATATTTCCAGGTAAAGAAGGTTGTGTGTGGAATACTGTAATGGAGACAGGATAAGGAATTCTTGTATTGTGTGGAGGGAGGGAGCACAATAAGATATATCAGAAAAAAGCACACTTTCTCTCTAACTTTCTAATGCTCAGCCTTTGGGCCTCCAATTAAGGCCTATTGCTTCACATTTAAGTATTAACCTTGGAAATCTGCACTACCAAATTCAAACATTAGAGGGTTTGTCTTCAGAGGCACGTACAAGTGTTCATACTCCAATCTGAGCCACTAGGTAGGATTCTGTATATGATGCAATAGGTCATACCACCCAAACTAGAAAGATTTGCAGACGATGAAAGGTTTGGATAATGTTTTATATAAAGTTTCAAAACTGAAACTTGGGAATGTCATTCTAAAAGTAATACCAGCTTACTAAGCCTTATATTCATTTATTCATAAGATTAATCTCATTCCAAAATACTCAAAGATTTTTGCTGATATCTTCTCATTACTCCTTATGAATATGCCCAAGAAAGAAACAGGATCCAATGCCTGTTATGAATCAAATTTTTCTAAGTCAAGGGCACTGAATCCAAAGGGAGACATTCAAGTATGTGTTAGATACTTTAATAATTAAATTTAACCTCTACCAAGAAAAACTACATTTGCTTCATGAGTTGTCAATTTTAGTAAACTTGGTAGAGTAAACTGTTTCAACTGTCTTACTATTGCATATGAATAGACATTATTCAAATGCAATAGTAAAAACAAATCTTCTCCAGAGATGATAAATTTCTGTGCAGACCAACAGTTCTTTTCTCCTTTGTCATGGGAATCCTAAGACGTGAACTTGGGAAATCAACCATTATTATAGTGGCTCGTCATAATCCAGTTTCTGAAAGCCACCATATTTGCACTATCACATTATCATAATTCTAGAGCCTATTACATGGAGAGCCAGAGCTGACTGTGGGTTGTATGATGTGGTTTAATGAGGCCCAGAATCTGACTCTAATTATACCTTGAAAGCATTCTCACAGGGGGTCAGATCGGGTGGGAATCTGACCCTCATCTGCAAGTGAAAATGGATTATAACTTTGGACATTCATGTCGGCCCCCAGCAGGATATACTTCATCCAAGATCAGACACACGTTCACAAGACACAAATAGCTCGTTTGGTGTTTGCATGCTGGTCTTCATCCAATGACTCCGGATGAAGCCATTGCCAAGTTTTCTACGGAGAGAGAATGCTTTGGCATTACAAAACTGCACAACAAAATTAAACAAATGGTTCATCTTTCTTTTTAACCCAGTGATTTTTCATTATTTCAAAGTTTACAAATGAATGCTTTTAGGGCTTGGTGAATTACTGGAAAAGTCTTCTACAGACTCCCATCTGTTTTGCCAAGTGATTTTCTACAATTTCTTACAAGGTACATATCACCCAAGTAACACCTCACTCTCATCCTTTTCAATTTACAAAACTCATCATCTGAGCAGAAATCTAATTAAACAGCCTTAATTCCTCCACAAGAACCTTGTCACTTTACATGACAACTAGCACTGGAGAAACTCAGAGAAAGCCGTATGAGAGCAAACTTTCCATTAAAATAAAACAACAACAAAGATAGATTAAAAACTTAGTGAGAAAAATAATGGCAAAAAGAATTTTAAGAAGTGATTACAAACAAGGCAAGATAAACCAAAGGGGCCAATGCTGGAACTTTGAAGTGATGTTGGATTAGAAAATGCCCTTCTAGGATGACCTTGAGCAAGAATGGTAAGGACTGCTGAGCCTTTATCCTCTTGAAACCATTATGGCAATTGGCCACCCTTTCCCAGTTGTTCTTGGCCATCATCTTTAGAGTCACTGGCACCTATCATTTCCAAAACGAACATCTATTAAGTGTCAAGGTGTTGTATTTGCTGTAAAAGAACTTGATTATTGGAATGTGCAGAAAATTTGGTACATATCAGTGATTCCAAGTGTTTGCTTAGCTAATAAACTGTGTCTTCTGATTTTTCAAAGAAAATGGAAAGAGAAATGTGATGAAGAGATACAGTCCTTATCTGACCTAGAAAAGTTAAGTTCTACAGGTGACCCAAATTTTGATCATTTCTCATAAGCTTGTCTTTCACTACATATATAATTAACTCCAAACTTGTCTAGTGTAACTACAAACTCATCCATTCTACCTTATTTCTCTCCTGAAGAAAACAAAATAGAGTGGTTGAAAACCCATTAGTTTTTACAATCCTAGACAAACATTTCTTAGGAGTCTACCTGAAGTTGCTCTTTTTTTTTTTTTTTTTTTTTTTTGAGACGGAGTCTCGCTCTGTCCCCCAGGCTGGAGTGCAGCAGTGTGATCTCAGCTCACTGCAAGCTCTGCCTCCCGGGTTCACGCCATTCTCCTGCCTCAGCCTCCCGAGTAGCTGGGACTACAGGCGCCCGCCACCATGCCCGGCTAATTTTTTGTATTTTTAGTAGAGACAGGGTTTCACCGTGTTAGCCAGGATGGTCTCGATCTCCTGACCTCGTGATCCACCCACCTGGGCCTCCCAAAGTGCTGGGATTACAGGCGTGAGCCACCGCACCTGGCCTGAAGTTGCTCTTTCAATGTCTCTGCCTCCTGAGTCCCAAACTGTCTTGGCCTTCATACTCTGCTCTTGTGTGTGTGTGTGTGTGTGTGTGTGTGTGTGTGTGTGTGTGTGTGTGTGCGCGCGCGCACGCGTGTGTTTTAAGAGACAGGGTCTCACTCTGTCACCCAGGCTGGAGAGCAGTTGCACTCCATGGGTCACTGTAGCCTCGACCTCCCAGGCTCAAGCAATCCTCCAGTCTTGGCCTCCTTTGTTACTGGGATTACAGGCGCACACCACCACGCCTGTCTAGTTTTTTTATTTTTTGTAGAGACGAGGTCTCACTGTATTGCCCAGGCTGTTATTGAATCCTTGGGCTCAAGTAATCCTCCTGCCTTGGCCGCCCAAAGTATGCTGGGATTACAGGCATGAGCCACAGCATGCCATTCTCTGTTATCCACCGTTTTAAAAATGTTTGGCACTTACAATCAAAAAGCCATTCATTTGCTTACCCTCATTTAAAAAACAAGTTATGAAAACAATGTGGCAGGGGTGGGGAGAGTTGGGTGGCTGAAGGGGAACCTTCAAACTGTTTTCCATTCTGAAGAAAAGCAGAGGTAAATCCCTGGGAAGAGATGTGGACTTATAAGGATGTGGCATTTCCTCATGGGTCGTGGGAAGGAATTCATTGATTTAATTTACAACAATTAGGAGGTGCCTCTGTGCTGTGAGTTTTTTTTAGCTCCAGCTGGCATGGGAATTATTTTCCCGGGGAATGCTCATACCCAAATACAAGGACACCTTCAGGAAGAGGAAAAGGAAGAAGTACCATCTAGGAACCAAGGATGTGGACCAGGAAATTCTTTTCCACTGCACTGATTTAAAAGAATAGCATGCTGGTGCCTAACAAACTCCATGGCCTTTTTGGAGTTTCCTAGTGCTGTGAAGGTTTCCCTTGGACATGAGATTGTTTTGCATGACAATATCCATATTATTTTCTCAATAACCAAAAATGTCATTTCCTGAAAAGAGTTGGAAATGCCAGTTGTCACTGTGAAACTCACACAGGTCTATGTGTTCCTTGAACCCTCACTAAACCTTCAAAACCAAAGTTCAAATTCAGATGCAACACGAAAGCCTTTCCAGCTCTCAACTCTCCCAAACTAGTTCCTACAGATCCTTCCTTCTTCCATGCTTTCCATTTCTCCAGAATGAACTACTTGCTTTGTGTACATACATTCCTCGTCTTTCTATCCCCATGCCTTTATTTGCCTGGCAAGCAGTGCTGCTTCCATAAACTCAAATGTTACCTACCCTTGAAGGCAGGCTCAGATCTTGCGCTGCTTCCCCAGTCCCCAGCTAGAAATAATTTCTTGTTTCTCTGAAAGTTTGAAGTAGATAATCCACACCTTCTTCATGGTAATTATGGCTTTCTACTTTATTTTGTGTTATAAGTGCTCTTCTGTCTTAGTGAAGATAGTAAACTTCCTGTGGGCAGGGTCCTTTGGCACCTAACACAGTGCAACACACACACAGTGGGTACTCCAACCGCACTACCAAAATGAACAAACTAGCAAGACACTGTAACAAATTAAAGTAACTGTCCACAGGCAAAAATGTACATCCCCTCCCAGAAATATTTGTTTAGCAAACACTGCTCCTAGACCAACAGTCTCTAGAACAGAAAGTCATGTTAAGCAAAATTATCCAAAACATGGAAAAAAGAGAAAGAGAAGACTGTGAGCCCTTCCAAAGTCCCACGAGAGCATATTCCATGAAGTCAGCCTAAGTCAGGGTCATCTGACTCTCCAGACTGGGATGTAACAGAGTCTGACTTTCTATTTACTAGTGGTTAGGGCTTAGACTCTGCGAAGTTAGATGTTAACTTAGAGAAACCCAGTAATATGCAACTTATTTTGTCCAAATGTTTCAGGTTTATTGCCCTGTAGGTCACTAACCAGTTTTGTATCCAAATTAGCTATGCTAGTCTGGCATTCTTTTCCCCCTACTACCCCCTTCCCCACATTTATATGTATCCGTTTCTGGCATCCTCCTTGGAAGCAGCTTTATCATCTTGCTGGTTCCTTCATTAAGAAGTTAAAAAAATCTTTGATGTGGACTAATTCATTCATTATAGGAGAATTGGGTGTTCAACTTTTGAAAATTATACTTTCAGAATACTAATAATTAGGAATAAAAACAAACGTAAAAATAAGTACTGTAAGTATCATTATTTTTGTACTCATAATTTTCTTTAATTTTTATCTAGAATAAATTTCCCAAATACCAAATTTACTCACCCATAAACATGTGCTTCCATTCCCAAGGATTTATACAAAAACAACAGAGAAAAGAATGAATATTCTTTATTCCTTGTAAATGCAAGTCCACTACAATCAATTCAGTAATAGCTTTATTTGAAAAGCCTGTATTGCAACTAAAATCATATCTGATCTATTAAAATAAAACTAAAATCTCCCTGTAAATTTCTTCAATTTATCTATCATTTGAAATTACTGAACATCTTAGAATGTAATTTTACATCATGTTAGGATGAATAGCGTCTTGTAAATTCAAGCCATAATAATATTGCATTAGAAGCAATGCATTTGTTCTGAAATCACAACAGGTCATAATGGAAACCAGACATTAATGCTTTAAGGAGTAACTAGCTGAAATTGAATGACATAATCACCCAATCCATAAAGCATTTATAAGATTTACCATAAAGCTCAGGTAATTTTTTTTTTAACTGAAGAGAAATAATTCTTTCTTACTATCCTAAACATCAAATGCCATCACATCATAAAAATAAAATATGGCACACAGATTATTCCATTTTGTTCATCCATTTATTCATATAATACATATTAACTTTACCCTATAATAATGAAAACATTATGCTTGTTCACTATTATTTCCAATGTTGTTTAATCAACAAGGCTCAACATGTTCCCTGGCAAGAGGCTTGCCAAAAGAGAATCCAGTCTAAGCAGAGGGTTCAAAAGGTCTGGATTCTGCAACACACTGCTGCCTTCACACTCTCAACTTCATCTCAACATGATGAAACACTGATTCTACCCTGACAATCATGTAGCTTTTAAAGCAAGAGGGTCTACTAAGTGAACCAATAAGCTCACTGGACAATCCTAATCTGCTCTCTCACCTATGTTTTACTCTGATTCCTCCCTTTCTTTCCTTTTGTATGCCTTTCCCTCTTCCACCTATCATAACCTCCATCAGCACCTCAAATGATGAACAGCTGGAGTAGATGGCTTAGGTAGGAGATGAGAACATCCCTAATTTCTGTCTCCCTGGATATTATCCTTGGAAAACACAACAAATTTGGAGTTGGAAAAAGTTGCTAACTCATGTGTTTCTCTTAGTAACCAGTTTTACATTTCTGATCACAAGGGGAGCACTTGTAAGTAAAAGCACAGACTTTACAAACACAAAGTATTTTAAGCCTTCCACCAAAGCACCAGTATTTGCATAGTAGACATGCTTTTACACTGATAGGATCTTTCTGAAAGCAATCTTTGCTAATTTCTGCTATGCTGAGGAATGTATCACTGACAAACATCATTGTGTTGCATAAATAAGCTGACACCTCAATACTTAGGGTACTGAAAAATAATAGTTGTGAAATCTATAAGAACTGGCTCAAGTCCTGACTCTTCCACAAAGCTTCAGAAAAATTGTATTCGCATTTTTTTCTCTTTTAATCCCCCCTTCTCAAACCATACTCCATCTAATCTAAGATACCAGCAACTGTCTCATCTATATTTTGTGTGCCAGTAGGAACAAACAAATGTTGCCCATTAAACTGTCTCACCATTCATTTAAGTTGCAGCTCAATTTCAGCAATATTAGTCTTCAAAAAAATGCTAATCTTAGAATCCATAAATGCAATATTCTACTAGCTGAGCACCTGATTGGCTACTCTACTGTTCTTTAAATATGTTGTTATATGTGTGTACACTGTTCTCTAACATATTGTAATCTTTATTATTATTTGCTACATTGTGCATCTACTGACAGTTATAGGCACATAGGAGGCTATAAACTTATAATTACTGCGTAGACGATCAAAGGGACTTGAAGGAATTCTTATTGCAAAAATGGAGTTACTGTCAAAATTTTTAAATGCCTGCTCAAAATAATTTGCTTCTCCAACTTTAGATATTTTAGGGGAGCTGAACTTGCAGGCATTCAAATAGTGTTCAAAATTTGCCATTTGGAGAGTCATCATGCAAATTCATCTAAAACAAATTCCCTGAGCTCCTACTGTGTGAAAATCATTGCATCAGAGTCTGTGAGATACAAAGACGAATTAGATTTGATTCCCATCCTCTAAGACCTCACATTCTGGTTGGAAAAATGGAACTGGTACATGAAAGAATGATAAAGCCATGAGAAGATTATTACTATTCTTGCATTGCTATAAAGAAATACCTGATACTGGGTAATTTACAAAGAAAAGGGGTTTAATTGGTTCACGGGTGCTGCAGGGCTACACAGGAAGCATGGCACCAGGCATGTGCTCGGCTTCTGATGAGGCCTCAGGAAGCTTTTACACATGGTAGAAGGCAAAGCCAGAACTGGCACGTCACATGGCGAAATTAGGAGCAAGAGAAAGAGTGTGTATGGGAGGGGGGCGGGCGGTGGGGGAGGAGTGTCATACACTTTTAAACAACCAGATCTTGTGAGAACTCACTCATTATCATGGAATCAGCACCAAGCCATGAGGGATCTGCCCCCATGACCCAAACACCTCCCACCAAGCCCCACCTCCAGCATTGGGGATTACAATTCGACATGAGATTGGGGCGGGGACATCTCTCCTTTCTCTGAATCACATACACGGTATCATAAAATGTTACGTGATTCAGAGAAAGGAGCGATGACTCTGGTCCAGGGAACCAGAGAAACGTTCACAACTGAAGTGCCCCTTGACTTAGGACTTGGAGGATACACAAGAAGCATTCTGACAAATAGACATGGGTTAGAGGAATGGGCCTACCAGTCAGAGGGAACTGCTTGGTTAAGGGCCAGAAGGCTTAAAAGTGTAATGAATGATAATTGTTTAGTTTCAGTTCATGGGGTGGGGTGGTAAAAAAGACAGTTTGGGAGAAGATGGAAGAGGAATTTGAAAATCACATAAAGGAAGTGGCATCTATTTTTTCCTTATTCAGTGTAGTCATTGCAGGTTCTGCTGTTGTTGCAATTGTGGTTTATTTCATGGAAACATATCTGACAACTAAGATGCATTAATATACACCTGCAGTGCATTAAACTGTGTCCGCAAAAAGGTATGTTCAAGTCCTAACCCTTGGTACCTGTAAATGGGACCTTATTTGAAAACAGAATCTTTGTTTTTTCTTTTTTGAGACAAGGTCTCACTCTGTCGCCTAGGCTGGAGTGCAGTGGTGCAATCTCAGCTCACTGCAGCCTCGATTTCCCAGGCTTGGGTGATCCTCCCACCTCAGCCTCCCAAGTAACTGGGACCACAGGTGTGTGCTCCCACGCCTGGCTAATTTTTTGTATTTTTTAATAGAGATGGGTTTTTGCCATGTTGCCCAGGCTGGTCTCCTGAGCTCAAGCGATCCTCCTGCCTTAGCCTCCCAAAGTGCTGGGATTACAGGGTGTGAGCCACCATGCCTGGCCTGAAAATAGAGTCTTCGCAGATGTAATCAAGTTAAAGTGAGGTAAGGCTGGAGTAGGGTGGGCTCTTTATAACAATAAGGAAATTTGGACACATATTCAGAGACACACCAGGAGAATGTGATAACGGAGGAAGGGTTTAGAGCGCTGTAGCTGAAAGCCAAGGAACTCCAAGAATTGCCTGCAACTACCAGAAAATGGGAAGAGGCAAGGAAGGATCCTCCCCTAGAACCTTTGTAGGGAGCATGGCCCTGCCAAAATCTTGATTTCAGACTTCTAGTCTCCAAAACTGAGAGAATAAATTAGTCTTGTTTCATACTTTCCCAGTTTGTGGTAATTTGTTATGGTAGCCATAGTACACTAATACAATACCTTTTTTTTGAGACGGAGTCTCCCTCTGTTGCCCAGACTGGAGTGCAGTGGTGCGATCTCAGCTCACTGCAAGCTCCGCCTCCCGGGTTCATGCCATTCTCCTGCCTCCGCCTCTGGAGTAGCTGGGACTACAGGTGCATGCCACCACGCCCAGCTAATTTTTTGTATTTTTAGTAGAGACGGGGTTTCACTGTGTTAGCCAGGATGGTCTCGATCTCCTGACCTCGTGATCTGCCTGCCTCGGCCTCCCAAAGTGCTGGGGTTACAGGCGTGAGCCACCACGCCCGGCCTACAATACCTTTTTTGACTGTTCTTTGTAAGGGCAATTAAAATCTCCAACATTAGGACTGCTATGTAATGCTAGATCAGGAAGAGCTATAATGGGAATGGGAAGCAGCCCTGGATGGGAAAGACTCTCTGAAGTTCTAATTCCTTTTAATTTCCTCCATCTTTTATTTTGGCTTTTGCAAAATATTTAATTTTAAGAAAGATTCTTGTTTTAAAATTATAAAGCATGAGGATATCAAAACCTTGATCTGGCAGTTTTCATATGAAACATACCATACAGAAATACAGAGATACTCACTTCAACATGTTGACAGGTTTGGATGAGTTTAGCCAAAAGGGTCTCCAGTTCTGTGTTCCTCTTAATAAGGTTGGTGAGGTTACTCTCTAAGTTTTGCTGTTCAAAAAAAAAAAAAAAAGAGGAAAAATATTATTCTGCATACTTTTATACTTCAGATACACAAAATTACTCATTCTCAGGAAAAACTGATACATTTTTCAGAAACCTTAGTGAAATCGACATAATTTCAAGTATTTATAGATTTAAACTGGATTTTCAAAAGTTGCATTTAAAAGAACCTTTTAGACACGCTCAGACTTTATTCTTTTTGTTCCTGCTTCTTGCACTAACTCAGGGATACTTAACAGAATAATTAGTTATAGGTTATCTCTAGGTCACGACCTAGGAAGAAAGGAGGTAATTGGATTTCTATCCCTTTACTTGAATCAGAGCTGGCAATAACATAAGGAATATATTCCCACATCAAATCAACTACCATTGGATTTTTCAGATTTATCCTTTTATGGGCAGGCTGAGGCTAATCCCTTGGAGGAAGGTTTGAATTGTTTAGCTCTTGCTGACAATAAGGTCATTTATAGACATTTATGATAAGTCCTCATCACACACACATTTGGTCAGTTGTAGTGGAGTTGACTCTGTATCCACTGGGTTCCACATACCTGGATTCAACCAACTGCAGATCAAAAATATTTGGAAAAAAATGGATGACTGCATCTGTACTGAACATGTACAGACTTTTTTCTCCTCATTATTCCCTAAACCATAGAATATAACTACTATTTACATAGTATTTACATTGTAATAAGTAATATAAGTTATCTAGAGAGAATTTAAGGTATGCAGGAGGATGTGATTAGGTTATATGCAAATAACAGGCCATTTTATATCAGGGACTTGAGCATCCATGATTTTAGTATCTATGAGAGACCCTGAAATTAATCCTTTATGGATACCAACAAACAATTGTACATTTTATTGTTCATGCTTCTATTCTTTGTCCATCAATGCCAGATCAAATTTCTTTGAACACTGTATTTACCACTCATTATCCTGCATAAGACTCTAGAATTATTCCCTATTCCTTTAGAGCATCAAACTTAAAGTTCTCTGGAATGACTATTTAATCCTATTTTCAAACACAATAGCTCTCTGTTCTGGGTAAGACTCACTAAGATTTCTCTGTTCCTTCTCATTCACATGCTCTTGATTGCCAGGGGTGTCCAATCTTTTGGCTTCCCTGGGCCATGCTGGAAGAAGAACTGTCTTGGGCCACACATAAAATAACTAACACTAATGACAGCTGATGAGCTAAAAAAAAAAATCACAAAACAATCTCATAATGTTTTAAGAAAGTTTATGAATTTGTGTTGGGCTGCATTCAAAGCGCTTCTGGGCTGCAGGTGGCCTTGCAGGCCACGTGTTGGACAAGCTTGATTTACACCATTCATTCATTTACTTATGTGTTCCTACCATTCATTCATTTACTTATGTGTTCATACAACAAGTACTTATTAAGCTTCTACAATATGCCAGACTCTGAAAGAGACAGTGGGGAAATCAAATAAAAATATTAATATCTATTCCCTGTCCACAAGGAAATGGATGACTGTACAAACTGGGAGAAAGATGCTGCAAACAAGAGAAGGGAAAGAGTTGATGGCTGCTGGTTAAAGGTTTCCAAGAGGGCCAAGTCTTGCAGCTGAGGCTTGAAGGATGTCCAGGGGTTTTTTGTTGCACAACAGTGGAAACTTCTTGGAAAGAAAGAAGTGAGCATGTGGAAGAATCTTCCATGGGCAGGGAATAGAACAATGTCGTATGCCAACATCAGAGAGGTTGAGAGGGCAAAAGATTAGGGAAACTGTGTTTTAGCATATAGACAGTTCCACAAGTATGGCAAAGATACGGAACAACAGGAAATTTCATGGAAAAGAAAACAGACCTCAAATTTATAATGCCATCCAAGAAAGAGGATTTAGAAAGAGTTTGAGGGATTTTGAAAACTAACAAGTTCATAAAGGTGTTAATTTCATTATGCTGTAAAATTTATTTATGAAAATTTTAGCTCATTCTACTTCCCTAAATTTTTTATTTAGAAAAGTATATTAAGGAAAAGAACCACTTTCATCTAAGGCTTAAAATGCATATGTCAAAAGCAGAACTTTCTGGTTATTTTTAAAACAAGTTAAACTTATTAATCTGGTGTTTATCCTATTGACTGATTTTAAAATTTTTTAATGAATGCATTTTCATTTCTAGTAGGTTCTTTATCACATCTCCCTTTTCTTATTGAATTTCTCTCTGTTCCTATTACAAAAACACGATTCTCTTCTCCATAATCTCAAAACAACTAAACTTACTTATTCTTAAGCTCTTTTGAGAAAAGGCAATTCTGTATTTCCCTGTGCTTGTTGACTATTTCTCAAGGATCTGATTTTATCTTTGTCTTGTAATTTTTGTCTGACAGCTCATACGATGTAAACTTTGTTCCCTGTGCTGTGATTTGGGGATTGACATAGCCCAGCCAGATAAGAAGCATATTCTGAGGTTAGGGCGTGAGGTTCTTTTCCCAAAGAAGACGCTCCCACAAGGCACTCGTGTGCAACAGAGGCACAGATCCTAGTTTGACTCAGTGCCTCTGCTTCCTTCCATGAGAGTTCTGTGTCTGGCTTCAATTCCAGAGAAGATGTCAGGTTCCCTTTGAGTCCAGTCTATGCATGGGGGTCTTGGCCTCCAGGTGTACAAGGCTCTTGCCACATGTGATGTTCACTTCCCTATGTGTCCACTGAAGTCACCATTGCCCCATGTCATCTCCACTTCTTGGGAGTAGCCCAGTGTCAGTCTTCTCTCACCACTCTACACTTTCTTTCATTTCCGGTCCTTGGAGGCTTTCCACATATGTTTATGCTTGGTTATGTATTCACTAAAATACATTTTAAAATATTTTATCTGTAATTCTCATGTGTTCAAACTTCAGAGGAAGGCTTTGTGCACATTTCATCTGGACTGGAAAACCAACAAGAAACCTTCAATTCTGTCTTGGAATCACTCAAAACATTTCAAATATGACAATTTTAAAGGGGAAGAATAACTTTTTCACTTAAAGAATGGGATACAAGAGGCTGAAGAGTCAGAGAATGAACTAGACACAGTGATTTATGTACAACTTGATCTTATGCTTGCATCAAAGAAAAACTTGCTTTTAACAACAACAACAACAACAACAAAAGCCAAAGTTTTTTTTTTTTATTGTTTGGATTAAATGAATCGCAACTGCTAATCACTTTATGGTCAGAGACTAGAGGATGATTTTGAAGCATCCCATTCTTCAATGTCCTTGATATAGACATAACCATTATAACGTATATTTGTCAACTTTTTTGGTATGTTAATACTAGGGGATACTTTTCTTTTTGGCTGACCCTTCACAGCAGGAAATTTCTAGGGAAATACATCATCTAACTGTTTACAGTTCAATTGTCATAAGTATGACTTTTCTAAAGTTAGTCAGCAAAAGAGGGCCAAAGAAATGCAATCCAACACATTGAGATTTTACAAACATCTGCTTGCTTCCCCCTCCCTTTATTAAGTATACATCATGCATCAAATCTGTTTTTAATCAACTAATACATAGACTAAAGCCTGTGGTTTAAACACATTGACCTATCCAGATCCTTTGGGGTTATTCAAATTTAAATAGTACAAGTGTTACTGAAGTCTGCAAAGAATTACCGAGTCAGTTAGAAGCATAATAAAGGGAAATTAAGCTGGGAGAGAGACTTGTTTCCAAGTGGTACCAAAGGGGCTGACAACACCTTTGAAGGGAACCTGGGTAATGGGAAGATAACAAAATCCAGTCCTTAATGAGCCATGCACCCATAAGCTTCCACTACAGGGACTTCTCTGAAGATTTTCTGGAAATTAACTCTATCACTAACATCCTGTGTGGTAGTGGTCAGCAGTCTCCATAATCTCTTGATTTTGATTGTGACTTGTGCAAAACAGAGATCATACTTTTCCATATAAAAGTCATGGGATTAAGTAGATATCAGTTTCTATACTGCCCTATGGATATCTAAAAAAATTCTACAGAGCACAAGAAAAATTGGTTTTAGTTTCCTGTTCTCACCTTGAAAACATCAATATATTGACATCTCCTTACTCAAGGCAAGTTTTGTAGAAATCCAAGGAGTCAGTGACCACATATGAAGAGGGAGGAGACCGGGACTACCATCCCAGCTGGACTCTCTTCGGCAAATGACTGGATGTGTCTTGGGCTCAGTTTTCCCATCCATAATGTATGGATAATGATAAATCTACCTATCTATACTATTGTTAAGATCAAATGAGAAAATGAACACATTCACCAGAGAACTACATGAATGTCTGTTGAAATTATGAATTAGAAGATGGAACATTTAGTTTGGACACAGTTCCAGACACTAGAAGGGCCCAACCCTGTGCCTCTGGGAGGCACCATTCTCCAGCTTGCTCATGGCTTTTTCCTGCAAGCACCTGTGCCTTTTCACCCCAGGGCCTTACCTGGCTTCAGGCAAGGCAGGTGCTGGGGAGAGTAAGAAGAAGCTGATGTTCCTAGGAGCAGCCCTCAAGTGGCAATTACTGGCAATTGGTGGATATGCAGCCCAGCTTTTTCACCTCCTGGGTGGAACCACTCTGAGCCTCTGTCTACAAAATCTCCCACAGGGCGCAATTGGGAGGCAGCACATGGGTCCACAGCAACAACCTGCTCATTAACCCTCTTTCCTCTTCAATCTCTTCCCTGTTTGCATCCCCTCTCCCTCCAGGTGCTTCCTGGATCACCTCCCAATTCAAATTCTGAGTCAGAGTCTGCTTCTGGGAGAACTCATCTACGATCATCTCCATAGACCACCTAACCCATTTTTGCGTATGCCTTTCTGTGAGGAAGAGCCAAATCAGAAAATATTTTATTGCTTTAGAAAGACATTTGCAAATACAAGAGGTTTTCTCTCTTTCCCCATCTTTCCTCTTTCTGCTTTTCCTAGAGGTCACATATCCTCCAAATTCCAGGCTGTAGATCAGCAGTATCAATAGAAACCTAATGTGAGCCACAAATGTGAGTCACATTTCAAATTTTTCTAGTAGTCACATTAAAAAAAATAGAACCAAGAAAAGTTAATTTTAATAAAATTGTCATTTCCACCTGCAATCAATATTTGAAAACTGATGAGATATTTTATATTTTGTTCTTTCTTTTTACTAAGTCTTTGGAATCTGATATGTTTTACACTTATGACACATCTCAACTCAAACCAGCCCCATTTCAAACACTTGGGAGCTACATCTGGCTGGTGGCTACCTCACTGGTCTAGAACAGGGGGTGGCAAACTTGCTATAAAAGATCGTGTAGTAAATATTTCAGGCTTTATTGGCCATATGTTCTTGGACACAATGACTCAATTCTGCTGCTGTTTTAGCATGAAAGCAGCCATAGATAACATGTAAACGAGTGGATAGGACTGTGTTCAATGAAACTTTATTTACCAAAACAAGTGGTGAGTGAGATTTGACCCACAACTGTTGTTTGCCACGCCCCCAGCCTAGAAGGTAAAACTCAAAATGATAATATTGTCTGGGCCACTGATAAACATCTGCTTCTGTTAAACACTAACATTTGTCCCAAACTTTTTGTGTAAGTCTGAAATAGATGCCACTCAATGAACCTCTAGGAAGAATTCTTTCTGTACAAGATGCTAAGAGCACTTTCACTTATGGGCAGAAAGCTTAGCTTGACAGAACCCACAATAATCTGAAGAAAATTAAACAGCATTTTGACTCGTAGATATTCTAATTTAAGGAGCATAATGGTTAAGTACACAGAACCTGGTGCCAGTCTGCCTGGTTTGAAGTCCTAGCTCTGAGACCTTCAACAAGTTCTTAACCTCTGTGCCTCAGTTTCCTCATGGGGCTGTCAAGATGATTAGAGGAGGAGATACATGGAAGCCCTAGGAAGAGTACCTGGCTCACGATGTGTTGTATCGGTGCTTGTTAAATAAAATAAAAAACTTGTTTTTCAAGTTTCGAGTTTAGACTGATTTTTAAAAAAAGCTTAATTTGTAACACTTATACCACAACCAAATTAAAAGCATGCCCATACAGTTAATAAAATATTTAAACCACCACCAAATTAAAAGCATGCCCACACATTTCATAAATGATTTGTTCTGTAGATTTTCAATTTAGTAGTACATAGCTACAAGAATATATTTCCCCCTAAGATTACATTTTCCAAAAACACTGAATCCTATTTGCTCAGCTTTCTCATGATGTGATTATTGTCAGAATTCCCATCTGGACTGCGGGTCCCTGTTTTAGACTAAGTGTACATATTTCTAAAATGTTGTGCAATGTCCTAAATCTCAATGAATGCTAATGCTACTATTTGTTGTCATCTCGTCCATGAAGCCCTTCTCATCTGTTAGTTTGAATGGGCAACTCCCTTTCCTTTCGTGGTCAGTATTACTCATACCTCTTTTCCTCTACTTTCCCCACTCCTGTGCTGTGCTCCTGCCATTGTGAACAAGCTGTTTTATGGATCCAGGCTTGTTTCTGGGTCTGAGCATGGGCGCAGTCTCTTCCCTTTGCCTGGAATGCATGTGTGTAGCAGAAAATTCTACCAGCAAAAAGAGAGTATAATAAAGCCACAGGATGTATTGAGTACTTGCTGTATACCCATCATTGCTTAGTCCCTTCCCACCGTACACCCTTAAATATGCAATGATATTTCCAATTAGCATGGAAAACTGAATATTCACCGGACAACCCTTCTGAAATCCAATGTAGTAAATCAACTGATTAGTTAATTTAACAACTAGTGTAGATAGTTAAGACAATGTCTTCTCTCAGCTTTGCTAAACAACAGAAGTCTTCCATGCTTTCAGGCTTTTCTCATTGGTACCGTTGAGTCTGACCCCAAGAAGAGGGCCTTGAGAGTTTAGAAGAATTTTTGAGGAATGTTATATAACACTGTCCAGAGCACAGGATTCCTGTGAAGGCAAATATAACATTATCAAACAAATTTTTCCAAACCGGGATTTATAAAAATAGAGAGATGCTATAGCAATTATCACTAACACATCAACTTCAAGTTCCATCTAAACCCAAAGTCAAGTTGCTCCCAGCCTTAATTCATTACCTTTTCCCCAAGTGATTTTTTCATAGTGCTCTTATTCTGTGAGGTTTACGACTTGGTGGCATTCAATACTACCCTCCCACCACTACCACCAAAGAAAAGAAATACAAATAATTCAAAATGGTCCTTATAAAAGGCAAGGATACCTGTGGGCAGATTTAGTTTCTTAATATTAAGCCAAGGATTGGGTATAGGTCAAATTTGTGGAAGGCAAAGTTATAAAACATGTGTTGCTTAAAGAATGAGGCTTCCTTACATACTTTATGCAAAAAGGGTGATTAATTTTTCTTATAATTTTTATTTTTAATGCACACATTTTGGATGCATCTTCACAGAGCCACAGTCAACCTCCTTCATGTTAGGTAGTTTTTAGTAAGGCTTATTTGAGCTGATAATTGAACAATTCATGTTGGGACAGCTGATTTTACACCAATCTCAATATGAGCCTTTAGGCATGGATAGGGACACCAGCAGAGAATAGTAAATCCAACTTAACAGATGAGCTTTGTACTTCTACATACAGTGATACCCAATCAAATAGCAAGGGAAGCAGACAAATGCCCCTAATTTTAGCCTTTGGAGACCTGAACCTAAGAGTCAGGTTGCAGGGAATTAATGACTTGTCATTGAGCACTACTATTAAAATGTATGCTTGAAACAGGAGATTTCAGTAATTCCTTTTGGGTTTGCCCAGGACTTAAAGAATGCTTGCTCTTATTCCGAAGTCAATACTTCAGAATGTCTTTAAAGTACAATATTAGGTCTGGATACCTTTCAAGGCAAACACAGATCTGGCTTGTTTCATTCCATAATATTCAGAGTGACATTCAGCAACTGTATTCGGAGCCCTGGCACCCAACACCACCACTCCAGCGTGATCAGGATATGGACACGTCAAGTGCCACGACCCATATATTTTCTTCTAAGAAACTTTAATCACAATAGTTAATATGAAAACACACCCATATTAACACATGCCACTTGTATAAAAGCATAAATTCTTTATATGTAACTAAATTTTAAAGATGTTTTAATTGCACTGCAGGAGGCTGAGACTATCTTCAGGTTTGACTCGACAGACCGCAAATACATGTAATTTAGGTTGTTTTAATTTTTTAATGCATTTTTTTCATTGGTTATAATAGCTACCATTTCCAAATGCCCTGGCAAGACAGGCCGCCGAGGGAACTTCAAAAACCTAATAAAATACAATCTGCATATAAATTTAAGTCTAGTATTCCATGGACTACAATTTAAGTCATTTTGATATGTGATACAGTGTTTACCTTGTCAGGTTTTATTTGAAATTTCTATATTAACACCACAGAATCTGTTCCATATATTTATAAATTCCATCATTAGGAGTTCAGTGTTTATTTTTCTAACCTGGTAGTCAATAACATACAGAGAACAACTTTTAAATACTGTGTATGGTCTAGAAGAGCTTTTATTTTAATGGAGATAAATAGGTATCTTAGTATAGTTCTATTCATTTAGTTATAATTTTAGCAGATCCAATGACGACTAGTTATTTCCAGGTATTAGAGATGTGAATGGCCTTTTTTATTCACTCCTCCTCCCCAGCCCCATTTCTGCCTATAATAAGAGAGGTGAGCAAATGACCAATAAATACATTTGTTGGTTTTGAGAATGGATATCACATGAAGCTATATTACTAGAATCCTTTCAAATTCTCTAACTTAAAAACAATGATCTCAGTTGCAAAATTTATGCCTGCAGAAAAATGCTTCTAAGAATAAGTCTATAACTTTTATCAGCAGGACATAAAGGAAGCATTTTGTAAGACTATAACACAGCTAGAAGAGCTGTGGATGGTCCAATTGGGCAACTCTCTGGCAGCCCTCTCTGCTCATTTGCCCTTGTTCAACTTCTGAATCCTTCTCAACACAGTACTCTGGGCTGCCATAGCAATATCAAAAGAGGCCACAGGCAGGGCACTGTGGTTCATGCCTGTAATCCCAACACTTTGGGATGCCAAGGCGGGAGGATTGCTTTAAACCAGGAGTTCAAGACCAGCCTGGGCAACATAGTGAGACCCCCATCTCTACAAAAACTTTTTTAAAAATTAAAAATTAATATTAAGCCAAGGATTGGGTACAGGTCAAATTTGTAGACTACAGCTGGTACACATCTGTAATCCCAGTTACTCAGGAGGCTGAGGAGGGAGGATTGCTTGAGCCTGGGAGTTCAACACTTCAGTGAGTTATGATTGCACCACTGGACTCCAGCCTGGGGGACAGAAAGAGGCCCTGTCTTTTAAAATAAATAAATAAATAAAACAAAAGAGGCAATCTACTTGCCAGTTAAGAATTACATGGTGAGGAGGATATTGTAGAACAGACTAATAGTAGTTAATTATTTTTGTTCAAGTGAAAACTTTCAAATCAGGAGATATTCAATGTCCTAAACCAGAGGTTGGCAAACTATGGTTGGTCCACTGGTCAAACCTTGCGTGCCGCCTGTTTTTGTGTGGCTTGTTAGCTAAGAATGGTTTTTTTTTTTTTGAGACAGAGTTTCACTCTTATTGCCCAGGCTGGAGTGCAATGGGGCGATCTCAGCTCACTGCAACCTCCGCTTCCTGGGTTCAAGCGATTCTCCTGCCTCAGCCTCCCGAGTAGCTGGGATTACAGGCATGTGCCACCACCATGCCCAGCTAATTTTCGTATTTTTTAGCAGAGAAGGGGTTTCTCCATGTTGCTCAGGCTGGTCTCGAATTCCCAACCTCAGGTGATCCACCCGCCTCAGCCTCCCAAAGTGCTGGGATTACAGGTGTGAGCCACCGTGCCCGCCCTCATTTTTGCATTTTTAAATAATTTTTTTTAAAATGAAAAGAATAACATTTTATGACACATGAAAAGTATACAAAACTCACATTTCTGTAGCCATAAAGTATTGTTTACTGTTGCTTTCACAGTACAATGAGAAAGTTGAGGACTTGTACCTACAAAGACCAAAATATCTGCTATCTGGCCATTTGCAGAAAATTGTTTTCCTTATTTAAAAAACAACCTTCTCTTTTTAATAATCCAAGAAAGAAAGAAAGAAAGGAAAGAAAGAAAGAAAGAAAGAAAGAAAGAAAGAAAGAAAGAAAGAAAGAAAAAGAAAGAAAGAAAAGAAAGAAAGAAAGAAAGAAAGAAAGAAAGAAAGAAAGAAAGAGAAAGAAAAGAAATCCCTGGTATCCATGTGGATGGTAAAAAAAAAAAAACAGTCCATGTAGTTTTTAATTAATTTATACATAACATTTTTTTTCTGTTGCTCCAAGCCATTTTAAAATTTCAATATAATTCAATTAACTTAACATTTTCAACACCTACTATGGGAGTGTAGGAGGATGCCTCAAATTCCAATCCTTCAGGTACTCAAAATTCTAAAGACTCTTTTTGTTAACCACCAAAATAAATTTTAACTCAGAAAAAAATTATAGATAAGATGTCTTAAATTATGGATAAAATGCAATGATTGAATAAATTCCTGTTTTATTTGTGTCTTTTGTCCAGGAAAGCAGGAGCTTCAAACTGAGGAAGAGTAAGAAATGACAATCTTCAATTGTATCAAGGTTGCTATAGCAAAAACATGGTCAAAAGTGAGTAAGGAAGGCACAGCATGAGGATTAGTTAGTTCCTACCACTCTGCAAATAAATATATAAAGCATTGAGTTTTAAGTGCCGACTGGATAAGGAATTACTCATTGATTGCTATCTTCCTCAATTCTATTATCCTGGTCTTTTTTTTTTTCCTCAATCATAAAATACACCTTAAAAGGCAGGCAGGGAGGGTGTAGAGCACTAGATAATTAATGTCTATAAAATCCCCTGATACTGATGGATGTCATACATGTTGTCTGTATAGGCCCCTTCAAGCTTTACTTCCTCCATCACTCAGGGATTGAATAATTTTGATCTTATCCCCTTTCTTCCATCTTAAGTAGATGATAACATTGCCAGATACTCACTAATGAACATGTTCTGGTCTTCCTACTTCAACAGGGTTTTAACTGATACCATCAAACATTTTTACCAGACCTGAATGTCAAATTAGTCTCATAGTGGATGCTTAGCCTTGGATGGATGAAAATACATTTTTGTTTTTCAGATACTGTAGGAAAACCAAATCTTTTTCTAAGCCAGCACCACGCATCCTGCAGGTACTTCATGTCAGTTAAACTCAATATATTAAACATATTTGAAGCTAAAATAGTTGAAAGTCTTTGATCTAATAATTTTGAATAGATAAGTATGATTTCCTTTTTTTCTATAGGAATTTATCTTCTGAATTTTTTAGGTTTTAGAGGAAAATGCCCTTTTCTGGACCAGCTGCTGAAAATGATTATTAAAATTCAATACATGATCAGCTTTGTTCTTGAATTGTGGCATTCAAAGGAAAGGTTCGTAGCTTTCACAATACTCATATCCCCACATGTGTGGTACAAAAAAATATTTAAGGCCAAGGGAGGTCACACTCTTTGGCTCAAAAAAATAGATTAAAATTCCATTCCATCCAAAGTGGGTACGATCTGTCAGGAATTTACAAAATCAATATTATGTAAGAGAATTCCCCATTTGGGACATCCTACAGAATCAAAGAAGAATATGAAAGCATGCCATTGTTTTTCAGCTCTGAACCTTCAAAAACAGACCCTTGCCTAAGTTTTGAAGTTTGAATCTCAAATTCTTAAAATTCATTGCATCCTTTGTCCCTGACTTCATCATCTTTACTCAGCCATTTCCTCAACCTTTAGTAGGACCGACACTGCCTTTGTCTATTCAAGATGATTTCGACTGAGTTGAAAGAAATGTGGAAATCATGGAAGGAAAGAAGATGAGGAGTGTCTACTAGGGGAGTAGTTCCCATTCTGGCCTACACATGGCAATCACCTGGATCTATCCTCCCTTCCCAACCGGAGAGTATAAATAACTTCGCCTGAGTGAGGTCCAGGGAGCAGGATTTGTGAAAGCTACCCAGGAGATTCCAATGTGCATCCAAGTTCGAGAACCATTGCTCAAAATGGAGAAACAGGTTCTGTGATACAGTGAAGGAAAATCAATAATTTATTCAATTTACTACTTTTATACTTTAGGATTTATTCAGAATAAAAATATATTTGTAATGCAGCTTATATGTATATAACAAGTACAGGAATAAAATTATATATAGATGTATGTAGAAGTATAAATTTATGTGATTTTATCATAGAAAATCCCAGCAACTTTATTAAAACAGTGCTTAGCGGGGAAACACTGATTGTTGCTGTTAAGGAATTTAGAGGACTTTTTATACTTGAAAATATAAGGGAATGCTTTCTTGCATTCGAGTATTCCCAATGCCTAAAAAGAGCTACTGAATGGTCACCTCAATTTCTAATTTGCCAAAGCATTTGTATACAAATTTGGTCTGTTGACCTTAACAGTAGTTACTTTCACCAGAAACACAACAGAAGTGTACTACAGATGTTTATCATTCAACAATATTTTAACACATTTAACTTAAATATTTAGGAAAAACATTAAAAAAATTCTGACGACAAAAGAATAGATTTACAGCTCTATTCACTTTCAAACGTCAACTCAGGCAAGAGCATTGCCCTGAAGCCTTGTGTAGTCTAAAAGGTAAATTGCAAAATATTCCCAATATTTGGAAACCAAAGTGATAAAGTATTCTGAGGCTGGGCATGGTGACACACACCTGTCCCAGCACTTTGGGAGGCCAAGGCTGGAGGATCACTTGAATCCAGGAGTTTGAGACCAGCCTGGGCAACATAGGGAGACCCTGTCTCAAAAAAAAAAAAAAATTAAAAATTAGCTGGGCGTGGTGGCATGCACCTATAGTCCCAGCAACTCCGGAGGATGAGGCAGGAGGATCGCCTGAGTTCAGGAGGTCGAGGCTGCAGTGAGCCATGATCGTGCCACTGCACTCCAGCCTGGGCAACAGAGGGAGACACTGCCTCAAACAAAACAAAACAAAAACAAAGAAAACCACACCTAGTATTCTGCTTCTTTGATTGATGGCCACTTGCCTGGGGAAAAAAAAAATAGATTTTCTAGAAAGTGATTTAATTTGCTGTGTTTTACAAAAAATATTTACTAAGGCATTTTCCCAATAGCATTCATTTGTTTATACATGACTAAAGACAATTTATGGGTCACTGTATTTTGGAAGTGAACTAGCTCTCAGTTCCCTGAACTATATTTGAGTTTACATATACAACGTGTTGCTAAAGCGGAAGTCAAATAATAAATGTTACTTTCAAAAACTTTTAAAAACCAAGCCATTTGCTTTTAATCCAGTGAGAGAAAACTGTCCAATACTCAGAAGTGGAAGGAGACTTGCCAGTTATAACAATTACAAATTGCAAAGTCTCATCTTTTCTGTAGAATCTAGAAGGTAGACCAGGAGTTCTCAAAATGTAGCTTGGCCCAACCACAGCAGTCACCTGGGGAGCCGGTTAAAAATACAAATTGTTGGGCACCTTCCCCTGGGAAAACAGAAAGAGAGGAAAAGCTAAGTAGGAAGTAAGCAATTGCTCTGCTTCTCTCCCCACTTTCCCTTTCTTGTGGACATTTTGTTATCTTATTACTTACTAAGGCTTTGTAATCAGGTCCCATTCTTGGGCCTTTCCCGAGTTCCTTCAGTCTCTACTGCGGAACAGGAAGCAGAACTGAAGAGAGAGCTAGAGAAGGTGTAAGGGGGTTATGAGCCAATGTCATGCCACACAGAAGGTTCAGGCATGGATGCTGCACCTCGATCAGCTGTGCTTTTTAACCCATCTGACTGGCAGTTCTAAATTGCTTTTTCTAATAAAAATGAAGATAGAACTCAGATGTTCACAACGTGCCCTCTCTCACACGCAAAAAAACAGTCATGCTGAAGTTGCTCCCAGTGTATTCTTGATTACTTATAAACGTCGTTCTTAAAAAAAAAAATTAAGTGGTATTGAAAGGGGGAGAGGGCAACCAGCCAGCAGAGGATCCAGACTCATCTGTTTATGATGAAAAAATAATGCCCCCCCAACCATTGGTTGGACTCAGTGTACCTCTTCAAAATTCAAAATTCAGCTTGACAGAAAATATATAAAGCTGAAAACAAACATGTTAAACTTTGCTCTCAGGACTTTTTAGTGTGACTTTTATAATTTGATTTCCAAATGTCTGTGACCTTCGTCTATCACTGTGATAGGACACTCTGGGGAGGCAGTGTCACATGACATCAGACAGCTTAATAATTAAATGGTGATAGTAAATCACAAAGAGGACTTTTGGCCTTCCACAACTGTTATCTTTCTCCAGTGTGCTGTTTTTATTTGAATAAAGTGTCACTGATACAGGTAATGAACAAATTCTCAAATCGAATGCATTTACTATAATTAAAGGCAGACTTTAGCACTGTGCAATTTTGACTGCAAGTGAGTTTCCCACCAGAACATGTTCTATCCAAACAATTATAATAAAACAGTGGCTTCATATGTACATATTCCATCAGCAATGGCATTCTTTTTCACAGCTTTAACTCCATCCTCTGTCCTGACACGATTCAGATTTTGATCTCAGATCTCAACTCTGACCTAAGCTTTAGTCTCTCACTATCAGTTCAATACCAACTTTCAGCTTTGCTGGTCCCCTGTTATTTTAAACTCAACTGTCTTAAATGCATCATCTGTTCCTTTGAAATTTCTCCCCACCTTCCCTTTATTTATTTATTTATTTATTTTTATTGAGACAGTGTCTCACTTTGTCACCCAGGCTGGAGTACTGCGGTGTGATCTCAGCTCACTGCAGCCTTGACCTCCCAGGTTCAAGAAATCCTCCTGCCTCAGCCTCCCCAAGTAGCTGGGACTATAGGCATGTGCCACCACGCCAGTCTGATTTTTGCATTTTTGGTAGAGACGAGGTTTCGCCATGTTGCCCAGGCTGGTCTTGAACTCCTGGGCTCAAGCAATCCACCCACCTTGGCCTCCCAAAGTGCTAGGATTACAGGCATGAGCCACCATGCCCGGCCTCGATCTTTACAAAAGATATTACTATGCTCTTCATGTCTTCTATCTAATCACTCTCTAAAGATTTTGGGGAGTTGTTTTTTTAAAAGACTCCTTGACTTCAGTTTTCCCTTTTCTTCCCAAGGTTTCCATTCTAACAATCTTCCATGAATCACTGGTTTTCATTCCTCTAATTTTTGTCCAGTTGGGTCCACACATGGCCGTCAACGTAATCTTTCCAGTAAGCTTACATCACTCTCAAAACTCCAAAATTTTTCAACTCTTAAAGGATGAAGTTCAAACTCCTGAGTTGGCGTGCAAACTCATCAAAACTATAGGTTTAAAACTTTCCCAGTAGAAGGCAGCTATAATTACCACCACCCTGCAAAATGAACATTCAACTTCAGCAAAACTGGATTCCTTTTTGGCCAATAAATTGTGCCATGTCTACTGCTCCTTCCAAGCTCTCAGTTACGTCTTTCTACTAAACTAGTATTTTGTTGTTGTTCCCCCACAACATCTTAACATCTAGCGGGTTGGCTGTGCAAATAGAGGCACTGATGAATGTTTGCTCAATAACAGTACATAAATAATATTAATGCAACCAAAGATTTCCTGACTATAACAGAAGTCATATGAAGCCAAATCTTAATTCCATTTCAAAATTGGATAGAGTTTAATCATATGGTTCTGAAGACATCAATGCATATTTAAGACATCAAGCCATAGTTCACTGTATTATAAAAACATTTTGATTAAATTAGTTTCAGAAATTGCTCTCTGGCCAAGGAGCTATCTGCTTCACAATGGACCATGCAATAAATCTTAGACTACATGTGCTGACAGGTATAAGATGATTTATTGAAATGTAGGATGAGGAATTGTGAAGCATTACTAAGAAATACACACTTTCTTCCAATGTAACATTATTTTACTTTACAAAAGTAATTTAGGAGGAAACTGTACTATCAAGATAATAGCAAACACTTCCCAAACATCTCTAATTCTACATATTAAAAATAATCCAAGAATGAAATCATTAGATCGTGCGGCTGGCTCTAGATCAGACAGATGACTTAATAATGATCCATCTCCCTATAACAAAGCTCACCTCTGTTAATAATCAGAGAATTTATACTATCTGTGACCTTCAATATTGCTTCAATCATGTGCTAGCCCTAGGATTTTTAATCTTTTATTTGATTTTTCTTTGCAATGTTATTCTATTTTACATAATGATGACTAAAGAGATTGAGACTTCACTATAAATTGAGATTCTTAAAATAAAGCTGCTTCTGAATTCAAAACAACAAGAACAAAACCAAACAAACAAAAAAAGAAACTGAGCCACATATGTAACTATCTCTTCATGATTAAAGTTGATTATAATGATCTCCTGAATTTTACCATTTAACTGGTTTTCTGAGAATTAACACTATTTACAGCTACAGTTTCCTCAATAGCCAAAAAAAAATCAAACCCTCTCTTCTCTTTTCTTTTCTTTCTGTTCTTTGAGACAGAGTCTCACTCTGTCAGCCAGGCTGGAGTACAGTGGTGTGGTTACAGTTCACTGCAGCCTCCACCTCCCTGGCTCAAGTGATCCTTCCACCTCAGCCTCCTGAGTAGCTGGGACCACAGGTAGGTGCCACCATGCCTGGCTAATTTTTGTGGAAGACACCTGGGCTCGGTGCGGTGTTTCACACCTGTAATCCTAGCCTAGGCGGGCAGATGGCTTGAGGTCAGGAGTTCAAGACCAGCCTGGCCAACATGGTGAAACCCCATCTCTACTAAAAATATAAAAGTTAGCTGGCTGTGGTTGCACATGCCTGTGATCCCAGCTACTCAGGAGGCTGAGGCACAAGAATCGCTTGAACCTTGGAGGCAGAGGTTGCAGTGAGCCAAGATTGTGCTACTGCACTCCAGACTGGGTGACACAGTGAGACTCCATCTCAAAAAAGAAAAAGAAAAAAGGATCGTGGAAGACTTCTGGATACTGCCTGCAGGCCTTTAGATAGTATATCCCAGGGCCTTTACAATGTTTCAAGATCTGGGAAATTTCCATATTCTTCCTAACACCAAGTACTTAACAAGGCTAAAGAATTCTGCCTGTGACTTTAATCTGTTTCCTGGGCTGTTAGTATTCCACACAAATAATTCTAGTTGTTACCTGCAGAACGTCCTGAGGTTCATAGTAAGAAGTTTGCGACTAAACTAGTTTAATTATAAAGCCTGATGCATTGCTTCAAAGTGAGAGTCAGTCTGTCTTTGATTGTCTGAGACCCAATATTTCATCCGTGGAGTCACAGATCACAAAGGTCTATTATTCCAATTTAGATGGTTCCATCTAAGTTGGATGTGCACTGTGCATAATGAGGATCTCATCCAAATAGTCAATTTGGTGAAAATTAAATCGACTAGTGCCAATGTTCTCTAGTAACACATACTGAGGTTCTCCCTGCCTCTTCTTACAGTTAGACAATTTAGGGCAGAAAAGACTCATGAATTCCCTTAAAAGGAAAGCATCCTTAGGACAAGACCCAGGTTGCTCTCCCTCCCCATTGGATTCAAAGCACCGAACACAGTATTTGCTGCATAGTAGTCTCAACAAATATTTGCTAAAGAAATGGGCAGGTAGATGGGTGAGTAGGTGGATAACGGTTCCTACAGAGTTTGAGAAAACAATTTGGCACTTTGGTTTCAAATCCTGGGAATGAATTGAGAGTGCAGAGTGCTCTCAAATTTCAGAGCTATGCGGGTGCTGCCTGGGAGTTGAAAGTTTTTCCAGTTCTCTTGAATGGGCACTCAGGTTCTCTTGAGATCTGTCTGGAAGAGTCCAGTTACTTGTCATACTGACATTCTACGGAAGGTACCAAATGCAATAGGTCTAAGCTATCTCCTTCTCTGCTAAAAAACACAATTCTCTCCCATACATGAGCCGAAAAGAAAGGCCTCACTCTCAGGGCTACCTCTACTCTTTGCCTGGAAAGATGCTGTCACATGTTAGCAGGTGAAATTAGCAGACACTTACTTATTTTTGGATTACAGGTAAACAGAAATCACCAGTTCAGGTGCCAGTAATAGGTCCCCCTGCCCTCCCACCACCCCCCAGTAAATCACAGCTGGTGACTACAACTTCTCCATATCTGAAATCACTAACTTTAAAATGAATATCTGAATAAAATATTATTCAATGTACTCCGAGGCAGGCTTTGTGCACACCATCTCTTTTGATATTACATATAATTGATATATCATATATCAATTACATATATCAAGACTGAAAAACACAAGGCTGTTGATTGACAAGCATTTTCTTTCCTCCAGTACTGAAGTACGATAGAGGTTTTTTAAATGAAAACTCTACTAAAGTAGTTTCCAGTTCTTTGCACTTTGTAGTAGAGAAAAAGTATTTCCTAACACATAAGGCTGGAATTGTAGTTTAGCATCCATTTCAAGCAGCTCTCTAGAAATGTAAAAAGGAAATTGCAAAAATGAGTTCAAATCACAAAATATAAAAATCCCAAGTGTGAATTTTCTGAACAACAATGTGCAATTAAGAAACAAATAGAGGAAGGGTGGGAGGGTGGGGGCTTCAAGGGATAAGCACCTTACGCTGAAGTCTTTGGGGACCCCCATTGCTAGGCATCTCCACTGGATTTTCCAGGACTCTGGTTCATTTATTTCTAGACAGCTATTTTACCATACTTAAGAGTCAAATGATGGGAGTTTTACCCCCATTAACGGAACTTAGTGTGGACAGCGTTCTAATGGCATAGAATGGAATTTGGCAAAATCAACGGCCATTTAAAATGGTTAACAAACCTGGATAATATCAATTAAATCATTCATAGAATTTTAACCTAAATTAAACATTACCAATGTACATATAAGAAGCATGTTAAAACAAAACAAAACATCCCTCAACTCTATACATCACAAGTATTAATGTGTTTCGCAGACTTTTTAAGGCTGGGATGAATCCAACTTGACCATGTGTAGGCTGTCTTTGGCAATCATATGATTTTCCAAAACAATTATAAAAATAAAAGAAACATTTGCTCATTGCTACTAGTGTATATAGTGTCTCCATAGGGTAATTTGTGTTGCTGGACTAAATGCTCTGAACCTTTAAAAAAAACTTATAGTTCACGACTTAGCAAGGTCTGCCAGTTGTAAGAAATGTGGAAGTCATAATGAGGACTGGAAGGGGAACTTAAGACCCAATTAATGTGGTAATTAACGTCAGAAATAGTGTCTAAACAAAAAGGTGAAGAAAAAAGGGGTGGACTTGAACCTTTACTGTTCTAAATACTTTCTTTTTTTATTATCATTTTACATGTTTAGAATGAAAAGCAAAATGTAAAAAATGACCATAGATTTAATATACTAGCCAGATTTACTGGGTAGTAACTTACTAATGACAAAGGTATCTTTGTGCTAATCTTAGTGTCTTCCCATCCCTGACTAGGATCAATAAATGTTTGCTGAATTGAATTGGAGTACACACTGACATTAGGTTGGCAGGAGTAACGGAACATTACAAAGATATGGCAATCAGGTCACATTAGAAGGCAACATCATAATTATATTTGAGTTTACTTTTATTTTGGATGAAAAAAAGAATTTCTAATGCAATTCCATTCCAGTTCATTATGTGGAAGTCTTAATTCAATGACTACATACCAAACACATAATAATTCTTCCTCATGACACATTCCCTGGTATATAAGTGCTCACAATAATATCCACGTAACAAGGGCTACATACACTGAACCAATTTGAAGTGTGTTAGGTATAGGTCAGCTTTGAAAGATCAAATATTGACCATGAGATAAATCTCAACACCCTTGACAATATTCAACTTTGGAACAATAATTTTCACAGCCACACAAGTACAGCACTGGGAATGTACTCAGGCTCTCCTATCAACGATGGTCCTATCATTCTCCTTAAGTTACTCTTGGGTTTATCTGATTCCAAAACACTTGGTCATTCTCCTATTCCTGCTAGAAAGGTGGGCTACAGTGAGGTAACAACTCATTTGTTTAGAGCTGGATAAAGTGGCTTCTTTTTCCACAGTCCTCCTTGTTTGGCAGTAGAAATAATAGTAGGAGTCATAATAGTAACAATGAGAATAGCAGCAGTTTAGTAGTAGCAGCAGCTGTAGTAGTAGCAGTAACAATAGCAGCTACCATTTATTGAACACATACTACATGCCCAGTATTCTGCATATTCTATCTCTAGTCCTCTTAATAATGTGATAAGGAATGTATGATTACCCTGATTTCTAGTGATGGAGAGATGAACTCAGAGCTGGGTGTGGTGGCTCACACCTGTAATCCAAGCACTTTGGGGGGCTGAGGCGGGTGGATCACCTGAAATCAGGAGTTTGAGACCAGCCTGGCCAACATGGTGAAACGCGGTCTCTACTAAAAATATAAAAATTAGCTGGGCGTGGTGGTGTGCATCTGTAATCCCAGCCACTTGGGAGGCTGAAGCAGGAGAATCACTGGAACCCGGGAAGCAAAGGCTGCAGTGAGCTGAGATTATGCCATTGCACTCCAGCCTGGGTGACAGAGCGAGACTCTGTTTTTTTAAAAAAAAAAATTAGCCAGGTGTGTTGGCATGCACCTGTAATCCCAGCTACTAGGGAGGCTGAGGCAGGAGAATCGCTTGAACCCAGGAGGTGGAGGTTGCAGTGAGCTGAGATCGTGCCACTGCACTCCAGCCTGGGCAACAGAGTGAGATTCTGTCTCAAAAATACAAACAAACAAACAAAATGTACTCAGGCTGTTTCCCAGGGTTACACGACTAGTGATGCCAGCGCTGGAACTCCAAACCAGTTCCATTTGATTTCAAAGCCTGTTCTCCCCACACACCATTTGACTTCTGGAGCAAATTTATGTCTTGCTTCTTATGGCATCGTTCTTTAAAAAGTCAACTCATTTCATTCATTTTTTTTTTCATCCCTTGTAACATCTCCAGAAAATGCCTGTTATGATTGTTGCACTGGTTTAACAGATTGAGATGCCAAAGACTTAGTGCATCAAAGGGAAAGTTGGGATTTCCCAGGTTACACTTAAGGGAGAAAAAAAAAAGTGAAATGTGTTATCTAAGTGATACTGGTTAGAACCAAAGAGATTTGAAATCTTAGTAAACACTAAATGCACAATGTGGAAGGCCTCTTTTGAGGAGGGGAAAAAAAAGCATGCTTGGAATTTCTTACCAGGACTTAATTAAAATACCTTAATTTGGGAAATGTTTTTCTACAATGAATTGAAATCCTTACCAGAAGGCTTTTCAGAAGAAGGGAAATATTGCTACATTTTAATATATAGCTCACTCTAAATAAAACCAGCTCTGAGTCATTGACCTAATTTAGTTTCACAAACAGTATTAGGACTGCATCTAATTTAACAGTAGAAATATATACAGTATTCCATGTCAGCATCCCTTTAATACCACAAGGTTCTCCCAAACTCTTATTATGGGATAATTCTTATCTAGCTCTCTACCAATTATAGGGAGATTTATAGCCTGGCGAAAGTTTTGATTCAAATTTGTAAGGAAAGGCTAATAGATGAGCTCAGATCAGGTGAAAATGTTGCTGTCCTATATAGTAGAAATGCAACATAATTATGAACTCTAATTTGTGGAAACATAGGCTATTTCCTTTCAAAGCTAAGTGTTTTTTGTTTGTTTGTTTGTTTTGTTTTGTTTTTCCTGAGACTGAGTCTCGCTGTCTCACCTAGGCTGAAGTGCAGTGGTGTGATCTCGGCTCACTGCAACCTCCACCTACCAGGTTCAAGTGATTCTCCTGTCTCAGCCTACCTAGTAGCTGGGACTACAGGCACAGGCACATACCACCATGCTGGGTAATTTTTGTATTTTTAGTAGAGACGAGGTTTCCCCACGTTGACCAGGCTGGTCTCGAACTCCTGACCTCAGGTGATTCGCCCACCTTGGCCTCCCAAAGTGCTGAGATTACAGGCATGAGCCACCACACCCGGCTTCAAAGCTAAGTTTTAAATTACATGTGTACACCTTGAGTTACTTCAGAATTTCAACAAGAAAAAATACCTGGATAGAAGTGTTTTTGTAAAACCCAAAGTAAAGAACATTACGGGAAATTTCGGCCTTTCTTTCGTTAAGTGTGGGATCTTGAACCCAGATGAACGAGACTTTCAACATATTGAAGGTTATCATGATCCAGGATGACAAACTCTGAAGGTATTTTTGGGAGCCTGTGTCTTTTGTCCTGCCTAATTGACATAAGAAGATAAAACATTGTTCTTCACCCTTTTCCCACTCTACAATCATACTTTCCTTTAGCACATCCAGTAACCCCTTTGCCTGCAAAAAGGATGAAAGAAAAAATTGTACCAATACTCAGGTCAGAAAATTAAAAGGGAGGGAAACATTCCTGGTAAACACCTTCAAAATGGTTTGTTTGCTTGTGGTATGATGATTGCTTCTGAATGAAGGAGAAGGAGAAGGAGCAGGAGGAGGAGGAGGAGGCGGAAACATACCTATTTGAAAGCCCAATAACAAGCTGGTGGTTTGTTTTATTGCTTTTTTAACACTTTTATTTATCAGTTCATAGTAGTCATGATTCTCTTGCTTATTTTATCTTCGTTTTTTTTCTCCTTTAGCTCTATGCAGCAGTGTTGGCTGCTGCAGTAGATGAATAATAGATTTGAATAAGCTACAAGACATAGTTTAGATTTTCACTGCTTTTTTTTTTAGGATATTGCCAATGTATTTTAAATGGAACTCTTACACAATAGAACATCCTACAGGGATTTCCTATGGTAGTTTAAGACTTTACAAGACAAATGGCTGGGCCCCATGAGGTTGCCTCCTTCATCCTGCCATGGGCATTTTGGGCATGCCTGAAATGTTCTAGCATTACACTCTCTGATTGTTGCCTTTTACTGCATGGAGTTTATTATTTAGAAAAAAAAGTTTTTAATATTTTAAGGTAAAAATTATTTCCTGTGCAACAACAGCAAAAACACACACAAACAATATTTAGAAGCTGTAAAATGAAGAACAGTTGATTCAATTTTGAAAGAACGAAAGATGTTCTGAAATGCTTTGGTTTGGTTCCATGAAAATTCTTTGAATTTCAGCCATTTATAAATCATCGTTCAATAAGTCGCTGGCATTTAATGACCACATGATAGATTTATATATTTTTATATATCTTCTTTATAGCTGTTTTCTCAATGATACTGTGAAACAAACAAACCTATTTTTATAGCACTTTTTTTTTATGCCTGTTGCCTGTCCTATAAAGACAATCTCAAGTGCAGAACTTCCCTGGATAAAGATCAGTTCAATCTTCAGCAGTTGTCTTATCACCTAACACTCCCTGTCAGAAGAAACCCTTGGTATTAACTCATATCACTCATCTTCTAGAACACTCCTTGGGAACACTTTATTTCATAAAATCCCTTAGGGCTATATAACTCTCAACAGTACTAGAAAATGACTCCCCACTGAGACTCAAGAATCAAGGATTAAGCCAGTAGTGAAGTTTTACTAGGGTGGAGTGAGCAAACTTAGGTGTTGCTGTCCTCACATATGTGCGAGAGATAAAATCATCCTCCAGTATGTTCCTCCCTCTTGCATTTCTCCTAATCATAGACACTTCCTTGAAGAAGACAGAACATGCAGCCTAGGCTATGTTATGCCAAAGGGTAGAATAATAGTAATGGTACTACAGGGAATAATTTGTCATCATTGAAAGTTTTGGGGGCCAGGTGCAGTGGTTCACGCCTATAATCCCAGCACTTTGGGAGGTTGAAGTGGGAAGATCGCTTGAGCCCAGAAGTTTGAGATCAGCCCAGGCAAGACGGCAAAAACCCCATCTCTACAAAAAAATACAAAAATCAGCTGGGCATGGTGGCACATGCCTGTAGTTCCAGCTACTCTGGAGGCTGAGCCGGGGAGGTCGAGGCTGCAGTGAGCCATGATTGCACTACTGCACTCTAGCCTGGGAGACAGAGCAAGATGTTGTCTCAAAAAAGAAAGAAGGAGGCCGGGCACAGTGGCTTATGCCTGTAATCCCAGCGCTTTGGGAGGCCAAGGCGGGCGGATCACCTGAGGTCGGGAGTTTGAGACCAGCCTGACCAACATGGAGAAACCCTGTCTCTACTAAAAATACAAAATTAGCCAGGCATGGTGGCACGTGCCTGTAATCCTAGCTACTCGGGAAGGCTGAGACAGGAGATCACTTGAACCCAGGAAGCAGAGGTTGCGGTGAGCCGAGATCACATCATTGCACTCCAGCCTGGGAAACAAGAGTGAGACTCTGTCTCAAAAAAAAAAAAAAAAAAAAAAGGAAGGAAAGAAGGGAGGGTAAAGAAAGGAAGAGAAAGAAAGAAGGAAGGAAAGAGAAAAGAAAAGAAAAAAAGAAAAGAAAAAAGAAAAGAAAAGAAAAGAAAAAACTAATGAACAAACCAGGCATTCTACTCAATCCTTTAAAGCACAATCTCATATATTCTCAAATAAGCCATGAAAAGCAGTCATTGCTGAACCCACTTTATAATTTGGGAACTCAAATTTAAAGATGTTCAGAAACCTCCCCAGAGTCAAGCTTATCTGAGGCAGAGAGAAAATTCAAATTAAGGTTGGTAGGACCGCAAATCACCTCTAACCAAGTATGATTAAGGAAACCTTAATAATGCCAGGAGGATTACTGCAGAAAGCTTCAGAGAAAAACAGTTCACTGCAACCACATTTGCCAGTACCTTCTAAAAGTTGTAAGGCCATGATCACACATACCATAGAACTAGGCAAAAAGAGAAAAAATAGCATGACTTAAGTGTACAATTATGAAAATGAACTGTTGTTATTATGCATATTTTAATTAGTATGGGAAGCCCTCATAAATTATGATCACTATTATTTATGTGGCCAAATTGATTACTGGATTATTTTAATCTACCACTGTGTGTTCCATGTCCCCTCTCAAAGCTCCCTCTCCATGAGGCTCCTCTCCATGCAGTTATTATCTCTATGATACCCCTCTCTATGATGTTATTCTCTATGATTTCCCTCTATGGTGCCCTCTCTATAAGGCCCCTTTCAATAACTTCAGTTCAATGATGGCATCATACAGAGGGATGTCAATTTGTGAAAAACAAATTGATTTTGTTTTTCCATCTCTAGTGTTTATCCCCTCAGGGAAATCATTGATTGAACACCATTTTATAATCGTAAATAAGACAGTTTTGTTTTTTCAGGACATGAAGCACTTTTATTGAATGTGTTATTTAGATAAAAAAGGGAAGAGGTAGAGTGACTTTCTCTGAAAAACATAGATACGAAGTAATTGCCAAATAGAGATAAATTAATCTCCAAGGAAAATGACCAGATCCAGTGGCTTTTTAACATTTCAGGAACCCTATTTTTATGAGTGTACTTTGGAAGAAAGGCTATACAAACAGTGAAAAATACCCAAAGTTTCATAAGTACCAAACACATAACTCTCCACATTAATTGTGATGGCTTTCTTTCCACTTCTTCAGCCTTAGTCCATGCTGTTTCCCAAGGACTCGTAGGAAGCATCTCTAGCTATTAGATATAATTCATATTCAAATTTACTCAGATGTATTCAAAAGAAATCTGAGATAAAGTATCTCCCCATGAGTCATCAGCACAGTAAGGAAGAATTAAGAGATTTTCAACTGATTCCTTTACTGGGTGAAAAGAAAATCAGATCTCCATTTTTCTTAGCTGATTTTTTTTTCTTGCTTGCTTTGGTGGTCTGATCACGCTGTCTCATTTTCTGACTTTCTAGCTGAAAAAATTTCTTGGATAGGAATATTATTGTCTGGGTTATTACTTTAGTAAAACACATATACTGTGATTATTACTTTAAATTTGGTAAATACCATCAAAATGCAGACCTCTCATAAAGACACAGATAATGAAAATTTCTGCGCTCTAGACTATGAGTACCTATGCTAAGATATTTGCCTTAACTTACATAAAGATAATTATTATTTAACCTCTACAGAAGTTGGGTATGTTATAGACACTGCTTCAAACAGGAAAACTGCATCTAGTAGAAGGAAGATCACTTGTTGAAGGTTAGTCTATCTGTGGCCTAGCATATGGGTTTCTACTAACCAACTGTGAGATCTAAACCAGAGGTTGGCAAACTATGGCCCATGGGCCAAATCCGGCCAGTCACCTATTTTTATAGAGCTTCATTGGCAGCCTGCCACATCCATTTGTTTCTGAATTGCCTATGGCTGCTTTTGAGCAGTTCCCACAGAAACCATATGGCCTGCAATGCCAGAAAGATTTAGTAGCTAGTCCTTTACGGTGTTTGCTGACTTCTGCCTTTATGAATTAATCTGACCCTCAGTTTACTCATTGTAACTGAGGAATTGGAAAAGAATAAACTTTTTCCACCAAGTTTGCACATTAGAATCACTTGGGGTAGTTTTGGGGAAACCCCAATGCCTGAGCTGCACCCCAGAAGATCTTGTCCCATTGGGCTGGGCTTCTGCCCAAGGTAATCCCTGTGCAGCCAGGTTGAGAACCACTGGACTAGATATGCGTGATGGCCCTTCGAGCTCAGCGCTTTCATGACATGAACTTCTTGTGAAATAAGTAGTACCTTCCAGCAGGAACAAATGCTTGGAAATTATGACTGAATAAATTCAGCCTCAGCAATGAAGACTCACATCTGATTTATGCTATTCCAAGTCTCTGACTTGAGGAGTTTAGAATCCACAGTTTTGCAAGGATAAAGACGCAATGCTATATAAATATAAATGGTTCCTTTGGAAGACCAACTTAAAATAGACTAACAGATTTAATGAGTTAACTTTTGATCTATGGAAATAATTCACTTTTAATAATATCACAATTAAAACTATTATACATCAAATATAAGCCATTTGGGCGAAAGTCTCAGCTGCCAGCCTGTTCTCTGCAGACTCCCCACTTGGAGGAAAGCCTCAGGCTCTCCTGTCTCTGACACAGACGGCTACACCTGGAAGGTAGTCCTGAAAATAAGCTGCAAACACTAGGAAATCTAGGGGATAGCAGATAATATCAAATACACCTAAATCATGTTTTGGGAAGGGATTAAAGAATATTTCATAAGCCTTTGGAGGTTTAAATACTGTTGAAACAGCCTGAAGGCTGGCATGTGCGGGCCCAGACTGCTCAGAGTTGGGCTGGGGGCATGGGTGAGAGAAGCCCGCTGTGCAAAGAACTCTGGGGCTGCTTCCAGGCTGCCAGGCTGCCAGGCTGCCACTCAGGGCATCTGCAGATGGCGGGAGGGGAGTTCTGCAATGTCTCAGCTCTCTACATCTCAAAGTAGATTTGGTTTAGGGGTCACACAAACAAGTAAATGTCTGTAAGAGTAAAACTGAGCATTTCTCTTATGTCATTAACAAAGATGCTTTGCTTCGACTCAGGGTATCTCCGCTTTGGCACCAATGACATTTGGGGCTGGATGACTATCTGTCTGGGGGGCTGTTCTGTGCATTCAGGATGTTTAGCAGCATCCGTGGCCTTGACCCATTGTGCGCCAGTGGCAGCCCCTTCCTCTCCCAAGTTTCGAAAACTAAGCAATTGTATATTGCTAAGTTTACCCTATGGTCCTCATGATACCTTACCATCCTGTCTCAAAGTGGAATTAAACTCTATTCTGAGGCAATAGGGAAGAAAATACACACACACAAAATATATACAGTCGTCCCGAGGTACCTGTAGGGGATTCGTTCCAGGACCCCTATGAATACCAAAATCCACAGATGCTCAGGTCCCTTATATAAAATGGCATAGTATTTGCATATAACCTATGTATATCCTCCCATATACTTTATCTCTAGATTAATTATAATACCTAATACAATGTAAAAGCTTAGTAAATAGTTGTTACATTGTATTGTTTAGAGATTTTTTAAAAGTCTATACATGTTCAGTACAAACAAATGTAACCATTTATTGTTTTTGAATATTTTCAGTCCTCGGGTGGTAGAATACACAGATGTGAAATCCACAGATACGGAGGGCCGATTGTATATGTACATGGTATTATTTTATCCTATCCTTTGTGAATCACAAATATTTGATCACTGCTGCCTGAATTAAAGTTTTAAAAATTCAAATGGTCTCTTTATAAGACTTTCTTGAAAGAAATCATTGAGAAGAAACTTGTAGATTCAGAAAGGTGTGCAGAGACCTGAAAGGCATTATTTTGCTTGACTATGTATTTAAAATTTGAAAGAATGGCTGGTGGGCTAGGATTTTCCTTTTTTTTTAATCTGATGGGCAACTTCTACCTACACAATACAGACTGTAATCTAATTAAATCATTACAGCCTTTTTCAACTGGTTTCAACAACTATTTACTACTGATAAAATACCTTGTAGCTTTTCAGAATGCTCTTATTGTTGAAAAATGAGTAATCAGATATAAAAGAACACAAAATACAGCCACTGGGCTTGAGAAATTGAAACACTATTGGGGAGGGAAGACTTATGCCCAAAGTAGGTTTATTTTTACATTTTTAACGTTTTAGAGACAGGGTCTTTCTCTGTCATTCAGGCTGGAGTGTAGTGGTGTGATCACGGCTCACTGTAGCCTCCAACTCTGGGCTCAAGCAATCCTCCTGCTTCAGCTTCCAGAGTAACTGGGACCATAGGCGTGTGCCATCATGCCTGGAATTTTTTTTTATTTTTATTTTTTTGTAGAGACAAGGTTTCACTATGTTGCCCAGGCTGGTGTTGAACTCCTGGGCTCAAGCGATTCTCCTGCCTCAGCCTCCCAAAGTTCTGGGATTACAAACGTAAGCCACTGTACATGGTATTACTTTATCCTATCCTTTGTGAATCCGGCCCAAAGAATATGAAATAATACACAAACAGCATGCAATTATGAAGGAGTGGTAAAAAAAAAAAAAATAGGGAATGTCGGAGATCAGATAATTTTATTAAAAGTTAAATTAGAGTAGTCCTCCATGAGATTTGAGTTGATCCTTTAAGAATAATCAAGAGTTGGTAGAGGAAGAGCTGGAAGGACTGAGGATTCACTTACATAAACTGTATTGTTTGACTTTGTATAAGAACATATACAGTCATTCCTCAATATCTACAGGGGATTGGTTTCAAGACCCTCCTACAGATACCAAAAATCCATGGATGCTCAACTCTCTGATATAAAATGGTATAATATTTGCATATAACCTACCCATATCCTGCAATACTTTAAATCATCTCTAGGTTACTTATAATAATACAATAATTATTAATAATTAATAATACAATAAATAGTCGTTATACTTTTTTATTTGTGTTTTTATCTTTTTTAATTGTTTTTTTTTCAAATATTTTTGATTTACGATTGGTTGAATCCTCAGATGCAGAACCCACAAATATGGAGGGCCAACTGCATTGTCCATATAACTACAGAAAAGGCTTAAAATTTAGAATAACGGGGTAAAGATAGAGGCATTCAAGGAATAACAATAGTGATGGAAAGAGGAACCACTATCCTTTGTCCAGGGCTTCCTAGGGGACAAGCATTATGGAGTTATTACTGAATTATTACCTCTGTTTTACTGATGAGGAATTGAGGCTTGAAAAGTTAGTTTTGTTTTTTTTCCCTTAAGTTCGCACAATTCTAAAATGGCAACGCCAGGACACAAGTTGAAATCAGACTCTAAACCTGTCTCAGATCTGCTGAATCTTATAAATGGTGGCTCATGATGTAATCCCAGTACTTTTGGAGGCCTAGGCGGGCAGATCACCTGATGTCAGGAGTTCGAGATCAGCCTGGCCAACCTGGCGAAACCCCGTCTCTACTAAAAATACAAAAATTAGCCGGGCGTGGTGGCGCATGCCTGTAATCCCAGCTACTCGGGAGCCTGAGGCAGGAGAATTGCTTGAATGCAGGAGGTGGAGGTTGCAGTGAGCCGAGATCACGCCACTGGACTCCAGCCTGGGCTATGCAGCGAGACTCTATCTAAAAAAAAAAAAAGAAATAAAAAAAATATATATATATATGTATACACACACACATATATATACGTATGAACCCTGAGTGGCTTTGTGCACAACCATGTTTGAGATATCTTTGTTTTAGAAACCAATTTAAATCTACAATTCTGACTGATTAGCGATCCTAGAAAGAGGAATGGATAACAGATCAAAAAGTTTTATTATTGACTAACACATGGTGATCATTTTTATATGTATCCACGCTTTGGCATGAATAACTAAATATGAATATTAACTCGTTTTGGTCTCTTAAGAAATTTGAAATGTTGAACTCATAGACCAAGACTATAAATTTACATTTTTAGCCAGGGTAAGTAAATAATCACATTTCAAGTGATGAAATGATTTTAGGGATCATCAGAGATTCATTCATTTATGTTAACACTTAGGTACAGAGAAACTATTGAGTATTGGATAATTCAATATTGCTGTAAGTAAATAAAATGATTCCATATGGATTTCCATATTTCAACTTTGTATTTTTACTTCTTTATTTATATTAGAGTGGAAACTAGCTCATCCTCAATCATAGTCACCACTTCAAAGGGAACTTCTTTGCTCAGTCCAGGGAGCCTGTGTGTCAAAAGTGAAGGCAAAAATACTTGCTCTCTCCATACTCAAACTCTCTCTCTTTCTTTCTCGCTAATTTTTTAAGGGTGGTATGTTTGGACCATAGTTGTTTCTGCTTTAATCATAGGTGACGATTAGTCAAGGGCAAAATGGGGTCCCTGGGTCTGAGCTCCAAAACGTAGTCATCTGACTACAGTTATGCTTTTGAATTTTCCATGGCCTCATGTTCTGCATTGTTAAAGATGGTTCCTATTTACCCAGCTGCTCCCACCCACTAAATGCTAGGCTAGACACTTGGACCTATATTATCTCATTTAATCCTCCCAAGATCCCTAATGAGCAGGTATTATCATTCCCATATTTTTGCAGGAGATACGTGGTTGTTCCAAGGATCAAATAATACTTGAAAGTGCTTTGCAAACTGTCAATCTGGAGATTTACAAATGCTAGTTATTATTCTTGGTAATAGCTAGCTCTTGGTGTTTGATCAACAAACACCCTTGAACCACATCTCAAAACAACTTAAAGCAGCATCTTGACAGATTACTCCACCTTCCTGTACTACCACTCAGCCCTGACCTACGAGGCAGTTTTCTAGAGGTATGGAAGCAGCCCTATGGCCTTGCCTAATATGTTATCAGATGAACGTTTTATTGATACATAATATTTGTACATATTTATGGGGTACATGTGATATTTTGTTACATGCATAGAATCTGTAATGATCAAGTCAGGGTATTTAGAATGAAAGAGCTACTGGAACCAGTTAACAAGCTGGACACTATAAATAAGTGAGGCCCTTGTTTGCTGGGACCCTCTAGAGCTTAAATCAGCAATCCAGAGGCAAAAATAGCATCTCCCTCCAAGCTCCTTAAGTGAAGTGCATACGGCTTCCCCATGTCTCCTAGATCTTTCAGACTCACTCACACAGGCCATACTCAGTGTGTGAGTCTAAAAGCCTGCCCATTTCACTCTTCTTGGCTTTGAATCTGACCATGTCAACCAAGAGTGACTGAGCTCTAAACAGCTGTGTCAAGGGTCAAAGAAGGGGGAAATAAACACTCTACCAGGTCAGGATATTCATCCTAACACCTAAGTTGGTAAAAATTCCATAACAGATAAAGCAAACCCACCAGCTGGCTTGGTTAACACAATAGCACTTCCGCAAGTTTGCTCCCATAATATCTTCCTAGGGATGGATCCTTTCAGAGTGGAAATGACATAAACTGCTTGTGAGCCTGGATATTTATCTGACCTATTAGCCCTGTTCAGGAAGGAAATGGAGACCTCTGAGGAAAGCACGTGAGAAGGGCTAGCAGTCCAGCCCGCGAACAGTAGACCTTTCATAAGAAAGCATCCAGCCGGCTTTTTTCATGGATTGGAGTCTTCATATTTTGCCCTTACTTGCAATTCCAAATGACTGAACAGTGGAATTTGCAATTCCAAATGACTGAATGTCACTGTTCTCTGTAAATGTTGCTTTTTATTGAAATGTATTTTTACTTCAGCTTTTGGAATTAGGCAATTTCCAGATATCAACACCGAAGTCAGTGGTTTTTTATTATTATTCACATTAAAAATTATCTCATTGATTGAGCTCCATGGAGCTCTTTTCATATCCTGTCTATATATTCTTATTACATGTTATAATGAGCTCTAGACCATGGAAGCAACGACTTATCTTTGTTTTTCATTTCTGCATTCCCAGAATTTACTCAGTGTTTATCTCATAGTAGCTACATAAAATATTCCCTGAGTAAACAAATAAGGTTTTTTCTTTCTTTTTTTTTTAAAAGCAGGATCTGATAAAGCAGATAGGGAAAAGAATATTTATAAAGGCACAAAAGGAATAGAAGCTGCTCATGATTTCCATATTGTTTCAGTAATAAGAACCTAGTCTATCCCAATGTAAATAAAAATAAAAACCATATTTTCCGGATTTTCCCCCTCAATAAATAGCAAAAGAGATATAAGGGAGGAGGCAGACGATGATACCGCTATTCTAGGCACCCTGCACAACTGGCACAGAAGAGAGCACAGAGAACAAAACACCCCAGGGCCCCTACAGTGGAGGAGTTGGAAGCTGCCTTCTTGTACAGCTCCTTCACTTCAGCGCTTTCCTCCTCCTCCAGCCCCAGTCGATACCGAAGTTCCTTCCTCTTCCTATTCTAAGAGAGACAGCTGCTAACACACAGCCCAGGGCCAACTTGCTTCATCATTTACTCACATACCAAAGGCAACCCTACAAAAAAAAAAAAAGAAAGCTAGCCCCCTGAGCTCGTCTGACTAGTCTAGGCTTACTGTGTATCATGTCACCCATCTTTTCCTCATCTGTCTAGATGTGTATAAATGTGACAGCCATAGTATAAACCAATGCCAGCTTTTCTTTTCTTGGAAACAGCTGTAGGTGCTCTGATGGCACCTGTGGTGCTGATCCAATCAGATTAACCAGAAACATGAAAGAGCCGCTCCCCTCCACCCCTGCCACCCGCATCCCCAGACTTCAAATTGGGCCTTGTTTTTAAAGCCATTTCTTTCAATTCACCACTCACTGCTTCTTAAAAGTCCATTTCACTACTTAGCTTGGTTTAGAAAGGACAAATCAAAGTTTCCACCCAATTATAATTCCCTTGAGAGTTGTTCAAAGTTTCCCATGTCAGCCAGAAACACATATCAACCCTATAACCACTGAGTAATTTATGATACTGTCAAGAAATCCACCATTGGATTACACCAATGAAGGTTTTATTGTAACAGTAAATGCCCAGATAAAATAATACCTCGTGTACATCCAACACTTACTATGTGCCAGTCACCATGCTCGGCACTTTACAAGCATTTTCCTTTTTGATGCGACATGCAAAATGTGTTTTCCTTTGTCAGCTTAAAGTCCATACCTCATGGGTACGCAACAACGTTGTGTCATACCCAAAAGTCCAGAATATAAAGTGATTAAGTTTTAAATGGATTTTTACAATTGCATTTGTATCAGATTTTTCCAGAATGTTTATGCCACATACTGAAAATAAATTAAATCTTTAGCCACATTCAGTTTCTCAGACTACTCATGCCCACTTTATGGCAATGTCAAAAAATTTACCAGTCTAAGAATAATCTATATATTAAGACATTCAGGAAAACAATAATCCTAAGAAGGGAATTAGTGAGCCCATTAAGTTGCAACCACAATTCCTTTGTTTCCTCATTGACATCACTGTCCTAACTCTGCTTTCTTTTGCAGTGTCCCCGAGGTTGTCTGGGTCCATGTACATGAACACAGCTCCAGGCATGAAGTCTGGCCCTTCAAGATGGCCAAATCTACACTGGCTCAGCTATAGAAAATGTCAGCATGGGGGCATCTTCTAGGCAACTTATTTTGGTGGCCCTGGAGGCATCATTGCAAAGCCACATCTCTGCAATAATTCCCAGACAGCATGGTAAGGCATCATCCTACACCCATGATGCTGGTTTATTGCCAGGCCAAGCAGGCGTTTAAAAATTACCGTAAAATCATTGTGTTTACTCCTGAAAACCTCAGAAGAGACCTCAGAAATTTCAGAACCACTCAAAAGGCAATCCTGCCTGTGCTGGCTGGCACTGTTAACCGCTGTAGGAAGTAGCAGGAAAGACACAAAACTGGACAGCTGGGAACTGTGCTCTAGTCCTAGTTCAGAGTCACTAACCCACTAGGTCATTGCGGAAAACTTCTTTTACTACTCTCAGCCCTACTTTCCTCATCTGCAGAATGAGGATGGAATGACATGAGCTCCAAGGTTGCTTCTGGCTCTAAAACATTATTTTGGTTTATAGTGGGCATTCGGAGGTTTGAACAGCATTCTCCTTATTGTGAATCAAAAAGCCAGAAGAAATAACCATGCATTGTCCCCACTGTGTCTTACTGCACTAGAAAAGCAGGAAAAGAATCACATTTGTGTCTGTACCTAAGAGCCAATCAGCAACGACATCTCCTATTTCTTCCTAGTTTTAAGGGGCAGGACCTTGAATCTCACAATTTTACATGTTTCTGTTGACAGGGTGGTGGTTTTTGACCTGTGATACTACTTCTTTCTGCCAATTAAAAGAGAGACCACAAAATCTAAAGTAATGTGAATGTCTCTTCCCCCTTTTATTTCTTCCATGAACACAGTAACCCTATCCATTCTTATATTCTCACATGAAATTTATTTCAGAAAATATACATTAACCTCTCTCTCTTAAAAAAAAAAAAAAAACACTTCACTATTACTCTATAGAAAATGGTAAAAATGGCCTAAACCCTTAACCTTGCATTTAAAGACTTTCAAGACCTTCCCTCCAGGTGACTCTTCCAACATCCTCTTTCCTGGCTCCCCATTTGGCACCCTGTGCTCTAGTTAGGATTGTCTAAAATTCCAAAGCTGTCTTGCCTATTCCTACCGACAGGTCTCTGCTGGTCTCACTCCTGCAGAGCACCTCACTCTTCTTTGATGCATAATCCACAGATCTGTCAAAGCAGCTTAAATCCCACCACCCTGAAGCAAGGTTTATTGTCTACTCAAAAGCAGATTCATCTCTTCCTCCTCCGAATCCCAAAACACTCGTCTAATGCATCAATTCTGCACATGTCCATCAACAAGTGTTTATTAATTGTCACGTCTCTGCCCTTTGGCAGGTGCTTTAGAAACAAAACTACAAAACACATTAAAGCAACAATATATACTCTTATCTCACATACACATAATACAAGACAGTGGTTAAAAAATATTTGGCAGTCAGTCTACATCCAATGTCCATACACTTAACCATTACACATTCTGCCTCCTAGTTTCTAACAGTCGTTCTGACATGTGTTGCAGGCTTTCTGTAGGCCAGGCACAATGCTAAGGCACATGAAACACTTTATTTTGCTCTCCCAATTTTCTGTGAAAGTAAGTACTATACATTAGCCCTGTTTTATAGACGAGTAAAATATAGCACAAGAACGTTAACAAGGTGCCCAAGAATTACGTTTACACAGCCACATGATGAAGAGGTACCATGTGTACTTGTTTGTGCATTTTTCGAACTCTCTGAGCTTACCAAGAATGATTCCAACAATAATAAATCACTAGGCAATAATACATTGCTCTCTGCAGGTGAAGGAGTTGAGAGAGGACTCATCCAGAAAATAGACAGGTGAGGAGGAGGAAAAGGAAGCTGCCTTGAGTTTCCCATTAAGAACATATGCCTGGAGATGCTTTCTTTTATTCCATCTATCATAAATATCCTTGTACCAAACTAACAAAATTAAAATATAGTTTTAATACATTTTACAAATATTTGGAAATCTTATTTTAATCACATGGAAACTATTAAAAAATATACATTTCAACACATTGTATACACGTTTGGAAATATCAGACTATATCTCATAAATATGTGCAATTATTAAGTGTCCAACTAAAGATAAAAGGAAAAAAATACATATCTATATTGCAGACTAAACAAATGCTGCCATAAAATTAGTACAAACAGAATTGCATATTGGAGTCAGTTGGAACTGGTGAAACTCCATAAAATTACAACATTTTAGAAGACATGTGTCTGAGTTATTCACATACCACATGGTGAAACATCATATAGTCTGTCTGTATTTTAGATTAAAATCAACTGGGAATTACTGTGAACAAGTTTGAAAAACTATATAGGGTTACACAAAGAACATCATACGTGGTAAAAAGTTAAAAAGGAATAACTGATAACAGGGATTTTACAGACATCTAGTAAATTCAATATTGTTTTCTAATACAAGGCTTGGAAATGGTAGGTGCAGTGATCCCTTTTCTGGGAAGCCTTTCTCCATCTCTCAGGACTGGGGTCAGTACCTTTGCTTTGGGCACAATGTGCTTCCTGCCACCATCAACAGAGAAAGTATTTAGTAGCTGTTGGAATGCCCTACTAGACTATAAGCTCCATGAAGGCAGGGACTGTTACTGTTCATATTACCTTAATTAATTAAACACATATTAATTTTTTATGACCTCTCAAAAAACCTATATTAACTTTCATTGTGGGTTTTTTTTTTTTTCTTTTGAGACAGGGTCTTGCTCTGTCACCCAGGTTGGAGCATAGTGGTGTAATCACTGCTCACTGCAGCCCTGATCTCCCAGGCTCAATGATCCTCTCACCTCAGCCTCCAGAGTAACTGGAACCACAGGTACATGCCACCATACCCAGTTGAATTTTTATTTTTATTTTTAGTAGAGACAGGGTCTTGCTATGTTGTCCAAGCTGGTCTCAAACGACCAAGCTCAAGCAATGCTCCTTTTTGGCCTCCCAAAGTGCTGGGATTACAGGTGTGAGCCCCCATGCCCAGCCATATCGTTCTTAATAACATAGGTTCAAAAGGCCTAAAGCAAGCAAAATGACAGAACTATGAAGAGGACTTGAAAATTTCACTCTCGGCAAAAAAAAGCTAGAAGCATTCCCTTTGAAAACTGGCACAAGACAAGGATGCCCTCTCTCACCACTCCTATTCAACACAGTATTGGAAATTCTGGCCAGGGCAATCAGGCAAGAGAAAGAAATGATGGGTATTCGAATAGGAGAGAGGAAGTCAAATAGTTTCTATTTGCATATGACATGACTGTATATTTAGAAAACCCCATCATCTCGGCCCCAAAGCTCCTTAAGCTGATAAGCAACTTCAGCAAAGTCTCAGGATACAAAATCAATGTACAAAAATCATGAGCATTCCTATATACCAATAATCGACAAGCAGAGAGCCAAATCATGAGTGAACTCCCATTCACAATTGCTACAAAGAGAATAAAATACCTAGGAATACAACTTACAAGGGACGTGAAGGACCTCTTCAAGGAGAACTACAAACAACTGCTCAAGGAAATAAGAGAGGACACAAACAAATGGAAAAAAAATCCATGCTCATGGATAGAAGAATCAGTATCGTGAAAATGGCCATACTGCCCAAAGTAATTTATAGATTCAATGCTATCCCCATCAAGCTACCATTGACTTTCTTCACAGAATTAGAAAAGCTACTTTAAATTTAACGTGGAACCAAAAAAGAGCCCATATAGCCAAGACAATCCTAAGCAAATCGAACAAAGCTGGAGGCATCACACTACCTGACTTCAAACTATACGAGGCTACAGTAACCAAAAACAGCAGGGTACTGGTACCAAAACAGATATATAGACCAATGGAACAGAACAGAGACCTTGGAAATAACACCACACATCTACAACCATCTGATCTTTGACAAACCTGACAAAAACAAGCAATGGAGAAAGGATTCCCTATTTAATAAATGGTGTTGGGAAAACTGGCTAGCCATATGCAGAAAACAGAAACTGAACCCCTTCATTACATCTTATACAAAAATTAACTCACGATGGATTAAAGACTTAAATGTAAAACCCCAAACCATAAAAACCCTAGAAGAAAACCTAGGCAATACCATTCAGGACATAGGCATGGGCAAGGATCTCATGACTAAAACACCAAAAGCAATGGCAACAAAAGCCAAAATTGACAAATGGGATCTAATTAAACTAAAGAGCTTCTGCACAGCAAAAGAAACTACCATCAGAGTGAACAGACAACCTACAGAATGGGAGAAAAATTTTACAATCTACCCATCTGACAAAGGGCTAATATCCAGAATCTACAAAGAACTTAAACAAATTTACAAGAAAAAATCAAACAACCCCATCAAAAAGTGGGCAAAGGATATGAACAGACACTTCTCAAAAGAAGACATTTATGCAGCCAACAAACATATGAAGAAAAAAAGCTCATCATCACTGGTCATTAGGAAAATGCAAATCAAAACCACAATGAGATACCATCTCAAGCCAGTTAGAATGGCGATTATTAAAAAGTCAGGAAACAACAGATGCTGGCGAGGCTGTGGAGAAATAGGAATGTTTTTACACTGTTGGTGGTTGTAAATTAGTTCAACCATTGTGGAAGACAGTGTGGCAATTCCTCAAAAATCTAGAACCAGAAATACCATTTGATCCAGCAATCCCATTACCGGGTAGATACCCAAAGGATTATAGAGCATTCTGCTATAAAGACACATGCACACATATGTTTATTGCAGTACTATTTACAATAGCAAAGACTTGGAACCAACCCAAATGCCCACCAATGATAGACTGGATAAAGAAAATGTGGCACATATACACCATGTAATACTATGCAGGCCTGAAAAAGAATGAATTCATGTCCTTTGCAAGGACACGGACGAAGCTGGAACCCATCATTCTCAGCAAAGTAACACAGAAACAGAAAACCAAACACCGCATGATCTCTCTCATAAGTGGAAGTTGAACAATGAGAACACATGGACACAGGGAGGGGAACATCACACACTGGGGCCTGTCAGGGTTGTGGGGCGAGCGGGGGAGAGCATTAGGACAAATACCTAATGCATGTGGGGTGTAAAACCTAGATGATGGGTTGATAGGTGCAGCAAACCATCATGGCACATGTATACTTATGTAATAAATCTGCACATGTGTCCCAGAACTTAAAGTAAAAAAAAAAAAAAAAAAAAGAAAATTTCACTCTCTGAGTGGAAGGCCTAAGTGCACCTCTCCTAGTCATTAATTGATTACACAGACTGAAAACATTAATGAGCTCATGGAAATTTTGAAGATACAATAAACTTATTCTAATATTTCTTAAAGCATACTGCATCCATAAGTGAGACCATATGCAATTGTCTTGAGCCCTGATCTTAAGGGATTTAAACTAGAAACCAATAAACAGAAAGACACATTTTAAAAAATACACATATTTGTAACTTCAAAAAAAAACCCCTTCAAGATAAGACTCTTCCCACAAAAAATATACCAAGTCCAAAGTTGACTTGTATCCATCTACCAAACATTCAAGGAACAGGTAAAATATTTTGAGTGATGGGAATATAGTTATTATTGCTATGTTTGTTGTCATCTCTTGCCTGCAGAATGAAATATCCCTAATGAAAATACTGGTCACTTGAATTTGTCTCCAACTTAGATTCAGGAAGATTATAATATTAAATAAATAAATAAATGCATGTATGTATATGTATATGCAAGTATGTGTGTGCATCACACACCATAGCACTAGAACCTGCACTATGCCTGCTACTGGTTTTCAAAGAAGAAACAAGTTATAGAAATTATAATAAAAAGAAGTCTAGCTCAGTATACACTTACAACTTTCCTAGTTGCAAACTGGGAAAGATTTTTCAAACATAGAACCTTACAATCTATAAATTAAACCCAAGAATGAAATCTCATGTCTTCACTTCCAGATAAAAAGTGCTACATAGAAATGCTGAGCTTTAATTTGAACTTTTAAATCAAACTATTAAAAAATTACAATGGGATGATCCGTTGAAACATGCATTATACAAACAAACTTCCTCAGCCAGCCTTTAGAATAAGAATAGCAAAACAATAGTTTGGAACTTCAGCTTCAGCTAATTTGAAGGGGCTATGCTGAAACTGAAAGGCAAGGAAAGGTCAGTTTTTTTCAATTTGTATATTTTTATAGGTATAATTAGAGAAAAGAAACAAGAGCTCCAACCTTGTATGTTGGAACAGAAAAAGAGGACTACTGCATTTTAATTCCTTGAAAACTCTGGAATGCATTAATTATATTAAATTCTCTTATATGTTATGTGGTTCACAAATCAAATTTTTCCTCCAAGTTTGAAGGACTGAGAGGCTTCTTAAAATTCAATTAAAACGATGTAAAGAAATATCCACATTATGGATACGCTCCACTTAGAGACCTTTGCACTTGGCAGGAAAACTTTTCTCTTTTTATCTTAGTAGAGTTCAGGAAATGCTACCTTAATTTTCTCTTTGCTTCAATATTTCATGAGTGCCTCTCAATGCATAGTCTCCGAAAGCGTTAGATTACTGACATGATGCTATTTTACATGATGTGGATGATTTTATTTGTACGAGTTCAACATGTTAGAATTTTTATCTCTTTTTCTTTTACACTTAGAAAAAGATTGTAATGTACAAAATGATATTCTGATTTTTTGTATAAACAAACATCTCTTATACTGAGATCTAATGAGTAAAATATGTCCCCCAAAGTTTAGTATTATTGCAAGAAATTATTCTTCATAATAATTGCAGAATTCCCTTCTTCAGGTAATAAACTTTTACTAACAGAAGGACAAAAATGTTTCCAAAGACACCAGGGTCCTTACATATGCAAATTAATAAAGCAAATCTATTGTCTTATCAATGAAAGCATCCTCAAATTCCTCCATGCTTTATCTGTGTTCTCACATCATCACAAATCCACATCTATATGAGATCCTAGAGCTACAGAAAAATGCATGTTCAGAGCACATTTCAGACCAAAGTAGTAATTAACAGAAATATACTTCCTTGGTTTTGGTCCTCTTGGTATGCTATTACTTCCTTCAAAAAAATCAACATTTATATTGTGCTTAGGTTTTAAATAAAACAAGGATGTACATATGTTCATAAGTATGCGATAACTGAAATATCAGACATCCAAATGTCATAATTATTATTTTTAAAATTCTAACGTAAGTGGCATGTTTTAAAACAAACATGCTATGTCGATAAGTTATTTGTTCAAATGCTCATAAGTACATCTTATTGAACGGCTGTAAATGTGTTTCGGTGCATTGGATGCTGTTTATATGCTTATATTTCTGTAACTAGGAAATAAAAAGAAACCACATCATTAATTGTCAGGCCCTCCATGTGACAGTAGAACAACCGATAGGCCACTGGCTCAATTAAAGTGTGCAGGGCTCGTAACTGAAGAGTTTTGTTTTTATCACAAAGAGGGCTAGAGCATGACAGGAATTCTTCATAAATTTGGAGATGTTATGTAAATATTTAATAACTCTGCTGTGACAGGCCATGAGTACTTGAGCAGAACCTGACCACAAGATTTAAATAAATATCAAGCCTGGGAGTTGTTAAATATTGAACATCATTATGATTGTGGTGTTTTAACAAACAATCATTAAAAGGTAGTGCAAATCCAATCAAAGGAACATTTTTAATAAAGAAACAAAGATCTGGCATGTTTACATTTTGGAAAACAAAAATCAAACATCTCTGTTCAGTTATCCTAAATATTCTCCCTTCAGCTCCACCACCAACCAAAAAAGGGGTAAAAAAAAAAAAAAAAAAAAAGATTACCTTGGTTTGTAAAAATTAATAGCCTTCGCAATTTCTTCAGAATTTGCTCTAGAGGCACAGCTCATACATGCATTGCCTTTGCTATGATTAACTTTGGTGGTACTTTTCTCCTGTGCTGCCATGCACTGTTCTGGAAAGCCTGTCAGCGGCTGTCTTCTGTTGTCTGTGTCACCTGAGTCCTTGTGCTTGACTTCCTCTACATGGTTTAAAGATGGATTTGCACCAGTAATTCTTTGGATACTTGAAGTGAAACATGCTGCCCAGGTGATGCTTTTGTTGCCCAAGTGACATTGAGAAGCAGGAATTGACTTCAGCATGTCGGCTTCCCTCAACATGTCAAGAAATAGCAAAGCCAAATCCCAGATGTGGTCCGTTAATCCCACTGTCACAGAATAAACTATGTGGTCCCAGTAAACACAACCACCCATTAGCGCTAAGGAGAGGTGATAGAAACCATTTGTTAAAGGTGACACTGTTTTCTAAGTGATAACACTCTTTTGATCATGTGATTCATTTTGTTTGCTCAACAACATGGTATGTGTTTTTCCTGAGAGGAAGGACTTCAATATATATTTACTTAGAGCTTTTAATTTATACTTCCTTTCTTTTAATTGGTGTCTTGTGATCTAAAATTAGCTGATGAACATAGTATCTCACTCAAACTCTCTCAGCTGAGTTTTCAATAATTAGACCCACTGTTGCCTGAAATTGAACAAACATGTGGAGACTTGGCTTATTATTTCTTCCCTAGTGCTTTCTATCCATACTTAGAGAGTGATTTTTTTTTTTTTTTTTTTTGAGAGAGAGTCTCGCTCTTTCACCCAGGCTGGAGCGCAGTGGCGCGATCTTGGGTCACTGCAACATCCACCCCCCAGGGTCAAGTGATTCTCCTGCCTCAGCCTCCCGAGTAGCTGGGATTACAGGCACCCACCACCACACCCGGCTAATTTTTTTATTTTTAGTAGAGATGGGGTTCCACCATGTTGGCCAGGATGGTTTTGAACTGCTGACCTCAAGTGATTCACTCTCCTCGGCCTCCCAAAGTGCTGGGATTACAGGCATGAGCCACCACGCCCTGCCTAGAAAGTGATCCTTTTATTTCACATATAGTCATATTAATCATTATCCCCCAAGCTGGAGTTAGGTTAATAATTTCATGTAAAAAATGAAGTTCAAATAGTCTTGACTGTAACCTTACTGAATAAAGAGCCTACACGAAAAGGAATTCTTTCGTGAAACCTGAGATTGTCAGAGCACTGAATTTCACCAATAAGCTGGATATCGTTTATACAAGGAATAAAAGGTCACGTGTCCTCTAAAATCCCACATTTGCTACAGACATTCTTCCCTCTATTCTTTTGTTTGTGCAGTAACTAGATACAGGTACAATGAGAGTGAATTAGTTTTCCCAGATGAGTGAGAAAAGTAAGTGTTCCCCAAATGCCCAAAGCCAGATTTTATCTGTCATTCTCTCTCTCTCTCCCTCTCTCTCCCTCTCTCTCCCTCTCTCTCTCTCTCTCTCTCTCTCTCTCCCTCTCTCTCAGAGAGAGGCAGCACTCTCTTTGGAAGAACTGTAAGGATTGAAAATGATCCAGAAAAACTGCATGGATTGAAAATGATCCAGATTTTTAGAATTTGCCCTCACCTTGACAACGCTAAAATTACAAGCAGCAGTCAACTTTTACAAGATACCCTTATTGTGTAACATTTATAGGTTGCCAAAAACATGCTAAAACTAATCAGATAACAAAGGTGAGGAGAAAACCTTCACCTGCCATGTAGCTAGCAGTGAATACACTTTTTATTTCCATGACATTTTCTGGCAGAAAGGGGTTGGCTTAAGGCGGATCGGACTAACCTTCAATTTGTCATAGCGCTCACTCAAAGCTGCCACCTGATGATCGCGGTGCCGCCCAACCAGTTTACACAAGGCACAGATTAACTGGTCATCGGTCACACAGTACATATTCACCTTCTCATCCTCATGCTCCAAGCACATCAGCCCCCGGATGTGAGAGTCCGGAATTGGCTCAATCAGACGATGGCCTGTAAAGGGCTTCTTATTCGGGTGAGTGGCTTTCAGGCACTCGTCACAGTAGGATACTTCACAAGTGACACAGGTCTTCACAGCGTCCTGGGCAGGATCCTGGTCACAAAACTGGCAGAGGACCTTCTCGGCGGAGGTCATGGTGTTGGCGTCAAAGGCCCGCTCCCGACGGGTCTCGCTGGGAGAGTTGGGCCCGCTCACTGATGCTTTCTGGAACCTGTCGATGATGTTCTGTAGGGTGACGTTGCGCTTGAGCCCGTCTAGACCTCGCTGGCTGAGGGTGATGACATGCCGGCAGGTGGGGCACTGGAAGGCGGTGATGGACTCCACAGACTCGTTGGTGGCACAGTGTGATACTAGGATGCGGTGGGCGCAGTTGAAGCAGAGGCTGTGTGCGCAGGGCAGTAGAAGAGGGTCCTCAAAGAGCTCCAGACAAATAGGGCAGGTCAGTTCTGACTCCAGTGTTTCCATCTTCAGGCAAAGCTCTCTTGTGTCATCAGCAAAACCCAAGGAAGCTGATCAGCTATCTGGAAACAAGAATGTAAGATTTGATTAGGCACAGGGAGGTCAACCATAGGGGGGTGTCAGCTTTGAATGCATCTCAGAATAATTCCAAACACAGGTCATGAAAGGGTAAGTGTGTGTACATTCCAAATAATTCTCTTTCTATTCACTGGGGAAAAAAGGAGGAAAAAGCATCCTGAGCCATCATATACCAGTTAACATTTTCTCAAAGTTCAGTAACTGAAAATGTGCAATTTTTTTTTTCAATTTTGTTTTTTAAAAGGCTTCATTCAAAACTAGAATGTAATTGAAACTGTAATTTCCATAATTTGTATTTAATCAGAATAATCTTATTGTGTCAGAGTCAGGTTTAACCTCGCACAGAAAATTAAAATGTAGAAATATTCATCAATAAACTAGAGTCTTTTATAAATTTGAATTTATAAACTTACGTATTAATGTATACGAGATTTAAGGACTTTTACTCTGCAATACCAAACCAGGTTTCAGAACAATAGGAAGGCAGTAACTATAGAAATGGGCATGAAATGTACATGAAATCAAATGTGGGGATTTCAGCAGAGATGATCGTGTTTAAGTGTGGGATGTCATTTTCCAAAATATATTCCTGAGAAAAAACATTGACTTTCACAAAGATGATTGTGATAGAGGCAATATTTTTGGCATGTGTTCATTATGTTTCTGAATAATTCTATTGTTTAATCCAGCAGTGGGACGTGGGTAGGCAGAACGAAGTGGAGAAAAATATCTGGGGGCTTTTTCAGTGGCTGCAGTAAGTTTGAGTACCAATGACTAATATTTAGAGCAATGATTTAGTTAATTAGAACAAGGATTTCAGTGGTCATCATATTCATGTGATAAGTTATGTTATGACAATGATAATGATTACAGTTGAGAAAGCAATTTAAGGAGGCTTACAAAACTGCTGAGGGACCCTTTTGGCCAAAAAACTCCCACCACGGGCTTGTCACTGTTGCCAGCAACAGGCCAGGCTGGCAGGAGGTCCAGCCTCACACTCAGAGCTATGTTGGCCTGGGTACGACCTCTGCTAGCTATGTTGCTCTCCTCCAGGCCACCCGAGGGTGGCCCAGCTGCCTGCTCCCCTTGCCATAAAGACCTGAGTGCTTTTGTGAACTCTCATCTGCCTTCCCATCAAAAAGAGTAGTAGAAAGAATTCCACACAAACCCCAGTTCATTAAGGGTGAAGAGGCCTCATGCTCATTAGCAGGCCTGGGAACCAAGCCGCTTTGAACCTTCTCCCTTTCAAGACCATTAGCAGAGGTCTGCAGACCAGTGATGGGAATATTACATGCAGCCCATTGCAGGCTGTGGGAGAACAGTGCAGTTCACCCAGTGGTCGGGAGGTTCAAATCACCCACGGGGGTGGTGGGGAGAGCGTTCTCAGCCGGATTTATGGGAAGGCTTCACATCCAAAGCTATGTTTAGTGATTCTGACAATCAATCGTTTGTATTCACACCTCCGCTTATTTACAAAATTCACGGTTTCTAGAATACCCTGACCCCTTCTGAAATAGCATCCCTCAGAAATACCAATATGGTGCTTTGGTGAAATTAATGCTCATCTTGCTACCAACTGAATGGTAACTGATCATTAAAAGTATAAAGTATGTCCCGAGCCTGTTAAAAATTAAACAGCTACTGGCTTCATAAAAGCCTGGTATCTTAAAAAATCTTCAACCATTCACTAGCATTTATTATATAGGAAAGAATAAAAGAGCAACTGTGACTTGAAATATTAAAGCTTGTACATCTTTCTACAACCTGCAATGGAAACCCTAGGGTTGCTGTTGTAAGAAACATATCATCCCCACTTGGTCTGTCACCTCTTCCTACAGATGGCTCAGAAGAAATGGAAAGGTTTTTACCTATTAATAATTATTTTGGTTAATCATAGAAAAAATGTAGAATTATCTTTAAATCAAAGTTCTTTTACCTTCTCATCAGAAGCATATAAATTAAAGGAAAAATGTAGCCCTTTTGGTCTGCTCTGTTCTCAGATAAAACAAGAATGCCTACCAATGAATCTGAATAGAAGGATGAGCATCAAATTATGTCTGGAGAGCTATGATGACTATATTTTTAATGCAGGTGCCAGGATTCCATCCCAGAGAGGTGTGATGAGAATTTCTAGAAAGGATTCCACTGGGGAGACCTCAGTGGAAATACTGACATTTTATTCATTCCTTCAACAGATGTTTACTGTGTGCCAGGCACTGAGTTAGATGAAGAAGCCAGAATCTGGGGTTCACATCACCTCATCTCTATTATCATGGGCCAAGCCAGCATCATCTCTTATGTGGACTATCATAAGACCTTTCTAAATGGTCTCTTGGCTTCTGTTCACTCCTGCCCTTCCCCCTATAGTCTATCCTCCACTCAGAAGCAAGAGAGCCTGTTGTTAAAACATGACAGAACATGCATCTCCTTTTGCTCTGCCCTGTAAGGGCTTCCCATTTCACCCAGAGAGAAATTCACCAGAATAAACCAGCCCCAGAAAACACAGACTCAGACAGTGAGCTCACTTCCTCCCACGCTACCCACTCCTTTCTCTGCTCTGAGCACATGGCCTCGTTCTGACTCCTCAAACATGCCAAGCACATCAATCCCCTGCTCGCCCCTGCAAGGTCTTCAGAATCCACATGACTCTCTGCTCCAGTGTCACTTTCTCTCTGAACCCACATAAAACCAATTCCCCTTCTACCACTATACCACCTACCCATCGTGGTAATTCTTCCCCCATCTCGGTTTATTTTTCTTTATAATATTTATCACTGACATATTCTTTTAGTTTGTTTATTGCTCCTTCTGTCCCCACTGTCCTCAACACTAGAATATAAGCTCTGTGAAAGCAGAGATTTTGCTTTGCTCTTTGAAGAACGTACCACCAACACCTAGAACAGCACTCAGCACACAAAATGACTCAAACATTCATTGATTCCATTAAATGTACTGACTTTTCAGCTAAAACCAAAAAGAATCAAACACAGCCCTTGACTTTAAGGATCTCTCAATATATTTGAACAGAGGTCAACAAACTTTTTCTATAAAGGGTAAAATAGTAGACATTTTTGGCTTTGTGGGCCAAAGGGGCCCTGTTGCAACTACTCAATCTACCACTGTAGTGCAAAAGCAATCAGACACAATACATAAAGGAATGAGTATGGCTGTGTTCCAACATAACCATATTTAGAAAAACAGGTCACAGGCCAGCATTGGCCTGCACATCTTATTTTGTTGAGCCATGTATTGGAAGATAGAGGCATATACAGATAACCAGAACATAAATGAAAATCATTCTCAGAGAGGTATGAATAAAATGCTGTGTGGGCAACAGCAGCAAGGATGGCGGAGCAAGACTTGAACAAGCACTTACAAGTTTCCAGTGCTAATGGGAAATGATATGCAATGGGCTTTGAATCTGACATCAATGGAAATTATGTGACTCGAGTGCTTAGGGGCAACTCATGTAAGAACGAATTAATAGTAGCTGCTCAAAACTAGATATTTTCTTTTACTGCCATAGCACCTGGCATAGTGCTTTATGCAAGTGTCTGTACTGTAAATGGTTAATTGTATTAGGTGAAGACACAATACTCAGATGTGGTAGGTGAATTTCAGCCAATTTTCTAAATCTTTTGCCTGTATGCTACCAAAAAGGAAGGGGTTTTGGTTTGATATCTATAGTGCATCCCACTTTTTCCACTTTTACCCAGATTTTACAATGGCATAGATAGCATTTTTGTTAAATGACTCTACAGTATCTTATTTGTACTCATTCCATTCCTTCTTCTAAAAGAAACTTAGTATGGTTTATTTTCTAGCTTTCTTTAAAATATCTTTTTGGAGAAATTAAAATGCCATTCATTCCTTTTTTTTTTTTTTTTGCCATTCATTCTTTCACCAAATACTTAAGTTCATCTATGTACTTGGTCCTGAGACAAGTACTGGTAACAGCTGGCCCCTGTCTCCATGATCTTATGGTTCATTCCGAGAGAGAAAATATGAACAAGGCCAGGTGTGGTGGCTCATGCCTGTAATCCCAGCACTTTGGGAGGCTGAAGTGGGATAATCACTTGATCCCAGGAGTTTGAGACCAGCCTGGGCAACATAGTGAGACCCTATCTCTACCAAAAAATAAAAATAAAAAAATTAGCCAGGAGTGGTGGCACATGCCTGTGGTCCCAGATACTTGGGAGGCTGAGGCTGCAATGAACCGTGATCATGCCAATGCACTACAGCCTGGGCAACAGAGTGAGCCCATATCGAGAAAAAAAAATGAACAAGGTGTAATGCAACATAAAAAAAGATGCATGCCAAAGACAGACAGGGAATAATCAACTCTATATAGGGGGAGAGGAGACAGGGAGAAGCTTCCTGAAGGAGGTAAAGTATGAAGTGGGTTTTAAAAGATGAACAGGGATTCACCAAGCAGATAGTGGTACATGGGTGGGAATTTTATGCAAAATGTTATCTTTCTTTTCACTCTCTCTCTCTCTCTCTCTCTCTTTCTCTCTCCCTTTCTCTCTCTCTTTCTCTCTCTCTCTCTATATATATATGTATCTAATACACACACACACACACACACACACACACACACATATATATATAGCTTACATTGTTATTTATATCATTAATAACAGTATCAGGCCGGGCATGGTGGCTCACACCTGTAATCCCAGCACTTTGGGAGGCCAAGGTGGGTGAATCGCTTGAGGTCAGGAGTTCGAGACCAGCCTGGCTAACGTGGTGAAACCCCGTCTCTACTAAAAATACAAAAAATTAGCTGGGTGTGGTGGCGTGCGCCTGTGATTCCATCTACTCGGGAGGCTGAGGCAGGAGAATCACTTGAACCCAGGAGGCAGAGGTTGCAGTGAGCTGAAATCATGCCACTGCACTCCAGCCTGGGCAACAGAGCAAGACTCTGTCTCAAAACAAACAAACAACAACAACAAAAACCCCAATATCATAAAACAGCAGCTTTTGCCTTTTCTTAACTGTCATAATGTAATTTCCATGCCTCAAAAAAAAAAAAAAACTTCTTCATTTCTACTTCAATAAAAGGAAATCACACATGCATATTGTTGTCAGGAAATCCTATAGCTTAACATTTTTGTGAATGGGCAGATTGGTCCTCATTGAGAAGAGGATCTAGATAATCTTGAGAGTCCCTTGCAACAAACTGGGAATGGCAACAAATCACAGCTCACACCTCTGCCTGTCCATGGTTTAAACATCTAGAACACAGCACAGAATAATGAATGAAAGGGGAGAGAGCTGGACAGGTGACGGGATAATCTAAGACATCCTGCAGTTCTGCTACTTATTAGCTGTCTGAGTATCCATGGGTGAGTGTCCACAGATGTTCCCTACAGTCCCTCTAGCACTCACTCTAATCACTCCCCTAGGCAGGAGAGTCTTCAGTGACAGATTACAGTGAAGCCCCACATCGTGGGAGGCATTGGATACATCTTTTGAAAAAACTTTCTTATAGATTCAAGACTTATGAGGAAAGTACTTCTTTAAAATGGAAAATTAATAAGTAGATGTTTTGCTGGAAAATAATGATGTAAATGTTTTCACACCTCCCTCTTCTTCCTTTCCTTTCCTCTCTCATAATATGTATCTTAGTCCATTTTGTGTTGCTATAACAGAATACCTGAGGCTGGGCGATTTATAAACAAAAGAGGTTTATTTAGCTCGTGGCTCCACAGGCTGGGAAGTACAAGAAGCATGGTACTGGCATCTGCTCAAGAGAAGGAACTTTGCTTTATAACAACTCCATTCTCATGGGAACTAATCCACTCCTGTGAGAACCAATCTAGTCTCCATGAGAGCAAGAACTGACTACCTCAAGAAGGGCATCAAGCGATTTGTGAAGGATCCATCCCCATGACCCAGACATCTCCCACTAGGCCCCTCCTCCCAATGCCACCACATTGGGGATTACATTTCAACATGAGTTTTGGTGGGGACAAACAAACCACATCACTGTATGTCACTGAAACTGTACTTTCCTAGTTTTCCTCTGTCTAACCACTGCTGACTTCTACCTCTTGCTAATCAAAGCCTAAGTGTTTTCTGATGGTCTATGGTTCCTTTGACAGGGCCATCCAGTTTTTTGTTTGTTTCATGTACTGCCTCTCTGAGAATGACTGCTAGGCTTGTATCCCAAGATGGTCGAGAACCCCTTTCTGGAACCCGGTTTAGCACTGACAGTTCTTTGCTTCATGTACTGCAAGTGCCTCAGACTTGGAATGCACATGATGTGGGATTTATCCTCTTCCCTCATTAGCCTGTCTTTGTCTTCTCTACAGGGCTCCTGGTGTCTCCTCACAGGGCTTCTGTCCTCCTGGTCACCAGACAGCAGACACCACAGTTTCTACTCCTCCCTCTTTGGGGGAGGCACAATTATGGTCCCCAAAGATATCCACAGCCTCCTCCTCAGAGCTTGTGAATATTTTAGGTTATAGAGCAAAGGGGACTGACTGTTGCTGATATAATTAAGATTGCTAAGTAGCTGACCTTGAGATGGGGAGAGCAGCATGGATCATCTAGGTGGACCCAAAGGAATCACAAGGCTCTTTAAACGTGGAAGTGGCAGGAAGAAGAGTCAGAGTCAGAATGATGAGATATGACAAAGACTCGACCAGCCATGCCTGGCCTTGAAGATGGAGGAAGGGGCCACAAGCCAAGGAATGCAGGCTAGAAGCTGGAAAAGGCAAGGAAATGAATTCTCCCCAAGGGCCCCCAAAAGGAATACAGCCCTAAAGATACCTTACTCTTAGCCCAGTGAGACCTGTGTCAGACTTTTGACTCTAGAAATGTAAGATAATGAATTTGCATTGTTTAACACCATCAGGTTTGTGCTAACTTGTTACAGCATCCATTAGAATAAGGAGATCGCCCATCATCAGCACATCATCCATAATTTTTATCCCAAATTTCCCTTAATGGAGGCATTGACCTTTTTAATGATAAGGTAAACCCACCTCTCAATGCTTTCCTACAAGTATTCTAGGTTATGTCTGCATACTCCATGAAATACAATTATTTTTCTAATTTGGAGTATATGAAAAAGAACATGCAATTCTATCAATTCTATCAATAATTTTACTTCCAGCCCCTCACTTTGTACAACTCTAAAGCCTTCACTACCAGGGAAATTAGTGAGTCATTAGACCAAGGAATAAACTTGTATGCCAACACTGGGTGGCCTGTGATTAATCGTTAATACCACGTGGCTGTCAGCCACTGCCCAGATGATTCCCAAGGCACTTCCTCTAGTTCTTTTCCAAATATCCTCTGGACTATAGAGACTAACTTTATTGTTAAATTTACCAAAACATAACTGAGATGACAAACACACTGTTAAAATTGCACGATGTTACAGCAAGCCACACGAAAATGGTTTCAGAACAGGAAGCTCCTATAAGTATTTCAAACAACAAATAGCATTGAAAATGTACAAATGAATTATTTGAGAGTCCTAAATTTCAGAAACGAAATCAAGTCAATTTACTTGATTGTCCGCTCCTCTTAACCCCTATTCACCTGGGTAATTAGATTTAGTTGACTATTGCTGTTTGGATTTTTGCTATGAGATTATCTTTATTATAGAACTATAGGTGAAATATTTTTTAAAGACTGCAGAGTGATGTTTCTATCTTGGACCAGCAGAAATACAGACTTTCAGAGGACTCAAAACTACTGAAGTGTGAAACACTGGAAATCAACCTGAGTTTGGGAGGCAGATTGCAACGGGGACCCAACTCAGAAGGGACTTGCTCTCATCTTAAATAAGCATAATTTCTCAACTCAAAAACTTGTCTAACACAAACTCAATAAAAACTGGCTGCTACATCCAAGATGAATTCATCATAGGGTATTTTGAATAACATAATACAAGCACTCAGCATCTGCATATTCAATTATGCCATTTAGTATTTGACTTTGAGTGATAAAGACCACCGAATAAAGACACTACCCAAATGTTACTTTACTGATTAGCACTCTGGCCAATTTGAGAAGCAGGTGGGTTAGCAAAGGCACAGTAAAACAGGGCCATGAACTGATGGAAAAAGGGGAGAAGGGGATCCAGTTGGATTTAACTGCATTCTGAAAGACTGGAAATTGATAGCATAATGTAGGCTGTTTCAGTACAAACGCAAAGTGGTTCTTAAAAACAACAGTATAAATAATACATCAAGTAAGAACAGGTGAAAAAAGGTGATCCAGTAACATTTTATAGGTAAAGAATGTTACTCTGAATTATCACTGCATTTAGCCTCCAAATGTCAGCACACTCAAATTCATTTGCTCAACCAGTAACAGACAACTAAGAATTTCTGCCAAGAAAATTGTAGGGGACCAGAGGGACTGTTTGAAAAAAAAAAGTGACAAGCAGATGAGCACTGAGATGCTAGCCTCAAGTTTTAAAATAATTAATACAATAGATATTTTGAATAACTTGACATTTCTTCTTTAAGAAGTGCTGAAATTATTATTATTATTATTATTTTTTTACCTCATATCTGAAGTGAGAACCAGGGAAGACTTTTAATTTCGCCAAACACCCACCTGGTGGAATTCATGCAAATCAAATTAAACTGTTAACCAAATCTTTTCTGTACTTTCACATCTGCCTATAACATGCTCATTCTTAGTAACTGGATCTCTAGGACATTCTTTAAAATAATCACATACTCGCCTGACCATGCAACCTGATTAATAATGAATGAACATTCCTGAGAAGAATCACTTCGAAGCATGGCAGATGTCTGTGGGGATATGAAGGCTTTAATGATCAAAATTAAGGGGAAATGGAAGCTGGGTCACACTGTCTGGTTATTTTAATTGAAACCTAGTCTTCCAAATTTACTTAACAGAATACTTAAACACTCCTTCTCGAGGTTCATTTATACAAGCAGACAAGCACAAAGACAAATGGCAATGCAAAAGAACAACCCAGATTCCTGGAGGAACAACCACCCTATCCTGTTCTGTCCTAATAGTGCAGAAAACCCCTCAGCAGTTTCAGAAATCCAATTTGTTCAATTGAAAGACTGATAAACAGGTTAAAAACAGGAACTAGTACATTGGTCCTTAATAGTTCTTTGAGCACCTCTCTAGATTCTGACAAAGAGATCACCTTGAATACCCACCAATGGACTGCACACTAGTTCTTTTTGAAGAAACATCGCCGTAGGCAGAGGATGGGGACCCACGAAATGATAGACAGGCCACCGAGACCAGACGGTGGGTGGCAGGCAGTGCTGGAGCGGTCCTGTGTGTCTGTGAGTGCGTCAACAGTGAAACACAACAGGAAAATCGGTCCAACAATTCCAGGAAGGCCAGCTCCACCTCATCCACTCCGCCAGGGTTGCCCGAGTTGAAGAATCAACTGCCTTTTCCACGGCCCCCGCCACAACTTCCCTATCCTCTGGCCTACTCAATGTTCAACTGAACCCAAATGGAAAGGTAGCTCAGGTCAGCTCAACACCCACTGCCTGGTCCAAAAAAATGAGGACTTGGCAACGGGATCTGTACTCTCATTCCTTACAGGGACCAGCAGCAGCTTGGCCGAATGAGACACTGTCCTGTGGCAGAAGGCTGAATGCTAGCTTTCAATGCCACCAATAGGAGCCGTCCTGCCCAGCTCCTGGGGCTGGGAACAGGCACTAGACTCATTTGCCTTTGGGGCCTTTCAGTGTCGTACTGAGCACATGATCACATTATGCTCTGCATGCTGGCTTGTTCATTTAAAAAAATAATATACACATTATTTTGTGCCTTTATCTTCTGAATTAATGTATAATGTCTGGAAGAAGTTTTCTTCAAAGTTATATCAGGAAGAACAATCTCCAGTACAGACACAAAGAACAGTCATTTATTTCTTCCAAAAATAGTGACCTAAATAGCAATCTATCATCCTGATAAACAATTTAAAATATATGTATATACACACAGGTTTCACATACACACGTATGCATACATTATGTACACACATATATAAAAACATCGTGTGTGTATATATATATATATATTTAATATTACATACACGGTATATATATAATAGCAAATCTGTGATGGGTGTCCAAAATTTCAGTCTCCAGAATGGCAAAGAAAGGGTGAACTGAGAATGGAAAGAAGTAATCTTTTAAAATTTGATTGACTAAAGGAGGAAGGGGAAGTAGTCTTCCTAAAAGAAAAAAAAAAAAAAAAAGTCCTGCGCTGCAGTTCTTTGAAGGATATTGCTTATCACCATGCAAGACAAGAAACTGCAAGTAAAGTAAATCATCAGGAAAGTGTTTAAAAAAAGAATCTTGCACAATTCAATTCATAATCCAGACATTTGGACTCCACCAAAGGTGTTTAAGGAACATTCATGATAAAGGGGAAGCAGAGGCAAGAACTGCTTCCTCGGGCTGCCCAGTCTGCACGTCTCAACATCTACTTTATTGCCATTGCAACACTTCACAGTAAATCAAAGCATGCTTCACATGTTAGGACATAAAAATGCAAACATAGATTTTTTGGCTTATGTCTCTCCAAATTATAACTTCATTTGTCTTTTAACAATGAATAAAAGGATTACTCAATTTCACATATAGATGACTTCCTTAAGAAGTTCTCATTGTCCTCGGAAGAGACACACATAGATCATCAAGTAGAATTCTAAAGAACTTTTCATCAAGACATGGCTTTTGTTAAAACAACATTTAAATTGTCAAAATTCTACAGGCCTAACTTTTCCCTATTTTGGCACTGTAGTGGAAAATTAGCCTGAACATCTGAAGTTGAAACATCAGGAAAGAAATATTTACTCCACCCCTCAAGAGAAAATGATAAACAACAAAAAAAATTACAATCTTCTAAAGGGCATAATCTGACAACTTGCAGATGAAATTTCCCACTATCTGAATGTCTCAGACATTTCATGTCTTTTACAGTTTAAGAAATAAAGCATTTAGTTTTAAAGGCACACAGAACCTATTTTACATTATATTGAAAATGACCGATGTTTTCCAGGTCTATGCTGTACTGGGTATCATGCAAGAATTTGGTTCTGAAGGCAATGATAGCAGACTGGACAGAGAGGAAGAGGGTGAGAGATGGCCACACCTAGTCTCCTGGCAGAAGTCTAAATCAACCCTCCTGGTGAACAGACCAACAGCGTGATGGTAGCAGAAATGGAAGTCACTAATTTCTGTGAAACCAGTCACAGATGAAAAGCTTTTAACACTGCTGTCCCTGAATGCTTTCTCAAATGTATTTATAGTTTGATAGGTATTTCTATATATATTCATATAACTATGTCTGTATAAAGTCCTATATATGTCCATAATGGAATTAGTTTTTGTAGTTATATACAATGTGCATGTATACATAAGTACACATATACATATACAAAAGCACCTTTTCAGAATTATTTGAGACTGGCTAGAATTCACTCTTCACAAACCCCTCAGTCATAGCATCCCTTCTGCATTACAGAAACATTCCTTCCTTAGTGCAGAAACAGAAACCTGTAGATAATGTTTATTTAAAAACAACTGCCTGCTCATATCTGCAAAAGGTCACCTGGAAATGAGCAAAATGACGCAAGTGATCTATTCTCTGAAAGACCAGTCAAGTGGGATTTTTGCAGCAAGTATAATAGATTGTGCCCTGGAGAAAAGCTTGCCGCTTGGGGAAACTTTTTCTCACTTTATTTATATAATACTCTCCTAGAAGGCAGAGAAAGTACACACCCTCCCCTTCCCAATTATTACCAACCAGGAGCAAAATAGTTATTGATGATGGCCAATGCAACATTTCACAACTGTTCTCTGAACACTGGAAAGCTTAAGTTCAAAGACAAGAACAAATACTAGTCTCGTGACTCATGGAGGTAATGACGATGTTATAGAGTAACTGATTCCCATTGTGTGAGCAGATTGGAAATTCTCTCAAATATGATGCCTCCTTTTCTCAAAGAAAATCGCTTTTTCCCTCAACTTCAAAGTCAGCCACACACAAAAACCTTTTGCTCACAATACCCTGAAGCTACCTCCTGATCTTAAAAAGTAAGGAAAACGAACCCTTATTCACAACTCCTGGTTAACTATTACGAATAACATGCTTTAAACATTTCCCCTGATCACTGAAGCTCTGCAGTCAGGGGAAGAAGTCTTTTTTTTTTTTTTTTAAAGGCAACAGAAAGAGGAGTGACTCTTTTGTTCTGAATGTTATTGTAAAGCACCACATGAAAGAAGAGGAATGATGGGAACATGGCAATGAAAAGGACAACAGCGCTGACAAATGAAAACAGGATATTAAGAACAGCGTCGGGACTGTGTGTCTGTACAGAACAAAGCCGGGAGCCTTCTCGGAGAAATTCAAGCAAAAATACTCTTAACAGATTTACATGCTAATGGATGAACTGTAGTTTCTCCAGGTGGCACAGATCTTTAAGTCTGGGACAATAAAATTAGGTTATCATTAAAACACATACACACACACACACACACACACACTGTAAAGTGTCATAAAATTAAAACTGCCTTCAAATCACATTCAATCACATGCCCCCCCCCGCCCCGCCCTTTCAACCAGTGATCTGCTTCTGGAAATTTCTAGATCTATGTTTTTCTCTTTGTAAAATAAGATACTGGTTCTGTCAAATAACTGAGCTAACTTAGTATATAGTCCCAAGGAAAGTGAATTTTTTACAAAAAGAAAAACAATTTTCTCTCCATTCACAGCACACTCTAACTTACACTTTAAATATAACTTTTCAATAGAGCTTTCAAGAACTCCCAGGGAAACTAGGCAATGGGTACTGTGCTGAGAAACAATGACAGCAACTAAGTGGCTAACATTAATATAGTATACCGCTTTTGCCAAGTCATGGTGGTAATATCTTATACTTTTCTTCTGATGCAAATTCTGCAAAAGCTGCTAGTATGATGGTACATTTAATAAAACATCATCATAGCTTATTGGACTTATCACATAAGAATTATTATTGTAGTCTCTAAAGAAGTTCAAAAAAGTAAAAAAATATGTCTGATTTTGCGCTCCATTAAAAATTTCAGTCTTTTTTTTTCTCTTTTCTATGTTTTGCCACTATTCTCCTTTTCCCCACTTCCTGATCAGTCCTTTCTATTGTCAGATGAGTGATGAGCTGATGTGCTTTCTTCTTTACCAAAGCATTTCATCCAGCTTTCCCTCTGGCATGCTTTCAGAAAACTTTGGGCTAAGCCCTGAGCTCAGTGTGCCCAAGTGTTCTTGGTCTAGTTTTGGGCTGACACTGTCAATGTGGTGTCCTGTAAAAAAAAAAAAAAAAAAAAAAAAACATGTAGAGGTCAGGCGCAGTGGCTCACGCCTGTAATCCCAGCACTGTGGGAGGCCGAGGCAGGCGGATCACCTGAGGTCAGGAGTTCGAGACCAGCCTGGCCAATGTAGTGAAACCTCATCTCTACTAAAAATAGAAAAATTAGCTGGTCATGGTGGCGGGTGCCTGTAATCCCAGCTACTCGGGAGGCTGAGGCAAGAGAATCACTTGAACCTGGGAGGCGGAGGTTGCAGTGAACCGAGATTGCGCCACTGCACTCCAGCCTGGGTGATAGAGTAAAAAAACTCAGTCATATAAAACAAAACAAAAACAAAAAACAAACAAACAAACAAACAAAAAACATGTAGTACCTTGAAGCCAGATAACCTGAGTTCAAATCCTGGCTCTGCCATTTCCTTGCAAAGGCAGATCGGAGCCAGATACTGTACATATCTTATACTCACAGATGCTCTTCCTATCTTCTATGCAGTTTCCTTATCTGAGAGCAATCTTAAGGGTCCTTTGAGGATTAGTGAGGTGAACTTTTTAAAATGCCTGACAAAATTCTCACTCTTATGGAAGGACAGGGTGGTAGGGGATGGGGGATTGGGGTCCTTCTTCCCTTCTTGTCCTGAATCGCCTCTTCCCACTCTTCTTTGAATAAATTCATTATCTGTGTTTTTTACTGGAAACCTCTTCATACCATTTTTGCAAGCAAGAAGGATATAAATCCATTTATTCAATAACATTTATGGAGCATCTTATGTGAACAAACAGTATGTGAATGTGAAATGAACTAGCATTTTTATTCTTAACACTAATGACTTATCTTCACATTGGCAATTTCATCTGTTTCCTACACTATGACATACCTCTGTTCATTACCACTGATCTCCCACCATGAACTTGGGGCTTCACTTCCGCTTCCCAGTGAAGGTCACCCTGTCCCATATGCACTCTTTGTCAGAATTTTTTTATTTTGCAGGAAATAAGGGACCCTGGCATGGATGGAGCATGTGAAACTATCAAGAACAGTGAAATGTTTCAGATTTTTGCTATTTGCCAGTTTCGTTTCATGAATGCTGGCAGAAGACACCTGAATCAAAGATAAAGGCTGTTTTTACTCAAATGGTATGTGTTTCATGTTCTGTTGGTTCCCCTTGTTCTCGAAGTCCTACGGAGCATCCTAGGTCCATGTTTGCACACTCAGGAGATTTGCATCATACCTAAGCAACTCCAAGCTTAGGAAATCTGAATCTTTTATAATGGACTGCAAGTTAGCCTGCCCAACTTTTGCCCTGGAGGAAGACATTGTCTTTAATATAATGAACAACAAACAAACCTGCCTTCTCCCCTGGCGCGAGATACTACCTCTATCTCCCAAGACTGTTTGCTATACAAACATCCTGGGGAATAGTCTGGAATAAAATCATTCAGTGCTCCAGCTCACAAGAGGTACAAAAAGGTGATAGATCCATGGAAAATTATTTCCTAATAGACACAATTCTTATCTCCTCCTGGGGATATGGCCAATAGTTGTTACTAGAAATCAGATCATCACTGGACTTTCTAGCAGTTACCACAGAGGCAGAATTTCATTTGGCACTGAATGACCCTTGAGTCATAGAAGACTAGAGGTAAAAGGAGCCTGCAAGAAAGTGATAAGAACTTCCTTACCAACGGCTCCAAGCTCCTTATCCAACCACCCTCTGACATCAGCTGTTGTACAAGGAAAATTGGCAGAAAGCAGGTAAGCCTCACCCATAGATTTTGCTCAAATAAACAGAGCCCTTAATGTCCTTCATAGTCCCAAAACAGCTTGGGTCTGGTCTGCAACTTCAGCTCTTCACTCTGAACCTAAGCTAATTTTAAGAGTTTGGTGCTTGTTTCAGCAGCACATAGACTAAAACTGGAATGATACAAAGAAGATTAGCATGGCCCCAATGCAAGGATGACAAATTCATGAAGCATTCTATAATTTTTTATTATTAAAAAATATTAATAAAATAAGAGTTTGGAAGAGTAAGCTAATTTTGTTACTTTTATGACACTGGAAATCCTATATGTATATCCATTTGGCTTTCTTTAAGCATTAAAAAAAATTAGAACTACTTCTTTTGGAGTAAAACCAGATGAGTCATTTCTTTCATTACTCTTTCATTCCACTGGTATTTTTTGAGGTCATTCTGTGTGCCAGGAGCTGCTCTAGGCAGCAGCAAATTGGTGGTAAATATGAGCATAAAGGCCTGCCCTTGGAGAGCTTACATTTTAATGAAGGAAATAAAAAAATAAAAGGTTTTTAAAAACACAAACATTTCAAAGACTCATACATAAAATGAAAGAAATAAAAAGGATGACATGATAGAAGGTAGATGGGTGGTGCAAATCTATGTTAGCTAAGGGGATATTACTACTCATATTTGTGCTGGCTTTCTTGATATTTTGGCTTTTTCCCTGCCAATAAACAAGCAAAGAGTATCTGAATTTCAGTATAAAACTTTCTGGTGTTTGGTCAGAGGGTTGTGATCTAATTTTTCAAGTTGTTAAATGCTTAGTTTCAGATTGCCTCAAGGATAGAGTTCTTTTTCAAGGGCATAGAAATCCAACTTTTACTATTTCTTACAAAAAAATGGAATGTGATGAATTATTGTAAAGTAGTGACATCTTTATTTATTTTAGCAATAAAATTTTGAAAGAGAAAAGCCACGAACACTTAGTGAGCCAAAAAAGCAGGAACCATGATGTTTTAGTCCATTTTGTGCTGCTATAACAGAATTCTTGAGACTAAGTAATTTATAAAGAACAGCGATTTAGGCCAGGTACGGTGGCTCACGCCTGTAAACCCAGAACTTTGGGAGGCTGAGGCGGGTGGATCACGACATTAGGAGTTCAAGACCAGCCTGGCCAAGATGGTGAAACCCCGTCTCTACTAAAAATACAAAAATTAGCTGGGCACGGTGGCAGACGCCTGTAATCCCAGCTACTCGGGAGGCTGAGGCAGGAGAATTGCTTGAACCCGGGCGGCAGAGGTTGCGGTGAGCAGAGATCACACCACTGCACTCCAGCCTGGGCGACAGACTGAGACTCCATCTAAAAAAAAAAAAAAGAAGAACAGAGAGCAGGTTAGGGGCCTGGTATCTCTGTTTCCAAAATGGCACCTTGAAGCCTGTGTCCTCTGGAAGGGAGGAATGCTATGTCCTCACATGGCAAAAGAGCAGGAGAGGAAGAACCCACTTCCACAAACCCTTTTAATAGCGGCATTAATCCATTCGTAAGGGCTTTACCATTAAGCCCCACATCCCAGTACTGCTGCATTGGGGATTAAGTTTCCAACAAACGAATTTTGGGAGACACATTCAAACCATAGCATATGGTATTCAGAATTACCTGAATATCTTAAGTGTTTGATTCTACGATGTTAACTCAAAGTTGAAAATAACCATGGATGTACAGTTAAGCTTATAGGGATGGACAGGAAGGAAATGAATAGAGACATTGGAAGAGGCATTGGTTTTGTCAGTACTTACTCACCAGCTTTTGCACCACTGGAAGAGGAAATTTCAGGAAGGAAAGGAAGGAAATGAGGGAAGAGTGCTGGGGGAAATAAACACATGTGACTACAGCTTTATGACCGGTGAGCACCAAAGATGAGTTAAGACTAGATCCCACTGGCTGACAGCCAATGTCTTTTGAAATGTCATAATGTCATTTGACAATGACAATAATATCAAAAAGCATCTCAAAATAAATAAATTCACTGGCTAGGTAAAATTGCAATAGCAGCTGAATCATGATTTTTTAGAGCCCATCACTTTAAGAAAGGGTTAGAAGGAAAATAATCGCAGAGAAAATTGGGTAGCAGGACGAGCCGCAGACAAAACTCCTCAGACACCAAGTTAAAGACGGAAGGGGTTTATTCGGCTGGGGGCATCGGCAAGACTCCTGTCTCAAGAGCCGAGCTCCCTGAATGAGCAATTCCTGTCCCTTTTAAAGGCTCATAACTCTAAGGTGGGGGGGTCCACGTGAGAGGGTCATGATCAATTGAGCAAGCAGGGGGTACATGACAGGGGCTTCATGCACCGGTGGTTAGAGTGAAACAGAACAGACTGGGAAGTTTTACAATGTCTTCCTATAATCTATAGATAACATCAGTTGCTAGGTCAGGGGTGGAATTTTAACTACCAGGCTTGGGTCAGGCAGGCCCAGGCCCGGTTTCAGGTCTGGTTCCTTGGTTTCACGTCTGGTTGCTAGGCGCCGGGCTACCTGCCTTTAGTTTTGCTTCTCTTTCCTTTTCTGAGTATAAAACAATATAAAACAATATGAGAGGGTCTGTCTCTCTTCTCTCATTTCCCCCCTTTGAGACTCTCACTTTTTATTAGTGGGAGTTCTCACTCTTATTTTTGCTACTTATGTCTTCCTGTGCAATAGATTGATAATGATTCACATATTTACACTTGTGCTGATACATAACACGAAGTGACACTGAGAGACTGGGCTATATGCTCGGCTAATTGCAAAAACAAATTTCCTGTTTTTCCTGGAATTTCTGGTACTGACACATTCAGTTCATCATAGAAGGTTTGAAATACTGGCTCAGGAGAGCGTTTATAAACTTTTCCTCAAACCACGACATTTACTTGAAGATCCAGTCCAGCTCCATCAATTTTTAGGGTTACACGTTCCTCTTTTTTCTAGTGAGGATTAAGGGGGTTGGTTATTACTAGTTCTAAGGGGTTACACTGACCACTGGTACAGGAAGGGCCACTTTTCCCTTGCTGAAGGTGGACAGGATTTTTTTTTTTTATCCAAGTAGCCTAAATGACACAAGACCAGTATCCACATTTATTTTTACACAGTCTTAATTTATGATAAATGTACTTATTTTCTGCCATATAGCCTCTTTCTTAATTAAGAGAACCACATCCTATTTTTAACCTATTATTATTAATGACAGCACAGGCATCGAATTTCAAGGTGACTTGTTTGGGCACTTCTTTTTTTGTTTTGTTTTGTTTTGGCTAACACTTTACTTGTATCGTTTATGAGCCTCCACCAGTCTTCAGTCCTTAATCTTATTTTAAAAACTATGGTCATGGGAGGCTCAGATGGGTCATAACACACATCAGGTTGGTCATTTCCCGGGCTACATACCTTGTATAGAGTAACATTATACAAACAAGTTTTTTTAGAGTTCCAGTACACTTATAATAACTGTAAAATAATAGGACTGTAGCAACCTTTTGTCCCACTTCAGTGACTTGATGTATATACTGGGAACAGCCCTCAGTCTGAGGAAGGTCAGTTGAAGTCCTTACTGTACAAGTCCAAATTTTAAGGAAAATGAGTCCTGCGATGAGTTTCCTCATGTTTCGGCCGTGCATGGACCAGTTAGCTTCTGGGTGTGACTGAAGCAGGGCTTGTCGTCTTCTTCAGAGTCACTTTGCAAGGGTTGGCGAAGCTGCTCCCATCCACGTACAGCTCTCGGTCTACTGATGTTTAAGGATGGTCTTGGAGGTTGGGCCCACTAGAATAAACTGAGTCTAATACCTCTACACAGTTATGTTTAACTGGGCTCTCTGATACCAGGAGTAAGGTGGCGGGGTTTAGAGTGTTGCAAACTTCAATTGTTATGTGGGGATTTTCACAGAGCAAGCTTTGGTATCTAGTTAGTCTAGCATTCATTAGCTAATGATGTCCTTTGGTATTTATTAAAGTCACCACAGCATGGGGGGACTTTATGTTTAGGTTTTGCCTAAGAGTTAGCTTATCTGCTTCTTGTGCTAACAGGGCTGTTGCTGCTAGGGCCCTTAGACATGCAGGCCAGCCTTTGGAAACCCCGTCTAGTTGTTTTGAGAGATAGGCCACTGGCCTTGGCCAGGGCCTTACAGTCTGGGTTAAAACTCTAACTGCCATGTTTTTCTTTTTCTGACACATAGGGTGTAAAGGGTTTTGTTAGGTCAGGTAGCCCCAGGGCTGGGGCTGACGTGAGTTTTTCTTTTAACTCATGAAAAGCTTGCTGCTGTTGGTTGTAATAGATGTAGTTTACTAATCTACATTTTTATTAACTGTCATCTACCAAAATATTGACTCAAATCCTGTAACTATTTGATTTCAAGCTTTACATTGATCTGGTATTCCTCATGGGACTCCAATTGCGTCTAAATGGACATGAGAGTTGAAAGACCTACAAGGGGCTTCTCTCGCTTTACAATGTCTTATTTTTTCTCCTGCTGGTTGATGAAATGCCAGGGTGAAAGGGATAGCCAATTGGACTAAAGTATAAGTGCCACTCCAGTTATTCGGCAGAGTGCCCAGTAAAGGTCCACCACAATACCACCACACATCCGCGTGAGGATGAACAAGGGCTGACTGATTGATAAGCTCTTGAAAATTCTTAAGCTCATCGCATCCCTTCAGGTCTCCAAGGAATGCTAAGTTTCCTCCCTGTCGTGAGAGACACGAAGTGAACTTAGTGTTGGGAGACGGAGGCTGGACAGCCCTCGGGGGCTGACCCGCAGGGTGCCGGACTTTGGGATATAGCAGAGAGAGCTTGGCATGACTTATTACTCCAGGCTGTAGAATCCTGGAAAAGAACTACCACACAGTCCATGCCTTGTCGACTGGAGGACCACCTTAGTGGAAGGGGGACAATCAGGGCCTCTGGCCTGCCATGTGCACAAGCATAACAATTGCTTTTGTTTAACGTGCACATGGAATATTTGATCCATTCCAACCAGGCATTTGCATCTTGGTATGCTGTCTTAATTGCCAAAGTTTGTTTTAAGTTTTTAACTTTTATGATCTTCTAGTAAAATGAATGTTTCCTTTAGCACCTATTTTTATTAGTTTTTAGACCAAAGAAAGCCAAATACCATTTTACATTTAACAATGCTTTCTGTATGATTTTTATACTAGATAAGCCAAATTTTACCTTTATATTAGTGTTATTGATGTTAAACTTAATTTTAATAAAACCTTGTAGACATATTTATCTAATTTTTAATGTTTGACCATAAGCAAGATTTTATATACTCTTTTTAACCTTTCATAATTTTTGTTAAAGAGCAGGTTGGTGCTTTAAGAAAAACCTGTTGCATTTTTATTTTAATGTCCAGTTCACAGAAAAACTGGATGATACCTTTTTAACTTTAGCTAATATGTTTACACACAGAATTTTCTTTACAATTAACGTCTCAAAACTCGCTTAAACTTTCAAAACAATAATTTTTTTAACCTTTTAATGTAGGTAAAAATCCACATTCTTATGCCTCCTTATAATCCTTTTACCAAAGGTATATTTTACTTTTCTTATACACCTTGAACATAAACTGTTTCTTCAATAGTACTGAGTACTTTTAAATTATACAACATTTTTTGCATAATTTTTTTTTTCCCGTTAGCAAAGCAGCTGCCGCTACAGATTGAATGCATCTGGGCCATTCGCGGGTTACTGGGTTAAGGATTTTTGATAGGAAGGCCTCAGTGCTCTTGGGATATGCCCTTGTTTACACTGACAACAAAGTAGTATTAGAGTGTTACAGGGTTACTGAGAATACCTTTAATTATTAATTACAGGTTTTTAATTTACCTTGGCTTTTAAAGGAATAGGGTATACTGTTGTTTTTTTTTTTAACTACTTGTATATTTCTCTCTTTCTCTTTTTCTTTCTCTCTTTGACTTTCTGTCTCTCTGTCTCTCTCTGACTTTCCTTTTGCCTCTGTTTCTTCCTCTCTTTCTGCCTCTCTCTTTCTGTCTGCTGGTCTTTCCTTGCCTCTGCCAGCCGCTTATGCTGCTGTTCTCTTAACTACTGTGGGGGGAAGGGGATCTAAAACCAGCTGTAACTGTCTCTGTACGGAAACTGGTCTGGGTGCCTTGGCTTACAGGCTACCTTGTGCCATACCTTTGAAACAAGGGACTTGTCTAGGCTTCCTTCTGATGGCCAAGCCACCTCTAATGCTGGCCAGTCTATTTCACACAAAGTTTTAAGTTCTCCTGGTGTCATAGTACTCCATAGTCTTCCTTAAATCCTTTCTTGAAATTTTTCAACATAGTTCCTAGTAGGGTGGGCTTATTTGTGCCTGACCCATGCTTCTTTGAGACAAAACACCATGCTCACACCACACGCACACCACAAAACAAAGAACAGGTAAAAAGGGCACACACACACTTTTGCAGTTTACACCAAACCAGAATCAAAACCAAAATTAGAGTATCCAGAAATCTAAGCCAGGTCAAAACCAAAACTAAGCAATCCAGGCAATCCAAGTATCAAGCAATCCAAGTCAAGTCAAAAACAAAAACCAAAGTGCCGGTACTGCCACACCGTGGGTGATCAGGCCATGCTTCCACTCAAATGGAGTAGGCAAGTTCCTACTCAAATGGAGTAGGCAAGTTCCCAAGACCAGTCCTGTGAAGCAATTCAAACCAAGTCAAAACCAAAACCAACACCAAAGTGCTGATAAAGGCACGCTGTGGGTGATCAGGCCACGCTTCCACTCAAATGGAGCGGGCAAGTTCCCAAGACCAGTTCCGTCAAGCAATTCAAACCAAGTCAAAACCAAAACCAAAGTGCCGATAAAGGCATGCCGTGGGTGATCAGACCACGCTTCCACACAAATGGAGTGGGCAAGTTCCAAAGACTAGTCTTACCAAGTTTTAGATGTCTGGACTCCAAGTGCCAGTTCCTTCCCAGTGTTCAGCCACTGCGTTGATCCTCCACGGGGGCCTGCCACACACGGCTCTGGCGAGGCGTCCCACCTGGGCAAATGCCTACCCGGGAGCGCTCTCAGGATCCGCGTCGCTCCGGCTGGTTGGAGTCCCCCGCAGGGATGTTCCACAGGGCAGGCTAAAGCCACCTAAGGAGCTGCCTCAACCGTCTGTTAATCACCTCGCTTCCTGGTCAGGGAACCAAGAAATGTAGCAAGACAAGCCGCAGACAAAACTCCTCAGACACCGAGATAAAGAAGAAAGGGGTTTATTTGGCCAGAGGCATCAGCAAGACTCCTGTCTCAAGAGCCGAGCTCCCCGAGTGAGCAATTCCTGTCCCTTTTAAGGGCTCACAACTCTAAGGGGGGTCCACGTAAGAGGGTTGTGATCGATTGAGCAAGCAGGGGGTACGTGACAGGGGCTGCATGCACTGGTGGTTAGAGTGAAACAGAACAGACCGGGAAGTTTTACAATGTCTTTCTATAATCTATAGATAACATCAGTTGCTAGGTCAGGGGTGGAATTTTAACTACCAGGCTTAGGTCAGGCAGGCCCAGGCCTGGTTTCAGGTCTGGTTCCTTGGTTTCGCGTCTGGTTCTTAGGCGCCGGGCTACCTGCCTTTAGTTTTGCTTCTCTTTCCTTTTCTGAGTATAAAACAATATACAACAATATGAGAGGGTCTGTCTCTCTTCTCTCAGTTGTAGGAGAATAAAGTTGCTATTGTAGCTATAGCAGAGACCAAGAGAAGAGCTTGGGAAGTCTGGGTGGTGGGTGCCCTGTGCCACTCTTCCACAGTGAAGCAAATAAGGTTTGTGGGAAGACAGGGTCGCAGCATTCCAGGGGAGGGGTTATAAAGCAAGTAGTCTTCTGAGGGTGAGTTATTCCCAGCCCAAAGACTTTTTGGCCTAAAAGCCAAGATTTAAACTGTTTATTTGGAGACTTGAGAATTCTGCCCAAAATATATGTAAAAAAAAATGTACTCTATATAAGAACAAATCCCATAAACGCTAGGAAGCTTCTAATGGCTTTTAAAACATATTCTCAAGGCAGGCTAAAGTCTGAGAGATTCTTCTTGTATTATCAAAGTATGCTTCCTTGTTATCTTTGAGATAAATTATAAATGTAATTTGTAAAACACGAATACAAGGCATGAGTTTGGAGTTAATATCAAAAGGTATGACCTTATCCCTAAGGTTATCCCTTATCCCCAAGGGAGTTGACTTAAGAGTTTTTTGTTGTTATTTTGCTTTGCATCTTATTTGTTTATTTAAAATTTAAAGGAAAAAAGTTTCATTTTAAACAATTTAATTCTCATTGAAATGCATTTTAAGTGTGAGTTTCATCCTGTACATTTTATCCATTGAATCAAATTAGACAAGAAGCTGGCTTTTAAACATTAAAAAAAAAGGCAAAATTAAAATAACTCAGTACTTAAGATGCAATCTAGGGCTTAAAAATTCACTTACAAAAAAATCTAGCTTTAAGAACAGTGAGCTTTCAAGGTGGCTAAGCTATATTAAAGTGAAGTTATACTTATTTTGACTATAAATATGAATACTGATTAGAGAAAGTATCACACAACTATATGAGAACACATTTCATTTTTGAAAAAACAAATTTGAATGCCTGATTTGTCATCTTCATGGTAAAGATATGTTGGTTCTCTCTTTTACGTAGCTCCTTTAGCTTGTCCTTATATAAGTCAACAGGGTCTCTTGATTCAGGGCATAGTTCCGAACAATTCTGCCAGTTGTCTAAATCTATTCTTTCCATTCCAAATTCCAAGTGACTCTTTCTCTTTGAAACAGATGCAAATAGTTAGTTTCACAACTTTAGTCATTTTCATCCTTAGAATACAGACTGGGAAATTGCACACTCCAGGGGTGCTGGGCAAAGGGTGCCAGACCATGGCAAGGATGCTGGTGACTTCACCGAAGGGAGCTTTATTGTGCCGGAGCCACTGCCAGCTACCCTCCTCCAAGCACCGACTGCCAAAACATCACAGTCCAAAGAGGGGTGCTCCGTTCCCCCTTCCCACCTCCCCCCCTTCACCTCCCTGCCTATCAGCATCCAGAAGCAATTCTTTGCATGGGTGCTTCTTCATCCTGATCCTGACTGGCAGCTCCAAGGATTAAACTCAGGTCCTTTGGAGCAGTCGCTTTATGCACATTAGCCCCCTGGGGTGTTGAACTCCAAAACCTCTATTTTTTCCCCCGGGTCTACCCTGTATCTCACAAAACCCTAGTTAGCCACTGTGGTACACAGTCTTTCTTCCATTCCAGGCTATCAAAAGAAAACAAAACAAAACACCAGACCTTACAACAATATGATGGATATGGTAATGATCGAGCGTCTTTAGGGTAGTGGGTAAATTCCAAGTTCTTTCATAACTGAGACTTGGGAACTCGTTTTCTTCTTTATCATTAAGACTTCACATTTTCATCAGCAGAATCTTGCTTACAATAGCACAAATGATAATTTGGCTGAATGAAAATGGCTTGTGGTGTGTGTGTGTGTGTGTGTGTGTATATGTGTGTGTGTCCATTAAAAAAAGTTCCTCAAAACTGCTGAATGAAAATCAAGACCAGTGTCTTCTTAATCAAACAAAATTTCCTGCTTAGGGACTGCGTTAAAAAAAAAAAAAAAAAAAAAAAAAAAAAGACCATCTGGCCTCTCTCTGCTATTTGAGGGGTTTTTTTCTCCTCCTCACTTCCTGGTTATCTTTAGCAAAACATTATCATTTCTCGTATAAATTGTTTTTACCACGGTGCATTTCCTTCTGTGCATTACTTTAATAAATGGGATAGAAAGCATTGCTCCATTTCTTGAAAAATACTTTTCAGCTCTAAATGGCAGGTTTAAAGGGGGAAAAAATGAAAAATGTGCTTAAAAAAAGGAAGATGGAAGTCAAATCACAGTGAGGGCATTAACTACTCATGTTTCTTTAAACACTTCTGCCAAGGCAAGCTCTTTCTTTTTCATATATATATACATGTATATATATAGAGAGAGTAATAATTAAATTCCAAAAATGAAAAGCCACCCTACGCACCCTACCCTACTCATTTAAGGTGATAACTATGCTAAACACCCTCCAAGAAATAAGTCTGAAATGGAATTAATTTCCATGTGGGAACAAAGATGACAATAAAAATATGATCAAATCTCAATTAACTTAAAAAAAATCCTAATTGAAACATTTCTACAATGCTTGAGTCCACTTTACTTGCATAACTACAAATCACATATTGGATCTAATTGAAAAGTTTGAGGTAATTTCAAATCTTATTTTTCCTTGAGATCATCATTAAAAAGACCTTTTTTCATTTGATCATAAATAGAGATGACGTAGGAGATTGACTTGAATGTATAATTGTATCCATGACCATGGATTTTTACAGTAATTCATAATATCACCTTCTTCCTTGTATTTCACAAATCTTTAGGAAAAGTATAATGTAGAAAACTTGTGGTTAATAAAGGTTTGACATTTTAGCAAAGTTCAGGTAAGCTGAGGTTTTTGTGCATTTACATGCTAAACAAAATGACAAAGATTCCTGCTTTTCTCACTGCTGTTCAGTAAGAGTAAAAAATGAATGATAATTTTAATATAGTACTTCCGATCAATTTTGTTAGCACAAACTAAAGACTATGGAATACTTTGAGAAATATATAAACTAATTGAGAAAGCACTAGTGTTTAGTTTCCCAGTGGAACACAATGGCAGCTCAAGACTGGTCCCAAATGTCCTCCTTCCATGGTGCAGTCATGTCCAGTCCAGCTTGGGCTCCCCATTCCAATTTCCCACAGAAATTTATACTGTGCCACCTGAGTTACCAAATAATGACACCATAATTGAATCAAATTATTGCCCAACAAAAAGAGACCTCTAGTCTTACATTTTAGCGTTCCACCCTTTGATGAAGGTTATTGTAGAAGACGCTCCTGTATTGGGTAGGAGATTGGGAAAATGTTAGCTAAGATCACTTCCAGCTCTACAATTCCAAATAGCTTGCATTGTATGAGGGAAGATAAGGATAAGACTGGGACTCATGTTCTCTCTCTGAATACCCACACACTCTCACACTCTGTCTCTCTACCTCTGTCTCTGTCCCTCTGACACACACACACACACACACACACACACACACACACACACACCACTTTTTCTTTTGGGGAGAGGAAGATATCACCAAGTCCTCATCCCCCAAAGCAATACTAGGCAAATTTATTTTGAAATCTTTTATATGCCAAGAACTCTGATAGCTACTGAGCACACAGTAGGGTTTTCATAAATATTTCCATAAAGGACTGAATGAAGCTCAGGAGATCTGCCATCTCTCACTTATGGGCCTACAAAAGATATTCTTAGAGGGAGAAAAGATCAATAATGTCAGATTTAGCCGTGGTACTGGTGTTTGTGCCGATGACTATTTTGAAAATAGTACAGTTGTTACACACTAAAAATAGGACTGTATTGTAAGGCATATATATCTGTGTGTATATATATTTATGTATTAATATTATCAACTACTATGTCTTGGGCACAAATGTGTGAAGAACATTTTGAGGATGCATGTATTGAGTATATATTTTAGATCTCAATCTGTAACTCAGTTTAGAGCTTGCAAAGATAAAATCAGTGGGTCCTTATTTTTGTTCGCTTTGTCCTTCTATCTGTACTGTCTTCTCTCAGTATCTTTTCACCAAGCCTTGCCCTGAAGAACGATAATGACACCAAAACATAGGCACTTTTTCTTTCTAAGGACCCCTCAAGGGATATTATAAACTTAATGTCTTGGGGAATTCTGCAGAGACTTTCCAAACTGGTATACTCAAAATCAGTGTCAAGGCCCTGAGGGTGATTGGGCCCCAACTTCTGTCACCACAGTGATTTCCAGGTTGATTGGGTGCACGTGACATCCTTGGGTCAAGGGTATGGACAAGTAGCCCTGTGCCATATAGAACCACCAAACACTCTTCCAGCCCATAGAAGCAGCATTGGGAAGTACTGCGGATTATTACCTGCTGACTGTGTGTGAAGTTGTCCTTCCAATAAATACTTATTTTCCTTAGAAAAGGGCAAAAAGGTCTCATGATACATTACTTAGGTAACTGTTATACCCTAATAGAGTAGCGCACTTGTATTAATTCTTCACCATACAAGACAAAGAATATATATAAAATTTGGTGACTTAATGGAAATAATATTTATTTAGGGAGTGATGAATTCTAGGCAAAATAAAGAATGCATCAATATTCCTAACACCCAAATGGTTGACATGTGATGCAATTTACATAAGGCTTCCTTTGAATTTCATTTTTTGGAGCTTTCCTTCATATATCCATAACTGGCATTTAAAAAAATACCTACAATATGCCAGGCACTTTATACAAATTGGGTCTAATCCCTACCCAATCCCTAAATAGTGGGTATCATTTTCCCCCTTCTGCAGATGAGGAAACTGAGACACAGAGTTAAAGCATCTTCTCCAGGGCCACACAACTGGCACATGGCAGAGACCAGTTTAGAATCTGGGTTTTTCTGACTCTTAAAGATCTCTTTCTGGAAGTGAAATTACTATGTCGAAGACACACCCGCATATTCATGTTTATTGCAGCACTCTTCACAATAGTCAAGATATGGAATCAGCCTAAGTGCCCATCTACAGACAAAAGGATAAAGAAAATATATTTCTTTATGGGGATGATTAGGACAATGGAATACTATTCAGCCATAAAAAGGATGAAATCCTGTCATTTTTGGCAACATGGATGAGCCTGGAGGACATTATGTTAGGTGGAATAAGTCAGGCACAGAAGACAATTACTACATGGAACAAACCTGCACATTTACCCCTTGAATCTAAAATAAAAATTCAAATTATAAATAAAATAAAATAAAATTTAAAAACATTAAAAAAGATAAATACCACATGATCTCACTCATATGTGGAATCTAAAGAAGTCAATTTCATAGCAGTAGAGAGTAGAACAGTGGTTCCCAGAGGCTGCTGAGGGTATGGGGGAAGGGAGGAACGGGTAGAGATTGGTCAATAGGTACACAAAGTTAGACAAGAAGAGTAAGTTTTGATGTGCTATCACACAGTAGGGTGACTACAGCAAATAACAATGTAATATATATTCAAGACAGCTAGAAGAGAATATTTTGACTGTTGTCACCACAAAGAAATAATAAATGCTTAAAATGATGGATGTGGTAATTACCCCAATCTGATAATTATACTGTGTATCCATGTACTGAAACATCACATTGTACCCCATAAATATGTACAATTATTAGGTGTCAATTATAAGTACAAATTTTTTTTAAAAAAAATTTCTTTCCTCAGCAACATATTGCTGCTACAGCTTCAAGGAATTGGAAATTTTTGATAAACTAATATGAATAAAACGTGGACGCTGTAGATTCTGGCAGTATTTCAACTACTTCTAAACTTTAATTTTGAAAAGACAAATAGTTAAACATTGGTCATGTGTTCCTTCTTCACCAGGAGCTATTCAGAAATTTCACAGGCTAAACCCTCCCAGTTCTGTCTTAGAAGGACTGACATCTGGATCATATTGGCAAGGGGGTGCTTTAAACATAAGAGAAAATTAGGAGAAAGACCTAAGACTGGATTACTTCCACGAGTTCACTCACCGATACCCGCCCAAGTACTGTCTTTTTTCTTGTAACTAGCTTGTCACCCATTCTTTCTACTCAGTGAACAATGGCTTGTGACCTCACAGTTAGCGAGTTCATAGGAGAAATATATCAGTTATAATTAATGTTTACTAGAATAAATGTAAATATTTTAAAACATACAACAGTTCCAAGAACATGTGATTTCCATTTTATTTTATGAAACATTAAAAATCCACTTGTCCACCCCATTAATTATAACCTGCTCCCAGCCCTGACCTGTATATAATTCCTCCTGACATAAATTGGAACAAGGTGCTCAGAATAGAAGCAGCCTACACCCCAACTGGGCTACAAAATGTCAAGTTCCCAAACCTCTCAAAAGTGTAACCTGACATTTTGCTAAGATTAGAGACAGTTTATGAATTTAAAAAGAGGGCTTAAGGACTCACCACAGTTAAACCTACAGTAACTCCTGAAATATCCAAAGTAAATAGGACTAAGGGAGCCCTGGGGACACCAAAACCCTGTTAGAAGAGAAGGAACAGTCTTTAGTGGGTGGTATTTCTTTGCAGAAAATAATGTACATGCATTCAACCAGAATTAAGAAGAATGCAACAATAAACTTTGAGGCTTGAAGCCCTCTAGAGATCTAAAGGAGTCATGAATGGGCCATGTGAAATATTTCTCCTTTTGCTACATGTGAATGATTGAATTTATACTGCCCATTAATCCTAAATGTTGAAGGCAAAAAAAAAGAGAGAGAGAGAGAATGGCTAACTTTTTAAATAGTATTCTTCTTGACATGAATATAATATGTATTTATTATACATATGTATAATGTATATTGGTGAATATTTATAACATTCCCAAAGAGCAAAACACCTATAGAAGGATCTAACCGCAAAGAAGCAACATTCCACAGGTTGATCTTTCTAGTCATTTTCTGTACCTCTTAGCCACAAAAATGGGATCAGACTTTACGTTTTGTTTTGCAAGTTGTTATTTTAAATATAATATATTGGGTGATTTTTCATGTGTAAAGATTCTTCTGACTTTTCAAGATTAATTTCAAGTACCTTTTAGTACAACTAAAGTATTACAGCCACCTTCCAAATCAAATAGACTATATAAGCTGAAGATTTACTAAATATTAAAATGTTAGCAATTTTTCCCCATTATAACATGCACTGTCAATAGGGGCAATATTGCCCCCAAGAGCGAGAAAACTAGTTCTCAGTGGCAAACAAACAAACAAACAAACAAAAAACCTTACTCTTTTTATGCACAAAGCACAGATATACATAAATAGATTTATACTATATTTGTGGTATTAAAATTTCATGCAAGGAGCAATTAGCAAAAAATGTTTCAACAGGCTCCTTGTGACAGGGGGTTGAAAATGAAAATAGGTTGTAAACACTGCACTACAGCATCAGACTTGTAAAAAGTGGCCTTCATATTGCTAGAGTTCAGAAGATGATTTTTTCCATTTTAAATTTATCAACCTTGAATACATTTTTAACTCATTTCTTAGTTGCAGAAACCAAGGTTCCAAGCAGCAGATTTTTGGAGAGTTAATGTTTTGTGATAACCCCATGGTCAGCACATGTGATATCTGCCATGTTCTTACTAAAGACTCCTTGGGGTCTGGGTTAGGAGGCACATGTTGAGTGAGAGGATGTTTTGAGGGCAGATGAACACATCATCTCAGAAAGAGCTAGGGCCTGCTAAGTCTGCATCTCAACATTTATCAGCTCTTGCTCTGTGCTGCCCTCTTGTGATGTCTGGGCCTCCAGTATGCCTTGATCTCAAAACCTTCAGTTGCCCTAAATTGATGGACCACCTGCCTTCCAGTGCTTCTTGGCACCAACACCAGGAGATGGTGAAGGAAAGAAGAGAACACCAAAAGCAGCAGATTTCCTTAGAGGAAGAAGCCAGTGTCAGAAGAGGAAGAAAAAGTCACAAAACTTCGCTTTGGCCCTTTAACCCTAGGAAAGGGTGGGCCAATTTTCCACAAAGCTGCTGTTATTACAGGTCACACAGCTCACCAAGGAGCAAGGCAGGAGCTGAGATTCTTCATCACCTTCTGTGGTAGGCAGACTTTCTAAAATGGCAGCCCAAAGATGTCCACCTGAAGCCCTGGAACTTGTGAATGTGACATCACTCCTTGGATTGTGTTGTGTTACAGAGCACAGTTGATGTTAGAAAGGGAGATGATGCAGGTGGGCCTGACCTAATCACATGAACCCTTAACTGCTGAGAACGTTTCCTGACTGATGAAAGAGGAATTTAGAGAGATTCTATGTGTGTGAAGGACTCAATGTGCTGTTGCTTTGAGGTTGGAGATGGCCACTTAAGAAGGAATGCAGATGTCCCTTAGAAAGAGTGGACCACAGCTTATAGCTATCAAGGAGTTCAGTCTTACAGCTGCCAGAGAGTAAATTCTGCCAACAACCAGAGCGAGCTTGGCAGCAAATTCTTCCCTAGGGCCTCCAGATAAGAGCTTCGTCTGGCCAACAGCTCGATTTCAGTCTTGTGAGACCCTGAGCAGAGAACACAGCTGGGCCACCCAGACTTGCAACCTACAGAGCCACGAGCTAATAAATGGGGTGTTGGTTTAATCTGTACATTTGTGCTAATTTGCTATGCAGCAATAGTAAATGAACACACCTTCCCTTCTCTATGACCATCCTGACGGGGGGGATCCTGGCAATGTCTGTCTCCTAGATCACAGATTCTGGTGAGTGACAATCAGTTCAAATACAGTATCCAATCCCGGGTCTCTGACTGACTTCTTAACCCTTCAAGAATCCACAATAAGTCTTGCCAGACAAGTCCTAGCTCTTGACCTCTGCTCTGACCAACTGTCCCTTAGGAAGATTTTAATCACCTTCCGCTTAATGATCAATTTCTCAGGGCTCTCCGCTTTCACACCCTCTACCACCTGGCTTATTTAGTGCTTAGCATCTTCTCCAAGTCAAGCATCCATCTGGTGTATTTCACTCTGGTTGTCTTTTACCTGCTTAGAACTTTTCTTTCTACATCTAGAACGTGTTCATTCTGCCTCTTCAAATCTCCAATGCCCTTATTTTCCTATAATGGGCTGCTCAAAGATTATGTAAGAAGAAAAGTGAAAGTCTGAATACTCTTCCATGTGTTAATTTTCCTGAATTTTCTATAGGGGAAACAGAAACAGTGATGATATGCCATGATCATATGCTATGGTGGAAAGAGAAGGAAAAGGATTAAGCATCAGACATGGTTGAATGTGAAACTTTCCCAGTATTTTATCACCTCTGCATGTTTTTAAATTTTTCCAGGCCTCATGCTCCTCATTTGTAAAAGAATAATAGTAATACTTAACTCATAGAGCTGCAAGGAGGAATGAAAATGGTAAAGACCCACATAACAGAAACCAGCACGCACAAACACTTAAATATCACTGTGAGAAGAATTGAGGTGGTTGTTTGTATAAAATACTTCCAATTTTTCAGAGGCTGTAGCTTTGTAAATAATCTTTTTATCTCTTCTATTATCATAAGAACAAAGCCATTGTCACCCTTCCTTAAGACAGGGTTTAGCCTTGACAGTTAGAGTATTGTGTAACATGGAAACAATGATTTGACATTAGAATGCTGTATCCATTGCTCTGAGAATAAAGAAAGTGAGTTTTAGGATTAGGAATAAAGTTCTTCAGTTGCCACATTTGTTAGGATATTTCTGGGTTTTCTGTAAAGTTGAGTAAACCCTAGGCCCCATGAAGGCAGGGCCCATGCTTAATTCATCCTGAGTATCTACAGGGTTTGGTTGAAAACTGTGTCCTCAGTAAGTACTTACCCACTTATTCATTTATTTATGCATTGAAAAATCAGTTAAAGAGTAAAATTTAGCTGGGCACAGTGGCATGCTTGTAGTCTCAGCATTTTGGGTGGCTGAGGTGGGAAGATCGCTTGAGCCCAGGAGTTCGAGGCCAGCCTGAGCAACATAGTGAGACCCCATCTCAACAAAGAAAAAAAAAAGAGTAAAATTTCTGCTGAAAACTGTGGTGAGCTCAACATTTTATTTTTTTGAATTCTCCTTATGTTCCTATTGAACATTTATAACTTTAATTTTTCTTCTAATTAATAAATCTTAATACTTCTCTGATAGAACCAAAGGGGATATTTGGATACTTGGGGGTTGGGGAAGGTGGGACATATGCTCCCCAAAATCTCCAAGTTCTTCAGCTTCTGACTTGTGCTCCAACCTGAAAATAAACCCAGAAAGTGTCATATAAAATGGCCAACATATTTCCAACTGTTTTCTTCCTTTTGTATTTCCCACTCATTACCCAGGATGCATTTCCAGTGTCCTAGTGGCCCTGTCTTACACCAACTGTTGCTTCCTGCTTCTGAACATCAGGGACTTTAAATTCCAGATTTAAGAGACTTGCGTGTTGAAAAGCTTTTCTCTTTCTGTAAATTACTTGTCATTAAAATAACAAAGGATGCACTCATTAGTCAAATTAAAGATCATCTATCTGGAAGTGTGTCAAATGCAGATAAAGTATAAAGAAGCATTGTTGATACTTTTTTTTTTAAATGTGGACTTAATGAATAACTTTGCTGTTAAAATTCAGCAGCCAAGCGCAATGAAAAATTCCCATGGCTTTAAAATTCACAGCTTTGGCAGACTTCTTAATGGACAAAGTTCAAGAGATTCATAGCTTCCCTAACTTAAAATAAAAATCCCCAAACCACACAAGGTAGCATTATTATACTCTGAATACTCTTAAGAAAAGGTCTTATTAGCTGATGCTTCATAATTATTTGCTAAAAAAGTTGAGTGTTATAATTTAGCCTCTCACTAGCTTAGCCTTTAGACATAATGTAGCATTATTGCTTTAAGTTTTATACTGGCTTAAGGTAAGTAACGTGCTTCCCAACAACCTGCTGATTAGTAGAGTCCCTTTCTCAGTCATTACCCTAGAGCAGGGTTCTGCAAACTATAGACCACAGGCCGCCTATGTACCAAATCCAGGCCTCTGCCTGTTTTTGTGTGGCCCACAAGCTAAGAATGGTTCTTACATTTTTAAGTGGTTGAAAAAAAAATTGTTTAAATATTATTTTGTGACTTGTGAAAATTATGTGAAATTCAAATTTCAGTGTCTATAAATAAAGTTTTTTTGGAACACAGTTACCTCCAATTGCTTTATATAGTCTATGTCGAGCTGAGGGGTTTGGACAGAGACTGCATGGCCACAAAACCCAAAATATTTACTGTCTGGTCCTTTATGAACAAGGGTGCTGACCCCTGGCCTAGATTCATGCTCTATAAGAACCGTACAAATAGCTTGACACTTTCTCCCCTAATAGTGTGGGGCTGTCCATAGATCCTGGTAGTCACATGATCCTGCTCTGACTACTGCCCTTGTCACATATGCACACAGACATATACATACACACACACGTACGTGTGCACACACATTTTTTTTTCCAATTATTGGGAATGGGGAAGAAGGAGAATGACTAATAGCCAAGCCTACCCCTGTTCCCTAGGGTTGTGGGAATATTCTGCTTGTTCCCTTTGGCGAAATGGAATTGGAGTTTTTGTTTTTGTTTTTGTTTTTGTTTTTTTTTTTTTGAGACAGAGTCTCGCTCTGTCGCCCAGGCTGGAGTACAGTGGCGCAATCTCGACTCACTGCAAGCTCCGCCTCCCGGGTTCACGCCCATTCTCCTGCCTCAGCCTCCCGAGTAGCTGGGACTACAAGTGCCCGCCACCATGCCCGGCTAATTTTTTGTATTTTTAGTACAGACGGGGTTTCACCATGTTAGCCAGGATGGTCTCGATCTCCTAACCTCGTGATCCACCCGCCTCAGCCTCCCAAAGTGCGGAATTGGAGTATTTTAATCTGGGATAAAATCTCTGTAACAATTAAGCAAATAGTTTCTGACTTTTTTTTTTTTTTTTTTACCACCAATGACCACTTTTAAAAAAATTTTTAAATGCTTGGATGCTATGCTTATCATTCTTAAAAACAGCTTTATTGAGATACAATTCACACATTACAAACATCCATTTCAAGTGTATAATTCAGTGGGTTTTAGTATATTCAGAGTTTTGCAACCATCACCACTACTTAATTCCAGAGCATTTTCATCACTCCCAAAAGAAACCCCATACCCATTAGCACTCACTCCGCATTCTCCCCTCCCCTATCCCCCGGCAACCACGAATCTACTTTCTGGATCTATGAATTTGCCTCTTCTGGACATTTAATATAAAAAGATCATACAATATGTGGCCCTTTGTGACTGGCTTCTCTCATTTGGCATAACATTTTTTAAAAAACCTTTTCACTTTTAACTTCATAAATCCTCAGGTTTAGAAGTATTTGATAAAACAATCATTGAAAAAGTAATTATACAATATCTTCTGGGTTTTTCAAAACGCTGAAAAAAGCCCACAAACTTTTCTTACAGTCCCTAGGGATGCCTATGAGTCTGGGTAATGCCATGTAAGGCATCATTCTGCCACCACATGCTCATTCTATCATTTACTAAGCAAATATTTACAGAGCACCTGGTATATGCCAAGTGTTTCTCAAGGTGTGGAACAAGACATGCCTCTCAGTTTCAGATCTAAGCTCTTCGCAACCTTCCTTTTCATTAGACACTGGCTTGTTTTGCCAACCTGTAAACAGCATATTGCCAACACACTGTGCCTGCCTATATATTTTCCAGACTTTTAGTATTTTATATAAAAATGAAAAATGATATTTCTTAAATTATTAAAAATGATTTAAGTTGCCTTCAACTTTCCAAGTACCTGGAAAAAGCTCCTGAATCCTCATCCCCTTCTTTTCCTACTTATCTGCCCACATTTTTGTCTTTTCTTCCATCTTAGAACCGCTTTTCTCTTTGATTAATATCCTAAATCCTTTAGCACATGACAATAAGATATTGCAAATAGCCATGGGGTATCAGACAAGCAAAGAAACAAAATTCACACTTTGGTCATTCATGACTTTTTTTCTTAGTATCTAGCTAGATGTCTGTCATCATTGTTATTGCTCACTCACTAGCAAAGGTTCAGAATTTCTATTCCAGAGGTAAACTAGGCAAAGTCTCTACAATCCAGGCAGAGAGAGCTTAAAATAGTGGCATTAAGGTCACTGTGTATTAGAAACTGAATGGTATCTCTTTCCTCTAATCTGGTGAGTCTCTCTTATGAACAGTTCTTTTAAATGTTGGACATTTGTACTTACTAACATGGCTTGATCCTAAAGGATAGAGTCCAAATCAAGCACATCTGGGCATATTTAACCTGGAAAAAATGCCCCCAGAAGGCCATGTTAGCTTTGTCTTTGAAGAGCTGTCAGAGAACAGAGTAACTGCACGTGTTCTGTGTTGTAGAGAGGGGGCCAAACAGGGGTAAAAGCTATAGGGAGAGAGAGATACAGATTTCATCTAAGGACAAACTTTGTCACTGCAAATGATGTCTCTCATTGGAATGAGCCTCCTGAAGATCCCCTGTTGTGCTAGCATTCCTGGGGGCCATTAGAAAGGGGTTGCTGGTGATATGACAGGAATTCAACCAGGATAAGGTTTGAGACCAAAGATCTTTAACTCCCAACGATATAGATTCTGTGGCAAGGGTGATGATAAGGAACCCGGCTGGGGAGAATTTTTGGCTTAAAGCAGCTACAATGGTTCAATCCCAAAGATTGGTGCACTTTGGTAAGTAAAAGAGATGATGTCTTAATGCCAACGGTAACATACTTTTTAAAGCATTTATGCAGCAATTTAACAAATGAAAAGGAAAGCATTAGTTAACATTTATAGTTAAATGTTGGAGATTTTTAACCTGTCCAGATATTCAATATTATATTCCTTAAAAAAAAAATATTTGAGCCAAAGGCTAAAAACAGTCTTTTGAAATATATATATTTCAAAATACATAGACACACATGCATAAATAATTAGTCTTTAAATATAGATTCTTCAAAAGTATTATATGCCTGAACTTGCTGGATCATTAGACAAGAGCGGCATGAGAAAACCTGAAATTTAAAAACACAGGCAGTATGTACTTTTTACAAGAAAATAATGAGCCACAGGGAGGAACCTATCTTGACATTAATTATGAAGAATATAATACTTTAAAATCTAGCAGGACTTCACTGCCTTAGACTAGAATTAATCAGAAGTTCTCTTCATTTCTTGAAATTATGTTTTCTTGGTTCAAAGTTATAAATCTCAAAGCTGTATAGTTTGAAAAGCTTTTAGAAGGCTTTGTTGTCAGAAAAAAAAGGGATTGCCTCTGCTATATACATTTTTAAGGCTGACAATTAAATATTTTCTCATATTGAATATGCTATCTTATGTTATAACTTGAAGGGCTCTGATGAGATTTAGTGCCAGCTAGAGTATCTGAAAATCCCTACAATTTCAGTTATGACATTCCATTACATGGAAGTGCCATTTTATCCCAAATAACCAAGGTTACATTTTAAAATTTTACTTTCCATTAATTAATTCAGCAATGCACATATGCAACAGATAGGTAAGTTTTGTGCCAGGCATTGAGGAAAATTCAAACCTTCCACTGTACAAGTTTCAAAGACTTATTCACAGAGTTGTTTAACAGGATTGCCAAAAAATTGAAGTCTATTTTTTTTCTCTACTAACATTTTATGTACTTGCTAATCTGCCTGTCGGCTCAATCTGCAGCTTTTGAGAATGCTCAGCTGCTGTTATAACCTCAGTGCATCAACTCTAATTTGTAAGAAGATACTGTAACCTTAAAAGGTCACCTTATATATTCCTTGCACATATTGGAAGAAAGGCAAAGATGAGCATGACTGGGGATTAAAGTGACATTATTAGGTTTATCCTAAGAATAACATGGCTTCTTTAAAATATAGTTTGTCAGGCAATTTTGGAAATTAGAGATATGTTATTTGGGGTTCTGGCAACTCTTTGCTATATAACTCTAAAAATTAATTAACCTCTTGGTCTATAGAGAACATAAGGGCTCTGTAGGAAAGGGAAGTGTGCATGATGTTACTACATCACAGACTTTAAATGAAGTCACCAGGAGAATGCATGCAGTTATAATGTTATCACTTCACAGAGACTTTCTGGAGGAACATAAACTATATGAAGAAAATTTGTACCATTTCCTCTAAGAAGGGTGATTTTAGCCTACACAAGTAATTTGTATTTTCACTTTAGAAGTTAAAATTCCTCTTTGTAATCCTATAAACAAAGGAGGATCATTTTCCTGGTTCTTATGGCTATAATGTTTCTTCCTCCAATGCCTTCTCTCAACATAATCTACTAAACCCTTTGGGCATTTTTAAAATGTGCATTTTCAAAGTATTTTTGAGTATTATTTGCCATGCTATGAAACTAATACATTTTTTAAAAAGTATCCTATTATTTTGGGGGTCAGTCTGCATTTCAGTGTATTCTTTCTTCATAAATTTTCTTATTAAACTCATATACTTCCAAGAGGCTTTGCTGTATTGAAGTGTTGCTTGAGTTTAGTAGGCTGGGATCATAAATGCATAGAAAAGAATGAGAATACTTCAAGGTGCACCTTCCTCTAGAAATAGTGATACCTCCGGTCACTTTATAAATCTCTATTCCTGAGACAGGAATGCCTCATTCTGAATTGGCTTAGCGTTCCCGGGAGATTCATATTACAGTACAACTCAATGGCGTATTTTACTGTCAGAGCCATAGATAACAGTGAGTTCATGATAACTACTATCCAAATCTTCCAAATGTAACAACTTAAAGAATGAAAACTAAAACCGGAATTTAAATTGCACAACTGATACAGGAATATTTTATTTTTACATGCGGTTATAATTTATTCTTTTTTCAGGTAATTTGTAATTTATATATAAATATAAGATACATATTTTAATTCTAATACAGGTAAGAATATGCAACTTAACAGTATTTCAAAAAATAACTATTTTCACCTTATTTTAATTCTAAAGTAGAAATATATTTATATACCAAATGTAATAAATACAAAATATATTATTTATCAAGTAGGGGTAAATTTATAAAGTTAAAAAATACATAACATTTTCTATAATTTATATAATAATTATTGTTGCCATGTAGACATAATTTAAATTATAAAACACTATCATATTTTCCTTTGCCTGTTTTGCAATTCTTTAAATGTCTTTTAAAACCTATTAGAATTCAAAGATAAACACATTGAATCAGAGGAAGATCCAGGAATTGTGCCAATTTCTCTATAAAATTCTCTATGCATATGGAGATATACCCTATTTTATGAGGTATTTTATTACCTATTAAATTTTGTATCTGTTAAAATAATCATGATATCTAATATAAGTGATAAAACATCATTAAAAGTAAAACAAAACCAGGTATGCATGAAGTTTGCTTTTCAATTATGTGTGTTCAATTTGTGTTTTATTTTATTTTGTTTTGTTTTGTTTTTTGAGACAAGGTCCCAGGCGAGTGCAGTGGTGCCATCTTAGCTCACTGCAGAACTGACCTCCCAGACTCAAGCGATCCTCCCGACTCAGCCTCCCAAGTAGCTGGGACTACAGGTTTGCACCACCAGGCCTGGCTAATTTTTTATTTGTTTTGTAGAGATGGGGTCTCAGTATATTGCCCAGGCTGGTCTCAAACTCCCTGGCTCAAGCAATCCTCCCACCTTGGCCTCCCAAAGTGCTGGAGTTACAGGTGTGAACCACAACAGTGCCAGATCCAATTTGTATTTTAAAGCATTGAATATAAGCTCTTTAAGAAACAAAGGCTGATATCGTTCTCTGTTAACCACTAATCTTCAGCCATAACTTGCAGAAACAGATTTAGAGATTGGTAGTTATCAGAAATGAACAGGTGGGCACCAAAACCTGATCCCCGCTGGTAAGGAGATTCTTATCAAGTTTCAGCAAACCCAGTGAGGTAACCTGAAGCCTGAGATTCTCCTTCTCTTCTGTCTACCCCAGTGATTCTCAAAGGGAGGTTTATTTTGCCCCCAGTAGACATTTTGCAATGTGCTGAGACATTTTTGGTTGTCACACTTTGGGGGCATGGGAGTGTTACTGGCATCCAGTTGCTTAAGGCCAGGGATACAGCTAAACATCCTACAGTGCACAGGACAGCCCCACAAATAATTATGAAACCCCAAATGTCAATAGTGCCAAAGTTGAGAAATCCTGACCCGGGAGAATCTAGACTGGATGTTGGGGAACATTTGGGATTGACGCCCACAGAGCCAGTGTATGTATGTCTGTGTATATGTATGTTTGTAGATTTACACACATCTACATGTATATTGACAATGAAGACAGATCATGCCCCTATTTAATTTATGCAAATGCAAAGGCAATGGAATATGTTGGAAAAGGGGAGAGGAATTTAAATAGTCTTAGCAATTTTTCCTGATACCTAATGTGTCTATTCCTAAAGTGAAGTTAGGTGTTGGGGCGTGCATCTGCCATGTCTTGAGCAAGTAACAATTCTCTGAGTGTCTCAGAGTATAAATTGAAGCCCAGTCTAATGTTCGGATATATTTTGCACAACACAGTTTCTTTTTTGCTCTCAATATTTCAGTTAAGGTTCAACAAAAAAGGCAGCAATCATAGATATTTTTGACAATTCAGTCATGTACCAAGATAGGCCCATATTATGTGTGAGAATTTTACCTGGGAGGTATTGAACACACCCAAACTGGATTATGAAGTATCTTCTGCACTTTTTGAAAACCAATACAAATGAGACACCACTACACACCTACCAGAATGGCTAAAATGAAAACAGGGACAACACCAAATGCTGGGGAGGATGCAGAGAAAGCTGGGTCACTGATACATTTCTGGTGGGGATGTAAAATGATTCAGCCACTCTGCAATACGCTTTGGCAGTTTCTTACAAAACTGAATGTGTACTTGCCATATGACCCAGCAATTGCACTCCTGGGCATTTATCCCAGAGAAATGCAAACTTACAGTCATACAAAATCCTACACACAAATGCTCATAGCAACTTTGTTTGTAATAGCTCCAAAGTCCTTAAACAAGTTGATGATTAAACTGTCATATATCCACACCAAGGAACATTACTCAGCAATAAAAAGGAAAAAACGACTGATACATGCAACAACTTGGATAAACCTCTAGAAAATTAAGTGAGCGGGAAAAAATGTCAATCTCAAACAATTGCATACTGTATGATTACGTTTATATTCTTGAAGTAGCACAATTATAGAGATGGAGAACAGATGATTACTGGTTTCTGGGGGTTAGGGATGGGGTAAGGGGTGGGTAAAGGGTGCAGACTGCCCAGTACATTTTTTTGCAACTTCCTATGGATCTGTAATTATTTCAAAATACAATTTTTAAAATTATGTTTCTGTAACAACACAGCCCTGGGAAACAAGATCACCCAAATGGTCTCATTCACAGTGGTAGAGTTGTTTTAAAGACCAGTGTTATATTCTCAGCCCTCAGCACCATGCCCTCTAAAATGCATTTTTTCCATTTCTACCTTTTGTATTTACTGCTGTGTTTATTTTTTTGTTTTAAAGACAGAAATACATAAACATGAGTATAAGTGTAATTTTATTTCTAGGTATAGCTGTAAGTATAAGGTGTGTAACATTGTAAAAGAGTTTAATTGTTGTAAAGAATAAGATAGATGAAGGAAAAATATGCTTTTTTGGATTATAATATGAAAGGTAGTGATAAGTGATCATGTCCATTTAATACTATTTGGTGTTGTTTTAGCATATTAGGATAATTTGTCCGAAAAGGGTACATTTTTAGCAACAAATTAGTTTTCTTACATTACAGGGATATTTATACATATACATGCACACGTGCATACACACACACACACACACACACATTTGTCTAAAGAGATGCTTTTGAATCATTACAGCCATTTCAGATATTATTCCACCGTGTGTACATATGTGTATATTTACATGCCTCTGTGTGGGTGGATGTGTATTCATTCAGAGGGTAAGAGGTAGAAATGTCCATAAAACCCAGCCTTCTCTGAAACCTTAAGTTTGTACCTAAAAAAAGAGAAGTTAACCTAACATTTTTAAGTGCCTAGTATGTAACCAATACTCTGTTAAGTGCTTTATATATCATTTATATATATAATCCTTCATTTAGTGATTATTCTATAAACCCTGTGAGTTGTCCACATCATTTCAATTTTACAGGTGAGGAAACTTGGGAAGTTTAAGGAATCAACCCAAGGTCACAGAGTTAAGATGTGGCACGTTAGGGTCTTTACTCGAGGGTCTCTGATAGTGTGCTTCTAAGTCTACTGCCGGGAGTGATTCTCTTACTAAATAGTAGTTTTATCATTGTCAAAAAAACCCATCAAACATCGTTGTACTAGACCTGGCATTTTCTTTCTTTCTTTCTTTCTTTTTTTTTTTTTTTTTTTTGAGACTGAGTCTCGCACTTTGGCCCAGGCTGGAGTGCAGTGGCGCGATCTCGGCTCACTGCAAGCTCCGCCTCGCGGGTTCACGCCATTCTCCTGCCTCAGCCTCTAGAGTAGCTGGGACTACAGGCGCCCGCCACCATGCCCGGCTAATTTTTTTGTATTTTTAGTAGAGACGGGGTTTCACCGTGTTAGCCAGGATGGTCTCGTTCTCCTGACCTCGTGATCCGCCCGCCTCGGCTTCCCAAAGTGCTGGGATTACAGGCGTGAGCCACCGCGCCCGGCCTTCTTTTTGTTTTTCTAAACAGAGGATATGAGCAGACATTGCACAAGAAATGCAAATAGACCTTCAACACATGCAGAGACACTCAACGTCACTCAGAAGAGAATGCAAAGCTACACAGAGATGCCGCTTTTCAGATATCAGATAGGCAAAGGTGCACAAGTTGGACAATGCTCTCTATTGATGAGGCTCTGGGGCAGTGCTCTCACACAGGCTGGTTAGACAATGTTATTTATTTATCAAAATTAGAAACTGCATTTGCCCTTTGGCCCAGCAATCCCACTTCTGGGGATTTTTAATACAGATACATCCGCCCCATACAAACTGATGAACACAACGTTTTTCAGTGCACATTGCTTTAATGGCAAAATATTGGACACACTCCACGTGACTAGTAGGGGAAGGGTCAAATCAATTATGGTACATCGTCATAGTGCAATGATATGCAGTTTTGTTTTGTTTTTAAAGAGGAAGCTCTCTGTGGACTGTTATGGAAAGATCTCTAGGGTATACTCTAAAGCAGAAAAAAGCCAGGGTGAAGAATAATGTATGTGAAAGGCCACTATTTGTGTAAGAGGAGGGAAATATATTTACATTTGCCTACAACAAGCAGAAAAATTGCTGTAGAAATTGATATCACAACAGGAGACACATGGTATACTATAATTCACAACTTTGGGCAGCTTGGGAATGACGATGTTTACATACCAATTAGGGACTCAAGAAATCCTATAAAGTTTTTCTTCAGGATCCTAGTATTCAAATTAGCATAAGGATCAGACATGGAATATAATCTCTGAGGTGAATGTTTCAAACAATGTTTGAAGCCCCCTGGGATCACACAATTAGGAGTTGTGCCTATCTCAATTACTTTCATACTGTTTCTTTACATGATCCAATGCTAATCAACAATTTACCTGGTTAAAATTTAGTTGGTTTGGTTATGCTCTGAAGAGGACACTCCCTTCTTATGTTTTCTGCACTCAGGCAGGAGACTTGTAAAGGAGCTAACAACAAAGGGATTTTTAACCTTCAAAGCCTTAATTAGAAAATAAGAGCAAATGGTACATTTTTAAAGAGGAACCAGGAATACATATTCTTGTGGGCTTTTGCCTCATTACATTTGTTAATAAGGAATGCCAAAACATGTGCACCAAAAAGCGTTCAAGGTCTTTTGGTAGTAAATTATACTTGTAAATTTGATGTAAGTTGATCACTTGAAGAACTCACACTCTTTGAAGATTAGAATTCATAAATGTATGAAAGAATTAAATGGTTCTTTCCTCTAGTGATATAAAGTATTAAATGACAGAAAAAAATGTGTTCGAAATCAACTGCGGAAATAATTCATTTTGAAAAGTATTCAATAAAAATGTTAAATGGGAAAAATATGCTAAGCCCGTTTCTGCTGGATGAAGAAGTAAAGCAGAAACATGAAAAGGGCAAATTTAAGGATGATGGGCTGGGAAATGTCCCATCAGCCTCACAGTTTTACTTTTTGTTATTCAACTATGGCAGTTCTAGGCCCAGTAATCTATTCCATCCCCATAAGACAAAGAAAAAAAGACTAATTCTGATCAGCAGAAAACTGGATGGCCTCTAGGAACCTTCAAGAGGGCAGTAGCTCCGGATCAAGGAGAAATGAATGCCTTTAAAGAGGCATCTTAGATTGTTTTGTTAATACATAAAATCCTCTCTCTTTATCATGCAGAAGTCTCATTTCAAAAGGAAAATGCAAGTCAATGAGGATTAGTTTGGCTCCTCAGAGGTCAGAACTAAATATACAAAAACTAATAATATGACACTGAAATAAACAAGAATGTGGAATTGCTCATCCGAAGGGATGATGTAACTAATATTGACATAATTTCCAAGCAGAAAAGCAAAACTAGGTCAAAGCACGATGGCCTAACATAATAAGCATTTTTGTTTCCAGATTTTTACCATGTAGGCTGTGTCTGCAGGCATTAATGTCTTCTGTTATCAATGTTCGGGGCTGTCACAAACAATTCATGTCTTATCACTCTTTGTTAGTTAAACCAAAACAATGTAGTTTATATGTGAACCATTCAATTCTGACAGCTGAAATGTTAGAAAGCGGAGAAATATTCAGAAAGTGTCTCTTCCAGACTGAGAAGCATCAAGCAATAAATATTCATTATCTAATAGTCTATCATGTTTTTATCTACTCAGAAAGTCATACCCCTCTCAATTAATTATTATGACTGTTTTCCCTCTTTTAGTCAGAGCCGTACAAAAAGGGCAGCAACAATCTCATTAGGATTTCACTTTAAACATTGACCACTGAAAAGGAACTCAAGTGAATCACTCACCAAATAGCCAATTTTTCTCTACCGCTTTCCCCATCATATGTTGACTAAAAGAAGTCACGCTTTCTTCTCTCGTCTATTTGTTCCATTTTACCTTCCTGCACTATTTCCTCAAAGCACAGCTGATTAATTCATGGGCTAAATGACTCATCTCATTCCCTAAACTTTCTTTTATATAAATATAATCCTCCTAGTTTTTGCTGTCTGACATTTTCATACTTAACTAAAATCAGAGCAAAGAATATACACATAAAAGAAGCACAAAACCCAAATATAAGATCATTTAACTATTTGGATTTTTTGGACAGTATTTTCCACTAAAGATGATGTAGTCTTTCCTGAGTTGCCTCATTATAAACCAACATTCCATTCAAATTGCCTTGGAATTTATTAGCATATTGAATTATAGCACATGACCTGAAAACATCCAAATTATATCTTAGTAGAAGGCATGTGGTACAGTCACAAAAGAGAATGAGATGGGGAGTCTAGAAGACTTAGCTTCTAGGTGTAGAACCTAAGTCTCCCTCATACCTTGCTCCCAGATGGAGGGTAAAGTGTTTCTTGTGCTAAAACGTCAACCCAGAAATGCTAAACTTTAACCAGTATTCTTAGTCTGGATTCCTAATGTATTTCGTACAGAAGACTTGATCCTATGTAAGTAAATAAATCTCTATTAATAATATTTGGTGGTGCCGTCCATCTATATATTGCTTTATTTGGCCATTCATCTACTTATTATTAACTCAGCAGGGCATTCAATGAATTCCATTTTCCCAGTAACATCCCCCTTCCTCCGAATTGTTTGGGGAAGACCACTTCTAAATACACACAACCAAAGCAACACTCCAAAACTTGACATAGGACAGATACCACAGTCTACCGCATAGACCCTTTGGTAATATATTAGTCCTGTTGTTTCCATAAACTATTAAATGTCCCTGAAATTTCTATTTTGTCATTTTTAACTATAACTTCTGGTCTGTTACACCTACCAGCAATGAAAATGCTTTGTCCGGCACAAATCTTGAACTTCACTATGAAAAATGTGGCCACCATCTACATGGAGAAGGCTTCAGTCTTCTCTCAGACACGCTATCTCAGTTCTGGAGTAACCTTGGGCATGCCACTCACCTGCAAAATTAAACAACTGCACATGGACCTAAGGCCTAAACTATCAGGCTGGGTTCAATGAGAGAAAGCAGCAGATTCTATCTTGGCGATTAGGCTTTGAGCTATTGGAGGGCATGACCCATTTCGTAATCATTTCTGCAGAACAATCAAACAGAGGATAAGCCAAGCTGCTTACCATGTTTTGGGTTGTGTTCTTGCCCAGAACACAACTGAAAGGAATATATATATATATATATATATATATATATATATATAGAGAGAGAGAGAGAGAGAGAGAGAGAGAGAGAGAGACAGACAGACAGACAGACAGACAGAGAGAGACTATGTGTATATAAATGGACTATATATATATAAAACCATATACATATAGTTCAGTAATCATAACCTATGCTAATTTTCTCTACTACTGATCTATTTAGTCCTTGCTGTTTCCCGGACCTTTCTAATGCCCTTTCTTCTTCATATCCCTTCGGATTTTAAGGAGCATTTTCCATTCTCTTTTTTACTAAAATTCACCCAGCATGTGCCTGTAGAACACTTAATGATTCTTATTGTGTGCCAGACACTGGGCTTGGGTCTGGGGATTCAAAGGTAATTAATATGTGACTCTTGCTCTGGAGTAACTCAGTTCCAAGATAAGCAGACAAACGAGTAGAAATATATACACCAACTCAAATACTCGTGTGGATAAGAGGATGCTACAGCTATTTTCTTTCCATTTATTCTAATCCAAGTAGACAGTGCTCAGCATACAAAGAGCATACTTACAAACAACCCAAACCCACAAACGCCATAATTCCCTCTCAACTGGGGGCCTGTGGCTCCCTGGCTGTTACTCACAAAGACCCTAGTGGGTCCAGAAGTTCAGGCAGGTTGCTGAGAAAGAACAAATGAAGAGGTCTGACCCACGGGCAGACACACCAGCAAGTTCTGTCTGCCAAAGGCATGGCCCTGCCCCCAAATATTGTCCCTGAAAGGAAAATCATGTGTTTTGTAGCTCCAGGCTCCACTGCTTGAAATTTCCCCAATTAAAGATTCATCCTAAGGGTTAAAGGGATAAGAGTCATGAGCTTTGGCTCACCCATATTACTTCTTTCCTGCCATGTGGTAGAGACCATTGACTAAAGGAAACAGGAGAGTGGTTTGGAGGTGGGGAAGGGAAGGGTGGGAAGATGAACAATTATGAATTCACTATATATTAGGACAGGCCTGGGGGAGATGCCCCAGTGAGACCAGAAGACATCAGAAGGATGGAGAAAGAAAGGTGAAAACTAGTACGAACTTCCTATTTCAAATATTGCCATGACTGGCCTATTACCAAAAGTATGCCAATTCTTTCTCCTTCTGTTTCCATCCTGTATAACACAGTGGCATGTCCTCAAAACACAGAACTTGATCTCACATTAATCAGATTGATTATTTTTCGCTGGAAAATGCTCTGGGTTTCAAACAACAAACTCCTAAAACATAAAGTATTCCTAGATTGGGGACTACCTATGAGTTACTTTTCTCTATTGAGAAAAATAAATTACTATTTAATAATTATGAGAAATCTGCTTTATGTAAGAAGTCATAAATTTCTACAAATGGACATGTGGGCTAAAAATCAACTAAATTTCACAATTACAAATCACTTCTCAAGTCTCCTAAGTTCAGTAAGGTTTTGGATACCATCAGTTTTTCAAGTGGATCCCTACCCATACAAATATAGATATTAATGAGCATCCATTTTGACCATGGAAAAACCTACATTATGCTACTGGTACAATAAATTGTACACCAGATCAAAAGTTCTTTGAGGGCAGGGGCCTTACCAAAGTCATATTTGGAACCCAGAAAGTGCCCTGGCACATTAATAATCACGTATAATGTGGCAGAATATATTAATTCTGTGAGTGCTCAGTAAATGTCATTGAATGATATAAGAAAGGAAGGACAGCCTTTATATTATATTCATCATAAACACTGGACTGAATATAAGACCTTCAACATCCACTTGTACTACAAATGATCAGCACCTCTTCCATGTTTACTCAGAACCTCTCTTTCATAGCGCAAAGCAGGTAAGTTATTTTCTTTGGTCTGGTTTGTTTTTTCAGGAAAGTCCCCTCTTGGCATTTTGTTCTGCGCCTCAATTTTCTGTGCTCCTACTATCACCTGACCTCCTGGAGGCCATTAACCATCCTGATCTTGTGTCAATGGAATATTTTCCTCCAGAGGGGGAAAAATATTTCGGATCCAGATGGCTCCCTAATATTGTGTCCTTTTTAGTTTAAAGAAATTTTTATAACATGCCAGCTCATAAAACTGGGCAAACAAATTTCTAGAACAAAACCGCTGAGCTCACTTTTGTGTGAAATCAAAGGAATTGATAATGAGCCAGAATCTTCCCGATAAACTGCCTTACATGTAAACGGAGATTAGATTGCTGTTTGACCTGGCTTTATCGCCCTTTCTTTAATCACAGCGTATTTGATATTCTCTTCCTTGAATGAACTCATTTTCATAGTAGCTTTGGTCACAAGATTAAAGAATCGCTAACTAATTGTTCCAAATAAGCAGAGCAATTCTCTCTGACTCTGCCTCGGGCTCCCTGCAGTGAAGTCCGCTGCCTGATCTTCCGACCACGGGAACTTCAAGCCTGACCCCTGCAGGTAGATAACTGAAATGCACACCTCTAATCAGATCCTGGTCTTTCAAAGTCCCATCAAGTTCTGAAAATAAAAACGTTCATACTTAGTACAATAGGGATATTGATGATATTTATATGATATATTGTACTTCCTTTTCATTGTATAAATTGCTTTTGGAAAGTAGCAACCACTTGTTTAAAAATAATTAAATTACGTCTGCAAGATACTCTGGTGCGCTTAGCCATTACTTCTTTTTGCCTATTGAGAAAAATCCAAATGATTTGATTGAACTGGGATCCTCAAATCATGTGGGTTAAAAATGTCCTGATTTGCCCCTACCTTTTTCTAATCAAACAAATTACTCTTTGTCCAGTAACTAAATCCCCTCCTTTCACCAACGCACAGCCCAGGTTGCCATAGCTACCTTGGATGTCTATTTACCACACAAACGATCAAAGCCAGGAGACATCCACATATGCACTTAGCCTTAAAACTTGCTGGAATGTCTGTGGATAACATGCAACTACCAATTAACGGATTTGCTTGTAGCCTATGCGGTCTACAGCCAAGCGAACTAAAAACATGACTCAAAAAAATTATTTCAAAATGACCAACAAGGATCTTTAAACTGACAGCAAGTCTTATGATTATAACATTTGCTGAAAGAGAGATAGCAGAGAAGAAATTAAAATTTTAACATATGTTGAAGACACTGAGCTCTATAAACCATGTGCAAAAACTTAAAACATCTGTTGAAAGGGAACATTTCTCAGATGCATATTTAAAATTCCAGTTAGTTACTGTATCTTTCTATTAGATTTCATAAAAGCTGCCTGATCTCAATGTTGGGAGAAATGAGAACAGAACTGCCTTTTGAACTGTTAAGAGTCTGGACTTTCAAATGAAGGAAACCATACAACATACTTGGGACACAATATACTTGCCAGTTACAGAATGATAAGAAAAAGAATGTCGTAAGAGAGATTCTGTTTTAATCCCTAGAATGCCATTTGAGATCCTAAACCTGCACAGGTAGTCTTTCTGGGTGGGTGAGTATTCATCCCCAGACTTGCCCCTAACTTGCTGTGTCTCTTTATACTTAACCTTTCTCTGCCTTCGTCTCACCATTTGTTCAATGAGGATCAAATTGCCACCTCATTCTCTCCTGGGGATGTGGCAGAGAATAAATAGATCGTGTTTGTAAAGGACTTTCTAATCCTCAGAGGAAAGATTAATACGAAGACTTTCATTATTAAGCCAGATGTCCTTGGGCATTTTAATTCCAATCTAAAGAATGCAGAACGGGCTAACCAAACAGATTCACGGCTTCCTTGAAACAGCAGCATCCTGGCCTTGCAAGAATTTAGCAGCTACGTGACTTACTTTGTTTTAGTAGATCAGAAATACATCATGCACCTTCTTCCCTTAGAGTTTTTTTTCTAAAGTTATCAGGATGTTAAAAACACAAAATATGTCTAGTAGGCAATTTTGCCTAGAGAATCTGATTTTTCCCCCAGCTCAAGAATGAACTATTTGTTCTTCTTGTGTGTAGGGACAATGGGTGGCTTGCCATGTGGGGAGGATATATGCAGTTGCGGGAATGCCACAGGCAAACCTGTTGTTTTCGGCCAGGCTTCTAGAACAGGTGGCCATGCTTTTCCTTTTGCCTGGGAACAGAGCAAATTCCTTCTCAAGGAAGGTTCATAAAAGTTTCCCGTTTATGATCAGAGGGCAGAGACAGGTTGGCACATATTTTAAAATTACTTCCTGATCAAGGTGAATCAGATTTACACTTTTCTTTGGCCTAACTCAGCCGTGGCCTTAGGAACCCTCAAAGAATACTATCCTTCTACACCTGAAGTGGTGGCTTCAGGAATGTTCCTTTTCTGCCAACCTGGCAGAAGCCCAAACCCCTCTGAATCTTATAGCTAGGCAAACAGCCTTCTAATTCTGCGGGCAATTTCTGGCTACCCAGAATTTCTGGCTATCAGTGGCAGGCAGGGGTCTCTTCTGGGCTGCCACACCAGTGTACAACATTTGTGCAGCCCTAGGGACAGATCACTCATCAGCAAAGAGATCCAATTTCATTGCTGAGCTGATGACACACAGGTCTGTTTGATAGTTAACCCTGTAAATCCAGCTGGAGCTGCCGGGCTGAGATGACAAATTGGCTGGTGAATTCGACTCACCCTGCCTGGATGCAACAGTCAGGTTTCCCCAAGAGAAACTCAAATAAAGTAGGGATTAACCCATGCCAATAACACTGCCATCTCATTCCTCCCTACATTCTTGTTCTGACTGCAGTGGAACAACATGCTAGATTCTGGAAACTGTCCTCGTTCTTTGGATGAACAATGATCCTGTCTCTCTCCTTCATCTCCTCCCCTGTTCCATCCCACCCTCTTTCAAAGTTCTGAACAGGCCAAAAAAATTAGTAGACATACGTAGCTGTGAGATGAAAAGTTGCCCATTCATTAAATAACTAAGGAGTTCACTATATGTGTACTTGTACCCCTAAAATTTCAATACTGGGCTGTTTTCCAACTTCACGTAAATGCCACAACAAACTAGGCATGGGAAAAACCATTCCAAGCTGGGGGAAGCAAACCTTAGGCATAAGGCACGGAGACTGCCATGGTTCCTGAGGAATTGTGTGGGAACAGGGATTCTGGAAATTGAGCTCAGACACCACCGAGGAGAGGACAGGTGGCTCTGCACAGGATCAAATAACTTCTTTGTTCCAGCTAAGGACCTTTGTCAAAAATGTTTTGCGTTCCTCTTTTTCCTTTTCAATCCTTTCCAATTACCCTTCTCCTTCCTTTTCCTCATCCCACTTTAGTAGACATTAAAAGTATGAGGTTGGACTGTGAGTTTGCAGAACTTAAAGACGTCCTCCCCACAGTCCCTACCAAGGCAAGGGCAATTCATTGCAAGCAGACGGCACTTGCTCCTCCGCAAGTGTTTTTCTGCACTCACTGAAACTTGCCAAGCCTGCTTGCTGAGCGAACAAGCGAGGGGGCAAGAAGGCGGAGGGTTTGCGCTGACCATTCGAAGGGGGCTCTGCTTCATCTCCCAAGGCTGTGGGAAAGGGACAGAAAGTTCGAAACCCCTCCCCTGCGCTCTTAAATGGAAAGCTCACTTCCCCCAAAGTGTGCAGGGTGGCGAGCACCCAACCCACTTAGAAGAAAAAGTGAAGAGCTTTTCCGGTTGCGATACAGATGCTAACTTTCCCATCCAGATTTATTCAGAGCTGGTAAAAGCAATAGCATTCCTCTTGAAATCCCTGCCCTTCCAAGCCTATTGGCATGTTTTTCCAGCCTTGTTTTCTCCTTATATGAGTATTGTTCTTGATATTTAAATATTGACATAAAATTCTTCCATAACTTTGATTGAGTTGTAAATCACACCCTCTCCTTGGCTTCCTACATCCACTTTTTCTTTCCTTTTCTTGCTTAACAGCAAAGCTATAAACCTCTTCCTGGACTGATAAGGAATTTTATCATCATGCCCCAGAGCCACAGAAGAAGCTGTTGGTTTAGAATTCTTTTCAAAGACTCATTTAAGTAATCCCCCAGCCCTTTCTCCGCTCACTACTTTCAGGGCTGCCTTCTCACGTCCAGAAGCAATACAGTTTCCAAACTGCTAGAACAGAAAAACAAATTTGCATTTTTCTGGAAGGACTGTCTGTGCTCATTTCAAGCTGGTTCCGCCTTCTCCGCCAGAAACACAGTAAGTGCTCAGAATGCGAAACCAAAATGAGATAAGAGGCCCCGTGAAATTCTTTTTCAGGACATTCAGCTGTCTTTATTCTAGCCCAAAGCATAGGGTAGAGGCACTAAAAGCTCGAGATACATCCTGCACGATACATTCCAGCGGCCGCAAACTGGAATTGATTTACATATATTCTACAAACTGCTTGTAAGCCCTTTACAACGACTGCCTGACATCAACCACAATTAGAGGCAAAAGTGGGGGCGGGTGGCGAGGACCAGACCGGGGTGGCTCAGGTAAAATGTGCTTCTTTGGTTGTCTTAGGAAAATGCAGCCCCGTCTTTCCGCCAAACGCATCGACTACGGCCAGGCGCCTGCTAACCCAGCAAGCTCTCCGCAGTAACACGTCGCAGGGGTCCCGGGCGGCGCCCGCCCCCTCCGCCGCCAGCGCAACCGCCTGAGCTTACCTGCCTCATGTTTAGAATCCCATGACCCATCCGGCAGGGAGCGAGCTGCATCGGAGCCCGCGTCGCAGTCTTCAGAGCGGAAACACCGAACCCGACAGGAGCCCGCAAGACAAAAGCAACCCGGCGAAATCTACGGGCAGCAAAGAGCACGTTTTCGTCCTCTTTTTCTTTGATCTGTTGCTACACGCACTCTGCTCGAGACAATGTCAAGTTTCTCAACCTTTTCTCCCCCAGCCTATGAAAAGTCGGTCGCAGGGAAGCGAGGACCGCCTGGCTCTTATTTCAAATCAGTTCTCAGAGACGTTGTAGGTGGCTGGCTTGGGCCGCGGAGGAGCTTCGCCAATCAGAAGCAAGGGGGTGGGTCCTGGGAGCCAGAAAGGCTGCCTCCGCGAGGATTAGGGGCGCTTTCGGGATTCAAATGACTGGAAGCAGCTGGAAACAATGTCCAAAGCTCCAAAAGTAAAGGATGAGTTCTATTCTTATCTAACAGCTCTAGTTCTGCTAAAAGCTTAACTAGCTAAGGGCCTTAAATCCTTGCATTTTAAGAGCTCCCTAACAGCATTAAAACATTTGGAAGGTGCAAAATTATTTCAGCCAGAAAAGTTCAACACTCAGGACCCAAGGGTATTTTTAAAAGGATATCTTGCACTGAAGCCCTACTTTTGCAAAAGACTGGAAAGGAAACCAAATTGTTATGAGTAACACCTTAACTAAAACGAACAATCCAGAAAGGAGGGTGTTACCTACCTCATCTGCATATAGATTAACTGTATATTCAATTTAAGAAAAATAAATCTTAATGGGAACGTGCACACAATTTTTTTGAAATGCAGCAAATGAACAAGAATCTTTACCTACTGAAGGCCCGAGGCATAATTTCAAATAACACTATTGTCATAGAACAATACACACTGACATTTTGTTCAGAAAAAAAAAAATTTAGTGCATCCACCTTTCTCTATGGTTTGGCTTCCCTACAGGGTTGATCTGTTGAACTTATTAACAGGGACAAGCTGGACATCACCTTGGCAGGATTGCAGGAGAGCTGGAGAAGTAGTTGGCTTCTTAGAAACAAACTCAGACCAAAAAAAATTTCCAAAGTTTGCTTTCTTAACTCCATATAAGCAATAACTTTTTTCAACTCTTAGCCAACATGATTTTAATGTAAATCTACCTTCTGGATTTCAAGAAAGTGCAAGTTGAGCAAAGAGTACTTTGTGTAGAACTAATGGCATATTTTCCCCCAAGAAATGACCGCAATTTTGTGACGATAATTCAATAAAGATTTTAAATGTGTTGGTATCAGAGGAAAAAAAATTACTTAGCAAATAATGCATTGGTGGCTTCAGGAGTGTCAGCTGCATGGGTTCAATACATGTGAGCTCTGCCCAGTTCTGTGAAAATTTGGTGGTCCGATAACTGGGCCTGGAAGCCCATAACGCTAGCCCCCTGCCTGAGTAGCCTAAGGAGCCACCTAGTGACACAAACTGACTTCAGTCCACTTCTTGTACTTTTCCTTGAGAGCCCTTCATATGATGGAGTTCAGGATTTCTCAATCTCAGCACTATTGACATTTTGGGCAGGATAATTCTTTGTCGTGAGGGCTGTCCTGTGCACTGTAAGATGTGTAGCAGCATCCCTGGATTCTGCACACTAGATGCCAGTAGCACCCCCACAATCGTGATGACCAATAATGTCTCCAGACATTACCAAATGTCTCCTGGGTGATGAAATCACGCTTTGAAAGGGTGGTTCTTAAACTTGAGGGTGCAAGGAAACCTCTGGGGAGATTGTTAAAAATGCAAATCTCCAGGCCCCTGCACCAAAATAATCTGATTCAGTAGGTTTGCTGAGGAGCCTGAGAATCAGCATTTTATCCCACTGACAAAGGACTCTGATTTACTTTGAGAAATATTGCGTCTATCCCAGCCCTAGGTATGCCCCAGCCACAGGACACAGGAAGCTACCCAGGGCTCCTGCCATTAAATACTGGAGCTTAATCCCATGGCACATCTGTTTATCACCTTCAGTAGAAGCTACAACTGCGTCTGCCTTCTGCTTTCATCACCTCAAAGGTAAATATGAGCTGGGATTTCCTCTCTCAAGGACTGAGCCCTTTTAATGTTCCTTCCATTTTTATTCTCCTTTGACTCACTCACCAACTATCCAACAATCTCAAATGTCACCACTCATTCGTGATTTCCCCAAATGCCCCAAGAAAAATTAATCCCTTCCATCTTCTATGCCCTTAAAGCAAAATACCCTTATAAAAGAGGTTTCAGAGAGCCTATTTGCCCCTTCTGCCATGTGAGGACACAGCAACAAGGAGCCACTGATGAAGCAGAGAGCCCTCGCCAGACACCAAATCTGCTGGCACCTTGATCTTGGATTTACCTGCCTCCAGAACTACGAGAAATAATTGTCTGTTGTTTATAAATGACCCAGTCTAAGGTACAGTATTTTGTTATAGCAGCCTGAACTAACACAGTGCCATAAAATATGCTGCCTCCATGTTTCAGAAAACCTCTAAAAAAAATGAAAGGTGGGGATACACAAAGTCTTTTTCATTTACAAATAAACAAATGGAAATGTTTAAAATTCTGAATGAAATAAATGGTCCTTTGGAGAATGTTCATTGAGTGAGGATTTGATCCACCTATTAGAAACAGTGAGGCCCGGTGAGGTGGCTCACACCTGTAATCCTAGAACTTTTGAAGGCCGAGGAGGGCGGATGATCGCTTGAGCTCAGGAGTTTGAGACCAGCCTGGGCAACATGGTGAAATGCTGTCTCTACAAAAAAAAAAAAAAAAAAATAGCTGGGCATGGTGGTGTGTGCCTGTAGTCTCAGGTACTTGGGGAGCTAAGACAGGAGGATCACTTGAACCCAGGAGGTCGAGGCTGCAGTGAGCCTAGGTTGTGCCACTGCACTCCAGCCTGGGCGACAAATAAGACCCCGAAAAAAAAGAAAAAAAAATAAAGAAAGGAAAGAAAGAAAGAAAAGAAAGAGAGAAAGAAAGAAGGAAGGAAGGAAGGAAGGAAGGAAGGAAGGGAAAAAGAAAAGAAAGGTGAAGTGAGTAAAAGAGCTTGCTCTACCAAACGAACAGATGTTCTGTTCCCAAATCTGTGATTAAACATGTTTGCAAATATTAGCTGAAGGGATGTTGGAAGTTTTGAAAGCTCTTCTTCAAAAAAAGCAGCCTAGTCGATAATCTTGTTAGTTATGTGCGGGTTTGGTTATTAACAGACCTTGTAGCAAACCTAACATAGGTTCTGGGTGGATAGTCCTGGACAGGCAGCGCTACTCAGACATGGACAGGCATTGCTGTGGCGCCCTTGGACGATACCTAACAGTATTTGTGCCACCTCTCTCAGTGATCTCATAGATCAAAGAACATGGAGTGAATGTTTGTGTAAGTAAAAAATGGCTGAATATCAGCAATTTCACATAGGTTATTTTAATGTGTGTCAGGACACATCAAAAGTCAATGAAAATCAAGCTGAAGTTGTCTATGCAGCCACCTGGACAGTGCCCAGTACAAGTGCACAGACTTTGGGAGCTATGAAAAGAGCATGTTTATTCTCCCTCAGAGGTTTCAGAAATCCAGTTGTTTTATTATCGGGACAGAGGGAAATGTATGGAATACCGTGTTCGAAGTGATTAGTAAAGGTAATTTAAGTTGACAACAACATGAGTCCCCACTTAGAAAAAAAAATCTCATCTATAATTCTTATAGAAAGTCACAAAAAGAGAAAAAAGTTTCTACTTCCTGTGTACAGGTACTCCTTAAATTAGTTTCTTTCAGTTGGTTAAGGGAAACAATGTGGCATACCACAAGGATGGGCCAAATAAGACTTGGAGTCAGTTTTCTGTGCTGACTTGGTCACTAACTGGCTAATAGACCTCAGATAAGCCAGTTGATACCTCTAAGCCCAAGATTTCTCAGGGGACAATTGCACAGCTTGAATAAATTCATATATTGGGAAGTGTGCCCAGTGCAATCGCTATTGCTTGTTGTGTAAATGTGTTGGATGACCAACACTGGAAAGAAGGGAAAAAATCTATGTAGTCAGAAATGTACCCTAAGCTTGTTGTTTCCTCACTAGAAAATTAAGGAATCAAAGCAAATCATGTCATTTTTAATGTTAATTAAACCTTACTATTTAATAATTCTATGCTTTTAAAGGTGAAATATTTTAACAGCATCTAGTTTGTCTTAAGATTAAATATAGCAGATTCTTCATTATCTGCCCTTGAGTAATCTGGTAAATGGTTTATGCATGAATTTTTAAGATTTTTATTTTATTTCATTTAACTTTATTACTTTTTTAAAATTTTTTTGAAACAGGGTCTCACTCTGCTGCCTAGGCTGGAGTGCAGTGGCATAATCTCGGCTCACTGCACCCTCAACCGTCTGGACTCAAGTGATTCTCCCACCTCAGCCTCCTGAGTAGCTGGCACCACAGGTGCATGTCACCATGCCTGGCTAATATTTTTTACTAATTTGTAGAGATGGGGGTCTTGCTATGTTGCCCAGGCTGGTCTTGAACTCCTGGGCTCAAGTGATCCTCCTGCTTCAGCCGCCAAAAATGGTTTATGCATGAATTTACCAAGGGCTTGTTATATCCTCCTCCTGTGGTCAAAATCTCCACTCCCAATTGAACTTTCTACTTCATTTCAATACAATAATATCATACTTCCCAAGAATAATTCTTCAATTTCTGTCATTTATTTTTTACTATAATTTTTTATTTAAATTTAAAGAGGAAAATTATTTAAATTAATTATTTTTTAAGTGATTGCCTGTATCAGTCAGGGCTCTCCAGAGAAACATAAAACAGGCTTATGTAACTATGGGGTCTGGCAAGTCTGACATCCATGGGGCAGGCTGGCAGGTGCGGACTCTGTAGACTTGAGGCAGAATTTCTCCTTCCTCAGGGAAACCTCGATTTTGCTGTAAAGGCTTTAACTAATGGGGTGTGGCCCACCTACATTATCAAGGATAATCTCCTTTACTGAAGTCAACTGATTGTAGATATTCACCATATATGTTCAATATACCTTCATGGCAACACCTTGATTAACATTTGGTTGAATAAGTGGGTACTACAGCCTAGCCAAGTTAACACATAAACCGTCACAAGGCCCATGCCCAAACATTTGTATATCCATTGCAACAACAAGCACAGAGTGTGTGGTCAGTCAATAAATGTTTACTGAGTTGTTGTGACTAATAATAATATTAATAATTTTAAAATCTCCATTAGTAGAAGGCCGTCTTCTTTATCAATAATGAAATTTTGCTAATCGATTTATTATGTACTTATCAACTGCAGTGCTGGAAGTTAAGAGCTCCATTTTATTTAATTTTGAGATTAAGTGATTTCTAGCTGACAGTTCTTTACCAAGTCATACTATCAATCAAATGTCAGAATATAATGCAATTGTTTTCATACCAAGGCTCAACATTTTTGCATCCCATGTACTCTTTCTTTGGAAACCACTCAAAGATGTGTTTTAGCAAAATGAGAGTGTTAAACTAAGAAAGATAAGTCAATGGGACCCAGAAAATAGAGGAACCAACATAAAAAGAAGTAAGGAAAGTCCAGGATAATAACTACATAATTATCATGCAGTTGTGTGCAGCATCTTAGAAAGGCCCCATCTAAATTGTAGCAGGAGGATGGAGGAGTCCTGGAGTTAGGACTCTGGGGGAAAAATGATACTATAGGTAACATTTGAGGGCAAATAGTTACACATAAATATAAGCAATATGTGAGGCTATTATTAACTCCAGGCAAAACAAAAGAATGCACAAAAAAAGGAAGCATTGTTATAGAACAGTCCTTAACTTGGCAGTGATTTCTGATATAGATATTATGGCAGAGACTACTGGTAGCCAATCCAGTATTCATCTTCCCTTTGCTTCTTTTCAACAGAACCTCAGTTTACTTGGGGCAGAAATGTGCCCAGCTGAAGAACATTTCCCAGCCCCCTTTGCAGGTATAGGTGATCATATGAAACTATTATTATTATTATTATTATTATTATTATTATTAAAGACTAGGTCTCGCTGTGTTGCCCAGGCTGGAGTGCAGTGGCTAGTCACAGGCACACTCATATTGCACTACAGCCTCAAACTCCTGGGCACGAGCCATCCTCCTGCCTCAGCCTCCCAAGTAGCTGGGACTACAAGCTCACACCACCATGTCTGGTAGGCCTATGAAATTTTAATAGAAGCTGCTATGTGCTATGTAGGGCTTTTGGGAAAGCTATTTAAAGGGAACACACACTGTTTGCTCTTTGCCCTTCCTGGATTTCTCCACCAGGAATGGTTGCAATGTCTGAGGGACTGGGGCCTTTCTGTAACAATGACGAGGACAGAACACCTAGTAAAGCTGGATAACAGAAAAGATAGAAGGATCTTGGATTTCTGATGACATCCTGGAGCCTCCAAATGAGCCCTAAGCTTCATGTTCTATGAAAAAATAAATTGCTAATTTGTTTGAGCCAATGTTTTGGGATCTGTGTTACTGGGTGAACATAATTCCTGACACCATTATATTGGAAGAATGTGGTATTGGGATGAGGAGGGCTAATTCCTTTTTGATCATATGTAGAATGTTAAGAATAATATCCAAAATTCATAAACCAGGAAAGAGCAGTAAAGGCACATTATGGGAAATATGGAGATACATAGCAGAGGAGATATTTGCCAGTTGAAAGTGATTGTCCCTAGGGTGGAGTGGGATGGGACAGGGATTACTGTTTTTCATTAAGAGTCTTTCATACATTTGTATGTTGAACATGTATTACTTTGATAAAATTAAAATTAGTTTAAAATAAACAAAAAGATACTCTCTGGTTATTAAATCAATTTCTTGTCCTTAAAGTCACTTCCTATGAACTAGCAGTGTTTTATTATCATCTGGCCCATAGATGACCAGAGTCGTGGTAGAGCTTCAGAGAAATTATATGCCTAATGGTCCATTCTGAAACCCAAGTGTAATGTGATCACGTCATACACATATGACCTGATTGGCATTTCCTGTTTCCACCATTTCAGCTTTAATTTGTTCAAGGCTTATGATAGTTTTTCCACATGTAACCAGAGATACATATAGACAGTTCTGATCCAAATTGTTTTGGACATTCTTTTAGATCTCCAGGAATGAATATTCTATATCCAAGACACCTTAATAATTCATTAGAGTAATCGAAAACCACCTTTTGTTCTTATTCCTAATTGGTATCATTCTTGATTTAAATCCATTTTTTGTGGGTTTTTGTATGACTAGGAATAGCTGGTTACTGTCCTTCATATTTAACCATTTTACTTCTTATTCTTTTATCTCACTTTCCTTATATACGAGAAAGATTAGTCCCTCAAACCTTTAATATTTTAATGCACAAAGCTGATATTTAAATTAGTCTTAGAGATTAAAAATATTAACTTTTATGAATCAGATCTCTTTTTTTGTATGTTAGAAACAAGCAAATCAGGCTGGATCATTGATAAGCATGTGGACATAAGGAGGTGAATAAAAATTTTAATCAAAAGAAGCTTTGAACAGGATTTGCGCTCCTTGCTTACAAAAAGTCAATGCTTTATCTTTTAGATTGGTACTTAAATGAACAGAAAGATTGCCAGGATGGTTGTGTTATTTCTGATTGGTGAAAATCCTCTCCCACTTCACACATACCTGGATCTAAGATGGTAGTAAAGATAAAAACTACTTAGGAATCATGGTTTATGTGTCACTTTCCTTTGTTACACACAGATCATGGTGTGTGTTTTTTTTTAACATTTTTAATGGCCAAGGAAATAATATTTACCCTTATTTCCTTATAACTAGGTAACTTGTCATAAGTTTTTTTTTTCTGTTGAGAACCACTTATGAAAATCAACACATACTGAGATAGGCTTTCTTATATTATTCCCCTGATGCAAAATAAACATATTTAGTCATGGCAAGAAAAAAATGCAAACATGGGTATCAGTGCCTCAGCTTTTCCCATATTTATTAAAGAAATCTAAATATCTGAGAAACTACATTCAAATGAGGCTTCATTTTATTTCTCCTTTGAATCATTAATTTACAAAAGGAAGGGCTTATATTGCCTGTCTACATTATCTTATAAATAGCAATGCTATTTAATATTATTTTAATGTGAGTGATTTAAATAGCATCATACAATGAACAAAATAACTATTCTTTTTCATAGCATTATTTAAGTTGTACCACAGTGCCCTAGTGATATTTGTCCTAAACTATATCTGTGTGGAAAAAAAAGATAATTTTGTTATGGTCATCTTTAGAAACCAACCAATTCGCAAATAGGTGGACTTTTCTTCAACTGGGCAAATTAATTTAGCCCAATTAAGGGAATTTAAAACCAGCTGATACACCACACACTGAGAGGTCTAATGAGATAAAAATACGAGTACCTACATTACAGAGATGCACAATACAATATAATATGATATAATATAACCCACCAGGAGGTATTTGTGCTGAATTAAAAGGCAGGCAATTGAAAAACTCTCGTATCTATCATGGACCAGTTATACATCAGTCCCTTTTTGGACATGCAGGAAGTGTACAGTTGGTATATGGGACATCGGAATCCATCTCTCAAACTCGAGAACCCATACTCTTTCCAGCAGCATGTGGTGCTGGCACCCTAGTTCAGATGCAGGTCCCCTTTGGAATGAGGCTCAAAATGCAGTATGCCCATGACTCATCACAAACACTCCTTCACCTCCTGTGCCTCAATGGGGGTGATGGAATTTACCACTTAGATGGTTCTAAGATCCCCAACCACAATCTACCTCCAAAAGTCTCTCATGTTGCACCTTCAAGATGAGTCAGGAATTTGCCATTACATTTGGAAGCAAACTGAAGCACTTTAATGATTTTTTTTTTTTTTAGACAGTCTTGCTCTGTCATCCAGGCTGTTGTGCAGTGGCGTGATCTCAGCTCACTGCAACCTCTGCTTCCTGAGTTCAAGCTATTCTCCAGCCTCAGCCACTCTAGTGGCTGGGATTATAGGTGAGTGCCACCATGCCTGGCTATTTTTTTTTTCTTTTTTAGTAGAAACAGGGTCTCGCCATATTGGCCAGGCTGGTCTCAAACTCCTGGCCTCAAGTGATCCACCAGTCTTGGCCTCCCAAAGTGCTGGGATTACAGGCGTGAGCCACTAAGCCTGGCCAGCACTGTAATGATTTTTAATCACCTTAAATGGCTCTCCAAATTTGGGCTGTGTTCATCCAATCAACCAGAGGTAGGAAAAAACAATGCATTTGTCTGTTAAGGGAGTAGCCCTCATGGAAAAAGATGTTGGTATTGTGCTATGCAGAGGAGGATTTGGATTTTAGGGCTCTTTGTCTAGGACTGTGAATGAGGTTTTCCTTTTCCATTCAGAATTGCTGAATGATGTTCCTAGTGGAATACGTTTGTGTGATTCATTTCCACAGTTAGGAATGCAGCCTTAGAGCACTTTTCTTTATTCAGAGCTAATTGGTGCATCAATGTTCTAGCCATCGATTTCATTAGCAACATATAGATAGATATCTGTACATCTCTATGAATTGATTTTCATCACTCCCAGGGAATCCAAAGATCTCAAGCATAGAGACAAGTGCTTCATATAAGAAAAAGAATCGGAGAGACTCTCATGCCTTAACCATATGCTAACAAAGATGGTATACCTTCTTTATGCCAGAACGGTCATAGGTATTCAGTAAGTATTTATGGACTACAGCTATAACACCCTGAACATGCCTGATCATGTCAGTAAGTATTTATTGGGTGTCTACTATGTGCCAGGCATTGTTCTAGGTGCTGACGATACAGACAGGTACAAATAGGTTAAGTGCTGCTGTCATGAGCATACCTTCTAGTGAAGGGAGATAGACAAACACATCAACAAATAAGTAGAAAGTAGGTCTGATGGTGATAGGGGCTATTGTATGTGGGGTAAGGAGTGTCAATGGGATGAGGAGTTTCTATATTTTATAGGGTGATATTTTAGCAAAGTCCTAAGGAAGTGAGGAAGCAAGACTTTCAACTACAGTGATGGATGGGGGCAGAGTTACCCGGGCAGAGGAAACAGTGATTGCAGAAGCTGTGAGGCCAGGGTGAACTCAACCAACGCAGGAAGCCTATGTAGGTTGGAGCAGAGGGAGGAAGCACTACAGTAGTAGGAGCTGAAGTCTCAGGAATGTGTCTGAGGGTGTATGTGTGCGGGGGGCGGGGGCAGTGGTTGTGGGTGGGTGTTGGTGAGGCAGTGTTTGCAGATCCTGTAGGGTCTAGTAGATCACTAGAAGGATCTTGGGTTTTCCTTGGAGTGAGATGGGAAGGTTTCAGAGCTCAGGAGTAACAATATCCAATTGATATTATAGAGCTCAGTCTGACTGCTAGACAGAGAGCAGCCTGCAAGGCAGGAGATGTTAAGAGATGATGGTGGATTGGGACGGGGGTGGCACTGGAAGTGGGGTGACTTGGGGAGTTCCTGGATAGATTTTGATAGTACAATGAGTGTGGCTTGCTGATGGACTGTATGTGTCAGATAAAGAGCAGAAACGAGGTTTCCAGGTTGTTTCCTGGGACAGCTGGGAGAATGAAGTCACTATTTACTGAGATGGGGACAACTGCAGGAGGAGCAGTTGATAGGAGGGACCACAACCTTGCTTCAGTGTCCTGTGGGAGGGGCAGTCTGGAGGCTTTGTAAAATCATCCAGATAACAAGAAGGTCCAGGGATATTTGGATCATGCCCAAAAGTTTATACTATACATGGAAAAAATTGAACATAAATACTTAATTTATTATTCCCAATCAATGCAGTATAGCACTGTGGCTGGCAGCACTGATGCTGGAAACAGCCTTAGTCCAAATATCAATCCTGTCACTTAATAGTTGTGATAAGTTGGCCCATCTGCTTAATATCCCTCAAAGTTATTGTGAGAATTGAGGTGATTTGTTTAAAAATAATATTATTTAACATTTATTGAATGCTTATTAGAAGCCAGACACTGTTGTGAGCACATTTAATCTTCCTTCACCCTATGAGAAAAGGTACTAATATTATCCCCATTTTCCAGAGGAGAAAACTGAGGCACAGAGAGGCAAAGTAACTTGCCAAAGTCACACAGCTAGGAGGCCATAGATACTAGTTTGTGCACTCAGGCTGACCAGTTCCTGAAAACATGCCCTTAACCATAGAACTATGAGGAGAACACAGCACATAGTAAATACTCAAAAATAGTAGCTTGTATTATGATCAGGTAACTCATAAAACAAAAACGTCAAAGAGTCAGTTGTATGTTTATATGACTCCACTTGTAATCATTGCATGACTCAGTTTCCATCGTGCATTGCTTTCTCCAGCTCTATTTTGGGTACGTAGCCCATATTCTTCCTTCCTTGATATGATGAAGTCTTTGCTGAGAAAATCAGAACAAAATATTTATCATTTGAAAGTTCGCCTTAAAAATGCCCAAGGCACAGGAATCCTTAAGAGTCATAAAATCCATCACAAGCATGGAGACTTTTTTTCTGTCATTAATGTCATTTAGGACTGTAACATATTTACCTATGTCCCAGATACCGAACAGGAAGCAATTGTTCAGACACACTTCTAAGTAGCTCCAGGGCAGGCAACAATGTCTGACATTAGCTCTCCATATTTGTCTTTCCTTTGAATCATGGAGCTCACCCTTCAGCCCCAAAGTGCTTTCAGATGGGACCTTGCTGAGCGTCTGCACCTTATTTCTTTCAATTACGCTTGCATTGTCTGGCCTAATGAGTTTCCAAAGCTAGTTTTCATTTTATTTAGGGCATGTTTTCAGATGTGTTAAATTAATTGGTGCTAAATAAAAGGTAACCTGACCCCTGAAGCTTCTAGCAAATACATTCCATTACCAAATGTACTATTCTAACCCTCATATGTCTAAAAAAACAAACGTAAATGAGCTGTGCTGTACCTGTTTCTTCTTGTTGTGTATCTTGGGCAAGTCACTTAAACTCTCTGAGCTACAGTTCCCTTATTTGTACAATGGAACCATTAGTTGCTTTGGCTGCCCATTGAAATCACCTGGAAGAGATTTAAAAGATACGGGTGCCTGAGTCCCACCCCCAGAAAGTCTGATTTAATTGACCTGGGCTGGGCCTTGGAGCAGAGTTTTTAAAAGCTACCTTAGGGAATTTTGATGAGTAGCCAAGGTTGAGAACCACAGGTCTAGATCAGTGGTTCTCAAATTGGAGTGGGCATCAGAATCCCCTAGAGGGCTTGTTAAAACACAGGTTACAGGGCCCCACCCCAGAGTTTCTGATTCAGCAGTCTGGGGTGGGGCCTAGAAATTTGCATTTCTGACAAGTTCCCAGGTAGGGCCGATGCTGTTGGTTTTGGAAATGCTTCTGTATATCAGGGGTTGGCAAACTCAGGTACTCCAGCCCAAGCCTGCCCACCACCTGTTTTTGTATGGTCCATGAGTTAAGAATTTTTTTTTTAACATTTTCAAATAGTTGAAAGAATCAAAAGAATTATATTTCATGACATATGAAAAGTATGTGAAATTAAAATTTCAGTGCCCATAGATAAAGTTTTATTGGAATGCAGCCATGCCCATTCAGTCTACCATTAGACCAAGTGTGGGACCTCATGTAACTGCACAGGTTGTATGCCCAAGAAGCTGGCTCTGACTGACATTGACTAATTTAAGCTCCAAGCTTGATGTGTTTACCTCCTGAAGGGGATCAGAATATGCCAACCCCAAATATGCCTCTTTGGCATAATAATTATTTTGAGCTAAAGTCAAATGAAAATCAACAGCTGTCGGAAGAGTTCTCTGCCCTCCCTCTATCTGCCTAAAAGCAGAACATACATTTCCCTTTGAAGAAGGTGCCCCCTGTACCAGAGAGAGAAGAATGACTTTTATCATAGAAGATGGGGAGTTGATACCAAGAAGAGTTTGTATAAATAGACCTTAGTCCTTATTGTTCATTAGTTCCCCTATATATTTCCTAGTCATTTTCCCATAATTTATTATCCCTTGAAGCCCAAACCCTCTTTCCTTTGTTAAAAGGGTATGTTAAAAGCCCCTGAGTCTAGCTGCTTCTTTGTGTTTTGCTCCTTTTGTGTGAACTCTTGTGTATGTACTTTTTTTTCTTTTTTTGAGACAAGGTCTCTCTCTGTTGCCCAGGCTAGAGTGCAGTGATGTGATTATGGCTCACTGCAGCCTCAATCAACCTCCCAGGCCCAAGCAATCCTCCTACCTCAGCCTCCAGAGTAGCTGAGACTACAGGTGCACACCACCATGCCTGGCTAATTTTTAAATTTTTTTTGTAGAGGCAGGGTCTCCCTATGCTGCTCAGGCTGGTCTCAAACTCCTGGGCTCAGGCAATCCTCCCGCCTTGGCCTCCCAAAGTGCTGGAATTACAGGCTAGAGCTTCCAAACACAGCCTTGTACATGTAAATATTGATTAAAATTGTGTGCCTTTTCTCCTGTTAATCTATCTTTTGTTAGTTTAGTTTGCAGGCCCCCAGGGATTGAACAGAAGAAGGTAGATGAAAAGATTTCCTCCCCAATACTCGTTGCCTAAGAAATGTGAGACATTGTTATTTGCAGGCTCTTCACCTCACTGTTAGTCATCCCCCATTTCCCCCTCCCCTACAGCCCACATCACATGACATAACTGCACGAAAGGCCACTCCATTAGACAGAGAGAAAGTCTCTTGGAAACAGGATGACTTAAGTCAGATGACCTCACAATAGAAGGATTGTGGGTTATTACAAGACCCTGTGCCCTTTCTGGTAACAAATATCCATGAAAGGACCATCAAAGATGCATATAGAGCAAAAATTGCAGAATAATACCTATGTGTATGCTAAAAGAAAATGCTAAGAAAAAAAATGATAGGCATGCTGTGGGCAGGAAGAACAGGATGGTTGATATTTATTTCTAAATATCTGAAACCCAAAGTTATTCCATGGTATTTTAATAAAAGTCCCATATGTAAGAATCTTTTGGTAATAAGAAAGATATGAAAACACATTTTACTGGAAATAAGCATATAAGTTGTAAAGTTTTTAAAAAGCCCCTTCTCCTGAACCATGCCTCTAGTTAAATTTAAATCCAAGTAATATCATCCAGTTAACTAATATGGTTTTATCTCTGATTCTCTGGAAAGATGTGTATCCTTCCTGGTAACTATTCCCTTAACAAAGAGGTTGCTATGGATACATTTTTTTTTTTTTAAATTGAGTGCTGGCATTTTAAAGCCTGTGCAATTTAGTGCACTATATCTGGCCAGAGGGTTATACTAATTTAAGTGCCTGTATTTAATGCTAGCAATTTTTATCTTAATACACTTGCTTCATGCATTTGACGTGCCGTGTTCAAGAGCGTAAGAGATGGTGTGGGTGTTCTTTAAGGAAAAGCAAGTAAGACGAATATCGTACAACCCACCTAACTGCAATTGAATCAGTGGATGCTTCACTCGCCTGGAATTCGTCTGTTCTTGGTGTGTTTAATAATGAGTCATGCGATACATTTGCAAGGCAATGGGGCCACCTCCCAGGGCCTGGGGCCACGTTATGATTTTCTGCGCCTGAGTCCCCCGTCTTTGTTCAGACAGGTTGCTAATGCATCCCGCGAAGCTGACCTAATGCTACTTCAGTGGGTCTATTTTTCTTCTGTGGCTCAGCTCGAATGTGATATTCAGGAAGTCGACTGTCAGGCATGCAAATTGAGAGAAAAATATGCCACATTAAATCATGATGGTTTAATAAGGTATTACTCATGGGCAAATGGCTTCTGGTACTCTCCTTAGTAGGGGCAAGTTGAAAAGCATAACCTGCCCCAGAGAAGAGATCTAGCAATTTCATTGTCATTCCATCTTTGTCAAGGCATTTGGTGAAATATGCTCCAGTTGACATACTGTAGCTGCCAGTATTCTACCTGAAAATATAAACCCACATGTATCCTACTTTAGTCACCAATATTAAGAATCTTTACCATTATGATTACACTTGAGGTGAAATACCAAACATTTCAAATGCTTCTAATGATAGTTCCACTCTATGAATATGATACCACTTAGGAATGTTTCATGGTATCTCAAGAATTCCTTTTCAGAGCAAAAGGAAATCTTTACATTTCCATCTTTTACTGCAAATAGAAATTAATAAAATAAGTATTCATTTTCCTTGCAACTCAATTGATTTTTCTGTAATCTGTAGAAAATGAGCATGTTTTCTATATGCCTTCTATAAGAATGCATACATTTAAATTATACCTTTTCCAATCAGACATGGAATTTTACTAAGAAAAAAAAAGAATAAGTCTAGAATGAAAGAATTGTCATGCTGAAATTCTCCAGGTCATTTACACATTGATTACTTTGTCTGCTGCAAAACTATTAATTTAGTATTTGCCATGGCTTTAGAACTTAAGTTCTTTACATAGTAACTTACTTTCATAAATATGGAAGTATAATAATTAGGGTGGTGTATGTAACAATAACATAAAAACACTTATTTTTGACAGGCTGGTCATTGTCTGTCACAGTCATGTCTTCACTCGTGAAGATTGAAAGCAATGTCACATGAAGAAACTGGTTTCATTCTTCAGTTAACAATTTAAATCAGTGCTTAGTTGTCCCAGACTACAAAATATGTTAGAGGCAACAAAACCATTTTTAATCCTTCTTACCTAACTATAGATATTCCATTTAATTTTGGATTTGCTTTGTTAGATAGAGAGAAAGGAGAAAGGCAAAGATTTAAAAACATAAAACAGAGGGAACAGCATGAAAGCAACTATAAAATGCTGGCAAAATCTGGAAGAATAGAAACCATGTGGAAGTAAGTATTGTGGAATAAAGATTTAAAACCCTTCAGAAATGTTCTTTGAAAATCCAGCAACACAGAGGGGAAAAATGAAGAAAAATTAGCCAGTGCCAGTAAGAAAGCACTTTCTCTTTCCACCCTGACCAATTTTCTTTTATTTAAAAGAAACAGAACAAGATTAAGAGTTTAAAAATAGAGAGGAGGGCAAAACAGTAATCTGTAGTTTTTTTCTTCTTTCAGCTGTTCCTCTTTAACTATAATTAATCATCTTCTCCAAACAGCAGACCTCCAGGGAACTGCATTGAGGAAGGAAAATTCAAAGCAATGGAAACAAAATCAGTCCTTACAGGTTTCACCGTTGGGATTTGGACCCGGAGTGAAAAGAGGATAATGGTCTCAGAGCAGCCTCTGGTGGCTGAATGTCAAAAGCTCAAGAAGTCAGAGGCCACCTTACTAGTGTTCTCTTGACCTCCACTCTCCACGGTCTTAAGATTTTGTGCAAAGGAAGTTACTATTTAAATGACTTCAAGGCACTAGTTCAGAATTGATTAGGTTGGAATTGAAGTGAATTCATCAGTTTCAAGGGCAATCACAGATGGACTATGGATTTGATGCTGACAAACTGGGCCATTCCAACAATGGGGATATATATATATATATATATATATATATATATACACCACTGGTGACTGACACCTGAAATTCTAATTTTTAAGCAATCTGAATATTTTGATTCTTAAAACGCTGTGTGTGTGTGTGTGTGTGTGTGTGCATGTGTGCACAGAGATCTGTCCATCAGAAGCATTTGGGGTGCATTTTCTTGTCACAGCTTTCCCAGCTGTACAACATCTGTTTAGGACAGAGGCCTATACATTCCATCTGGTATGTTCCCCATTGAACCATCTCATCTGGGAAGTTTCCAAGGGGCCCTTTTCAAAATCTTGAGTCTTATAATCTAACTTGTATCAAATATCATGTCCAAAAGAGTGCTGCAATCTTCAGCTCCCTTTCTATGAGCATATCACATTTACACATCAGGTTAGAATGTTTTGTTCAAAAACAGATATTCTGTGTTCACCAAAAAAAACTTGAAGGTTTCAAACACAGTGAGGGTAAGTTTGTGAATACTCAAACACATATTTTAAATTGGTTTCAATAGGAGTCTGCTTTATGTATTTTTTTTTTTAGTAATTAACCAGCAGTTCTCTGGGCCTGCCAGAGGTGATGGAATTTTGTTAGGACCACATGGACCCTACAAAAGATCTATGGTATCAGGAGTTCAAGACCAGCCTGACCAACATGGTGAAACTCCATCTCTACTAAAAATACAAAAATTAGCCAGGCATGGTGGTGCACGCCTGTAATCCCAGCTACTCAGGAAGCTGAGGCAGGACAATCGCTTGAACCCAGGAGGCAGAGGTTGGAGTGAGCCGAGATTGCACCACTGTACTCCAGCCTGGGTGACAGAGCAAGACTCCATCTAAAAAAAAAAAAAAGAAAGAAAGAAAGACCTATGATAACTTGTGTGTACAATGTTGAATTTATAGAGCCCACTTCTTATTCACAAGGAAGTATCCTGGTTCAATCAAATATCAACATTAGAATTATCTGGGCTCCTAATTAATGCCTGAAAAAGAGACAGCAGCTATTTGGAAGTACAAGGAATTAATAGTAATGTACAGATGAACTTCTTAGTCTGGACAAATGTGCCACCATTAGGTAAGATGTTCATAACAGGGGAGGCTGGGGGAAAGGCATGCAGGAACTCTCTGTACTACCTTTGCAACTTTCTGTAAATCTTAAAATGTTCCAAAATCAAGAGTTTCTTTTTTAAAAAAAGTACAGAGAGTAATGTCGGCAAATACACTCGGGAAGTGGGAAAAGATGGACAAAGTTCTCTGGCAGAAGAAAAGTTTAATAACAGTAGGATATTGGCCTTGTCATCCAAGATGGCTGAATAGGAACAGCTCCAGTCTGCAGCTCCCAGCATATTCCAACTGAGGTACCAGGTTCATCTCATTGGGGCTTGTCAGACAGTGGGTGCAGCCCACAGAGCAGGGCAGGGCGTTGCCTCACCTGGGAAGCACAAGGGGTTGGGGAATTCCCTTTCCTAGAAAAGGGAAGCCGTGACAGACAGCAACTGGAAAATCGGGACACTCCCACCCTAATACTGTGCTTTTCCAATGGCCTTAGCAAACGGCACACCAGGAGATTATATCCTGCGCATGGCTCGGAGGGTCCCACACCCACAGAGCCTGGCTCACTGCTAGCACAGCAATCTGAGATCGAACTGCAAGGTGGCAGCGAGGTGGAGGGAGGGGCGTCCGCCATTGCTGAGGCTTGAGAAGGTGAACAAAGCTGCCAGGAAGCTCAAACTGGGTGGAGCCCACTGCAGCTCAAGGAGGCCTGCCTGCCTCTGTAGACTCCACCTCTGGGGTCAGGGCATAGCTGAACAAAAGGCAGCAGAAACTTCTGCAGACTTAAATGTCCCTGTCTGACAGCTTTGAAGAGAGTAGTGCTTCTCCCAGCATGGAGTTTGAGATCTGAGAACAGACAGACTGCCTCCTCAAGTGGGTCCCTGACCCCCAAGTAGCCTAACTGGGAGACACATCCCAGTAAGGGCCAACTGACACCTCATACAGCTGGGTGCCCCTCTGAGATGAAGCTTCCAGAGGAAGGATCAGATAGCAAAATTTGCTGTTCTGCAACATTTGCTGTTCTGCAGCCTCTGCTGGTGATACCCAGGCAAACAGGGCCTGGAGTGGACCTCCAGCAAACTCCAGCAGACCTGCAGCTGAGAGTCATGACTGTTAGAAGGAAAACTAACAAAGAGAAAGGACATTCACACCAAAACCCCATCTGTACATCACCATCATCAAAGACCAAAGGTAGATAAAACCACAAAGATGGGGAGAAACCAGAGCAGAAAAGCTGAAAATTCTAAAAACCAGCACACGTCTTCTCCTCCAAAGGAACGCAGGTCCTTGCCAGCAATGGAACAAAGCTGGACAGAGAATGACTTTGACGAGTTGAGAGAAGAAGGCTTCAGGTGATCAGTAATAACAAACTTCTCCGAGCTAAAGGAGGATGTTTGAACCCATCACAAAGAAGCTAAAAACCTTGCAAAAAGATGAGATGAATGGCTAACTAGAATAAACAGTGTAGAGAAGTCCTTAAATGACCTGACTGAGCTGAAAACCATGGCATGAGAACTACGTGATGCACGCACAAGCTTCAGTAGCCAATTTGATCAAGTGGAAGAAAGGGTATCAGTGATTGAAGATCAAATGAGTGAAATGAAGCGAAAAGAGAACTTTAGAGAAAAAAGAGTAAAAAGAAATGAACAAAGCCTCCAAGAATTATGGCACTATGTGAAAAGACCAAATCTACGTCGGATTGGTGTGCCTGAAAGTGACGGGGAGAATGGAACCAAGTTGGAAAACACTCTTCAGGATATTATCCAGGAGAACCTCCCCAACCTAGTGAGGCAGGCCAACATTCAAATTCAGGAAATACAGAGAATGCCACAAAGATACTCCTTGAGAAGAGCAATTCCAAGACACATAATTGTCAGATTCACCATGGTCGAAATGAAGGAAAAAAATGTTAAGGGCAGCCAGAGAGAAAGGTCGGGTTACCCACAAAGGGAAGCCCATCAGACTAACAGCTGATCTGTCGGCAGAAACTCTACAAGCCAGAAGGGAGTGAGGGCCAATATTCAACATTCTTGAAGAAAAGAATTTTCAACCCAGAATTTCATATCCAGCCAAACTAAGCTTCATAAGTGAAGGAGAAATAAAATCCTTTACAGACAAGCAAATGCTGAGAGATTTTGTCACCACCAGGCCTGCCTTACAAGAGCTCCTGAAGGAAGCACTAAACATGGAGAGGAACAACAGGTACCAGCCACAGCAAAAACATGCCAAATTGTAAAGACCATCAGTGCTAGGAAGAAACTGCATCAACTAACGAGCAAAATAACCAGCTAATATCATTATGACAGGATCAAATTCACACATAACAATATTAACTTTAAATGTAAATGAGCTAAATGCTCCAATTAAAAGACACAGACTGGCAAATTGGATAAAGAGTCAAGACCCATCAGTGTGCTGTATTCAGGAGACCCATCTCATGTGCAGAGACACACATAGGCTCAAAATAAAGGGATGGAAGAAGACCTACCAAGCAAATGGGGGGCAAAAAAAGCAGGGGTTGCAATCCTAGTCTCTGATAAAACAGACTTTAAACCAACAAACATCAAAAGGGACAAAGAAGGCCATTACATAATGGTAAAGGGATCAATTCAACAAGCAGAGCTAACTGTCCTAAATATATATGCACCCAATACAGGAGCACCCAGATTCATAAAGCAAGTCCTTAGAGACCTACAAAGAGACTTAGACTCCCACACAATAATAATGGGAGACGTTAACACCCCACTGTCAACATTAGACAAATCAACAAGACAGAAAGTTAACAAGGATATCCAGGAATTGAACTCAGCTCTGCACCAAGCGGACCTAATAGACATCTACAGAACTCTCCACCCCAAATCAACAGAATATACATTCTTCTCAGCACCACACCACACTTATTCCAAAATTGACCACATAGTTGGAAGTAAAGCACTCCTCAGCAAATGTAAAAGAACAGAAATTATAACAAACTGTCTCTCAGACCACAGTGCAATCAAACTAGAACTCAGGATTAAGAAACTCACTCAAAACCACTCAACTGCATGGAAACTGAACAACCTGCTCCTGAATGACTACTGGGTACATAACGAAATGAAGGCAGAAATAAAGATGTTCTTTGAAACCAATGAGAACAAAGACACAACATACCAGAATCTCTGGGACACATTTAAGCAGTGTGTAGAGGGAAATTTATAGCACTAAATGCCCACAAGAGAAAGCAGGAAAGATCTAAAATTGACACCCCAACATCACAATTAAAAGAACTAGAGAAGCAAGAGCAAACACATTCAAAAGCTAGCAGAAGGCAAGAAATAACTAAGATCAGAGCAGAACTGAAGAACTAAGATAGAGACACAAAAAAACTCTTCAAAAAATCAATGAATCCAGGAGCTGGTTTTTTGAAAAGATCAACAAAATTGATAGACTGCTAGCAAGATTAATAAAGAAGAAAAGAGAGAAGAATCAAATAGACACAATAAAAAATGATAAAGGGGATATCACCACCGATCCCACAGAAATACAAACAACCATCAGAGAATACTATAAACACCTCTACACAAATAAACTAGAAAATCTAGAAGAAATGGACAAATTCCTGGACACATACATCCTCCCAAGACTAAACCAGGAAGAAGTTGAATCCCTGAATAGACCAATGACAGGTTCTGAAATTGAGGCAATAAGTAGCCTACCAACCAAAAAAGTCAAGGACCAGACAGATTCACAGTCAAATTCTACCAGAGGTACAAAGAGGAGCTAGTACCATTCCTTCTGAAACTATTCCAATCAATAGAAAAAGAAGGAATCCTCCCTAGTTCATTTTATAAGGCCAACATCATCCTGATACCAAAGCCTGGCAGAGACACAACAAAAAAAGAGAATTTTAGACCAATATCCCTGATGAACATTGATGCAAAAATCCTCAATAAAATACTGGCAAACCAAATCCAGCAGCACATCAAAACGTTTATCCACCGCGATCAAGTTGGCTTCATCCCTGGGATGCAAGGCTGGTTCAACATACACAAATCAGTAAACGTAATCCATCATATAAACAGAACCAAAGACAAAAACCACATGATTATCTCAATAGATGCAGAAAAGGCCTTCGACAAAATTCAACAACACTTCATGCTAAAAACTCTCAATAAACTAGGTATTGATGGAATGTATCTCAAAATAGTAAGAGCTATTTATGACAAACTTACAGCCAATATCATACTGAATGGGCAAAAACTGGACGCATTCCCTTTGAAAACTGGCACAAGACAGGGATGCCCTCTCTCACCACTCCTATTCAACACAGTGTTGGAAGTTCTGGCCAGGGCAATCAGGCAGGAGAAAGAAATAAAGGGTATTCAATTAGGAAAAGAGGAAGTCAAATTGTCCCTCTTTGCAGATGACATGACTGTATATTTAGAAAATCCCATCGTCTCAGCCCAAAATCTCCTTAAGCTGATAAGCAACTTCAGCAAAGTCTCAGGATAAAAAATCAATGTGCAAAAATCACAAGCATTCCTACACAGCAATAACAGACAGAGAGCCAAATCATGAGTGAACTCCCATTCACAATTGCTTCAAAGAGAATAAAATACCTAGGAATCCAACTTACAAGGGATGTGAAGGACCTCTTCAAGGAGAACTACAAACCACTGCTCAACGAAATAAAAGAGGACACAAACAAATGGAAGAACATTCCATGCTCATGGATAGGAAGAATCAATATTGTGAAAATGGCCGTACTACCCAAGGTAATTTATAGATTCAATGCCATCCCCATCAAGCTATCAATGACTTTCTTCACAGAATTGGAAAAAACTACTTTAAAGTTCATATGGAACCAAAAATGAGCCCACATTGCTAAGACAATCCTAAGCCAAAAGAACAAAGCTGGAGGCATCACGCTACCTGACTTCAAACTATACTACAAGTTTACAGTAACCAAAACAGCATGATACTGGTACCAAAACAGAGATATAGACCAATGGAACAGAACAGAGCCCTCAGAAATAATACCACACATCTACAACCATCTGATCTTTGACAAACCTGACAAAAACAAGAAATGGGGAAAAGATTCCCCATTTAATAAATGGTGTTGGGAAAACTGGCTAGCCATATGTAGAAAGCTGAAACTGGATACCTTCCTTACATCTTATACAAAAATTAATTCAAGATGGATTAAAGACTTAAATGTAAGACCTAAAACCATAAAAACCCTAGAAGAAAACCTAGGCAATACCATTCAGAACGTAGGCATGGGCAGGGACTTCATGTCTAAAACACCAAAAGCAATGGCAACAAAAGCCAAAAATGACAAATGGGATCTAATTAAACTAAAGAGCTTCTGCACAGCAAAAGAAACTACCATCAGAGTGAACAGGCAACCTACAGAATGGGAGAAAATTTTTACAATCTACCCATCTGACAAAGGGCTAATATCCAGAATCTACAAAGAACTTAAACAAATTTACAAGAAAAAATCAAACAGCCCCATCAAAAAGTGGGCAAAGGATATGAACAGACACTTCTCAAAAGAAGACATTTATGCAGCCAACAGACACGTGAAAAAATGCTCATCATCACTGGCCATCAGAGAAATGCAAATCAAAACCACAATGAGATACCATCTCACACCAGTTACAATGGCGATCATTAAAAAGTCAGGAAACAACAGGTGCTGGAGAGCATGTGGAGAAATAGGAACGGTTGGTGGGACTGTCAACTAGTTCAACCATTGTGGAAGTCAGTGTAGCGATTCCTCAGGGATCTAGAACTAGAAATACCATTTGACCCAGCCATCCCATTACTGGGTATATACCCAAAGGACTATAAATCATGCTGCTATAAAGACACATGCACATGTATGTTTATTGTGGCACTATTCACAATAGCAAAGACTTGGAACCAACCCAAATGTCCAACAATGATAGACTGGATTAAGAAAATGTGGCACATATACACCATGGAATACTATGCAGCCATAAAAAATGATGAGTTCATGTCCTTTGTAGGGACAAGGATGAAGCTGGAAACCATCATTCTGAGCAAACTATCACAAGGACAGAAAACCAAACACCATATGTTCTCACTCATAGGTGGGAATTGAACAATGAGAACACTTGGACACAGGGTGGGGAACATCACACACCGGGGCCTGTTGTGGGGTTGGGGGAGGGAGGAGGGATAGCATTAGGAGATATACCTTATGTAAATAATGAGTTAATGGGTGCAGCACACCAACCTGGCACGTGTATACATATGTAACAAACCTGCACGTTGTGCACATGTACCCTAGAACTTAAAGTATAATAAAAATAATAAAAAAACAGTAGGTTATTAATCACTGTTGTTTGTTATGTACCAGGCACTTAACTACACACCTTAACTACAGAAACTAAATTAAATTGTGCCCTTTAAATGCATTGATAAAGGAATATTATTACCTGCTCTCATTAAAAAAAAGAACCAATTCATAAGAAAACAAGTCCAGAAGTGTGGTGCTTAAATTTCAGTAGGAGACCTTCATTCCTCCTTCCTCTCAGCCATCTCCCTATTTTATCCGTCCCTAGGATCTTCGGCCCCTCCAAACCCTGTCTTTATTGGTTCCCACCACGACATTTCTTTTTCATTATTCATATGTTTGAGTATCAGAATAAATATTCTGATACTCAAATATTTGAATTTTGAGATCATTACAGGTATTAGTTTTTCATATGAAAAAGCAAGGGGCAGTTGATGTGCTGATGGCAACACAAGAATCCTAGTTAGAACAGACCTCGGTCTGGCCATGAAGTTCCATTGTGAATTCTCTGGACTTGATCAGTTCTTTAGCACTTTTCAAGCAACCTAATTAGTATCTCAGCTATTCTTAGCTCCAGAACAGGGTCCAAAGTTCCCATGATGACAGTCATGTGGCAAAATTTCCAAGTGTGACACAAAAACATTACTCCTTTTCAAACTCAGAAAGTGTAAGAAGCACAGATTACAAGCAGAAAGAGTATGTATCCAAAGCCCAGTTTCCTTTTAAACCTCTCTTGTCTTCTTTTTAATTCCACTGGGACTTTTATTGATCCTGTTCTTTCTTGCATTTGCTGCTTTGTCATTGCCGTGATTGAAGTCAGACATCTTTTGAACTTCTTCCTAAATGTTGTAGGTGCGACAGCATGGCACTTTGTTCTCAAGCTTTTCTACCATAGTGGTAAGTACAGTTAGTTGAGCCGGGGCAGTGCAACATGGCTGAAAGTCCAAGTGAACAGGGGGTCAGGAGGGCTCTCTTCAATTTTCTCTGTCACCAGCATGCTTTGTGTCCTGGGGCAACCTATGTAACTTCTCAGGGTCTCCAAGTCCTGAGGTGGGTAGTGTTAAAAGAAAAACTTTAGCTGAATTAAATTTAAGAGTTTAATGGAGCAAAGGATGATTCTCAAATCAGGTAGCCTCCTGAAGCTCAGAGACTCCAGTGCAGCCACATGGTAAGATTTATGGACAGAAAAAGGAAAGTGACATACAGAAAACGGAAATGACTTACAGAAACAGCTGAATTGGTCACAGCTCAGTTTTGTCTTATTTGAACATGGTTTGAACAGTTGGTCACCTTTGATTGGCCAAAACTTAGTGGTTGGTGCAAGAGTAGACTACAGTCTCTTTACAACTCCATTTAGGTGATAGTTCATGATATACAGAGAAACCTTTAGGTCGAGCTTAAAATATGTAAGGAGGCAGCTTTAGGCTAAACTTGATTTAACAGTAGTGAGGGGCTGGGCTTTGTGCAGATAAACCACTAGGGTTTACTAAGCACCCTATTGGACACCTCTTAAGTACCACATCAAGGCTTCTAGTTGCCAACTCTTCCTCCAGCCACTGCTGTGGTGACAGTTTCTATGTTGGCTTTAACCAGTTTCCCTTGGGTGCAGTCTGACAGTGTCTTGCCCCTGGTTGTACCAAGGACCTCTTGATTCCTACCTTGAGGCTTTTCTGACAGGGCAAAGGAAACCCATCCCTCAACTCTCCTGGATTGGCAACCCAGATGTACAGGGAGTTGACTTTCATGGGGCCACCCAAGATGGATGGGCCACAGGAGCCTCTTTTCCCTCAGAACAGGGGAGTTCTGAGACAGATTTGATAAGCTCCTCAGAACACTCCCTGGGATGAACCTCAGTTGTCCATAGGAGAAGCCAAGTTGGTAATGCCCTTGTCTGGGCTTTACAGCTGTGTTTTACTCTCCTCGCCACCACTCCCCGAACCACACTGCCACTCCCTGAGACCACCTCCCATACAAACTTCCTCTAAGGAAGCCTTGCTTCAAGATCTGCTGTGGGCAGACACAGGCTAAGACAAGCACCTACTCCATATCAGACATCTTCATCCTTTCCCGCTTTAAATGTTGATGGGTGTGCAATTGCTTGCTGGCAGAGTTCAATTCTGCCCAGTGGTCCTTGTAATAAGAACAGACTGGGAAGAAGCTGAGTGGCCAGGATAACTGAAAATTACTTCCAGCTTTTTGCCTGACTTCAAGAGGCCACCGGGTATAAGACTCTGGTATAGTCCCAGGGTATATTTGGCTATATCACACAGCAACCTAATATAAGTGGAAAGGAGGTATAACAGAGAGTAATTTAAACAGAAATAGGCTAATGAGAAAGACCCCAAAACTGTTCTTCTCTCTTTCCACCCCCTGATGTTAAGGAAAACCATAGGGGAAGGAAATTTTCGCCTCCATTTCTGCTCAATACAGAAGTTTTAAAGTTCAGGAGAAAAATGTCTGAGAAGCACATTTTTGCATGTTGCCCAAAATGAGGGAAGTGTGCCATTTCTCCCTTTAGAACACAGCCAAGGGACATTAATAATGGTTAGGGGGAAAAAGAGTATTCTTTGTCAATTAGGTTTGGAAAATAAGTTAAGTAATCTTTTATAAAATAAATGGCAAATTTTCTCTGAGCCTTGAAAATAGTAACATATATTGTGATTCTTTGAGAGGGAGGCTGAGAAAACAGCATTTACCTAATTTATTTTTTGACCTAACCATTTTTCCACAGGCCATTTTGCAGAAAAAGAAGGTGTGAAACAGGAATTTTTCTAATTATATCAGAGAAACGAAAAGAAGGCTGTCTTTTTTGCTTGATTTTAACAATATCTTAATTGGAGGATGTAATAGGTAAACACTCAAGGCTGCTTCTCTCACTATGATCCTGATACAGTACTTGTGGCATAAGATATACAAATGACCAAATCTTTTTATGGTGAATTAGGGTATATATGGCATTGCTCCATCTCACCCACACCTCTCAAGCTACACAACCATCCAGGAGGTAGGTGTAACAGGAACCTTTACTCTTTGATAGAGAAAACAGTTCAGTGTTCACCTATATTTAAGTGATGGGGGAGGCAGAGCCAGGAAATCAGATCTATGTCTTCCAGCTCCCGATCCAGCATTGTTACCACCACCACATCTATATTTTGACATTTTTATTAGTTTATTTATTTAGCATCCCATTCTATAGAAGGGGAATTGCTTTTTATTTCTAGTTGTGATTTGATCTTTCCCCAATACTACTCCCACAAAATGAAACATATGAGGTTGAGAAGGGTCAACATCACTGCTGGAAAACTATTAAGAGTATTGTGTGCCTTTCAACTCTAACTTCAAATGGAGAATTAGACTCTAGAAGGGTTAATATTAAAGAGTGCTAAAAATTAAAAATAAAAAACCCTGAAAAAATAACATGATATTTTGAAAATGGAAGAATAAAGGGCATATTCTGCTCACAGTGCCACAAATAAGTAAGTTATCTATTTGGGGGTTAGTAGTGGGTTGAGATGTACCTGATTCCACGTGTCCCTAGCATGTAGTGAGCCAACTCAGAACAATACCAGCCCTTTGTGTGGGAAAGCATGGAAAATGCAGTCATCGCCATTCAAGTGTGGTTTAGGGTGAAATCTCTGAGCGTCAGAATCATCATATACGTAGGTAAAAGAAGAGCAGAACTACCACAAATTACCCAGAATAAGAATTTTTCATTTCTCATTTTAGGCATTTCCTCCAGGTATCAAAATTAAATTTTGCTTTCATCTTATACACATCACTGTATGACTACCATCTTTATGAAAAAGGAATACACAAAATTCCTCAATAATCTCCAGCCACAGGCTCCAACTGTTCCAGTTCTGACTTTTTAAAACCATCACCTCTGGCAGAAAAATATGAGATTCCACTGCCATAAATCCAGTTTTCACAGATTTCATATATGTACACATGAACACCAACAGTAAGAAAGATTTCCACGAAGCTTTCCTCTATCTGTATATTTTAGTATGTATTTTCGTAGCTATGGTGTTGTTACAATGCCCCAGTGACTGTGAACTTGGATAAGTCTTGCTGAGGATGGCAGAGTGGAAAACAGAGACACACCAGGATTCTTGATGACATCATTATGCCAAAGAAGTAGTCAACTGTGGAACTGTGTTTGAATTTGTGTGTCTCTCTCTGTGTGCGTGTGTGTGTGTTTTAAGGAAATCTGTGTTTTTAAAGCCACTATAATCAACTAACTAAAACATGCAATCCAAAACTCTGCATTATGATACTTTGAAATATTTTTTAACGCATTCACAGGCCAAACAATATTGTGAGAAAGCAAATTTATTTCAGACCAATAAAAGAAGAAGATGAGTGATGCCAGGAGAGAAAAACTCCTTAACATATGTGATCTTCCTTTTCTTCATTTGCTAAATAGAATCTAAGATATATCTACCTCATTGAGATCGTAAGTCCATAGTAAGGATTCATTATTTGACTATTTTATTTTGCATTAGAAAGTGTGGCAGAGACAATGTTATATGTCCAGTAACTCCTGTTACATTTTGTTTTTCTTCCTGGGCACACGGGAAGACCATTATTTCCCAGCTTCCCGTGTTGTTAGGCTGTGATCATGTGACTGAGATCTGAGCTGTGGGAAAAAGTGATGAAAGCCACATGTGGCCTGGTTTTTATTACTGTTGCACATGATCCTCTGCCTTCTTTCCTGGTGTCATGTTACTATTACGTTTGAATATGAAGGTCTAACCACTACAAGCAGGAGATCAAGCCTTCATATTGGCCACTATATAGACATTGAGTAGTTTTATTTTATTAAAATATTGAAGATTTCCTTAAGTTCACAACTTTGTTCATGCTTTTTCACACATGCTTCTTGCTTTCCCTTTAAAAAGGAAATATAAATTAATAATTAGGAAAGCTAGCTCAAAACCTATATTAAAATAAGTATGGGGAAATGGCTTTAAAATATCAGATAAAGTTTACAAAAATCTATAGGCAAATTTTCTCCATAGAAGCAAAGCAGCTACTCCTAGCAGTACAAATGAGGCCCCTCTAAGTAGGTGCATGTAAGTGGGTATTATACATGCCTAAACATCTACTAAAGAGAAAGCCCATTAAGAAAATGATGTCTGGAGGCACCTACATCTTTTTCCCCTTTTTCAAGTACAGCCTAGACATCTTATCTTCTGCAGCTTTTAACACAATCTCTGCATTTCCATTCCATCTGGCGGGGCTGGTTGAAGGGAAGATGTGAGAATATGCTGAAGGAGAAATCTACCTCTCCTTCTAGTTGGATCACATTACAACATGTGAGCAAGCAAAATGTGTGTGCCCACTAACGTCAGCATGGTTTTCGTTTTGTGAATCATATCATGTTTATAGCAACCTCTTCTTTTTGTAAGCAGGCACAATAACAGAATTGCAATTTGTATCCATCTAAGTAAGAAAATAAGCAATGAAAATCATTTCTATAAAAGAAACCTAGAAGATAAAGAAGTCTCTAGCGTTTTTCAAAGGACCCTAGCTACCATTATAATTTTTAATATGAACCGTGCAATGTGGAATACTGTTGATTTGGCATGGGGAATGATCTTCAAACTTTAGTTTGTTGAAAAATAATGTATGTGTTCATTTGAATTCTGATCTTATATTTCACTTAAAACAGTGCTCACATATGAATTTATTGATTTTGGCATAGCTTAACTTTGAAAATATTAATTTTTGAACACTTAACGTGTCAATCTGACTGTAATATTTAAAAGAAAAAGTCTTGTTCAGTAATAGTATGTACTTTATAACTTTAAAAAGTATATGAAAATAAACTGATAGGTTGTAGATAAGAACACAGAAACTGCATTCATATTTAAGATAAGATTATGAAAACAAAAGAGTTCAAAGAAAATTCACAGGAGACATATAACTCCTGTCACTTGGGGATAAAAAGCCACATCTCTCTGTTGATAAGGGAACCTCAGTGGAAAGTTTTGAAAAGTACTGTTCGAATTATTTGGTCAGGTCACTTATCTCTAGCTTGATTTTAACCTTGGAGCACAAGGAACTTCCCCAAAATATGGCTCCCTGGTATAATGAGTATTTCGAATTAAAGGCCTTTAGAAATCAACAGATAAAAGAAGAGAGCTCCCCGCCATCTACATAAGGATTGGACAGACCCACCAAGAAGAACAATTACTTCTCCCTCCCCGCAACTTGCCCCTCCCATCTCTGAATCCTCTATCTCTCCCAAAGCACAGGCTGAAGTTGTTCTCTAAAGTTTCAGCCTAAAGTCCGGACCTAACAAAGAAGAAAACAATTACCTCTGGTCCCTCCCCTGAGTTTTCATTATTGCAGGAAGGAAGGCTGAAGTCTATTAACAAACCTGGACAGATTTTGTCACAAACCATTGTCTGCTCTGCAGGCCCAACAAACTTTGTTCCAGACCATTGTATGTTCTTCAAGCCCATTGAATCTCCCTAAAAATAATTTACTAATCCCTAAAATCATCCACACTTCCCCATCTCCCGCTCTCCTAAGAAGCAGGGTGTATAAGCATCTGTACCCTGTTGGGATATTGGGCATTCAGTCTGTGATTGTCCCCCTGCCCACGGTAGTAATACCTTTATATGGCTTTTCTCTTAATCTCCCTTTTTGTGAGTTGATTTTTCAACAAACCTTCCAAGGGCGAAGGGAAAGCTTTCCCTTTGCCCCTACAACCTTGAGAGTTTCATGTCTAAGTGGGGGTTCTTGAACACATCCAGGGACAGAAAACTCATTCTCTCCCTTGCAATCCCCTTATAGCTGGACAGCTCTAAAAGTTAGTAGATGTGTTAGTCAGGGTAAGTGAATCTAGCTGCACAAGAAAAGATCCCCCACATCTACATGGCTTGACACAATAAAGGTTTATTTAATGTTCATATCACAATGCACCAGGCAGTTCTGCTCAGCTGGCTCTTTTCGCAGATCTTGGCTTCTTTCACCTACCATCTTACAGGACCTCAGAGTCCTCCCCAGGACCCTCTGCATCTGACTAGCAGCAGGGGAACAGAGAATATGTGGAAGAGCTCAGAGGGGGCTTTAGAGGTCAGGACTGGAAGTAGCATATACTAAGCTCACCCATACTTTATTGGCTTGACTGACATAGGCACATGGCCCCACTTAGATAGCAAGGGGTTAAAATATATAGACTATCAGGGTAACCAAGATGGAGATGAGTTCACAGATGTTGGAGAGTACTAGCAGTGTCTGTTATGGAAAACTGTCCTTCCATTGAGCTAAGGTGTTTCTTGCAGTAGTTTCTACCTATAGAACCCAGCTTAACTTTGGGTCACATTGACCAAGTTTAATTCTGCTTTCATATGACAGCCCCACAGATATTTGAAGACAGTCATTATGCCTCTACGTCTACTTGCTTCTGGGCTATTCATCCAATTAGTCAACTTGTTCTCATATCATCAGTTTTCACATCCCCTCATGATTTGTTTGTTTGTTTTTTGAGACAGGGTCTCGCTCTGTTGTCCAGGCTGGAGTGCATTGGCACGATAATGGCTCACTGCAGCCTCCACCTTCTGGGTTCAAGTGATCCTCCCATCTCAGCCTCCTGAGTAGCTGGGGCTATAGGCACATGCCACCACATCCAGCTAATTAAAATTTTTTTTCAGTAAAGGCGGGGTCCCACCATGTTGCCCAGGTTAGTCTTGCTCTCCTGGGCTCAAGTCATCCTCCCACTTCTGCCTCCCAATGTGCTCGGATTACAGGTGTGAGCCACTGTGCCAGGTCATTTTTTGTTTTCCTAAGCTCCAATTGCTTTACAGTTTGAATGAAAACTGAATGAGATACTCCAATAGTGACCCCAGCTTGAGATATTGTAAATTTATTACTACAAATTACCATATTAGGTTCTGTTAATTCATATTGAACTTACTCCTTCTAAATGATTTAGCTAATTTGGCTGCTAAGCTACATTTTCTTCCTTTTTGCACTTAGTTTATTACTGGAAGTCTTGATATTTTCTTCATTTCATTTTGTTGAATTTGAATACCATCACTAGCTGAATTATAATACTTCAGCTCGTGTCTGTCCCATCTCTGGCCCTGTAAACAGATGTGCCCATACCTAAAAGAGAGGGCATTTAAGAGCCAACCATAAGGACCACCAGATGCTCAGATCAGAATCTTTGTAGTTATCCATGGTTTTTTGTTGTTGTTGTTTTTTCTGTCTCTCAAATCCAGCATCCAATCTTATAAGAAAATCCTGTTGACTTCACCTTGAAAACACACCCAGAATCTGATGGCCTCTCTTCCTGTCCTTCTGCTTCATCTTTTGATTGCATTACTGCTGGAGCCTCTTCTGGGTGCTTGCTCCTACCTTGCATTCCCCTGCACTCCTTCCCAGCCTATTTCAAAGCTGTCATTCTTTTGAACTCTTCTGCTCAAGACTCTTCGTTGGCTCCCATTTCACAAGAGTAAAAGACAAAGTCCACGCAATGCTCCCAAAGCTCTAAGAGGCTGTCCTTGCTGTGACCTAGTCCTCTCCCAGTTGCCCCTGACTCCCGCTGCCCTCACCACTCTGAGGCCCCGTCAGTTCTTCACAGACGCCACAGGCTCCCATCTCAGGCCTTTGCACTTGCTGTTCTTTCTGCCCATAGTTCTTGCCTCCAGGATATCAGCATGATTTGCACTCTTAGTTTCTTCAGGTGTCTGCTCAATTCTTAACCTCTCCCAAAAGGCCTTCCTAGACACCTTACACGAAAGGGTAACCTCCTTGCTCCTCTCCTTTGTGGAGGGCCTTGGTTCCTGTATATCCTGCTTTATTTGTATTTGCAGCACCCCTCACTAGCTGACAGTGATTGGTTTATTGTCCATCTCCCTCCATTAGAATATAAACTGAACAAGGGCAGGGACTCATTTAATTGACTTTTGTGGCCTCAGCATCCAGAATAGCACTAGATGTGCTGCTGGTGCTCAATAAAGATTGGCTGAAGAAGGCACAGATGCTTTACTGTCCCCAGCTTCCTGCTTCCCCCAGCTTCATACACTTCCCCGTAGCTTCCTATGCTCTTTGCAGAGACAGATCATCCCCTGGTTCCTAAATTTGTATTTCAAAGTATTAGCTGCTTTCCTAGCTTTATGTGTTACCCTTCAAATGTGTAGATTAATGAGTAAAATGTAGCTTCATTAAGGCATGAACTAGTTGAGACTCTAAGTTAACTTGGGCAAAACCAGTTCAGCAATTCCCATGTCTTGTCTTGTATTTCTGCCTCTCGACTTAGAAATAAACTCTGGTGCGGTAACCAAAGTTCTCTCCAAGACAATATTGTCCACACTGGGTGTTGTTAATGCTAAAATCATCCACAGCACATTTCTCAGAAAACATCTGCTCTTAATAATTGGGGATGAGGTCTGTGCCTCCTTAAACTTTCCTATACATCATTGGTCAAAAAGGTAGAAATAAAAACCTGTATTTCTTAAAACAAGGAAAACATTGCTTTTCTAATGAAAACTCAAAGAGTTGAAATATGAAAAATAAAAATCCCCTCAAATTTGAAAACATAACAAAATTTAATTATTTTGTTGATGGAGGTTAAAAAACATTGATAAGTTTTATGGCCTTTTGCCGAAATCTATCATCACTTTTGGAAAACAAAACTCTTCCCAGCAATACCTTTAAAGGCTGTGCTTCACAGGAATGCAAAAGAAAATTGCCAAAAGATTACATTGTATAATTTGTCCCTGCCAAGCATTCTACTTGAATAACAGAAAATTCTACCAAGATTTTAATAGAACTGTTCTTTAGCTTCAGTTAACTAAACCCCTCTGTGAAACATTAGAAAGATGTATGCATCATTTCTATGTTTATTCAGACAACAAATATTTATAGGCAGCTTGCTTTATACACAGGATTTGAAAAGAGAAGATTTTTCACAGCAGAGATAGTCCTGGCAAAGACGGAATTCCAGCTGGGTCAACTGAATCTTTAACTAGGGCATCTAGATATAGAGATACTAATATAGTTATAGTTATATATAAATATAGCAGCAAGCAAAATAAATTTGGTCTTATTCTATAAGTTTATTCATGTACTTCCTCTACCTCGAGAATATAATTTAAATATTACAGAAAACACTTCTGTCCTGAGAAGAACTTTCCCTCCAAATAGCATTAGCTAGTTTTGCTTTCCCTGGTAATTCAGTTATTCATTCAAGAACAATTTATGGCAGTGATGCCCCAACCCTTTTGGCGCCAGGGACCGGTTTCATGGAAGACAATTTTTCCATGAATCCGGGATGGGTGGGAGGAAGGTGGTCTCAGGATGAAACTGTTCCACTTCAGATCATCAAGCGTTAGATTACCATAAGGAGTGGGCAACCTAGATCCCTCGCATGCACGGTTCACAATAAGGTTTGCGCTCCTATGAGAGTCTAATGCCGCCGCTGATCTGACAAGAGAGAGAGCTCAGGCGATAATGCTCACTCACTGGCCACTCATCTCCTACTGTGTAGCCTGGTTCCTAACAAGCCACAGACTGGGACCGGTACTAGTCCATGGCCTGGGGACTTGGGGGCCCCTGATTTATGGGACTCCCACACATGCCAGAGTGGGCAAGGCACTGGAGATGTGAAAATGCACAAAACCCTCAAAAACCCACAGTGCAGTGGGGACTGGAGGGACAAAGGGTGACATTAGGAGCATGTGCTACAGAAAACTCAGCCTGATTCATTCAGTAATTCCACAAATATTGATTGAGTGCCTGCTGTATACACTGGTCTAGATGCTTGAGACACACCAGTGAAATAAACTGACAAAAAACTCTGCCTTTGATGTGCTTGCATAGCAGGATATAAAAACGATAGACAAGAAACACAACGAACAAGGAAATTACATAATATCTTAGAGGATAAGCCCTATGGGGAAATAAATCAAATTTTCCTTCAAGTTGGACAGCGGAAGAATGGATATGCAAGACCTCAAAAAAGTTGCCTTCCATGTAACATTTTCCAGTATGTGTTCCAGAAAAAAATGAAAGAGAAAACCAAGAAAGAGAAAAAATGGAATCTAGGAAACACAAGAATTAAGCCAGAGAAAGGCAAAGAAAACATGGGAGGAACAGTTCTTCCCCCTTCCTCTCCCATCATCTGGGTTGAATATGAGCCACCAGTATCATCCCCCAGTATGCAAGCCAGGCCAATAAGCTTTAGTTGCAGGATTTTCTAAATTGGGCCTGACAGAAGAGAGTACTTTCCTCTCAGGTTATGATGCAGTGAGGATGTGATCCCAAGAGCTAAAAGTGACCCGGACCTCCTGCCTTATGAAGACAGCTCACCCATGAGACTGAAGTTGGTAGAGAGAAAGAATAGAAACAGGAAGAAGCAGACAGGTCATTCTACCATTGTATTCCTGTTTCTGTGCAGCTTCAAATGCCCTCTGATAGTAGATCACATGAATTGGTCACAAATTATGTCAACAAGTGAAATCTACCCACTCTTTGAATCTGGGTGTGGCCACATGACTCTTATTGGTCAATGGGACATTAGCAAACACGAAGCAAGCAGAGGCTAAAAAGTGTTTGTGGTTTGGGGCTTGTGCTCGCTGGCCGCTGGGAACCTTTCATTAATATATAAAGTGGGCCAGACTGGCCACCTGGAGGATGAGAGATGAGGTGGAGCAGCGATTGATCATGTAGATCATGTAGAAGCATCTCAGCTGGTGTTTTCTAGATCCACCAGCCCTCTCATCACCTGCCAGCTGACTGCAGACACATGAGTGACCCCAAGTGAGCCAAGCAGAAGAATTGCCCAGCTGAATCCAGCTAATTGCTGACCCACAGAATCATAGCTAAAGATTATTGTTTTAAGCCACTAAATTTTATGATGGTTTGTTATGCAGCGCTGGATAACTGATACACTCTACACACACACATGCACACACTACACACACTTTATATTTTTTCTTAAAGTAAAACAATTTTTTGCCATTTGCAATCAAAAGAAGTTCTAACTAAAATCATAGAGCTTCTTGTGCTTGTGTCATTGACTTGGTGCCCTGTTCATTAATTTAGTTATTCTGTGACTTGAACTATGCCCCTGAATTCCAAGCTTCTCCTTCCAATCTCAATGTTGACATTATCCACCTGTGCTTTGTCCAGGATAAAGACACTACCGTTTGTGGATAAACAAACTACAAAAGAACCTTCTCCTCCCTCCTCTTCAATGCCCACACCTGTCAGGTTGGCCCCCTTCCTATGGCCTTTTGCCAAGGGTCTGTACTGCCACTTCCTGTTGGCTCTTTTCAATGCCAACAGCTTGACAATGTGACTCTCCATCTGTCACTAATTGCTGGACCTACTGTCATCCCTCTTCACTTGTCTGTGCAGACTTCACTCCCTCCTGCAAATAGGAGAGCTATCCACCTGCCAAATGCCAACAGTCAGTTTCCAGCCTAGATCTGAACCCTTTCTGGCCTATTCTGTTTCGTTAGATTGAGATTCCCATACGATTACTCTTCCAGTTTATCCTCTGTCTGGGTTAGAGCTGGGTCTGGGAAGGTAAGTGAATCTCTTTAAGCTCTCATATTCAGATGACAAATCACATACAGTAGAAGTAGATGGTGATTTTTTTTAAAAAAAAAAACAAGCCATGGGAAAACTATTCTCTTCCTCGTGGAAGAATATTGACAAGGCTCTTGCAGGCACCCGTGGAGTCTGTTTATTGCCTTTGGGGTTGTAGACAATGAAATTGATTCTCAATATCAACCAGATAGGTCAATTCTCTGCTCATATTCCCTTAGGCCTTTCCATTTCTATGCCCAGTAGCCTGACATCCAACTGCCAGTCTCTACAATTTTTTTACCAGAGAGTTTTCTCTGGTGCTGGAGCCAGCTTTGCTTGCATATGGCAGCCCAGAAGTGCTGGAGAATTAATGTCTCCCACTTCTACCACTGTGCAGTCCTCATGCAGTGACTGGCCAGAATTGGTGTATTAATACCCCCGCTCCCTTGTCCCTCAGATAGGATATCTCTGAGGAGTATGTTTTCCACTGGATCTCAGAGTTCCCCAATAAGATTAAGCTTCAGTGCCCACAGTGGTAACTTACCTGATAACCTATTCTTTATTGGTTTTCCTCTCTTCCTTGTCTCTCTCCCCCAAATAAATTACATGCCCTTGAAATTTTGTCTCAAGGTCTGCATCCAAGAGAACCCAAACCAAGATAATAATCCACCCAGTAACTGAATACTCTATAGGACAGGAGCTGGATCTATGGAGATGGTAACAATTTAAAAGGAAAAACAGCACAATAATATGATGATGATCAGAACCAGCCACTTAGATGGTGAGCAAAATCAGTGTTGCTACCAGGCCCCATTTGCCCTCTATCTTAGTCTTGGGTGACCTTCCTGATAGTAGAGTATGTGAACCAAGGATGAATATAAGGGAAATTTTTGGTTATAACCTGATTAATCCATGGGTGTGGGCATCAGTCACTTTGCCCAATATCCACAGGGCAATAAACTTGTGGAATTTAATTTTTTTGTAATGTGTGACTATTTAAACATTATTTTACAGATTTTTATGGGAGAATGATACTCTGATATGGTTCTTCGTCCAAAAGCAAAGTACAACTTAAAAGATAACCAGCGGGACTTCCAATAGCTATGTTCAAATATTTATGAAACATTGACTTTTGGGTTGTAGGCTAAAGCACAGAGTTTAAATTGGTTAGTTCTATTGCCAAATGCCTTCAGACTTCATTGACTTTTTTGGAATTAGTACAGAAGCAGAGATTAGATCCAAAACTTTTACAGAGATTCTGTGTGGTCCAGAAAATTATGAGTCTTTGCTTGTACATAGAAATTAAATATTACACATGTTTACACTCCATCTTTTGAGACAGTGAGCAATTGAGGCGTCTGAACTGATTGAAGAAAGACCTCTCTATAAATCTATGACCTATTATTCTTCTACCAAAGAGTGGAAAAATTCTTAATAGTTCTGAATGATGAACTTTCTTAAAAAATTGGGAATTTTGGCATCTGGGAGGCAATGCTAACCATTTGAATAGGGCTTCCTTTACTTTCAGTCAGTATTGCAGTCATTGCTTTGTCAAGGGTTCTGAGATCCCTCAAGCATGAAAGGAAGGATAAGGAATCAAATCCTTTCTCTACTTAATAGGGAATGTCTCAGAACTGCTTCAAAATTAGCTTTGGCTCAGCTTAATGAAATTTCCCCATTGTTGAGCAGCGGCCCACAAAATCCACAGCATTAAAATGGCAGTCCTTCAACTGTAAAAAAAAAAAAAAAAAAAAAAAAAAAAAAAAAAAAGCCTTGAAAATTACAGAACATACAAAAATAAAGATTTTTATTTCTCTTCCCCAGGTTCACAGAAAGAACTGAACCTGCTCAGCCTTTTGAGTAGGCTAAATATTAGAGGCACTCCAACTCAGGAGGACGTGTTTTACTCGCACAATTTAACCCATAAAATGCCTATGATAGAGGACTCGAAGTTTCTGCAATGAAACTCACCAGCCCTGCTGCCCTCAGGAAATCATTTTAGAGGACAGCAGAGCAACCAAGAGACATGAGAGGGAGCTACTCCTCACTGGTGTTGCTTAAGTTTCTCCAGTGGGGTCTTATTCAGAAGGTGTTTCTCTTGAGACTTCTCCCCAGCTCTGGTTAAATTAATTTGGCTTTACTGGACTGAGATAAGATAATTATAATTGCTTCTCTATCCCCTTTCCTTTTCACTTTGCACCCACACACAATCTTTGTGTTTTCAAAACTCCTTAAAATATCACTATAATATATGACATCAATTTCTTTATATTAACATGTGCATAAAATTTGACACTCAGTGCTCACCTTTCATCACTCAGTATCTACTCATCTCCCTTTGCCTGAACAAGGGTGCATCCAAACTTACAGTCTTTGGAGCACAAATCAATGTAGCAATGTAGCCAACAAAGGATCTCTTGATTCAAATGATACCAATGTCAAATGCTGATGTGTGTAAATAATTAATTGTGTTTTCACTGGTGAGTCCAGTTTGATCTTTCATTGCTTGGCGACCCCTGGGGTCTGTGGCTCCCTGAGAAGCAGGAACATTTAGGATTTTTTATTACCAGCTCATCAATAATTTATAGATTACTATGGAGTCAGGTGCACAGATTCAGAGTATCATCTATCACTATAGGCAGCTCCAGTGTTAAGGGATGGCTACTTCCCAGAAATCAACGAAGGGGAACAGATGAGGAAAGGGGGCAACATGGCACATATGCCACAGAAGGCACATCTTTCAGAAACACAAACATATCAAGGTAAACAATTTCCTTCTCACTGAGCCAGACAAACTATAAAGTGCTCTAACTATCCCCTAAAGGTAAAACACCACTGTATGTTACATAGCCAAATATAATTCAACTGTTATCACTTATCATTAAAATTATTTATGTTTTTCTTCTCTTCTATGCTGTCTTAGGTGAAAGTTTCACTAGAACAACTCTTAGATTCAAACTTGTAGAAAGCGCTATTGCTTAAAAAAGGGGGGTGGGGGAGGATGGGTACTTTCTTAACGGGAAAATTGTGTCTTGCCAGAAAATGACCTTGAAATTAGAGGGAGGTATTGGAGTTTAATCACAGCTTTGATAACGTATGTGCTGTGTCTTTTGGACAATGCCATTGAGTGTGGGGTTCATGTCCTTATGATTGTCTAAAGTGTGTCACAGTACATGCACATGTTGTGATGGAAAGAAGCAAAATGTACAAACAATAAAAGGGCCATTTATTACAGACCTTCAAGGAAACCAACAATGACTTTGGGATGTATGTTGCATTCCTGAATTTTACATGATTTTCTGGATAGCATTAACAGTTTTCTGAGAATGTTCTTAAGAATTCCATTTCTATCACAGCCATGTATGTATTCCCACCCTCTGACCCCACAGTCGTGTCTCTCCCAACTTCTCCCCAAAGCTGGTTCTCACAGAGCAAAGGAAAGATGGGCTGTGCAAATAAAACCTAAACCCAATGGAATTTGAAACAAGTCCTAGTAGGATAAAGAAATCTCTGAACATATTCATAAGGAGTGTTTCTTTAGGGAACTTTTCTGTTTCAGGGACACCACTGAGGCTGTGCCACATTCTGAAACTGTTGCTATGGCAAAGCGTCTTGTGTTATTGACGATGGAGCACATTGTTGTGTTTAAGTCATGTAAATGATCAGGACACAAAGGAAGCTGCCCACAGCAGCCCCTGCTCAATCACCACAGCGCTGGGGCCTTTCCCCCTTGACACATGCCATTTACACGGCATGGGAAGGCATTTCTTTCAGAAAGCCTCACTCCCTGGGTGCTGTGAACTGTTCTTTGGAGACGTTTATGAGATCTCCACATCTTTCAGAATCGATTCTGCAGGGGAAAAAGAATACACAATGACAAAGCCCTTTCTTTTGTTTTAAGGTCAGGATATTTCTATAGACATTTTGCATTTTCTACCTATTAACACATTTTTTTTTCCGGGCTGCTGGTCTTGTCTAATATTTCAACTTTCTATCAGTTCTTGTCATTTAGAGTCCAACTATGAGAGTTTCTCCTTTGTTTCCCACTTATAGCTCAAATATGTGTTTTTAATTATTTTCCACAGCATCAATTCACACTGATTAGACATAATTACAGAAACAAAATATGCAGAATACATTTTAATAATGCCTGTCACCTCTGAGGGAACAATGAGGATCTAATTTAATGATCTAAGTGTTGTTTGAAAGCGACACAGAGTTTTTAAAAATAGTACTATATATTTTGAAGTGGAGCTTATTAGTATTTTTAGATACAAATGTAAGCTGAAATGAACTATTATTCAGGTTTCAATGCATGTAATTAAAAAAACACTTAGGGCAATGCTTGTTTACACAAAGAATCAAATTATACCCTTTAATAATAAAAGCTTGATCCAACTGTGACACTTGAGACTTGAAATGATGTGATAATTTGTAGTCCAATTTCTAAGGGAAATTTTGCCATATGAAAATCTATTTTTGACAATACTGTGTCAAAGTCAATGTCCTGGTTTTGACATTACTGTGGTTATGAAAGATGTTTTCATTGGGGGAAGCCGCATGAATGGTACGGGGGAACTCTCTGCATTAGTTTTGCAAACTCTTGTGTGTCTCCAACTATTTCTTTTTTTTTTTTGAGATGGAGTCTCGCTCTGCTGCCCAGGCTGGAGTGCAGTGGTGCGATCTCGGCTCACTGCAAACTCTACCTTCTGGGTTCACACCATTCTCCTGCCTCAGCCTCCCGAGTAGCTGGGACTACAGGCACCCACCACCACACCCAGCTGATTTTTTGTATATTTAGCAGAGACGGGGTTTCCACCGTGTTAGCCAGGATGGTCTCAATCTCCTGACCTCGTGATCCACCCACTTCGGCCTCCCAAAGTGCTGGGATTACAGGCATGAGCCACCGCACCCGGCATTGTGTCTCCAACTATTTCATAATAAAAAAAGTTATATCAAAAATCTATTTTTCATACCTAATAAAAATATATTTTTTCTACTTGTAGAAGAATATGCTGTCTCAGTAGAGCTTAGAATATTACTATTACAGAACCATATGACATTACTCTCAATATTTGTCTTGGCATCTGGAGTCAAAGGAATTTTAGACAATGAGTTAACTTTCTCAAAGAAAATCTCTTTACCCCGAATTTTCAACTTGTTCAGAAAAGAATTTGTAAACAGTTATGAATGAGAAATCTACTTACTTTTACTGTTTCAGACGCTCTTCTAGAAGTTATTAAAACAGTATTTACAATTCTCATAAATCTGGAGGCATAATTGGATCTCATTTCCTTTGCCTTTTTCGCTCTTTTTAAAAACTCTTTTGGCTCGGTGTGGTGGCTCACGCCTGTAATCCCAGCACTTTGGGAGGCCGAGGTGGGCAGATCACCTGAGGTCAGGAGTTTGAGACCAGCCTGACCAACAGGGAGAAACTCCATCTCTACTAAAAATACAAAATTAGCTGGGCATGGTGGCGCATGCCTGTAATCCTAGCTTCTCAGGAGGCTGAGGCAGGAGAATCTCTTGAACCGGGGAGGCGGAGGTTGTGGTGAGCCGAGATCACACCATTGCACTCCAGCCTGGGCAACAAGAGCCAAACACTGTCTCAAAACAAACAAACAAAGAAACAAACAGATACACACACAAAACAAGCAAACAAACAAAAACCCTCTTTTAACTCCATAGTTAAAACCATAGTTTTGCATTCCTAGCTGTCATGAGTGAAGCTGAGATTTAAAAAAGTAATATAGGACTATCACAAACCAAAGTTACATCTAACATAAATGTCCATTCATATTTCATTTGGCTGTGATTGTGTATTTGTGGCATGTATATCGGTGTGTAGGGAGGATGCGTGTGTACTCATACAATGTTAGGATCGGCAGGACCATAGGAATCTCCTAATTCAAGCTCAATATTAACATATTCAATATACATAGGTTCGATATTTATAATATATACTGCTGATTGTGCAATAATTCTTCACATTCCCATGGCCTTCTTTAAGAGGTCATCATAGCACACATCTAATTTTATCCTAACATAATTCTACGAGCTTGCTAGAGGGCATTATTATTATTCTACTGAGAAAATGGGCAGCTAATTCCAAAGAGGTCCAGCTTTGGCTCAGTCTTACACGGCATGTGAATGGTGAGGTTGAGGATTAAAACCCAGATTCCACATCCTTGCTCAGAGTACTTCATTCTGGCCCACAATCTCTAAAGCTACAACTGTCTAAATACACTGTCTACACTGTCTTGTATAATATCTGAAACAGTGCATGTTGGAGGGAGAGTTCTATTAAAATGATAATAGGAGTTAGTTAATTCTTTTTAAACTGTAACAATTAAAAGCATTTTGTGAGTGACCTAGGAACACGGCTCTGTATCATAACCCCTTTCTCTTTTCTTTTTTTTTAAAGTTTAGTTGAGATACAATTCACATACCACACAATGTACCCATCTAATGTGGACAATTTAATGTTTTAAAGTATATTCCCAGTGTCCTACAACCATCATCAACATCTAATTTTAGAACAGCTTTATCCCCCCAATAAAAGAAATGCTGTGCCCATTAGCAGTCACTCCCTTTCCCCCTACCCTTCACCCCTAGCCCCTTGCAACCACTAATTGACTTTCTATCTCTATGAATTTGCCTATTCTGGACATTTCACATAAATGGAATCCTACAATATGTGATCCTCTGTGACTGCCTTCTTTCTCTGAGCATGATGTAGCATGTATCAGCAGCTGAATAATACTTTTTAGAGCTGAATACTATCCGGTTGTACGGAAATGCATGGATATCCTGCATTTGTTTTTTTGTTTGTTTTTTGTTTGTTTGTTTGTATTTAGACAGTTGTAGCTTTAGAGATTGTGGGCCAGAATGAAGTACTCTGAGCAAGGATGTGGAATCTGGGTTTTAATCCTCAACCTCACCATTCACATGCCGTGTAAGACTGAGCCAAAGCTGGACCTCTTTGGAATTAGCTGCCCATTTTCTCAGTAGAATAATAATAATGCCCTCTAGCAAGCTCGTAGAATTATGTTAGGATAAAATTAGATGTGTGCTATGATGGCCTCTTAAAGAAGGCCATGGGAATGTGAAGAATTATTGCACAATCAGCAGTATATATTATAAATATCAAACCTATGTATATTGAATGTGTTAATATTGAGCTTGAATTAGGAGATTCCTATGGTCCTGTTGATGCTAACATTGTATGAGTATACACGCATCCTCCCTACACACCCATATACATGCCACAAATACACAATCACAGCCAAATGAAATATGAATGGACATTTATGTTAGATGTAACTTTGGTTTGTGATAGTCCTATATTACTTTTTTAAATCTCAGCTTCACTCATGACAGCTAGGAATGCAAAACTATGGTTTTAACTATGGAGTTAAAAGAGGGTTTTTGTTTGTTTGCTTGTTTTGTGTGTGTATCTGTTTGTTTCTTTGTTTGTTTGTTTTGAGACAGTGTTTGGCTCTTGTTGCCCAGGCTGGAGTGCAATGGTGTGATCTCGGCTCACCACAACCTCCACCTCCCGGGTTCAAGCGATTCTCCTGCCTCAGCCTCCTGAGAAGCTAGGATTACAGTCATGTACCACCATGTCCAGCTATTTTTATTTTTTTGTATTTTTAGTAGAGATGGTGGTTTCACCATGTTGGCCAGGGTGGACTCAAACTCCTGACCTCAAATGATCCACCTGCCTCGGCCTCCCAAAGTGCTAGGATTATAGGCATGAGCCACCACGCCCAGCAATATGCTACGTTTTATTTATCCATTCATCCACTGATAAACATTTGCGCTGTTTCCACTTTTTGGCTATTGTAAATAATGCTGCTATGAACATTCATATACATGTTGTTGTGTGAACATATGTTTTCATTTCTCTTGGATATATACCTAAAAGTACACTCGTTGGATCATATGGTAACCTTATGTTTAACTTTTTGAGGAACTGCCAAACCATTTCCAAAGTGACTGCACCATATTTCATTTCCACTAATAATCCTTTTCTTAACTTGAGCTGGTAAAGCCTCCGTGATGGCTCCTGGTAGTTACTAAACTAACCATCAAAGTCCTTTCTTGCACACACTTCTGGGTCTGGTCAGGTGAAAAGTGGGAGAGTGTATTTGCCTCACATGATTTCAGAAAAGCCATCAGAAATTAGAATGGGAAACAAGGAGATTAAGGATATGCATATTAATTAAACATCTAGAATGTAAGTTATTTATTGGTGAGGAAATTTAAAACTTTAAGTTGCATCAAATACACACACACAATTCAAGCGGCCATACAAAAATAAAAAACAAACCAAATCAACCAACCAGTCAAACAGAGATTCACAACATCATCCTTGGCATTTGATCTTCCATCTGTAGCCCCTGAAGTAGTGCAACAATATGAGATATTTGAACCGTTTTTGTAGCTCTTAATAGCAAGAGATATTTTTGGCTATGAAGACATCTAGGTCAAAGCCCTCACACTTGCTTCTTGCTCACAGATGTACAACTATTTCAAAAAAATCTCCAAAACCATATGAATAAACCTTTTATAATCTTAAGGATTCTTAAGCCTCTAGACAGAGATTGATACAGACCCTGACTTTTAAAGCAAGCTGGGACACCTTCTGGAATTCAAAACACATGCTTGGCCCCTGACAAGTCAAGCTAGAGTCTGGAGGTGAATTCGGCTGGTTCTTTTACACACGAACCTCGCAACACTCTGACTAGCTCTTTTTGTGTGGCCAGAAAGGTCTTGAGGCTTCGAGGCTGCAAACAGTTCCTGACCTGTCACTGCTAGACTCAAATAGCCACTTTTTTTTTTTTTTTTTGAGACAGATTCTTGCTTTGTCGCCCAGGCTGGAGTGTAGTGGTGCAATCCTAGCTCACTGCAGCCTTGATCTCCTGGGCTCAAGCAATCCTCCCACCTCAGTCTCCGGAGTAGATGGGACTGCAGGCACACGCCACCACACCCAGCTAATTTTCTTATTTTCTGTAGAGACGAGGTCTTGCCATATTGCTTGGGCTGGTCTCAAACTCCTGGGCTCAAGTGATCCACCCACCTCGGCCTCCCAAAGTGCCAGGATTATAGGCGTGAGCCACCCCGCCTGGCCAAGTAGCCATCTTCACTTCTTTGCCCTGATGTTTATTATATCCATCAGTCAGCACTTTTGACTTGCTTTTTTCTGTGACACACGTGACCTGATTTCAGCTAGGTCAGTACAAAGCCAAAAAGGAAAATTGTTTGGGATGTTTCTCTTATTCCATTGTCTCTTCCCTATGACCAGACACATTTTCTGGATGGGGAACAATCTCAAGCAGGGGATGGCTGGAAAGTGTTGAGTGAAAACGCAAGACACGATGAGAGAGAAAGAATAAGTAAAAATAAAAAAAGAGAGAGAAAAAAGAGTGAAATAGGGAAAGGCTATGTCATAAGACAAAGGTCAAAGTGGGAAAGAGTGGCAGAGAACAGGGAAAGCAGAGAGAAGAATCTTGAGATGAAGGTCTTAGCAAGTGATAATCTCCTGGGATCTTCTCAGTCGCTATTGATGTCTTTCCCCTAGGATTGTGCAATAATTTATTGGTAATGCTCAAATTGAATTTGCAAATGACTTCAAACCTTAGCAGGAGATACTGGTAGTTTATAGCTTTGCAAATTGAAATTGAAACTCAAAGTGCCCTTGATAAACTGCAAAAAAAAAAAAAAAAAGCAAATAGAAGAAATCCCCTCTAGATTATGCAATAGCACACCAAATGAGTTTTTTGAAAAATGGAAGAGGAATAAGTGAAACTAGCCAGCTAACTAACAGCAGGCACTGATTCTAGAAGTAAATTGGATATGGAGGTATACTCAAGTGTTGGTATTTATCCTGAGGAAATCTGGCCATTCAAATGATTTCAAAGATACTCGGCCTAGTTCTGAGCACAATTAAAGGGGGTGTGGGGAACTTGGAAAGAGTTCAGAGGAAAACCACAAAGATCAAAGAGGTGAAGAAAAGGGAGCTCAGAGGAAAGTCGAGGAGCTGGAAAAATCCAACCTGAAGAAGAGAAGGTAAAGGAGATAATTTAATTACGGTCCTCAGCTATAAGACGAGCTTTTCATAGGTGGCCACCTGTTCTCTGTTTCCACTATGGATGGATAGAAAGGCAGGGGCTTAAATATGCAATATGGGGGATTTCATTTAGGTATAAGGAATTTCCTGACATGAAAGCTGGTAAATGATGAAATGGGCTCCTGATCATGGACAGGAATAAGGAATATTCTTCTTACAAAATAGGTAAAATTCTCACAGGTTTGGAATGGTTTACAGATCTTGCTACCTAGAGTTGGGGGTGGGACAGGGAAGTGGGTATACTCTAACATTCTAGAAGAACAGATTCTGGTACCTTGATTTTGCTTCAGACTTGTGTATGCACCCCTCGCCTGGCCCAATGCCTCACATTTCCCTGGCTTTACACAAAATGTCCTCCCTGGCACACCACTTTGAGATGTAATCATCTCCTCTGTGAAAAAGAGCACTGGAAAATATGTTTGGAAGAGCTGGAATTTGTTGAAGGAAAATAGTCAGCTAAACAAGACCTACATGAGTGGGGGTGGGGTAAAGGCACCTCGGAGTGCATGCTGGGATTAGGGCTAATTAAGATGTTGACTGAATCTATGCTAATCATGTCCCACCAGACTCTGCTGGATTAGTATGTAAATTGGTAAACTCTGTTCTGAAATTGCCCTACCAGCTGAGGTCTAATTACTGACTAGACATAACAAATAATAATGGGATTTGTATTTTAGGATGTTTAATTATGGAAATATATGTCTGGAAGAAATACCAGCTGTATTGCACAAAAAGAGAATTCATAATGTTTTACTAAAGTTTTATGAAATTTTACACCTTTAATAAGAGCACCAGGAACAGGGGTGTGTGGGGGGAGTCTTTTCGGAGACCTAGCATTTGTGAAGGGGGACCAGAATCGCAATGATTAATTCGCTGCTTGAGTAATTTCCCCAAAGCTCAAAGACTGATTGTTTCAGTGCCGATACACAGCATCTTGTGAGCTTTTAGTTGTATCACCCAAAGAACTGGAACTCATCCGTGAAGAATAACCAAGATGCCATGGATTTAACTCAACTACTCCATAGCATGCATTCAAATGGAATTAAAAGCAATAGGGCAATAATCGTTGCAGGAAAGTAAGCCCCTAAAACAATTTTTCTTCACTGAAGTTACTCCATAATATTGAAATCATTAAATTTATAAATCAGAAAATGGTTAGTCCAGTCCTGAAGCAAAGGCATGTATTGCATGGTTTTAGAGAAAAGCAGCTTGAGCTCTAGAATTCACTGAATACGCATCTTGGGACAGAAACTTCTTTGCAACCATTTATTACATCATTCTGTGACCCACCCTTTCCAAAAAGTAACATACAAAGAGTTATAAACAGAGTTTTGGTAGAGCTGTAATAGCTGCCTGTATTTGCTTGCCATAGTGCTATTACTCACATAATTTTAAAGGCTTATGGGTGATCATTAAATCTTTATTAGGTTTTACATTATAAAATAAATTATTCATGTCGTTCTAATACATACTGGTATCTTTACAGCCCTTTTGCCCACATTTGGATAAACAAATCCTATTTGCATATCATTTTTATTTTAATTTAAGGCAATTTTGTTGTGAAAATATAAGGCTTAAATGCCTATTATGTTCCAATTATGTTCCAATTTCCCACACTTTTCTTGGTTCTATACAGTACTTTACAAATAAGGTAAAGTTCACATAATTTAAAAAGACGGATGATTTCCTTTTACTTAGAAGTTTTAGAATGTTTGCTCTTGCTGTTATATGGCAAGGCAATAGATATTATCAAATAAAATTTAGTGAGCAAGCTTGTGTTTGCAGTAGCTTCACGCCTCTGTACATTTGAAGTTACACATGTATATGGAAATTAAATTTGTTGATCACTTTAACAAATTTGTGAATTAGCAAAAATAAAGCACTAATTTTTCCTTGTGGTACAGAACTATAGGGAAGAATAATACAGTATTACTTTGATGTAAGGATATCTAACCTTTGTATTGGTAAGTCATTGAATAAAATAATTTTTCATTAAGGGCTTATGCTATTAGTCTTTGCAGATCTTATCAGCACATTGATAACTGTATTTATTTAGGTTTCAATAGTAGATTTTAGTTTCTTGTTTCGTTAGTCTTAGAAATCTAGGACACGGCCGGGCGCGGTGGCTCACGCCTATAATCCCAGCACTTTGGGAGGCCGAGGCGGGTGGATCATGAGGTCAGGAGATCGAGACCATCCTGGCTAACAAGGTGAAACCCCGTCTCTACTAAAAATACAAAAAATTAGCCGGGCGCGGTGGCGGGCGCCTGTAGTCCCAGCTACTCGGGAGGCTGAGGCAGGAGAATGGCGTGAACCCGGGAAGCGGAGCTTGCAGTGAGCCGAGATTGCACCACTGCAGTCCGCAGTCCGGCCTGGGCGACAGAGTGAGACTCCGTCTCAAAATAAAAAAAAAAAAAAAAAAAAAAAAAAGAAATCTAGGACACGTTTGATTCCCTGATGGTGGATGAATAAATCTGAACAAACTTTCCCTTTCAACATCATAGTCAGTTCTCACCTTCAAGCATTGCCATTAAGCTTGCATGATGTCATCCTGTAGGCAATGTATCACTAAAAACATTATTTTAAATGCTATTTTCCCATGCCCCAAGGCACCTGTCAGTAATTATATGTTATTTTCTATTAAAACTAATTGTGACCCACTCTCAGCATTGAACCCAGGGTCAGATACTCTGGTATAATAATTCTAGCTTTGTCCTCTTCTTGTCATGAGTATTGGGTGAAGTCAGAGTGCTGTGAGAACATTTAGAAGGTTCACAGAAAGTGTTTCACCAACACATAGGTAAGCAGTGTGTAAGCCTGAACAGATGTCACCTTGAATGGAAATCTTTCAGGGATTGGGTAGACAGCTATGGTATAAATCTCATATTTTTTGCAAATCTCACTTTGAAGCAAATTCTACAATTCCAGAGAGTAATCTTTTCAACAAATAGACTTTGAAATCCCCTCTCTATCTTTAAGGCAAGCTGTAGATTATCTTGATAAATAGCAATATTGATTTTAGCATAGAGATAATTGCCCCAAGATATACCTACCATTGGTCATGGGGATATAACCAAACTCTCCTAGTTTGCTGTTCCAAATGAAGAAATATGGAGTCCTTCCTCAGTGGCTTTGAATATCTGTCTTAGCTAAGTAGGTTAAAGGACATGGGAGCAAGTCTTCTGGGCTGAGACAGAAGACAGGAGTTCAAGTCTAGCTGGGCCATTCTCTGAGATTCTCCTTCTTCCACTGTAAAGAGGGTCTTTCCGAACAAGAATTGCAAGGAACAAATGGAATAAAATGTGTCCCTTTCACATAGTAGATACCAAATAATTGTTTGTTAAATACATGTCTAGTAGAAAAGGTTAAATGTGAATCTTTCTGTTACACAAATTAAAAAGCAAACTTAAATGGCAAGGTCTCATATCTTCCTGGTGATCTGGCTATAAAAGAATAAAAACCACATTCCTTTCAGTAATATCTCTTGGTAAGAAATTTATTACCTAATGATTACCACAGTGCTTTTTAAAGCCCATAAGTAAATAGTCTATAATTCCATATTATAGCTTCTACAAAGATACAGAATATTAAAGAAAATAAAAGAGAATGTAAAAAAAAATAAGTTTACATCTATCTTTCTTGGCATGATTTTCTTTTAAAGACCCACCTATATTGAGTGATACTGAAATCTTCACACGCCCAGGGCAGCTCCACCCAACAACTAGTCAATGATAATGATAATGAAGAACAACTACGTCAAGGTATCAAGATCTTACAAAATGTAAGCATCATTTTAGGATTCCTAAGGCATTTAAAAATTTTATTCAAAGGGAGCTCTGTCCCAACATTCTTTAAACACACACATAGCAGAGTGAGAGACCTTGGGATTCAAATTTCACCCTGCCATTATTTTATAGTGTTGTTGGAAATGGGAGAATGCAAGTGCATAACACATTAAGTCATTCAATGAATGTACACAATGGCTCTGCATCCCATCATCTTGACCTTCTTATTGCCTTGTTCTTTCCCACTCTCTTTTAGAAAAGAACTATGCTCTCACTTCATATTTATCCAGAGGGCCTTGGAACCATTTAATTTTTGGTCATCTATTTTTTATGATTGCAATATGGTTTTCTCAGTGTGGTTATAAATTCTTAGACAGCAGGGAAATAAGAACTTTCTCCAATTTTGCCCTGATGTCCAGGCTTCCAGGCTAATGCTCCATATAAATGTTTTATTTTGTCATGGATCACACCCTACTGATAGCCAGGCTTCTACAGGAATGTGCCTCAGAAAAATTCACAGTTCATCTTGATAGCAGTAATTGCTAACCCTGTGGTTTGCTCCCGCCCCCATTAAATGTACAGGTAGCTCTCATACTAAATATCTCACAAAATTATAATTGTTTGTTAAGCAAGGCAGTAGAGTGTAAGAATTAAAACCATGGATTCTGGAACCAGACTACTTGACTTCAACTGCCTTCTCTCTCCTTACAAATTGCATGATGTTGGGCAAATCACGTAAGGTCTCCTTGCTTCAGTTTCTTCATCAGAAAACTGAGATGATAATGTTACTAGTGTCTACCAAAGAGGGTTGATATGAAAATTAAATGTAGTGTGCTTGGAAGAAGCTAAAGTACTCAGTGAATATGAGTTATTCCTATTATTATTACTGGTGTCTTCACAGATGGGCTTTTAGCTTCTTAGGAGAAAAGGTGTTTCTGGCCGGTGTTCTATCCCCAGGTCCTAGTGCAGCATACACACATCTTCTCAGAGTCCCCCATCCTCTCTACCTCCCCATCATCTACCTGAGATATCCAAGTCACAAACCTCTTCCTCTCAGCTGTCCTGCCAATGCACTGTCCTTAGTATTTCTCAAACTTCTTGTCCTTTTCTCTACAGATTCTCTCAGAAGTCATGTTCTCGACCTCTCTCTCCTGCATTCCAACAGGCAGCCTAGTTGGGCCTCCATCTCCATAGGGCTCTCTCAGTGAGCTTTCTAACATGGAAACCTGATCATTTTCATTTCACCTCTCCACTTGAAATATTTCCATGGCTCCCTACTGCCTACAAGATCATGGAATAAATACATATCAAGTTAATATAAAGAAATTTGTGTCTGGGCATGGTGGCTCACACCTATAACCCTAGCACTTTGGGAGGCTGTGGCAGGTGGACCGCTTGAGCCCAGGAGTTCCAGACCAGCCTAGGCAACATGGTGAAACCCCATGTCTGCAAAAAATACAAAAATTAGCTGAGCGTGGTGGTGCATGCCTATAGTCCCAGCTACTCAGGAGGCTGAGGTGGGAGGATCACTTGACCACAGGAAGTTGAGGCTGCAGTGAGCCATGTTTGCACCACTGCACTCCAATCTGGGTGACAGAGCGAGATCCTGTCTCAAAAAAAAAAAAAATTGAAAGAAGATGTGGTAGTCAGAACAATGCTCCCCACCAAAGTTGTCCACGTTCTAATCTCCCAAACTTTTGTATGTGTTATGTTACATGGCAAAAGGGACCTTGCAGATGTGGCTAAGGATGTTTAACCACATCCTTCGACATCCTTCAATATGGTTAGATCTAAGGATGCAAGATGGGAAGATTTCCATGGGGTCACCTGGTGGCCCCAGTGTAATTGCACAGGTCCTTATAGTGGAAAGAGGGAGGCAGAAGAGTCAGAGAAGGCAATGTGACGAATGAAGCAGAGTCAGAAACATGCAGCGCCATGAGCCAAGGAGTGCCAGAAGCCTCTTGAAGTTGGAAAAGCAGGGAACAGATTCTTGTCTAGAGCCTTCAGAAGGAATGCAGGCCTGCTGATACCTTGATTTTAGATCCATTTTGTGCTTCAGACCTCCAGGAATGTAATAAAATAAATTTGTGTTGTTTAATTTTTTTTTGAGATGGGCAGGCTGGAGTGCAGTGGCATGATTATAGCTCATTGCAGCCTCAAACTCCTGGCCTCAAAGGATCCTCCCTCCTTAGCCTCCCAAGTAGTTGGGACCACAGGCATGTGCTACCACACCCAGTTAACTTTTTATTTTTTTTGCAGAGGAGGGGTTTCTCTATGCTTCCCAAGCTGGTCTTGAACTCCTAGGCTCAAGTGATCTTCCTGCCTCAGCCTCCCAATGTGCTGGGATTACAAGTATGAGCCACTGCGCCTGGCCGTGTTGTTTAAATTTTTAATAATTTGTGGTAATTTATTACAGCAGCCATCGGAAACTAGTACACAAGGCAATTGGATAGATAGTGCTGACTAAATAATTGTGTTGCGGTAAATGAATGACTATACTATGAGAGTACCAGACTAATGCACTGATATATTTAGAATTCTTTTTATTAATGATGTGTTATGATTTTCTTTCCCTCAACCAGTAACTTCAGATGGGGGTAAGGGATGCATTTTTCTACAACTCCATCCTGTCTTCTGCTCACCTGCTGGGGGCAGAAAGTGAGGCTGTGTCGGTATAGAAACCTAGATCTTTATACAAGCAGATCTCTATACAAACAAATATGTCACAGCGTACATGCAGACCGGGGCTCCCTACTGGATAGCTGGTGGAAACCAGGGCAGGCATGGCCAGAAACCAAACTAAACCAAGTCTGTAATTTCTCTTAACTGAGCAAATCTAAAATACTGTATTCTGTATTTTAACCTAATATGATGTTTCTACCTTGATGTTTCAAAAGCCATTTTTACACGTAAATACATATGGTGCCTGTCCAATCCATAGTTACATGTGTTGGCTCTCTGATCATAAAGGAAGATAGGGAACAGGCAGAAGCTGTCAAGGGAGATTCTCTGGAAGCATTAAGGTAAGCTATAGTGAGTTCTCAATTGATACGAGATCTGGGAAGAAAGACATGGCTGGTAAGAGAGCAATATAGAAGTGTGCTAAAAAGTGCTTTTGTGGAGCAGGGAACAGATTTGGGTTTGCTACCTTAGTAGTGTGGCATGAATTTATTCTTAAATTCTCTGGTCCTTCATTCCATCATCTTTAAAATGGGCCCAATAATACCTATTTTGCAGTATTGTTGAGAAGAGTAAATGATAACATGCTTGTAAAGGGGCCAGGGCAGTGTCTGGTATATGGTGGATTCAAGACATGTTCATTTCTTTCCCATGATTCTTTTTTCTTACTGACATTATTGCAAATTATGTGTATTATTATGATATATCAAAACATTTAACAAAAGTCATCTAACAGAAAAAACTAATACATCAAGAAAAAAATGAGAAGGAACAGTAATTTATAAGCTCTAAAGATTAAGGATGCTGGAATGTTTTGTTCTGTATTTTCCCAATTTGTGCAATGGCAAGGTTAATTCACGAGAAACCTTTCTTTTGAATTATTTAAATGGCCAGTGATGAGAATAACACACAGTGGGTCTTGTGCAATGTGAGAGGGTTATTGATTAACTCAGCTCACAGGTTCCAAGTAGCCAGTAACATATTTTAATGTATCAATAATTCAGAAGAATTAAGAGTTTTTCGTTGTTGCTGAAACCACATTCGCAACTGAACCACGGGAGCTGGCAAACAATTGTTAGAACAGCACGAGTTGGTCTTTCCCTTCTAGCCTTGGTCGCCTCTGCAATAAACTCCACAAAACATAGCTTTCATCTCTAACAGCAAACGTGTGCCATATGAGTGACACCCAAGCACTCAATAAATATATGCCAGATTAATGATAACCTCATAAGGCAGTAGTGAAAAATGGCCAAAGTATTTCAGAAGATCAACCTGGAAAGAAAATCAATTCTAATAAACTTGACGCTCTCAGGTTCAAATATAATAATGAAGGTAAATAGTCTTTATAACCAGAATGAGCATGGGGTGGAGAATAGTGAATAATGTTGATCAAAACCTGAAAACTTCACAGTTCACAGATAAATTGATTAACTGTTATCTCACACTCAGGACTCCCAAATTGACTGCCAGCATTCCGTAAACAATTCCTAAAGGCAAAGATAACATCGTTTGGTTGAATTAGCATTTTCAGTTGAGAAAAGAATAAAAAACTGAAATTGAAAGGGAATTGACTTTCATTTTTTGGCAAAGGATATCTCAGGCAAATAATTATTTCATTTTAAAAGAAAAAGCATATATTTTTTCAGGTTTTCATATCAATGTGCATGCAAAGAAACTGTATTTAAATAGTTTATAACCTGTAGTTGAAACCTATATTTTATAACCTATAGTTTAAATAACCTGGTTGTTATTAATGAAATAAATGGCATGCATTTTCAATTTTTGAATATTCTAATAAGCACATCATCTTAAGACTGTAGAATTAAGTAAACTGAAGTAACAGTTGCAGACTTGAATAATTTGTGTTGAATCATTTTACTTGATCAGTGTTTTCATGATGGGCAGATTCAACTGAAATGATAATAAGTGTATTGGCATATGTTAAGTTTAGAAACAAAACATCCATCATCAGAACTTTGCATTTAGCAATGCTTCTAGTTTTATTTTAATGAGGAGGAAAAAATGCAGAGAGCCCCCTAAATTAGGCAGCACTCAAATTTTCTCAGGGCAAAAACAACAACAAAGATTACCACCCTGTCTTGGGGATGGGGGAGGGTGCGCAGAGTTTTTAGGAATTTGGTTCTCAGCTATGAGGAAAGGCTTCTGGACTTGTCCATCACAGAAACAACAGCTGTCTGCCACTTCTCTCTTCTTCACACAGCCCCCAACTCCAAACACGCCTCTCAGAAGGACTTTTGTAGCTTGCTTAAGGGATAATTTGCTTCAGACTGAATCAATATATTTCTAAACTCTTCAGGCTCAAGTTTGCCAGGATATGATAAAAGGATATATTTATATGTGTGTGTATACATATACATTTTAAATATATAAGTAATATAAATAATGTATTCTATATATATCTTCACACAAATATGAAAGTCAGCTCTAGAAATAACAGAATGGAATTAGGGAGTAAGAAGCAACATTTGCCCAAGAAGGCTGTGTGCATGAGCTGATTCTTTGAAAATGTTGAAGGAAACGTGTACCTATTCTTTCTGACTCTAGGGCAGCTTCCTCATTTCTTCTTTCCAATTAGAACTCCTCTGCATACAGACAAAGAATATAAAGTTCTTCAAGTTCCATTTTCCTCACTTGAGTGTGAACACTCTCCCCTCCTTTCACAGTGTCTTGAACTTGCGCTAGGTACTACTTGGATTTTTAACAGTGGCTTGGATCTGAACGGCTCTTGTTACAAAACAGGTGATACATACAATGGCAAAAATACATTCTCACAGGAAACAGACAATTGAAAAATTTCCAGAAGGACCGGGTTTTTCTCTCACTCTCCTGAAGTTGTACCCCCCAAACTAATCAAATTGAGATAGAAATGCTTTAAAGATCCGAGTATCTGATAGATAAGTGCATTCCTCTATGGGGTATAGTTTTTGCGTGGGCATGCGTTTTGCTTAAGTCAGTTGCTCAGAAGTGATGCTAATCAAGTTTGGGAAAAGTAAAATTGTTCTGTGGCTACCAGCCCTTTGTACCAGAAACAGCGCCGTCCTCATACACCAGACAGAGACGATGCAGGACGTCCGCAGAGTCACTAACCAACTTCCCTCCCTTCTGACCCCTGCGCTTCAGTAAAGCAATTACAGTAGCATCCCAGAGCAGTAGAGAATAAAATGAGCCTTACCAGTTTCTCCTAGTGTGGACGAAAGGAAACAACCCCTCAGCTGCTCTAGGCCAGGCAACTGGGTCTCAGACTTACTTGACTGAGGGGACTCTGAAAGCTGAAGTCTTCCTTCCCTCTGTTTGATTTCTTCCCAGCAACCTCTCCCAGGATTTTTCTCACAAAGCACTCTCCTATTCTCTAATCCTCTCACAAGGAAAACCAGCACACACACCAAATGACTTCTGCAGAAGCGCCTCTCCTGGGGAGCTAGGAGGGGAGGGGTGGAAGGGGGGTGTTTGCTGGCATTCATTCCTGCCAGGCGAATCCTCAGGGAGTCATGGATCCCAGCCCTCTGGACTCCTCATCGACTGGAATACGATAGGTCATGGCGAGGCACGGAGGTGTGCATTTGCTTCTTCCTATATCTCCAAACCCTGGTCACTATCCCTCAGGGATGGGAGAGGGGACACCTCAGCTTCAAACTTCATCTGAGTCTTATGACCCTTTATACTCCCTCCCATAACAGAGTAATTCCAAACGAGTTATGTAGAAATCAGCTAGACGCTTCCCAAATCTATCTGGCACCTCATTTTAAGAGCCCTTGACAATTTATAGCAGCTGCTTGTTTTTAACTTATCCAAAAGCTGAAAACAGATTGCAAACATCAAGAAAAGGTGGAATATCATATATGAAAAAGTGATCGATATGTACTATCAAACATCTGGAAAATTACTGTCTTTATGAAAATTCATTTTTTTAAAAATCATGTTTCTAAAATACCAAATAAAATTGCTAAGTTGTAAGGCATGACCTTCTTTAAGATATGGATTTTACCTTATCTTCCCAGGACAGGATTTGCACTTGCATTTGAAAATAATATTCACACTTTATAAATTCAAATCCTCTTCTAACTTAAGGCAAATATCTTACATATATTCCAGATATGCTATAATCAATCTGGAATTCCCACTTACCCCTCCAGTTTTTAAAAAGAAGACTTACCTTTTTATTACGTCATTTAAAACCCTGAAACGAATAAACCACAGTGGAGACAAGCAGATGGCAGTCTTCTACATTTTGCAATGAGGGCTGTTTGCCTTGGAGTCATTATTTCTAAGGAGACGCTGCTGTGCTTGTGCCTGTGTTCGGCAGCATGCCATTTGGGGCTTTGAAACAAAATGAATCAGCTTCACACCACCAGCTCCACTACATACTAACACTTCAGAATACCCAAACTGGGGCAGGCTGCCTCTTTCATAGTGACCCTGCATAGAATCAGAGGTGACGGTTTGATGGATGAGTTTCCCAAGAGACAATGCAATCTGTGACATCACAGTTCTGGCCGCACCCCCCACCCCAGGCCCCTGTCCTGCCTCTCCTCTCCAGAAAAAAAAATTGCCTCTGCTTGGTGACAATGCCATCTCAATAGCAAAAATGAGTCTGAGGTGCATAGCAAATGCTATAACTTAGCTATCTTTCTTAACCTCAGTTTTCTGATTCCCCTTTGCTGGAGTAATGGGAGTAGGATGAGATGAACATACTAGGCAGAGAATTCAGACAAAACCAAACAAAAGCACAGAACTCAATATTCTAAAAAGTTTGTAACATGATAGCAGAATAATAACCTTCAAAAGGAGCACTACTGAACACTAGCTCAATGATACTAATATCTTTGTTATACGCAATTTAAGACATTTTGCCATAAAATTATATGTAAGCAACTACAAAAATACTTAAAGTGTCTATATCATGTGTTTCAGCCTTACTAGAACTCATTTAGCATCATAATTTTCTTGATATAAAATAGTTTCCTTTCCCTCCTTTTCCTTGGCCATTTTGCTCTATTCTCAGTTGTTCTCTGTACCAGTACCTGCCACCGGTCTTAACATTTAAAATAATACCTGGATAATCCATTTGAATTTTGGATACAAACTTACTTGTGAGTAAAAGCTCTAATATCTTTCTGACTCTCACCATCACCTCTATCCTTTTCACCTACATTCATCTCAGATGTCCAGTACAAAGAGAGTAAAAAATCTAGAAGATATTTATGTCTGTATCTATAGCTACACCTATATATCTCTATGATCAATAAATGTATCTACATAAACATTTTAAAAACCTTTTCCATGGCAAAATAAAACAGCATATGTCAAGTCAAAAGAAATAATGAACTGGGACAGAGGGCCCATCTCCTTCATGTTTAATGAATGCCTAAACTTGGAAAAGAGAAAAAAACCTACCACCCAAAAGAAAAACGGGCAAAGGTTATGAAACAAAAGGAGACATATAATTAGTCTTTAAATGCATGGAAAGGTGTTCTTTCTCACTTGCAATAAAATCAATGTAAATTAAAACTACACCGAAGTATAATTTATTGCCTGTCAGAGTGGACTAAATTCAAAGGTTTGGCTCATACACCATTGATGAGGCTCTGGGGAAATGGGCACTTTTATAGGTTGCTGCTGGGAGTATAATATACCACCACCAATCTGGGGTTGGGGGAGAGATTTGGCAATCTAACAAATTTATAGATGCATGGACCCTTCCTCCCAGCAATCCCACTTCTAGGCACCTATTCTACACAATCACCAGAGAAAGCAAGAAATGTCATATTTTCAAGCAATACAAGGAACCCACACAAATGGGCAGCAGTAGATTGACTAATCTGTGGCATATCTATATAGTGAAGTACTATGCAATGGCAAAATGGAATATCAGATCTCTATGTACTAATATAGACAGATGCCCAGGCAATGAAAACAAAGTGCTGAAGAGGGCATGGGGCTGAGGGAAATAAGAGAGGTGCAGTGGGAGGATGAAGTCTATATATGCATAGGCTTGTATTTGCAAAAACAGGAACTCTCGAAGGATCAATAAGAATCTAATAAAGATAGTTTCTTATAGGGGAAGGGAAGGATTGTGGTTAAAAGGGCAGAAACAGACGTGAGATTCCTGTAGGTTTACTCATCCTCTTATGTCAGGAGTGGGCAAACTATGGTCTGAGGGCCAAATCGATCCTTTGCCTGTTGGTATAAATAAAGGTGTATTAGTACACAGCCATGTCCGTTCATTTGAGTATTGTCCATGGCTGTGTTTGTGCAACAATGGCACTGTTGAGTAGTTGCAGTATTGAACTGCTTGGTCCACAGAGCTGAAAATGTTTACTCTCTGGCCCTTTCCACAAAAAGTTTGTTGACCCCTATTGCTGTGTAATGAGTTTTAGCATAAGTCAAGAGACAAACTGAAGAGGATGGGATAGACTTCCGTGGTTTCTACTTTAAAAGATCTTAAGTTGAGTCCTGGCTGTCTCTGCCTCGTTACTTAGCTTTCTTCGACTTGCTTTCTTCACCTACAAAGTGATGAAGGTAATGCTGACCCCTTGGTTTTGTTATGAAGATTAAATGAAACAATGAAAACAAATGTGAAAGCACCTTGTGAACTACTATACAAACCTCAGATATTATTATTACTATTCTTTATGAGAAGGTGACAGGTAATACACACACGTAATTAGTAAAGAATTAGAATAGCCATGGCACTTAAAAACTTTGCAGCACTTAATGCAAAAGCATTACCTTAAAACTTGCATCTACATTTTAAAGCAACAATTGTATCAGCTATGGTCACATGGTAACTCAGCTCTTCCTATTCTCCACAACCAGTTAAGCCATTGTATCTGCTCATCTGACAACACTGATTCAGAGTGTAAAACCCTACTCAGGGCAAGGTCTTCAGACTGCAGTAGAATTATTTAGCCTTCAGAGAGCTCAAGAAAAATTTCTAGGCTTGAAGATACGTATCTTTACGTTCTTGAAGTTAAAATTCATCAGATAAAGTTATCTTACCATGAAGAGGGGTATATTAGTGACCAAGGGTATTTGGGAACCATCTGGGGATTATATTTGACAAATATGGAAGCAGACTTCAGTAAGACTTTCACCCTCAAAATTCGTGTTTGCATAATCACTTTAAAAAATTTAAATGTTTGAATGTATTATCTTTAAGTTAAAAGCCAGAACTTCTTTATGATAGAATTACCAGTTTTGTGGGGTTTTTTGTTTTTTGTTTTTTCTATACTCAGTGATCTTTCCTTTTCAGTCATGGAATTTGTAGTGATTGATTTTGCCATAGCATTTTAGGTTTAACTATTTTTAGGTCATACATATTTGTGAACTACTAAACTACGTTAAATTGAACTGCCAAAAGCTCACATCAAAGTTCCTTAAAATATTCATATCCTTTGGCCTGCACTTCTACTTCTGGGAAATAATATTGAGGAAATAAGGTGGCTGGGCACGGTGGCTCACGCCTACAATCCTAGCACTTTGAGAGGCTAAGGTGAGCCGATTGAGCTCAGGAGTTCAAGATCAGCCTAGGCAACATGGTGAAACCCCGTCACTACCAAAAATAAAAATAAAAAAATGCACTGGGTGTGGTGGCGCGGCCTGTATTCAGCAGGCTGAGGTGGGAGGATGGCTTGAGTCCAGGAGGTGGAGGTTGCAGTGAGCTGAGATTGTGCCACTGCACTTCAGCCTAGGTGACAGAGCCAGACCCTGTCTCAATAATAATAATAATAATAATAATAATAATAATAATAATAATAATAATAATGCTACACACACTATTGTGTTCACAGACGTATATATATGTGATGTTTGTATTAAAGGCAACAACAACAGCAACATCAAAACACTTTGTGACAATAAAAATGTCTAAAATTAAGGAATTGGTTACAAAAATTGTGGTATGGTCATTCAAAGGCCTATCGCTAGTCCTTTTATCTACTGCTGCATAACAAACCACCTGGACACTTAGTGGCTTAAAGCAAGCCATGTGTATTTTGCTCACAAGTCTGTGATTTTTGGAAGGGCTCAGTGGGTACAGCCACCTCTGCCCTATTTGGCACCAGCTGCTGTGGCTCGAAGTCTAGAGGCTGCAGTCATCTGGAGACTCGCTCATTGCGTGGCTGACAGTTGATGCTGGTTGTTGCCTGAGACCTCAGTGGGAGCTGTCAGCTGGAACATATATATACAGTTTCTCCATGTGGCTTGGGCTCCCTCACAACATGCTGTCTGGGTTCCAAGGGTGAATGTTCTAAGAGGAGGCTAGGCAGAAGTCATATCACCTTTTACAATCTCTCTTGGAAATCACATGGTGTTACTTCTGCTGGACTGAGGCAGTCATAAAACTTCACCCATGTTCAAGGTAAGGGGCCATATATTCTACCTCTTGGTGGGGCATGGTGAGGTTCAGAAAGTATGCGGGGGCGAATGGAAAGGTTGCTGTTGTCATTTTGGAGAGTACAATCACTTGTAATTATACAGTCATTAAAATGATATAGCACATCCAAATTTATTCACACGAAAGGACATTCAAATGATAGTGAATGCTGAGTTGGCAGTGTAGCTATGGTGTCATTCAGTAGAAATAACACTGGCACTTAATAGACACTCAATAAACATTTGTTGAATAAACCTTTGTGTAAAAACAAATAATATCTTTTGTTTGTGCCTATAGTGAAAACATTCTGTGAGAAGCTACATCAAAATGTTAATATGAGTTGGGCACGGTGGCTCATGCCTGTAATCCTAGCACTTTGGGAGGTGGAAATGGGAGGATCGCTTGAGCCCAGGAGTTCAAAACCAGCCTAAGCAACATAGTGAGACCCCATCTCAATAAAAAAAAATGTTAATATTGGTTATATTTCTGTGATGGGATTGCAATTTAACTTTTCTAAGATTGTGAGCTTATAATATTCTTATAATAAATGTGCATAGAAAATTAAACTGTATTTCAAAATGAACCTCAGAGGACAATAACCTGAGTTGATTGTCAGAAAGTTTGACCTAATTTCTTTTCTTTTCCTTTCTTTTTATCTTTTTTTTTTCTTTGTAGATAATTGAAACCTAATTATTATGCTCCCTGGCAAAGCACTTTTTCTTTTTTCTGCTTGTGGGAAGAATTTATTGTTCAGCTATCTGTAAGCATTTAATTGCTGCAAAGTATTTAACGGATGTAAAAATAAAAATTTTATTTTTCATTTGTGTAACACAAGAGCACCAGCAACATAAAATGCATTTTAAAAAAGATAGCTCGTTAAAATAAATATAATTTGACTCCAAATTAGTCATACCTCAGTGAGAATAATAAATAAACTCACATTTAAATCAGTGAATTAGCAGGATATAGTTCAATGGAGACAAGGATATCAGAAAAGAAAAAGCATGGTGTTCATGTAATGTTCTATGCTGTACTCTCACTACCTTTTCCCTGATCATTAATATTTTAAAAAATATATTAAAATACAACTTATTTTTGGAAGTCAAATTGCTAACTTCTCGTATAACAATACTTTGAAAGTGCTTTTAAACCAGCTTCTAGAAGTTATATATGGACAAATTTGAATGTCAGATTACCTCTCTGGTAAGAGAGCAATCCACAGGCAAAGGGTCAAATCTGGGGCATTGGGTGGAAGTTGATTAAACACACAGTCCTGAAATAATGAGAGTCATTTGTGTGAAACTAGAAGGAGAGTATAGCTTTAACTGAACTTATAGACCAGTTTAACAGTAATCAGCTTTTAGTCAACTTTGGCATACTGTGCTCAATTGTAGTCATTTTCTCTTCCTTGATCTCAACTGAAATCTCTCATACTTTACGTGAGAGCTGTTATTTCAACCCTTGAAAGGTCACTCTTCTGAAAGAATGCTTGGATGAACTCAGCCCTGATTCTCTAGAAATAAAAAGTTTCACTTCAAATGTTTCTATCAACTCTTAATGACAGAATCATTAACATCTGGCCTGGCATGGTGGCTCACACCTGTAATCCCAGCACTTTGGGAGGCTAAAGCAGGAGGATCACTTGAGGCCAGGAATTTGATACCAGCCTGGCAATATAGTGAGCCCTGTCTCTACAAAAAAGTTTAAAAATTAGCTGAGTGTGGCATGCATCTGTAGTTGCAGCTACTCGGGAGACTGAGGTGGGAGGATCGCTTGAGCTCAGGAGGTCAAGGCTGCAGTGAGGTATGATCATGCTGCTGCACTCTAGCCCGGGCAGCACAGTGAGAACTTGATTAAAAAGAAAAAAGAAAAAGAAAAAGAATGAATCTGGAAGCTACTGTCTTTGGTCCTCCTCTTTGGATTTGGACCTTCTCTCATTATTCAATTAAATATTACACGCACAGAGACATAAACACACAAGCAAGTACTCTGTGATTTAACATGTGCTTGTAGGAGTTGAAGACTAAGTTCCAGCCATTCTGGAAGGGCAGGAGATGATCTGCACAGAAGGAATTGCACGTCATCTTTTTTTTTTTTTTTTTTTTTTTTTTTTTTGAGGCAGGCTCTCAGGCTGGAGTACAGTGGCACGACGTTGGCTCACTGCAACCTCTGCCTCCCTGGTTTGAGCAATTCTCCTGCCTCAGCCTCATGAGTAGCTGGGACTACAGGCATGTGCACGACATCTGGCTACTTTTTCTATTTTTAGTAGAGACGGGGTTTCACCATGTTGGACAGGCTGGTCTCAAACTCCTGACCTCAAGTGATCCACTTGCCTCGGCCTCCCAAAATGCTGGGATTACAGGCATGAGCCACCGTGCCTGGCAGCACTTCATCCTTTAAAAAAGATTTTGTTTCGTTTTGGCTTTTTGTTTGTTTGTTTGTAAGTTAACTGCTTTAAGGAATAAATGCTCAATGTAGAAAATGTGGATATTAAAAGATCTATCTAAGAATAAAAATCACCCATAACTAAAAAATGAAGTGACAGTCACTATTAACAGTTTGATACACATACAGGCAGATAGAGATAAAATTCAACTAGTTGGGTGTATAGTGGAGGTGTATATATTTTTAAATTGTGCCGCTTGCTTGCTTGCTTGCTTGCTTTCTCTCTTTCTTTCTTTCTCTCTTTTCTTTTCTTTCTTTCTTTCTTTCTCTTTCTTTTCTTTTTTTTTTTTTGAAATGGAGTCTCTCTCTGTCACCCAGGCTGGAGTGCAGTGGCGTGATCTCCGCTCACTGCAACCTCCACCTCCCAAGTTTAAGTGATTCTCCTGCCTCAGCCTCCTGAGCAGCTGGGACTACAGGCGTGTGCCACCATGCCGGCTATTTTTTTTTTTGTATTTTTTTTAGTAGAGATGGGGTTTCACCATGTTTACCAGGATGGTCTCGATCTCTTGACCTCGTGATCTGCCCACCTCAGCCTCCCAAAGTGCTGGGATTACAGGCGTGAGCCACCGCGCCCGGCCAATTGTGTCTTTTTCTAAGTGTCATTACTTTGGAATATGTAACAACTTTATTAGGTAAAATGTGCATATTATAAAATTTACCCATTTAAAATGACTTTTAGTAAATTTGACAAGTTATGTAGCCATCATTAAAATTCAGGTTTTTAACACCCAGTAAGACCTCTTATGCCTATTTACGGTTAATTCCTGTTCCCACCCCAAGCCCCAGGCAACTCCTTCCTGTCTCTATAGATCTGTTTTTCTGGACATTTCATATAAGTGGAATCATAGTCTTTTGTGTTTGCCTTCTTTTACTAAATAAAGTGTTTTTGAACTTCATGTTGTAACATGTATCATTACTCCTTTAGTGTTTATTGCTACATAGTATTCTATTATATACATATGCCACAACTTCTATCTTTTTAAAACTAAATATCATGTCATGAATATTTTATGTCATTAAAAATTTCATGTAAATTCCCATTTCAATGGCCATAATAGTTCATTATACTATAAAGTATTAATTTTTTCTATTGCTGTGTATTTACTATTGTTGGGACTCAGAAAACAATACCCCAAAATGAAGGCCTCAGAAGCAAAAGTTTCTCTCTGACCTTCTCCTTCCCTTCTGTCTCTCAGTCACATTCTCCCTTGAGGCTAGCCATAGAAACTAGAATCCTTCTTCCCCAAGGTGGATCATAGAAACCAAAACTGCTTTTCCCCAAAGCCAGCCATAAAATCTAAAAATATCACTCTAACTTTCCCTCCACCTTATCTGTGTAAAAACTGGCCATAACGAAATTCCCTGACATACCTTGTTTGACTGTAGGTCATAACACCCCCATTCCAGAGAGGGTCTTGCCTTACACCCAGAAGGAAGGAACGCTGCTCAGAGAGGCCAAGAAGAATCTAGACAGACAGGCCTTGCTGGGTTTCCACACTCAGTCCATTAGCTTTAGATCAGGCCCTTTTTGTCCAACCCTGTTTCTACACGCTGTCCGTGCTTTGTTGAACCTAAGCATAAAAATGGATAATTTCCCCTGTATCTTTGGGCCTTCCTTCTGAAGGCTCCTATTTGTATACATTAAATACATTTGTGTGCCTTTTCTCCAATTAATCTGTCTTTTGTGAGTTGATTTTTTCAGTGAAACTTCAGGGGACCCCTCGGCCCCTACACCCCACATACTCATACACACACACACACACACACACACACACACACACACACACACTCACCCCTACCTGTGTAGTACAAGATGGAAAGAAATAGGGTGGGATGCAGAGACACAAATCCAAAATTAGGTTTCTATCCAGTGGACCAGTGGATGAGAAGGTTTGTGTTTAACAAGGATGTGTCTGTGCCTCTTGCAGTTTCATGAGAATGTGAGCCATCTGGGAATCTGGTTAATGTGAAGACTCTGATCCTGTGGGTCTGGGGCATTGGGATGTGAGTCACTATCATCACCATGGCTCAGAGTCTGTGATCTTGAGAGCTGATGGTGGTGCTGACCATCCTTCTGGGGAAGGGGGTTTGGTGTCACCATCAACCCTTAAGGCTCGGGTGTGCTGGCTGGGCAGGGGGCTGTGTCTAAGGGGTTCGGGGTCAATGGATTAGGTTCCACCTTCTTCATCTCTTATATGCCCAAGAGACTAGGCTTCATCATCACCAATATCTTCTGCATAGATCTAGTGTTGGTCAACATGGATGACTCACTTCCAGGTTTACTGAGACCAGCAGCTTCCCACATACATTGACTACCTTTCTTATGCCCACAACATGGCCCCCACAGATGTAAAACTATGATCAAATAAAATTGTATGCCTTTTCTCCTATTAATCTGCCTCTTGTCTGAAATTTTCAGCAAACCTCCACAGGGCAAGGGTAAAGCTTTCCCTTAGTCCCAACACTATTATAAAAAATACTTTGTTGTTGCAGATTGAGGTCTCCAGAAACACATGCTGAGGTGGAATTTGGGGTGAAGATACTTACTAGAGATCCACATCAGTAAAGAGAAGGGGGAAGAAGCAAGATTGGGCAGACAAAGCAGCCAAACTGCAATCCAGGCCCTACAAATCCTTGGACAACCTGGCTGAGAGCTCTGGAACAAGCGTTGCAGATCAGAATTGTCTCATGTGGGATATAGATGGTTGTGTCTTTATGTCCCTGTCTTTCTCAGGCATCAGATGCAGGCTGCTCTGGGAAGCAGGGGACATTGGGTGAAGTGACTCTCTATAATTGTGCAGCCTCTGAGCTGTGACCTTATGGGTGGAGGTGTCTGTGGACCCCATTCCAGGAGTGAGATAGCAAGTCCTTCCTTGGAAGGGGATCTTGGCAGTGCATCTTTGTGTTTGCCCAACCCTTGGAATTGCCCGTCTAATATCCACTGTTACCTTTATTTTGACTAACAGAACACCCAAATTTCATTTGCAGCTCCGGTGTTTTACATATTCTCTGCCCTGACCTCCTTCAGAGGTAGGAAGGACCAAGTAACATAGTTGGGCCAAATAGATAGAGCCATAAATTTCTAGATAATTTTATCTAGACACGATAATTTTATCAATAAAAGAGACAAAACCTCCCAAGGATGAGTCTTTTGTCTCTTAAATTTCTCCCTTTTTCCTGCCTGGAACTTGAGACTATGAAGACAAAAGTCAGCCTAAAGAAGGCAGGGCAAGAAGCTACCTGGGTGATTTTCTCAAACAACTGTATCGGCTTGGGACTGCCAAATGCCTGGCTTCTTGCACGAGAAAAATACCCCCATCACCTTCTTTTGTTCAATTCAGTATGGTAGGGTTTCTGTTACAGGCAGCCAAATGTAGTCCTGTCTGGAACAGTATGTTAGATATGTTAGCATATACAGTAGATGTGCATTTGTGATTATTTCTTTCAGATTGAGTCCAAGTGAGAATGGTGAGTCAAAATATTTTTAAAGTTCTTTGTGCCTATTGCGAAAGCTTTACAGGAGGGTTTTACATATTTTATTTTAATCAGTAGGACATGAGATTTTCTTACTGAATTATGCCAACATTAAACATTTTTTAAAAAGACAGGGTCTTGTTCTGTCACCCAGTCTGGAGTGCAGTGACGTGATCATGGCTTGCTGCAGCCTTGACCTCCCAGGCTCAAGCAATCCTCTCACCTCAGCTTTCTGAGTAGCTGAGACCACAGGTGCTTGCCACTATGCCTACCTACTTTTTTTTCTATTTTTTGTAGAGATGGGGGTCTCCTTATGTTGCCCATGCTGGTCTTGAACTCCTGGACTCAAGTGATCCTCCTCCCGTCGCTTCCCCAGAGTGCTAGGATTACAGGCATGAGCCACTGCTCCCAGCCAATGCCAATATATTTTTTTCTTTTTGAGATGAGATCTTGCTATATTGCCTAGACTGGTCTCAAACTTTTGGCCTTAAGTGATCTTCCTACCTCAGCCTCCTACGTAGCTGGGATTACAAAGTGTGAGGCACGTGCTGGCTAAACATTTTTTTAAAATCTCTTTTATTAGGAGAAAGAGGATAGAATCACATTGCATTCTTAAATGTATACACTTTGATAATTTATGAGGTTATAAAATATTTTTATTTCCTTTTCTCTAAATTATCTATTCAAAAGTATTTTTTCCCATTTTTGTAACCAGCATTTTGGTACTTTTCTTATTAGTTTGAGCTCTTTATATAAGGATATTACTTCTATCCTCTTTCTGACAAATATTTTCCTCCTTTTTGTTGCTTGCCTTTTAATTTCATTCTTACTACTTTTTATCTTTCAGAAGGCAGAAAATTATGTTCACAAATATAGCATCAACTGTTTTGTTATTTTGTCTACGGTACTCACACCTAGACCATCCTTCCATATTTAGTGAACAAAGAAATGTACAAATCAATTTTGTCTTTTTAAAATAATTTTGCTTTTTTTCACTTGATTATTGAATTCATCTTTAATTAGTTTGTGGCATGAGGTGAGATTCAATTTTTTTTCTCAAACAGCCAATTTTCTTCATACCCATATGTTGAGTAATCTGATGGTATATGTTAAATTCATATACTGTATTATAGGAGAGACAATGCCATATGTTAAGCAAATCCCTGTCTCTTTCCCACCTTGGCACATATGAATTGAGAAAAGAAAAAGTTCAGAACAGTCTGAGCTATGTGAGGTCTGCAAAATTTATCAGGCCATACACTGTTCTTTGTGTCACAAAAATACCTATCCTCTGGCTTTTTTCTGAAAAAGCTTGTTAACCGCTGGCCTAGTCTGTATTTATTTCTCTATCTTATTTGGTGGATGGATGTTGAGTATCCAGCAGAGGATTTTGAGGATCTAGCAGGATACAGAGCTACTAGATGGAGGGAATGTGTGCCCCATTTGACAGAATGGGACAAAGTTCCCTAATGACTTCACTGAATTCTGATTAGATTATGTTACACCACTGAGGTGTTCAGACTTTACATGTGTTAATTATCTGTATCTGTATTAGTTCGTTCTCACACTGCTATAAAGAACAACCTGAGACTGGGTAATTTACAAAGAAAAGAGGTTTAATTGACTCACAGTTCTGCATGGCTGGAGAGGCCTCAGGAAACTTAACGATCATGGTGTAAGGCAAAGGGGAAGCAAGCACCTTTATCACATGTTGGAGCAGGAGAAAGAGAGAGGGTGAAGGGGGAAGTGCCACACTTTAAAATCATCAGATCTCATAAAAACTCACTTACTATCACAAGAACAGCACAGGGGAAATCCGCCCCATGATCCACCTCACCTCCCATCAGTTCCCTCCCCTGACATGTGGGGATTACAATTTGACATGAGATTTGGGTGGGGACACAAAGCCAAACCATATAAATATCTATATCTATGTATATTTATACCTACATTTATATCTATACCTACACCAAAACTTATGTCCACACCTATATATCCATATCTATACCTAAATCTCTATCTGCCTGTCTAGTCTTTTTTTCTGGGCTTTGTATTCTAGTCTTGTGATATCACCGTGTTTCAAATGTTGTAGATTTTTTTTTTTTTTACCTCTTCCTCTCCCCTTCCAAATGTAGATTTATAGTGCCTCTTCATGTGGTAGGGCCAATTTCCTTCTCCTTACACATTTTTTCCCCTTTTATTGGCTGTGCTTTCATGTCAATTCTTTTGGCCTAACTTTAGGATCATTTTGTCAATATCTGGAAAGAATTTCATTGAAATTGCTTCAAAAGAATTTAATTAGAGAATTGGGCTAAATCCTAAAAGACAAGTACTCTTTATAGACAGAGAAAATAACATGTGTAAAAACTTGGAGTGTCCAGAAAACAGGAAATTTGGAGTGCTTGTTAACTCTTGGATTCATGTCTAAGGAGTGACAGGAAATGAGGGGCAGGGTGGGTGGGAGGCAAGTTATGACAATACCAACAACAATGACAACCCTCAGTTAGACTTTCAGCTAACTGTAATCAAGATGCTGAGAGTTGTTCAAGCATTACCTCAGTTAATCCTTCCCAAATATCTATGAGGTCAACACGATTTGCAACTCCATTTGACAAAGGAGACTTGGGCTTTGAGGTGTTAAGTACCTGGCTAGAGATCTCTTGGCTAGCAAGTAGTAGAGTCAATATTACAATTCAATTCAGCCTGACTTCAAAAAGCAGTATTTCCAAACCGGGCTAAAATGATTCCAATACATCATGTATGCAAAAAGAAACCATTGAAAGATTATAAGAAGAGAATCGTAAGAAGAGATTTGCACTTTGTGACAATAAGGCTGTTAGCGTTATCCTTCTAAAATATGAATTCAAGAAACTAGGTATAATGGTGGCTACTTTAGCAACATCATATTCCTACTGCTTGTATAATTGAAATCTTAATGACCAGTGCTCACCACCGACTTCAGTCCTACAATATGTGGTTACCAAGCATTCAGTCAGGCTTCCCCTTCAAACCACTTACTACATTTGAGGTGAAGTCTATTCTTTGGGTTCAGGTCCTGTGTGATCTTGGGTGAATCACTGTACCTCTTGGTGCCTCAGTTTCCTCACCTGCATACTCAGAGGGAGGGACTAGAGATCTGTAAGGCAGTTTTCCCAAGTACTGCTCCATGTCAAAGGATTCCCTGGTCTAAATCGAAATGGGCAAAATAAGAACCATATACAGAGTTGTTCTTGGAAGGCAATTTATTCAATGGAAAGGACTCTCTTTTATTCTGAGATTGTACCAGTTACACTTTTGTGTTGTTAGGCATTCTTTTTAGTGCTTTGAAATGATGGTGATAGTGGATGGCATCTCTATTTGTGATGGCTTTTACTGGAATCCCTACCACTGTCTCCTTGTGATTTAACTCACAGGCCCAGGATCCTCAGGAGTGTGGGAACTACATTCTGGCAGTCTTCTAATACAATATTTTAGCTCAGTGCTGTCTAATAGAAAAATGTGAGCCATATACAGCATTTCAAATTTTCTAGTGGCCACATTATAAAAGTAGGAAGAAACATGAAATTAATTTTAATAGTGCATTTTATTTAACTCAATATATATCCATAATACAATAATTCCAACATATAGTCAATATAAAAATTATTCATGGGCCAGGTGCAGTGGCTCACACCTGTAATCCCAGCACTTTGGGAGGCCAAGGCGGGCAGATCACCTGAGGTCAGGAGTTCGAGACCTGTTGTGGGAAGTCAGGGACCCTGAATGGAGGGACCAGCTAGAGCTGAGGCAGAAGAACATAAATTGTGAAGATTTCATGGACACTTATCAGTTCCCAAAATTAATACTTTTATAATTTCTTATGCCTGTCATTACTGCAATCTCTGAACATAAATTGTGAAGATTTCATGGACATTTATCCCTTCCCCAATCAATAGTCTTATAATTTCTTAAGCCTGTCTTTACTTTAATCTCTTAATCCTGTTATCTTCATAAGCTGAGAATGTACGTCACCTCAAGACCATTATTGTACAAATTGATTGTAAAATATGTGTGTTTAAACAATATGAAATCAGTGCACCCTGAAAAAGAACAGAATAACAGCGATTTTCAGGGAACAAGGAAAGATAACCATAAGGTCTGGCTGCCTGCAGGGTCAGGCAGAATAGAGCATATTTTTCTTCTCACAGAAAGCCTATAGATGGATGTGTGAGGAGGAGAAATATCGCTGAATTCTTTTCCCAGCAAGGAATGTTAATAATTGATACCCTGGGGCAGGAATGCATTCCTTGGGGGAGGTCTATGAATGGCCGCTCTGGGAGTGTCTGTCTCATGCTGTTGAGATAAGGACTGAAATACACCCTGGTCTCCTGCAGTACCCTCAGGCTTGCTAGGATTGGGAAATTCCATCTTGGTGAATTCTAGTCAGACTGGTTGTCTGCCCTCGAACCCTGTTTCCTGTTAAGATGTTTATCAAGACAATGTGTGCACAGCGGGACATGGACCCTCATCAGTAATTCTAATTTTGCCCTTGCATTGTGATCTTTTATTGCCCTTTGAAGCATGTGATCTTTGTGACTTACTTCCTGTTCGTACACCCCCTCCCCTTTCAAAATCCCTAATAAAAACTTGCTGGTTTTGCGGCTCGAGGTTGCCATCACGGTCCTACTGATGTGAGATGGCACCCCTGGAGGCCCAGCTGTAAAATTCTTCTCTTTGTACTCTTTCTCTTTATTTCTCAGACCAGCCAACACTTAGGGAAAATAGAAAAGAATATACGTTGAAATACTGGGGGCTGGTTCCCCCGATAGAGACCAGCCTGGCCAACATGGTGAAACCCCATCTCTACTAAAAATACAACAAAAATTAGCCAGGTGTGGTGGCGGGTGCCTATAATCCCAGCTACTTGGGAGACTGAGGCATGAGAATTGCTTGAACCCGGGAGGCAGAGGCTGCAGAGAGCTGAGACCATGCCATTGAACTCCAGCCCGGGCAACAAGAATGAAACTCCATCTCAAAAAAAAAAATTATTCATGAGGTACTTTACATTCTTTTTTTGTAGTAAGTCTTTGAAATCTGGTGTGTATTTCACACTTACAGCATATATCACATTGAATTCACTATATTTCACATACCCCATAGTTATGTGTAGCTAGTGGCTACCATATTGAACAGGTCAAGTCTAGAATTATAATTCAGAAAATAGTGTAGCTTCAGGCATCTTATGGTGGTTTTTACATGGCTCACCTTCAACATGTTGGTTTTTCCCAGAGCTTCATATTTCTTTCTCCTTCAGTCTTTAGTTGAATGAGACAAAAGGATAGTTCGAAGGTAACTAATCAACACTTCTTCCCCAATGATGAGTAGAAACTGAATTCACTATTCCTTCCCACCAACTCTTCCTCTAGCCTGACTTCCTTATCTCTAACGATCCTGTTTCAAGTAGTTTACATATTCCATTATTTTCCTGCCCTTAAATTTCTATGATGCCCCCTCTGATCGATTTGTTTATAAAAAATAAATTTTGTAAGAAAGATGCAGTAAGTTTGACTAAACACAATATATACTCTAACTAATTTAAGGTGTTTTAACTTTTTTTTTTTTTTTTTTTGAGATGAGGGCTGGCTCTGTTGCCCAGGCTAGAGTGCAGTGGTATGATCATGGCTCACTGCAGCCTCGACCTCTTGGGCTCAAGTGATCCTCCTACCCCAGCCTTCCAAGTAGCTGGGACCACAGGTGTGCACCACTGCACTTGGTTAATTTTTTTTTTTTTGGAGACAGGGTCTCACTGTGTTGCCCAGGCTTGTCTTGAACTCGTGGGCTCAAGTAATTCTCTTGCCTCAGCTTCCCGAAGTGCTGGGATTATAAGCGTGAGCCACTGCACCTGGCCCTTAACTTTCACATTATTATTTTTTGACATCCAGAGGAATCCTTTAAAATAGGGATGATGGATATTAACAGTTCTAGCTTTGGAGAAAGAAATATATATTCAGAGAGGCTAAATGACTATCAAATATACATAGCTTGAGTACATCTATTTTTAGGATTAGACATGTTGATATTTAAAATCTGAATGAATATTACCATGTATGTATGTGTGTGTGCTTATATTTGGTTGATTCCTTCCACAAGTATTTATCAAGTATCTATTATGTGCTAGTCTACTGTTCTAGATGATGACTTCACACTAATAAACAGAAAGTCAGAGCTATTCCTGCCTTCCCAGAAGTTATAGTTTATTTGGAAAAACAGACACTAAACTTGCGAGGACAGTGAAGTGAATGAGACCTACGGAATGGGAGGTAAAAGTAGCATTAGGGAATGAAGTAGCAAAACCTAACCTCTTCTATGGTTCCTTGGGGACTCACTCAGAACCCAAGAGTTGGCATAAAGATTATTTTAACCTGAAGTCATTTGAGAGTCAACAGATGCAGAAAGAAGTCTTTGTGGAGCTTCCTTTTTCTGACTGAAAGCAGAAACTTCTGAGTAATGAGGACTGCCACAGATTCTTTCTTTGGGGCAGCCTCTACTCCCAGGAGAGAGACAAAGAGTAAACCTACCATAAATTCCCTCTCTGGGGGAGTTTCATGGCCACGAAGAAGATGGAAACACCAATCTCACTTATATAAACAAACATTATCACAAACTTTCTTCTCTCCTGTTGGTTTTCCTAAAAAGCCGTTTGTTTCTTTTAAATAAGCCTATTTGTTCTTTCCATAGAAGCCTTTTCTCCACTCTTTATTTCCCCTAACAAGCTAGGTATATAAGCCCCAAATTCTAACCACCCCTCTGAGTTATACATCACTGAGCACTCCTGCATGCACAATGTGTGTGTAAATAAATTCTGTCTCTTCTGTTGGTAATCTGTTTTGTCAGTTTAAATTTGCAAGTCCCCAGGCACCAAACCTAAGAGTGTAGGGGAAAAGTTTTTCCTCTCCAACCATTTTTTTCCAGAGGAATCAACTTTTGCGAAGGGTAAGTCGGAATTAGCCTAGTTGGGTGGGAGGGATGGTGGAGAAAGTGTTCCAGGAAAACACTTGTACAAAGACCAAGAAATAAGAGAGACAAACACTTGGGGCAAAGGACTTGAGAGACGTTCACTAGTGCTGGATTGCGAATTTTACAAAGCATGGTGAAAAAATAGATGGAGTTGAAAAATGCCTTTGCAAAAATTTTAACAGTGTGAAAATTATGACACTAAGAGAAATCTGACATAATTGACTCCATCTTGCCCTTAAACTGCCCTTGGTCCTCCAAATGGCCCTTGGTCATTCCTGGGCTTGGGCCAAGCTACCTTTGGGAGAAACTTAGTTTATAGTTTAAATGATAATAGCCCCTCCCCAAAATGAAACTGCCCTTGTAAAACTAATGAAAGGCCACCAGGTTAGGACGATGAGAGGGGCCTGAAGTCTGCTAAGATATAGAGTAGGTAAATGATTACCAGCCATTATTTGGGGGGCCACAAGATTTGCAACTTCCCCAATTACTCCTGTAATTAACATTACTATTATAGAACCTAAGATTGGCCCCTTTTCCTTTTTGAGACAGGTTCTCATTCTCTTGCCCAGGCGGCAGTGCAGTGGTGCAGTCATGGTTCACTGCAGCTGCCACCTCCTGGGCTCAAGCAATCCTTCTACCTCAGCCTCCCGAGTAGCTGGGACTATAGGCACACACCACCATGCCCAGTGAATTTTTCTGCATTTCTTGTAGAGATGGGTTTTCACCATGTTGCCCAGGCTGGTCTCAAATTCCTGGGCTCAAGCGACCCACCTGCCTTGGCCTCCCAAAGTGCTGAGATTATAGGTGTGAGCCACCATGCCCAGCCTAAGATTGGCCTTTTGAGGTATCTTTTCAGGCTTTTGCATTTCTGACTATTGAATGCCCATCTTCCACATCCTTATGATTACATTCACAGCCCATCAGCAGCACCTATACCCTAGCCCCCTGCCCACCAAAGTATTTTTGAAAAACCCTAGCCTCTAAATTTTCAGGGAGTTTGATTTGAGTAATAACTCCATTTCCCACATGGTGTGGCTGGCCTTGTCAATTAAACTCTTTCTTTACTGCAATGCCATAGTCTCAGCGGACTGATTTTTGTCTGCGCAGCAGGCAGGAAGAACCCATCAGGCAATTACAGAGTTGGAGGAATAGGCAGGGGCTAGACTGTGCTGTCTAATACAGTAGCCACCAGCTCCATGTAGCTATTGATCATTTGAAATGCAGTGAGTCTGAAATGAGAAGGGATGTAAATATAAAAATACACAGTATGAAAAAAAGCAAAATATCTCCTTAGTAAATTTTTAAATATTGATTATGTTATAGTAGGTGGTTAGTCAGACAGAAGCAGGGCAGGAGAGCCCCCCGCCACACACACACAATGAGGAATGTCAGGCAACCATCAGGTGATGGTCAGGTGGTTGTTAACTGTCTCTCTAAAATAATAATTGGTTATACCCAGTGCCAGGGAAAGACAGCCTCCCAATACATAGAAAACACCTAAAACTGGTCATCAGCAGCTTCCTGATAAGATCTCAGGAGTTGGGCGAGTGGGCTCAAGCATGCACACTAAGAGGAAAAATGGCAGAATTTAACTGGTATATGACCTTCGTCTAGGATCACTCGACTAGAAAAGGGAAAAATGCCTCAAGTGAGCATGTGCATCACTTCAGTAAACACACTATGCATGCAGCAACTCCCAAATGCTAGCAGGCCTCTGTGCATGTGGACAGCCCTCCCCAAGGGAAGAAGCAGGGGAGAAGAGATGCAACACTGAAGCATGCCAATATATAAAACCCCAGGTCAAAGGTCAAACAATGTACTTGAATCTCTCAAGTCACCTGCTTTGCCCTCTTCCAAGTGTACTTTACTTCCTTTCATTCCTGCTCTAAAACATCTTGATAAACTTTCACTCCTGCTCTACAACTCGCCTCAGTCTCTCACACTGCAGTTATGCCCCCTTGGTCTAAGTCTTTCTTCTGAGGAAGCAAGAATTGAGGTTGCTGCAGACCCATACGGATTCACTGCTGCTGACAATTACATGTTGAAATGATAATAACTTGAATATATTGGGTTAAATAAAATATATTATGACAATTAATTTTAATTGTTTTAATGTTGCTACCTGAAAAATTTTAATACATATGTGGCTGGCATTATATTTCTATTGGACAGCACTGCTCTAGACCAGGAAGCACCTGGAAAGCTAAGTTAGGACTTGTTTGTAGAACAATGATGTATCCAAAAATAACATTAACTATAAGTGGTCACGATCAACAATTTTCACCCAACTATATGCTGGCTAATGATCACCTTGTTTGGAACAAACAGGAGGCTGACCTTGTCCATAATCTCTGTTTTTAAAAAGTCATTATTAGTGCAATTCCAATCTCAGTAAGAAATCTTTACTTTCTTATACATTGGCTACCCTCCTGCCTCCACTTCAATAGGCATAGGGTGTAGGAACACCTCTAGGACTCCAATACCATTTCTCCCACTTATGAAAAAGTTGAGAGATTGGAGATTCCTTTAATTCAGAAATCTACCAGGTGGTTTTGCTTTTTAGTTACAAAAATCTGCTACTCCCTCCAAGAAGTAGAAACAAAGGATTCGCAGGGCTACTCTCAGTGGGTGAAAATGCTGACTATTCTACAAAAGGACACCACTGCCAGCTCTTAATAGCTCTTTAATGATCCGTCCAAGAATCAACATTGAAAGGACTGGATCTCAGAATGCCTCAGAGGATGTTCCCCAAATTCATATTAGTCCAAACAAAACCAAAAGAAATATTGAGAAAAACCAAAAGAAGCTTGGAACAGGGCAATTGAGGGAAGAGAATTGTCTCCGAATTAGCAGGAATCTTCAGAATAAGGAGAGAAGATGATTTATTCATGATTGCCTGTGTGCATTCATCACTGATGACTTTTTTCCATGAAAAATCTGCTCTAATGAGGCTAATTAAAAAAAAGCTCAAATATCTTTACTCATGATTCAGTGTGGTTGCTTAAAAGCACATAAGATTTTTACGAATTGATTGAAGGTTTTGGTCTCTTTCTAAATATCTGGCATGGCGTCTGCGGGTGTCCTGCCAGTGGTGGTTTGTTTTTGGAGCCGTGGTTGGGCAGCAGGGGGTGGCTGTGTGCTGACATGTGGTGTATGGTGATTGAAAACAGGGTTTCTCCATGACAGCACCACAGACATTTTGGACTGTCCTGTGCATTATAGAACGTTTAGCAGCATCCCTAGCCTCTACCCACCAGATGCCAGCAGCATCCCCCACATCTCAGTTGTGACAATCAAAAATGTCTCTAGAATTTGACTAATGTCCCCTGGGGGAAAGAATCACCCCCACTCTCACTCTGTTGAGAACCACTGATGTAACCCCTTGAAATATAGTATGTAGAGAGGCATAGACTTCAAAGTATTGATGTGGGCTTCCCCAATTATTTCTTATTCCTCAGTGCTATGATGCATATCTTTAATTGCGTGTTTCTAAAATATTTCTAGTAAGTTGAACAATGATGGAGAGAGCATGTTTTCCATTGAGCCATGACCTCATCAGGCAGGCTGAGATTTGAGCCATGGTCTGGAGGGACCATTTACTCTGGTCACATGTTGACATTCTGATGTGGTGACACCTGCCCCCCATCCCTGCAACCATCCAGAAAAAACAGAGAAATGAAATAGCCTCATAACACCAACTTGTGTTCGCCCTTGAATTAAATGTAAATGATGATCTGCCTTAGTTTTTAAAAAACGGATCTCATTTAAATGCACAGCTTATGTCTTATATACATAGTTATGTCTTATGCACAGCTAATATCTTATGCACAGCTTATGTCTTATGCACATGGTTCTGGGCAGCCAGTTCACATTTCATAGTAAGGTAGGCTGAATCTATATGGGCATGCTATTCTGAATGTTGTACTAAAGGTGATTCAGGAAGGGTAATGGAGCACCATTTTATAGCCAGGGAATCAATATCCTCAGTGCTCCCACTTCTCACTTGTACAATCATTTCCCCATTGAAAGATATCAGAATATGCCACCACAAAATATGCTACTTTGTCATAAGGATTATTTTGAGCTGAAGGCAATTGAGAAACAGCAGATGCAAAAAAAAAGAAGAAAAAGAAAAAAAAAAAAAAAACACCGCAGTTTCCTCCTTCCTCCTTCCCCGTAAAGGCAGGGAATGCAGGGAATACATTTTCCTTTGTGAAAGTGTCCCCTCTCCTTTTTTCTTGTACCAGAAAGAGGAGACAACTTCTATTACTGGAGATCACAAGAATTTAAATCTGCATAAACAAATAAACCTTACTAAAATAACCCTTGTCTTCCATTAGTTTCCTCCATGTATCTACCTTCCTACAATGTACTGCCCCTAGCAGCCCCAAACCCTTTCCTTTCACTTGTTATTTTTTCATACATTTATTTCCCTTTGCTAAAATGGTATATAAGGCCCTGGCTCTGACTACTTCTTTGGGGTTTTCACTTCATTTCTGTGAGATCCCCAATGCTTATATGAAATAAACTCCATTTTCCTTTTAATCTTTTTTTTCAAGTTTAGTTTGCAAGGCCCTGGTCACTGAATCTAAGAGGTTAGAGGAAAAATGATTTTTTTCCTTCTCAACATGATGTTGGCCCTGGGAAGGGGCCACCAAGGTGGATGCACAACAGACTAAATTGACAAAACGTGCTGCAGTTGTGCAAATAAATGGGACTGATATCTTCTATCTAGGGAAAACTTTATAAACACTTTTATTCCACCATCTGGCCTCAGCACTTTTAACCATCATTAAATAACTAAATCTCTGGGCAGCTCTCCCCTTATTTTCTATAAGGAGTTGTCCTTTTGAGAAACCGTTCCATTGTAAACTGAAGGCTGCAGTTTGGAGCTTTGACCCTGTAAAATTTGTTTGGAGGCTCACATTGGACTCATCACTTGTTTTCTCTGGCCCTGTATTGATAGAAGGGGCTGATCTTTCCCTGGAGCAGTTACTTGAGCTTGCCCCTTTTTCCTGAGTAATTATGTTGTACTTCTTGCTGGTGTCACCCTTAGTCTCTGTGAGGCAAAATAAATTTCTGGACATCACAGAGTCTACAAATTAAGTCAGATAATCACAAATACAGTCTTCAAATATGTTAAAGCACTGTCTAGATCTTTTTACGGTGTGCAGTTTTTAGATAGACACTTGTATGTAGATTAGGAAAAGTGGCTAGCTCAATACTTTTTTTTTTTTTTGAGATGGAGCTTCACTCTTGTTGCCCAGGTTGGAGTGCAATGGGGCGATCTCGGCTCACTGCAACCTCCGCCTCCTGGGTTCAAGTGATTTTCCTGCCTCAGCCACCCGAGTAGCTGGGATTACAGACATGTGCCACCACGCCCGGCTAATTTTGTATTTTTAGTAGAGATGGGGTTTCTCCATGTTGGTCAGGCTGGTCTCGAACTCCCGACCTCAGGTAATCTGCCTGCCTTGGCCTCCCAAAGTACTGAGATTACAGGCGTGAGCCACCATGCCTGGCTAGCTCAATAGTTTTAATAAAGTTTTACTGTAATATAGTTGTAAGGTAAAGTTATCCTGCAACATAGCAAAAACCTGTTATAATTTTCCTTATATTTAATGTATTTTATACTTATGGGCTGTAAAAAATATGAGTATAGAAGATAGGGTAGCCAGGCATGATGCCTCATGCCTGTAATTTCAACATTTTGGGAGGCAGAGGTGGGAGAATCACTTGAGCCCAGGAGTTCAAGACCAGCTTAGGCAACATGGTGAGTCCCCATCTCTACAAAGAATACAAAAATTAGCCGGCCATGGTGGCATGCACCTCTAGTCCCAGCTACTCAGGAGGCTGAGGTGGGAGGATCACCTGAGCTCTGGGAGGTTGAGGCTACAGTGAGCTATCATGGCACCATTGCACTCCAGCCTGGGCAACACAGTGAGACCCTGTCTCAAAAAAAGAAAAAAGAAGACGATAGAATAAAAAGAACTTTCCAAAAAGTTCTTTACATTTAGGAGAGCATGACTTCAAATGATAGATTAAGGGGCACAATCTTATGTAATTCTGGGGCAGAGAAAAGAGGAAGCAGCTTTAAGACATCTTAGGAAAAAAACTAAATTTGCCTTCAATAAATACAATTAAAGGAGAATCAAATTTTTGACTGTTTGGAAAAAAGACCAGGTCTCTCCTACTCTATGATGATGTGGAGTCTACATGTGCAATAATAATGTTCTTTTGTGACATCGTGGGAAAAATGAATTTGGAGACTTTAGCATTACTTTAAAAAATGCCATCTACAAACAATGTTGAATTATGAAGACAAAAAGTCATTTATTTTGGTAACTAAAGAGCAGCTTACAAGCCTGGACACAAACCATTGAGAATGTAGTGATGAAACACTTACTTACTTTTTTGTTTTTTTTAAATGTAAAATCCAGAACAGGCAAACCATCAAGCTGGAAAAAGAAATTAATATAACCTCACAGGCAAGAGGAAAAGTAAATACTCACTCTAAAGCAGCCGCTGTTGATGCAAGCAAAGGTTAGAGCAACATGGCTGTTTTCTAACAAAGTGTGAATCCCATTAGTGCTGAAGTGTTATCCCTTCCTTAGTTCTTACATCGCAACCAGAACAGATTTAGGATTTTACTTCCATCTGCATCTCAAGGCTGGTAAATAGGACCCATGAAGATGTGCAAAAGTGGTGAAGCCATTCAAAAAACTTTGACGTATACACAATAGACAGTGGCCAAAGTCTGCTCAAACACCCCTTTAGCATGCTTAGAAGGACAAAATAGGGAGTTGGCCTCCCCCAGTTTCCCAGCTTCCCCTGCGACCCCCATTGTCTCTTCCCAAATACACAATGATGCCATTCCGTGGCTGGTAAATGAGAAACGGAGCACTTGGAAAAGTTTCTTTGGGAAGCTCAGAATTTAAACTTTGTTCTATTTAAAGAAGAAGGTGGAATTAGAGGAGATGCGGCAGCAGTTAAAAGAGTAAAACATCTGGAAGTTATCAACACTTGCTTATTTGTGTGCCCAATACCAAGGTGATATACTAATTTTAATATTGTAGTCAATTGGACATTGGTTGTTTATTATAGCAGCTCATATGCAAATACTTGTATTCATTTTTCCCTGGATCAAAACCTGTCAAGTATGTCTCCTAAGCCAGATTGAGTCATTGAGCAGAACCAAATAAAATCACAAAATAAAGTTACCTATTCTCATAAAGAAAACTCCAGTGTAAGAAAAGCTCATACCTTGGCAAAGATTTTCAACGTGGTTGCAATCAAGTCATTTTCCAATTGCATAAGTAAATAACATTGACCACAAGAAATATTCTGCCAGAAGTACATAGTTGCTATGATTTTTAAAAATGAAAGGTGTAAAGCTAAGTGTTCAAATTCAAAATTATTGCAATCATGTTTCTGCACTGAATGCATGCAGTGAACATATAATTATGCCACTCTGCATTTAATGCAAAGAATATTTCTATCTTAAGGAAAAAGTGTCTAATTCCCAACTGCACAGAACTGTACCAACTTGCCAAGAATAAGGAAATACAAAATCCACTGGAAATAACATTTGGTTGTTCACATTAGCATTGAAGACGACTGTGGTTTCGAAATTTCCCTTTTTTTAATTACAGTGAGTAAACTATTTGGCCAACTCTCTTTGGGCAGCTCAATTTTCATCCTAGCTCACTGGCCTGAAAATGAAGCTGTCAAGAGTCCTAGGTTGAATTTGTTTTTGTGAGAAGAACGTTTAGTATAGTATGTCTTCAAAAATCGTGGAGAATCTGTTCAGAAAGATGTATCTTCTTTAAACTGAGTCTGATGAATAGTTTTATTATACAAACTGAAGAAGATCTGTGTGAAAAGTTCCTTAAAAAATTTAAATCACATATACACCAAGACATATTTTAGTTATCTTATTTGTCTTTAATTACACATCCTTATCAGAATCTATGAGCAAGTTGAATAAATATCACTGTGTTTTTCGAAGGCAAACTCACATTTGCACCAATACAAATTATTTTTCCATGTTCATTTAACCACCAGGAAAGTTAGTTGATAGTTATCAAAAACTCTATTGGACAGTTTACTCTTTTCTACAAATAATTAACATTATGGACTAAATGTTTGTGTCTTCCCCAAATTCGTATGTTGAAGCCTTAACCCCCAGTGGGGTTGTATTGGAGTTGGGGCTTTTATGAAGTAATTAATGTTAAATGAGGTCATAAGGGTGAGGCTCTGATCCAGCAGGATTAGTTTCCTTATAAGAAGAGACACCAGAGAGCTTGTTCTCTCTCCACGAGGACACACTGTGGAAAGGTAATGTGAGGCTGCAGCGAGCCAGGAAGTGAGTTCTCACCTAAAATGGAATCTGTGGACACCTTGATCTTGGACTTTCCAGCCTCCAGAACTGTGAAAAAAATGTCTGCTGTTTAAGCCATCCAGTCTGTAGTATTTTGTTATGGCAGTCCAAGATGACTAATACAATGAACAACATAATTTATTACTAGAGATATATTTTAGTTAGTAACTTGTCACTACATTACGGTTTCAGGAGCAAACAAAAAGTGTGCCAAGATTCAAGAAGAAAAAGTAACCAAAAATCATGCCATCAGCACCTTTAATCTTTAAGTATTATTACTATTTCTTACTAAAATGGTACAGTTTGCAAAATCCACACAAGTAAATGTGGTATTTAGCTACCAACTTATACATTTCACGAAGTAACTGCAAAATATAAGCAGATAGTTGTTAAGTTTATTATATCAGGCTGGGTGCAGTGGCTTATGCCTGTAATCCCAGCACTTAGGGAGGCTGAGGCGGGAGGACCACCTGAGGCCAGGAGTTCGAGACCAGCCTGGCCAACATAGTGAAACCCCATCACTACTAAAAATACAAAAAATTAGCCGGGTGCGGTGGTGCGCACCCATAGTCCCAGCTACTCGGGAGGCTGAGGCAGGAGAATTGCTTGAACCCGGGAGGTGGAGGTTGCAGTGAGCTGAGATCATGTCACTGGACTCCAGCCCGGGCGACAGAGTGAGAGTCTGTTTAAAAAAAAGTTTATTATATCTAAAGACAGATTTTTAGCCCTTGAAGGCAATGTTTAATACATTCTTTTTGTACACAAAAATAAAGGCAATAGAGAATTCATAAAGTAAGATGTGATTGAAGAATTTTAGAGGTGCTTTGAATCCTTTTTTCCAATATAATTTTCTCATTTTAAAAACAAGAAAGACCAAATAGTGGATGAAAAAGTTCAAAATAGTTCCTTTTTCTTCGAAAATCAACACATACTGACTAATGCCAATTCCGTTTCATCTCCAGTGTCTGATGAATGAAATGAGGTTTATCCTAATATAAATATCTAAAACAAATCTATTGCTAAAACATCTCTTGGAGAGTTGTTATAACGTAACTTTTGTTGATAGACTAGTTATTGCCTATTGTACCAAAACCATATGATGTTAGTTTTATAGGAAAAGAACATGTAAGTGAATGTTTTAAAACCAATGAATAATGAAGTACTTAGCCCAATCCCTCTCCCTACCCAGTGCCTTGTCCAACAGGCAAAATAACCTGTCAGTCACCTTACTTTTTAAAGTGGTTATAAAGTCTTCCTATTTATACTTTACTGCTTGTACTTAATTGTGACATTTTAAAGGTACATTTAGCTTTAAGCTTCACTTATTATGTCATTAGCAGGTCAACGTTTTCTTATGACTTTTTTTCCTGAAGAAAAACACAGTTTAAAGAGAGCTCAGGGACTACTGCGTTGCTACTGTGTGGTGATTGTTAGTAACACATCAAAGGGAATAGCCATATTCAAAGTGGCCTCCCACTCCTCTTGTCACCAGTAGCTCTGCCTCCCAGCCTTTATGGGCCCCCAGACTCTTCTGAATGTTGTTGTGGTTTGCTTTTTTGAAGCCAGCAAAACTCCATCGAGCTGGTATATCATGTGAAATAACAGCAAAAGTTACAACAGAATCCAAATGTCATTGCATCAACAAATATTATGGTATTATTGTAAAAGGAGATGAGTCAAGAAATATATATTATATATATAAATATATGTATGTGTATATATATGCATGTGTGTGTGTGTATATATATATATATATATATATACACACACACACACACACACACACACAGAGAGAGAGAGAGAGAGAGATGGAGTCTCGCTCTGTCACCCAGGCTGGAGTGCAGTGGCGCGATCTAGGCTCACTCCAACCTCTGCCTCCTGGGTTTAAGCATTTCTCTGCCTCAGCCTCTCAAGTAGCTGGGATCACAGGCACGTGCCACCACGCCCGGCTAATTTTTGTATTTTTAGTAGAGACAAGGTTTCACCATATTGGCCAGGCTGGTCTTGAACTCCTGACCTCGTGATCCACCTGCCTTGGCCTCCCAAAGTGCTGGGATTACAGGCATGAGCCACCACACCCAGCCGAGACAACAAATATGAAACCCAAAGAATGACACATAAAGAAAAAAGAAGATAATAATCACCTAGCCTTTTTTCTTTTATGATTTTATTTTATTCTGATTCTCAAAACATTGTTACATTTAATTTGCTAAACCTTGTTAAACAGTAGGTGGCTATTGGATAAACTTTAATAGGAAATTTGAGACTTTATTAAATCCCTTTGTTACTATGAAGTCAATGTAAGTTTTATGGTATTCTGGGATTAACTTTTTGCATCTTAAAAATAGAGACAACTATGAAAACTGTATCTAGGTGAGTGAACTTGATTTCTCCCAGTATGCCTACTGCAGTTTCTACCTCTAAAAGGCTACATCATCTTGAGCAGGTTGCTTGATATCTCTAAAACCCAGTTTCACATTTTGTTTCAAAAGTTCTACTCCGTAAATATTGTTGAGAAGATTAAATGAGACCATGCGCATCTTTAACTCTGTGCCTGGTACATGATAAAAACCCAGGAAACATTGGTTCCTTTCTTCTTAGTAATAATAAAAGAATATTTATTGAGGCCGTCAGCCACTACACTGAGCATTCTACATGCTTCATCACATTTAACCTTACAACAGCTCCATGAAGTTGGCACTTACTATCCCCAACTTACAAATGAGAAGACTGAGGCCTAGAAAGATGGAGTCACTTGCTTAAGAATGCATTTGAGCTAAGCTGTAGAGCTAAGGTTTTAACTCCAAATCCTGCCTTACCCATTGGCTAAGTATAGCCCCACTGGCCAATCTGCTAATTCGGGGGGGCTCAGTCCACTTATTCATTGAGCAAATATTATTGGGTACATACTATGTTTTAGGTACTTTATGAATTGCTGAAGATGCAATGATGAGTAAAGCAAACATGACTTTCATCCTCATGGAACTCACAACCTAGTCCAGGGTTTTTCAACTTTGGTGCTATTGACATTTGGGGCTGGACAATTCCTTGTTATGGGGACTGCTGTCCTATGCATTGTAGGATGTTTAGCAGCATCTCTGGTTTCCACCCACTAGATGTTAAGAGCAAGACCTTCCCCAACCCAAGTTGTGACAATAAAAAATGTCTCCAGACATTGTCAAATGCTTCCTGAGGAAGGGGTGGGGGGTGTGTGAAATGAGAACCACTGCTTAATATTGTGAATACAATATTAAACATTAAGAGGTTTGTGCCTAAAAAATTAGGGAACCTCTACTTAGCCTGGGGAAGCAAGGGAAATCTAGGGTCTCTTGTAAAATACAGTGTCTTTCTAGAAAAGTAAAAATAATCATAGTTGATATGGTTTGGCTGTGTCCCTACCCAAATCTCATGTTGAATTGTAGCTCCCATAATCCCCACATGTCATGGGAGGGACCTGGTGGGAGGAAACTGAATCATGGGGGTAGTTACACCCATGCTGCTGTTCTCGTGATAGTGAATTCTCACGAGATCTGATGGTTTTATAAAGCGTTTTTCCCCCTTTTGCTTGGCACTTCTCATTGCTGCCACCAGGTGAAGAAGGATGTGTTTGCTTCCCTTTCCACTATGATTGTAAGTTTCCTCAGGCCTCCCCCAGCTATGCTGAACTGTGAGTCAATTAAACCTATTTCCTTTATAAATTACCCCATCTTGGGTATGTCTTTATTAGCAGCATAAGAATGGACTATTACAATAGTCATATACCATAATGTAGAGTCTGACATACAACCACCACCTCACAAAAAGTTTTCACATTATTTTATTGAAAACGTTCCTGAAACTATCTCTAGTTTAGAAAAGGAAGCCAATCAAATTTTCTCAATAGAAATATGTTTTATAGTCAACTTATCCAAAACAGGGTGTACCGTGCATTACTATGTTTTCAAAAGAAAATCAAGGATTATAAAGACATAGTGACTCATAATTGGGTCTAACTATAGCATTATAATTGTGTAGGTGAGGAAAGCATGCAATTTGAGAAGGCTAGAATCAAGGTCTTGCTAGGTTTGATATGTCCAGGTTTATCACAGTGTTTTCAGGTTGATGATGTTGTTACTTCTGGCAGGTTAACTCTTGCGATCTAAAATTTACACAACAAAAATTTTATTTCTTGTTCATGCAATAGTCCCACATGGATGATCCTGGTTTTTCAGGTCTTCTGAGAGGCTTCCCTCTACACAGCAACTCATAGACCTGAACTTCAACAATCTTATGGCTCTGCCTTCCTTTAGGTACTTGGAGTTCTTGCCTTCACCGCGGAAGGGGAAGAAAGAATATGGGGACTGCAATGGAATTTTTACAGACCATGACTAGAATTCTGATATTCCATTGGTTTAAAACTCAGTCACATGACTACCACTAAATGCAAGGGAGGCTGAAAAATAGAATCCAGGTGTGTGTCTAGAAGAGAAGGGAGGACTGTTTGGTGAACATCCAGCTATACTTTGCCAATATGATCAAAATCACTTTCATTGCCAAAAAGCCATACCTTATCTAATTTTCAGATTTATAAAATCAGGATTGATAAAATCAGAAATATTCTGTGAGGACTAATGAAAGATATATAACTTACATTCTTCCCAAAGACCTTGTGCTATGTATGTATCTGATACCTGGAGAATAATGCACTATGCTAATTTATAGCTCCGTTATGAATAGACACATTTTTAATCTGTGGCAGACATGATGTAGTCAATCTGTTATCATTCATTAGAGAAAGGAGAATGTGCTTTGCGGCCCAGAGTTCATGTCCCCCAGCACTGGTGTAATATTTTCTTTTGCTCTCAATGTGTGAATTATTAAAAATAAGCTAGCTACAATGTCATCATTTTTGATTATATCAAAAAAGAAGGCAGAGACAGGGCTGCTTCCAATCTGTGAAGTTATTTAGCATTTAATATTCCCTTCGGGAAATCAATATGATTTGGGGGAGATTATTTATATACCACTAGTCAAGTGTGGTTTAAATAAATGTACCGTGTTGGTAGAGCCATGTGAATGAATCTTCAATGTCAAGACCTTACTATTGTATAAAGAGATGTTATCATAAATCAGCTAAAAGGAAAATGGTTAGTAAAAATTATCTGGTCATTTTCCTGATATAGATGACTATATTAGGTTCTGTTTTTCTGGTATTTGTTCAAATCATAAAAATGAATGTCTGGGCACTGTATACCACACATTAACATTTATTAGTTATTTAAAATGTATATTCTATGAAACTTATTTTATTTTGGGGAAGTGAAATATGGGCTGGTAGTTCAGACAGGTATACATAATTCATGATTTTTTAACCAGTTAAGTAAAAAAGAATTAACTGAATGGTAACAAAATAACTCCCACTGTTAAGCAGTCAGGGTGCATTCTGCATAATTCAGGATACAAATCAATTCCTTCCAGGCTTGATGGAAGTTCAGAGCAGAGGAGGATGGTTACCAGGGCAAAAAGAAAAGGGGAAATGAGGGGGCAAAAAGAAAAGGGGAAATGAGGGAAGTCTAGGGTCTCTGAGCTAAGCCACACATTGGTTAGCTTCTCCGTAGGCCGCTTCACTGGAATCCTGACTCCTATTACAGGAAACAGAAATTCCTGGGAGAAACAAGACAAAAGTGCAACTAAAGGGATGGACTCTTCCAAAGCAACCTCGAGGGTGTATGCGGAGTGAGAGCCTGCAAGCCTCACTTGAAACAGAGGGTCCACACTGGCTTTCGTTTTCTCTATTTAGCTGGTTCTCAGAAACAAAGGGTATATCCTGCTTTAAACAACTAGAGCATGGAACCAGAGGAATACATTATTTGGTTATTACCAAATTTACAAAGGGATTCCACTCCTTATCCAGACATTCACTATAAAATGAATATCTAGTGAATTTTCCCTGGAGCCAACAAAAAACATTTTGGCTTACAAAAATTATTTTCACATATTTAGGTTGAACCATATGGAATTGTGGATATCTGATCATTTGTGACTAGCAAAAATGGCAGTTTCTTAAGGTTAACCTTAAGATCTAGCTTTCTAGGAACATATCCTTTGTATAAAGTAAGATGCGTCCTGCTGAGAAACTTTACAATACATCTGATGGGGAGACATTTTAATGGTGTAAAATAATTCAAAGGGTATTATTTCAAGGTTCAAAAATCTCCAATGTTCTGACTTCCAACTCTCTTTGGTATGAGTGCTCAAGAAGTTTTTAACCTAAAAGTTGACATTGTCCAATCATTAAGTGATTGGGCCAATTTGCAACAACAGCAATAACCAAAAAGGTAGATCAGTCATTGGCTTCAAAAAAGAACAAGAAGTTGTTAGCTAGTTGTTAGCTGATGGTATCTTTCCTTTTCCACTGTTAGAAATATCATGTGTGCAATGAACTGCATGGTTGTTATTATAGAGTTCCGGGTCTTTTAATATCTGGGAGAGACAGAACAGCAGGCTTCAGGCGGGTTAGGCGAGTTTTGCCCTTTCTGGCTCATTTGTCTAAGAAAGAATTTGGTGACTTGACAAGTTTCTAGAAGTAGATGAATATTACTTGAGTGAATGCAGCCAGAGGCAGTTAGCAAATTCTGACCACCATCATAGTTGTCACCCACTGAAATTGAAACTTGAGTCCAAATTTATACAAGTGGATTCACTTACGTGGTACAGAATTCACATGCTGTTTATTAACTATCACTGGGTCCTTTTTTCTGAACCCTGTACATTTTTGGATGGCATGATATTTTGGTAGTTGTAATCCTCTTGTGACAGGTTATAAAAGCCAGTTAAAACTTTCTTGTTTTGTTCTAACTCAGTATACCCAGCTTTAATTGCAATGACGATTTTGATTCAAAAGACAAACTTCAGGAAAGGAAGTGAAAAAGTCAGCAAGTCTGGAGAAGGTTGGAAGAGGGAGTGTGTGTAGGATGTGGGGAGAGAGAAAGACAGCAGATTCTTCTTCTTTTTTAAAGGAATTATTCACTTCTAAATGAGACAGCTCATTTTAACTGCCCCGAATTTATGGGTCTAGCCATTGGGGGAAGATTATGTGTCTGGGGTTGTCTGGGGAAAGAAGCTACCTGGCGGTCCAACATTCACGGTCAATTGTTATTACAGGTGTGGGAACTTGTTGCTGGCAATGAGAGAATTCCTAGGGCAGGAAATTCAGATGGGGGTTGGTTCATTGATGGGGTGGTCAGGAGGCAGCCAAAGCCCTCTGCCAGTAATGGGTTTAGGTAGCTACTGGAGCTAGTATTTTCTGCTCTGTAGTTTAGAAGGATGCCACAATCCAACATTTCTCTATAGAAATGCATGGCCTATTTCATGTATCCATTGACTTTATTTTGCCCAGCAGTTACACTCAAATAACAAGCAGGCAATATTTTCTTTATAGACAAATTGGCTTATACTGGGTTATAGTAATTAATAAGTTACATATATTACATAATCACATAATCAATAAGTTACATAAATTAATAAGTACATATATTATATATATATATATGGATGGAGAAATTACTTTTTAAAAAACTTGTACCTATTTGTAATCCCACCAACCAAATGAGAGTTATTAGCTTGTTTTGAGAGATTCCAGCCAGGCCACTCTTACTTTGGAGGAGACCAGGGCATATTCCCCAAATTCTTTCCTTCTTTCCTTTCTTCCTTTATCCCTCCCTCTTGCTGACAAACATTGACTGATCACATTCAAACACTGGACACAAAGTCTTCAATCACATTAGTCAGCATGTGTGGGAGAGTAAAAATATCATATGTTCTCTTATTTTGTCTTCTTACATAATCCATATAAATATCATAGAAAATTCCAACATGCTGACTTTCAATCCCCCTTTCCCAGATGCTTTTCACATCTGGAAGTCACACAAATTCTTGTGTCAGACCATGCTCCTCAATTTTGCTCTGGAAATATTGTCACCATAACTGTGGGAGACAGAAACCGGCCATGTCTTTTCTTTAGCCTGACTGCCGCACTCATTAAATGGCTCTTCATCTTTTCTCCTCCTCAATGATGGCACTATGGTGCCTCCTCTTCACATCCCCACCCCCCAGCCTCAGGTTTAGGCAGTGAAGAGACAAGAGTGCATGGTTATGCAGTGGAACCTTTTAGTACCCTTCCTCCCTTACTTCAGACTCTGTATTGTATTAATGAGCTATTGTCATGGTGCTTTAAGAAGCCAGGATGAACAACAGCCTTCTTGTCAAGGAAAGTGACAGTCAATTAATGAAGGTTTTCTGTATTGTTTTAAGTAGGAAAGCCTCCAAATAGCTTTTCAATTGGTGAGAGGAACTTCAGAGCTCACCCTCGTTCCAGAATACTCTGACAAGTTTCAAATTATTAATGGACCTCTTTCAGGCCTCTGTAAATTTGGGCTTTTATAGTGTCTACTAAAGCCAAGCAAACTGCTCCAATAATTATAAGTTAATAAAACACATTGAGGTGTATATGACATGAAACATGATTAAAACACTCCCAGCCATATTGATCCCATATACAATAGGAACAGTTCAGGAATTCTGGCTGTGCCTCTTTCAAGTAGCCCAAAGTAAAATTACACTGTATTTCAATTGTGGTTTTCATCTCCTTTCATGATTTTCCCCTCTTAGAAAAAAAGAGAAGGAGCAAATATTAGGATCATCAAGTTGATGAATTAAAGAATCAAGATGCAATAGGCAGTGTATAAAGGTTTGTAGTGACCAGCTGTTGAAAGTGAAGCTCAAGTGCATTATAGTGGCATGTTCTTACGAATGTATCTTCTAATGCTTTTCTATATTTTAGTGACCTGTGAATGATTTAATGCAGTGGGTCTCAACAAGGGGTTATTTTTTCCCTGCAAAGGACATCTGGCAATGTCTAGAACATTTTTGGTTACCACAACTCAGTGGGAGAAGAGTGTTACTGGCATCCACTGGGTAGAGGACAGAAATGCTGCTACACAATATGCAGGACAGCCTCCCACACTAAAGAATTACCGGCCCCAATTATCGATAATGCCAAGGTTGAGAAACTCTGATTTATGTACATCCAATTCAGTTTGTTGGATTCAAAGTCCATATTTAAATAATTATTTCAAGCATTATCAGCAGTGACAGTTAAAAGTAGGTAGTCTGACATGAGTAGGGAAGGAGAGGGTCCCCTTTACCCCCAGGAATGTCAGGTGACCATCAGGTGATGGTCAGGCAGTTGTTAACTGTCTCTCTAAAATGATACCTGGTCACAACTGGCAGCGGGGAAAGGGAGCCTCCCAATAGATAGAAAACACCTGAGGCTGATGATCAGCGCTTCCTGATAAGATCTCAGGAGTTGGGCAAGTGGGTTCAAGCATGTACAATAAGAGGCAAAATGGTGGAGTTTAATGGGTATATGACCTTCTTTTAGGAATGCGGGACTGGTAAGGGAAGAACACCTCAAGTGAGCATGTGCACAATTTCAGCAAACTCACTGCGTATATGGCCCCTCCTAAGTGCTGGCAGGTCACCGTGCAAGCAGACAGCCCACTCCAAGGGAAGAATCAGAGGAGAAGAAATACAAACCCTGGAACCAAGCCAATGTATAAAACCCCAAGTCAAGGGCCAAATGGGGCACTTGGATCTCTCAAGTCACCCACTTGGTCCTCTTCCAAGTGTACTTTGCTTCCTTTCATTCCTGCTCTAAAATCTTTAAACTTTCACTTCTGCTCTCAAAATGTGGTTCTCTCAGCAGGAGCATCACCTGGGAAATTGTTAGAAATACAGATTCTGGAGCCCCACTCCAGACATACAGAATCAGAAACTCTAGGGTATGTTCACTATGCTTTATTTATTATTTCTTTTCTTTCTTTCTTTTTTATTTTTTGAGATGGAGTCTTGCTCTGTTGCCCAGGCTGGAGTGCAGTGGCGTGATCTCGGCTCACCACAACCTCTGCCTCCCAGGTTCAAGCGATTCTCCTGCCTCAGCCTCCTGAGTAGCTGGGGTTAAAGGCACGTGCCACCACACCCGGCTAATTTTTGTATTTTTAGTAGAGACGGGGTTTCACTATGTTAGCCAGGCTGGTCTCGATCTCCTGACCTTGTGATCCACCCACCTTGGCCTCCCAAAGTGCTGGGATTACAGTTGTGAGCCACCACACCCGGCCAGCAATCTGTGATTTAACAAGTCATCTAGGTGATGCTAATGCATGCTCAAGTTTGAGAACCACGCCCGGCCTAGTTCACTGTGCTTTAAATCTTCCAGGTGTTGCTGATAACATGCCCAAATTCAAAACCACTGCTTTAGCTGAAAAGTGGTAGAGAGATAGAGAGGGACACAGAGAAATAGAGAAGGAGATTTTTTTTTTTTTTTTGAGACAGGATCTCGCTCTCTGGTCCAGGTTAGAGTGCAGTGGCACCATCATGGGTCACTGCAGCCTAGACCTCCAGTGCTCAGGCAGTCCTCCCACCTCAGCCTCCCAAGTAGCTGGAACTACAGGCATGCACTACCATGCCCAGCTAATTTTTTAAAAACATTTTTGTAGAAACAGGGTTTTGCCATGTTGCCCAGGCTGGTCTCAAACTCCTGGGCTCAAGCAATCCTCCCGCCTTGGCATCCCAAAGTGCTGGGATTACAGGCGTGAGCCACTGTGCCTGAAAGAGAATTTTTAAAGGAAGTTCTAGGTTTGCACTACTCAACAACAAACCAAGACAACCCTTTAACCTCAACAACTTTAACTAAAGATATAAAGTTTGGGTTGGAGTTTCACTTTGAGTCTCACAGATGTGTAGAGTTCAAGCCCACTAGTTGAGATGGTCCAAAGAGGTTCAGAACTTAAGTGTTGTCATGTAGTAAGTGCCAGGCCAGGGAGAGATGGGGCACCCTCTCTTGATGAAGTACTCCGGGCATGTTTACTCTTTTCATGATAAAGAGGGCTGTAGCTAATTCTTCCTATCACCTCCAAATTTATCTCAATCTCAAGCTTTGAAGAAATATCATCAGGTATGTCAGTATTTACGTGCCCTATGACAGCGGGACTGAGAACATGGAGGAAAGCAAATGTCCTGTTTCCAGTTACCACTGCAGCACCATTAAAGCACCTCTGCTTTAATCATCCATTCTTCGACTGTATTCAGAACACTTGGAATTTTACACTCTGGCAGAATTCCCTCTTACAGGCTCCATAGCAAGATGCTTTTCCTTTGCATGTTCAAAAAACTATTCTTAAAAGAAAACAAAAATACAATTGAAAGGTGGGGAGAAAGCCTTCTTTGTGCTGGTCATTTGGAATGCAAACAATCAGAAATGTTCATTAGCATGCCAGCAGCCCAGGCCCCTGCAAGAAGCATGCTTTCCTGGAGGCACAGCTTAGAGCGAAGCCTGGGTTAAAGTTGAGTGGGAGAGAGTATTGAGGACCCTCAATCCCAAAGGGAGCCCTAAATCCTGTGGCTGTTGAGCCTGGAAACTTATATAGCTCACTGTGGCCTGTGTGCCAAAATCAAGAACTCCTCTTCTAAAAGATTCATCTTTGACAGTTGCTGATCTTGTGTAGCACTAGCAGAGCCTCTTTAAAATTCGTGTGAGATCTACTTTTGTTAATCGAATCTGGAACATTTTAATATGCTTTGCATTTCAATTGTATTAGCAGTATTTCTTATTTAACTGTAGCTCATGCTTACTGATAGCCATGGATAAAAGTAAGTCACATGTAGCATGCCAATTGTCTCATTTGATAATACTCCAAACATAACGAAAAGAGAATGAAAATGAAGCAACGTCTGGTAGGGCTTGAAAATATTTTATATCCAAGGAGCCTGCCAAAATGTTAACATAAGGGAACAATATCATCAGACAAAAGAAAAAATAACTACTAAAGCAACTAGTGACAATATGTAGAATGCCGAGCTTTGTTTAAAAAAATAAAATTCTACCACTAACATACAACAATTTCAAAAAGTGTTTATTGTTCTAATTTCACTCCAATCAAGACATAATATTTCCTTTTGTATACTGTACATATTGCAGTTTTTTAAAGAAATAATTTAATTGGCATGCAATAGAAAGTTATTCTCTTCTTAAAAATGAAGTTGGGAGGGTGGAGCCAAGATGGCCAAATAGGAACAGCTCCAGTCTACAGCTCCCAGCATGAGCAACGCAGAAGACGAATGATTTCTGCATTTCCAACTGAGGTACCAGGTGCATCTCACTGGGGATTGTTGGACAGTGGGTGCAGGACAGTGGGTGCAGTGCACCGAGCCTGAGCTGAAGCAGGGCGAGGCATCACCTCACCCGGGAAGCGCAAGGGGTTGGGGAATTCCCTTTCCTAGCCAAGGAAAGGGGTGACTGATGGCACCTGGAAAATCGGGTTACTCCCACCCTAATACTGTGCTTTTCCAATGGTCTTAGCAAACGGCACACCAGGAGATTATATCCCATGCCTGGCTCGGAGGGTCCTACGCCCACGGAGCCTCACTCATTGCTAGCACAGCAGTCTGAGATCAAACTGCAAGGTGGCAGCGAGGCTGGGGGAGGGGCGCCTGTCATTGCTGAGGCTTGAGTAGGTAAACAAAGCAGTCAAGAAACTCGAACTGGGTGGAGCCCACCGCAGCTCAAGGAGGCCTGCTTGCCTCTGTAGACTCCACCTCTAGGGGCAGGGCATAGCCAAACAAAAGGCAGTAGAAACCTCTGCAGACTTAAATGTCCCTGTCTGACAGCTTTGAAGAGAGTAGCGGTTCTCCCAGCGCACAGCTTGAGATCTGAGAACGGACAGACTGCCTCCTCAAGTGGGTCCTTGACCCCCAAGTAGCCTAACTGGGAGGCACCCCCCAGTAGGGGCAGACTGACACCTCACACAGCCAGGTACTCCTCTGAGACAAAACTTCCAGAGGAGCGATCAGGCAGCAACATTTGCTGTTCACCAATATCCACTGTTCTGCAGCCTCTGCTGCTGATACCCAGGCAAACAGGATCTGGAGTGGACCTCCAGCAAACTCCAACAGACCTGCAGCTGAGGGTCCTGTCTGTTAGAAGGAAAACTAACAAACAGAAAGGACATCCACACCAAAACCCCATCTGTACGTCACCATCATCAAAGACCAAAGGTAGATAAAACCACAAAGATGGGGAAAAAACAGAGCAGAAAAACTGAAAAATCTAAAAATCAAGCACCTCTCCTCCTACAAAGGAATGCGGCTCCTCACCAGCAATGGAACAAAGCTGCATGGAGAATGATTTTGACGAGTTGAGAGAAGAAGGCTTCAGACGATCAGACTACTCCGACCTAAAGGAGGAAGTTCGAACCCATGGCAAAAAAGTTAAAAACCTTGAAAAAAGATTAGACGAATGGCTGACTAGAATAACCAATGCAGAGAAGTCCTTAAAGGACCTGATGGAGCTGAAAACCACGGCATGAGATCTACGTGATGAATGCACAAGCCTCAGCAGCTGATTTGATCAACTGGAAGAAAGGGTATCAGTGATGGAAGATCAAATGAATGAAATGAAGTGAGAAGAGAAGTTTAGAGAAAAAAGAATAAAAAGAAATGAACAAAGCCTCCAAGAAACATGGGACTATGTGAAAAGACCAAATCTACATCTGATTGGTGTACCTGAAAGTGACGGGGAGAATGGAACCAAGTTGGAAAACACTCTGCAGGATATTATCCAGGAGAACTTCCCCAATCTAGCAAGGCAGGCCAACATTCAAATTCAGGAAATACAGAGAATGCCACAAAGATACTCCTCGAGAAGAGCAACTCCAAGACACATAATTGTCAGATTCACCAAAGTTGAAATGAAGGAAAAAACGTTAAGGGCAGCCAGAGAGAAAGGTCGGGTTACCCACAAAGGGAAGCCCATCAAACTAACAGCTGATCTCTCGGCAGAAACTCTACAAGCCAGAAGAGTGTGGGGGCCAATATTCAACATTCTTAAAGAAAAGAATTTTCAACCCAGAATTTCATATCCAGCCAAACTAAGCTTCACAAGTGAAGGAGAAATAAAACCCTTTACAGACAAGCAAATGCTGAGAGATTTTGTCACCACCAGGCCTGCCCTAAAAGAGCTCCTGAAGGAAGCACTAAACATGGAAAGGAAAAACCGGTACCAGCCACTGCAAAAACATGCCAAATTGTAAAGACCATCAAGGCTAGGAAGAAACTGCATCAACTAACGAGCAAAATAACCAGCTAATATCATTATGACAGGATCAAATTCACACATAACAATATTAACCTTAAATGTAAATGGGCTAAATGCCCCAATTAAAAGACACAGACTGGCAAATTCGATAAAGAGTCAAGACTCATCAGTGTGCTGCATTCAGGAGACCCATCTCACGTGCAGAGATACACATAGGCTCAAAATAAAGGGATGGAGGAAGATCTACCAAGCAAATGGAAAAAAAAAAAAAGGCAGGGGTTGCAATCCTAGTCTCTGATAAAACAGACTTTAAACCAACAAAGATCAAAAGAGACAAAGAAGGCCATTACATAATGGTAAAGGGATCAATTCAACAAGCAGAGCTAACTATCCTAAATATATATGCACCCAATACAGGAGCACCCAGATTCATAAAGCAAGTCCTTAGAGACCTACAAAGAGACTTAGACTCCCACACAATAATAATGGGAGACTTTAACACCCCACTGTCAACATTAGACAGACCAACGAGACAGAAAGTTAACAAGGATATCCAGGAACTGAACTCAGCTCTGCACCAAGCGGACCTAATAGACATCTACAGAACTCTCCACCCCAAATCAACAGAATATACATTTTTTTTGGCACCACACCACACCTATTCCAAAATTGACCACATACTTGGAAGTAAAGCTCTCCTCAGCAAATGTAAAAGAACAGAAATTATAACAAACTATCTCTCAGACCACAGTGCAATCAAACTAGAACTCAGGATTAAGAAACTCACTCAAAACCGCTCAACTAAATGGAAACTGAACAACCTGCTCCTGAATGACTACTGGGTACATAATGAAATAAAGGCAGAAATAAAGATGTTCTTTGGAAAAAATGAGAACAAAGACACAACATACCAGAATCTCTGGGACACATTCAAAGCAGTGTGTAGAGGGAAATTTATAGCACTAAATGCCCACAAGAGAAAGCAGGAAAGATCTAAAATTGACACCCTAACATCACAATTAAATGAACTAGAAAAGCAAGAGCAAACACATTCAAAAGCTAGCAGAAGGCAAGAAATAACTAAGATCAGAGCAGAACAGAAAGAAATGGAGACACAAAAAGCCCTTCAAAAAATCAATGAAGCCAGGAGCTGGTTTTTTGAAAAGATCAACAAAATTGATAGACTCCTAGCACGACTAATAAAGAAGAAAAGAGAGAAGAATCAAATAGACACAATTAAAAATGATAAAGGGGATATCACCACTGATCCCACAGAAATACAAACTACCATCAGAGAATACTACAAACACCTCTATGCAAATAAACTAGAAAATCCGGAAGAAATGGATAAATTCCTTGACACATACACTCTCCCAAGACTAAACCAGGAAGAAGTTGAATCTCTGAATAGACCAATAACAGGATCTGAAATTGAGGCAATAATTAATAGCTTACCAACCAAAAAAAGTCCAGGAACAGATGGATTCACAGCCGAATTCTACCAGAGGTACAAGGAGGAGCTAGTACCATTCCTTTTGAAACGATTCCAATCAATAGAAAAAGAGGGAATCCTCCCTAACTCATTTTATGAGGCCAGCATCATCCTGATACCAAAGCATGGCAGAGACACAACAAAAAAAGAGAATTTTAGACCAATATACCTGATGAACATCGATGCAAAAATCCTCAATAAAATACTGGCAAACCGAATCCAGCAGCACATCAAAAAGCTTATCCACTATGATCAAGTGGGCTTCATCCCTGGGATGCAAGGCAGGTTCAACATACGCAAATCAATAAATGTAATCCAGCATATAAACAGAACCAAAGAAAAAACCACATGATTATCTCAATAGATGCAGAAAAGGCCTTTGACAAAATTCAACAACCCTTCATGCTAAAAACTCTCAATAAATTAGGTATTGATGGGACGTATCTCAAAATAATAAGAGCTATTTATGACAAAGCCACAGCCAATATCATACTGAATGGGCAAAAACTGGAAGCATTCCCTCTGAAAACTGGCACAAGACAGGGATGCCCTCTCTCACCACTCCTATTCAACATAGTGTTGGAAGTTCTGGCCAGGGCAATCAGGCAGGAGAAGGAAATAAAGGGTATTCAATTAGGAAAAGAGGAAGTCAAATTGTCCCTGTTTGCAGATGACATGATTGTGTATCTAGAAAACCCCATCGTCTCAGCCCAAAATCTCCTTAAGCTGATAAGCAACTTCAGCAAAGTCTCAGGATACAAAATCAATGTGCAAAAACCACAAGCATTCTTATACACCAATAACAGACAAACAGAGAGCCAAATCATGAGTGAACTCCCATTCACAATTGCTTCAAAGAGAATAAAAAACCTAGGAATCCAACTTACAAGGGATGTGAAGGACCTCTTCAAGGAGAACTACAAACCACTGCTCAATGAAATAAAAGAGGATACAAACAAATGGAAGAACATTCCATGCTCATGGGTAGGAAGAATCAATATCATGAAAATGGTCATACTGCCCAAGGTAATTTATAGATTCAATGCCATCCCCATCAAGCTACCAATGACTTTCTTCACAGAATTGGAAAAAATTACTTTAAAGTTCATATGGAACCAAAAAAGAGCCCGCATCACCAAGTCAATCCTAAGCCAAAAGAACAAAGCTGGAGGCATCATGCTACCTGACTTCAAACTATACTACAAGGCTACAGTAACCAAAACAGCATGATACTGGTACCAAAACAGAGATACAGACCAATGGAACAGAACAGGGCCCTCAGAAATAATGCTGCATATCTACAACTATCTCATCTTTGACAAACCTGACAAAAACAAGAAATGGGGAAAGGATTCCCTATTTAATAAATGGTGCTGGGAAAACTGGCTAGTCATATGTAGAAAGCTGAAACTGCATCCCTTCCTTACACCTTATACTAAAATTAATTCAAGATGGATTAAAGATTTAAATGTTAGACCTAACACCATAAAAACCCTAGAAGAAAACCTAGGCAATACCATTCAGGACATAGGCATGGGCAAGGACTTCATGTCTACAACACCAAAAGCAATGGCAACAAAAGCGAAAATTGACAAATGGGATCCAATTAAACTAAAGAGCTTCTGCACAGCAAAAGAAATTACCATCAGAGTGAACAGGCAACCTACAGAATGGGAGAAAATTTTTGCAACCTACTCATCTGACAAAGGGCTAATATCCAGAATCTACAATGAACTCAAACAAATTTACAAGAAAAAAACAAAGAACCCCATCAAAAAGTGGGCAAAGAATATGAACAGACACTTCTCAAAGAAGACATTTATGCAGCCAAAAGACACATGAAAAAATGCTCATCATCACTGGCCATCAGAGAAATGCAAATCAAAACCACAATGAGATACCATCTCACACTAGTTAGAATGGCGATCATTCAAAAGTCAGGAAACAACAGGTGCTGGAGAGGATGTGGAGAAATAGAAACACTTTTACACTGTTGGTGGGACTGTAAACTAGCTCAACCATTGTGGAAGTCAGTGTGGCGATTCCTCAGGGAGCTAGAACTAGAAGTACCATTTGACCCAGCCATCCCATTACTGGGTATATACCTAAAGGATTATAAATCATGCTGTTATAAAGACACATGCACACGTATGTTTATTGCGGCACTATTCACAATAGCAAAGACTTGGAACCAACCCAAATGTCCAACAATGATAGACTGGATTAAGAAAATGTGGCACATATACACCATGGAATACTATGCAGCCATAAAAAATGATGAGTTCATGTCCTTTGTAGGGACATGGATGAAGCTGGAAACCATCATTCTCAGCAAACTATCGCAAGGACAAAAAACCGAACACCGCATGTTCTCACTCATAGGTGGGAATTGAACAATGAGAACACATGGACACAGGAAGGGGAACATCACACACCAGGGCCTGTTGTGGGGTGGGGGGAGGCGGGAGGGATAGCATTAGGAGATATACCTAATGTTAAATGACGAGTTAATGGGTGCAGCACGCCAACATGGCACATGTATACATATGTAACAAACCTGCCCGTGGTGCATATGTACCCTAAAACTTAAAGTATAATAAAAAAAAGAAAAATAAATAAAGAAAAATGAAGTTGGGTGTTAAGGGGTTTTCTTGTGTTAAACAGAATATTTTCCATACATATGTGTGTATGTGAATAGATATATTTCTCTGTATGTAATCAGAACTAGAGGTCAACTTTCTCTAGTGTGAATTAAAGAGTAATTAATACAATACTGTATCCTTTGGGTCCTTTGGATTCCAAAGGACCAAAGAAGCTGAGGAATAACAGATTTAAGAGGTTTGGATGTTGCAAACTCAGATAAATTCATATAAAGTGTAATTTTGTGGGTTTCTCACTTATCAGATCTAAAGACACAGCATTCTTTGCTAATGTTTCAGTAACATTCAACTATCAATAAGTATTTTCTATGGTCATTCTGTGCCGAAAACACAGAATCAAATTTCTCCCACCTACAGTACAATCTGGAATGTGAGGATTGTGGGGGCAAAAAACTTCCTTAACAAATGATGCTAGCAAAAACCAATAATTGTTTTCTCGGGCAAAAGGGATTTAAATCTAAAAAAAAAAAAAAAACTTTCTGAAAATTAAAGCTAAATCATTAGTTTTGCACTCAATAAAGAATACAGCCAAGCATGGTGGCTTGTGCCTATAATCCCAGATATTTGAGAGGCTGAGGTGGGAAGATCGCTTGAGGCCAGGAGTTTAAGACCAGGCTGGGCAACATAGCAAGATTACTGTCACTACAAAAAGAGAAGAAAAGAAAGAAGAAGACGACCTTCTTCTGCAGGGTACAGGCTTGCTTTTTGGGAGATTATGTGTAGAAATATTTCCAAACTGCCACCAACATAGTTCTTTGGCCATCTCCTTATATCTCTGAATGAATGTGTGATTAGAAAAAGCATTTTTATGTTATCCTATGCTAAGTATAATTTTAAAAGCAAGCATATGGCTGCAAAAAAAAAAATCACTTAATAGATGATGCTACTTATCCAGAGGTTGGGAGACAGGAGACATAAATTTCTCTAAAGCTTCTTCTAGTTCTAACATTTTCTTTTTCTGTGTAAAACAATCTCCCCCACTACCTTATTCTACTGGTGTGCATGTTGATATTATAAAGACACGGCAAATTATTGAAATTTGAGTCTCAAAAATGCATCTAAGGATATGAGATGTGCCTGGATATTTAGCAATGCTGGCTACTTACTTGTTATAAATCATCTAGAGATATTACAACTTTAAATAGTCCCCAAGGGCAAAAATGGCCATTCCAGTGGGGGAAAGCAAAAATCTAAGACAAATAGGAATTAGTCAATCGTTTCTCCCCAACCAAACCAGTGATGAAAGCTACAAAAAATACCTTCCCTGGTTGAGAAACATCCCGTCATTTAAATTGCTGGGTTAATGAATATCGGCCTTCAAGAGGAAAATTGAAATGTATTTTATCACAGACTAGTTTATGGATGTGTGTGTTTATGATATCAGCAGAAATTTCTGAGATGACTGAAGAACTAGCTCAGGAAATGGCCAAGAACAAAGGGAGACGAGGCCATCAGAAACCCAAGCCAAATCATGTCCTGAAATTTAAGTTTCCGGGCAGAATCCTCTCTTGCAATTGCTGACATTGGGAGCCCCGGTCGGAACTGCAGAAGCTGCTGCCTCTAGAAAGTTTAAGTATCTTTTTCTTGCTAGGTTTGTTATTATTACTATTTTTTCTTATCAGAGAGGTTGTGTCTCATGGTTGAGAATTTAAAGAACCTCTTTGCTGAAGTTATGGGTACGTCCAGTACCGATGGAGGTATAATGGTGCCCTCTGCTGGGAAGAGTCAGTAATGCTACCCAGTGAGTTTTCTACTGGGCCTGAAGTAATTTTAGGTGCTGGTGGAGGGATGTCAAGGGTGTTTCTGGAACAAAAAGTTCCGAGAAGTACTCTGCAAAAAAGTAGTTACAAAACCCCAAACCACATGAAATTAGCTTGATTCTGAGTTGACAGTGGAATCTGAAACCAGCTGTATTTCATCCTAAAATGTTAGCGCTATAAACCCTTCATCAAACCTGGAGACAATTATTTTCTCACTATCTGGACAAGACCACATTTCCAGCGGCTGAATTTTTCCAGGGCCGACTTTGCCTTCCCATTTTCCTTTTGTAGAGCTCCCCTCTTGCAGACTTGCATAAACAAGCCTCACTCAAGAATGAAAGATGCTATGAGGCTGAGCCCCCATATGACATTCTGTAATTTTGCTATTAAGAATCATAAAAGGAATTTGTCACAAAAAGTACACACCACACTGACATGCCTTGGCTCCTTAGAAATGCATAGTAAGGCCAAATATCGATTTTTAAAATGTCATTTCAGGAAGTTCAGGAAAACTGCACTATTTCACTAAAGGTGTAGTTTCTTATTTTTGAGACGGAGTCTCGCTCTGCCGCCCAGGCTGGAGTGCAGTGGCGCGATCTCCGCTCACTGCAAGCTCCGCCTCCCGGGTTCACGCCATTCTCCTGCCTCAGCCTCCGGAGTAGCTGGGACTACAGGCGCCCGCCACCGCGCCCGGCTAATTTTTTTGTATTTTTAGTAGAGACGTGGTTTCACCGTGGTCTCGATCTCCTGACCTCGTGATCCGCCTGCCTCGACCTCCCAAAGTGCTGGGATTACAGGCGTGAGCCACCGCGCCCAGCTAAAGATGTAGTTTCTTACTTCATTTACCAGTTCTGGATCCGCAGCCGAAATATTTAAACCATCTGTAACTTAAAGTAGCTAAAAAATAACTAAAGGGCAGTAAAAGGAGACTGTAGCCATGTATTGCATGCTAATTGCACTTCTAGTCAAAAGCATACTGTTGGCTGGACCATCTTCAGTGGCATCTTACTCTGTAAGATATTAGGGAAACATCTGTTTATTGTTATTCATTTATTTTGTTGAGACAGGGTCTCTCTCTGTTGCCCAGGCTGGAGTGCAGTGGTATTATCTCGGCTCACTGCAGCCTCAACCTACCGGGTTCAAGCATCAGCCACCTCAGCTTCCCGAGTAGCTGGGGCTATAGGCACGCACCACCACACCCGGTAATTTTTTGTATTTTGTAGAGACGGGATTTCACCTTGTTGCCCAGGCTGGTCTCAAACTCCTGGGCTCAAATGATCTATCTGCCTCAGCCTCCCAAAGTGTTGGAATTATGGGTGTGAGCCATTGGGCCTCAGCATGTTGTTTTTGAGTGTTGTCAGAGTAAGATGCTGGGTTTTCCAGGGAAGCCAGTGATGTCTATCTAAAGTATGATGTTCATCTTGAAGGAGCTTATAATCTAAGAAAGGAGAGAAGACATGTATGGGAATGATGAGAATTGATTATAGCATATGCAGCTGACTATAGTAATTCAATAAAAGAGACCTGGATTCTCTGTAGTTTAGAGGATGAGGGCAAGATCTTTCCCAACCGGAAAAAACTCTAAATGCCTCTTGGATGGGGTGTCACTTGAGCTGGGACTTTCAAGTAGATTTTTAAGTACTTATTTCTCTTTGGAAAAATAGAAAGATAAATAAAATAAATAGATGAGCTTTTCCTTTTTGCCATCTGGCCCACCTTGTGGTTTTACTGTTTTATCTTAGTTACCTTGGTTGATTTTGAGGTTTTAATCATAGGATTCCAATGCTCTTTTACTCAACATGGAGAAAACCATTTGTTTGGGGATTGATTTGTACAATGTATTCTGCAATACTTTAGATTCTAAAGAATGAGGGCGAATTTTTAAAAATTGGGGACAGGTTCAATTTGTGTGTCTCTCTGCAAACCTCGTTCAAGATGTCAGATGAAACCTGTGGGGGTATTAGCTTTCTAAAGGTGTTGTTCCATTATGCTCTAGCCTTATAGTTATTAGTTCAGAACAATGGGTCTGAACTCCAAAACTGTAGCACTGCACATTTCCCTGCAAAGAGGGACAATTATGTCATTGGAATACAGAAGAAAACAGCACTTTTTTCTCCTCCCAGGAATGATGTCACTGTGACACTAAGAGTAGCAAATTCCTATCTAGAAATCCAACTGTGTTCACTTCAGAGCACTAAAGAAGCTCAGTGAATAAAATCAGGTGCCAGTCAAAAGCTATACTTCTTTGTACCGCTAGGTGAAGATTGCATCTCTCAATTTCCCCAAGGGCTTTCCCAGTAAACACTCCCCTTAAAAGATTCGGTTTTGATGAAAGAAAAGAGAACACAATAGTATTCTCTAAGATATGATTTAAAAATTATAAATATATTTTTCCCGAGGGAAAAAACTGCATGTAACCATTTTTTAAATTGACTTTTAAAAGATATTGGCCATGTTACATATTCTATATTAAAAGATTAGTAAATTAAAAAAAATCTGTGTACATTACTGAACATAACCACAATACATACTTAGGGTCAATATGCTTAGAAAAAAGGCCTGGTACGGTGGCTCACGCCTGTAATCCCAGCACTTTAGGAGGCCAAAGCAGGTGGATCACTTGAGGTTAGGAGTTTGAGACCAGCCTGGCCAACATGGTGAAACCCCGTCTCTACTGAAAATACAAAAATTTGTTGGGCGTGGTGGGGTGCACCTGTAATCCCAGCTACTTGGGAGGCTGAGGCAGGAGAATCACTTGAATCCGGGAGGCAGAGGTTGCAGTGAGCTGAGATTGTGCCACTGCACTAGAGCCTAGGCAACAGAGTCAGATTCTGTCTTAAAAAGAAGAAAGAAAGAAAAAGAAGAACTTGGTGCACAAAAGAAATAATACAGACAATAAACTTGGCTGAGTACCCAAATAAGTTTTCTTTCCTTCACTGTCTCATAGTTACTCTTAAGATGTTCTATATTTCTTGACCTAAGCCTCCTCAATTCTAATGGAACAAGGTAGAAGTTTTTTTCTTTTAAAAGCCACTATGTATTTTAAGCGTCTGATGGTAGGTAAGGCTGTGTAAATAAGACATATAGTAAATTATACGTTCTGAGATTTTTCTTTTAGCCTTATTTTATCTAAGCCAGATTTCTCACTGGATATTTACATCAGACCCAGTAAGTAGACACACTCTGGATATCAACTAAGCAGGATTTGTCATTCTTTACAAATTGATAAATTTGGCACACTCTGTATGATATAATTAACAACAATTTCTTTTATTATTTTCAGAAGCTAAACATCTAATTCTCTGTGAGGGCAAAGCAGTAAACATTTAATCTAAATTATTTACATGTGCTTTGTGAGAAAATCAAAATAAAAAAAGAGGCATTTCTGACGGTACAGGTTTTATGACTCAGGTTAAGATAAAAGGTTGGGGATTTTAGGTATTCAGTCTGTAGCATAAAATTTAGTTGAGTGTTTCTTTCTCTGAGGAAAAAAAAAAACAGAATAAGAGATACATCTGACTAAAAATTATAGCCAGTCCTGGTTGAATGAAACTACTGTCTGGCAGAATTTATGAGAGCAAAATAAAATTGTATGAGTGACAATTGGCTTTAGAAAAGGATGGCATAACAGAACCAAGTCCAAGAACAGCAGGGTTTACCTTTGCCCTCATTTCCCATCTTAAGAACTGTGGTGGTATCACATGTTTCCAACTTGAGCGTCCTGGTCCTTGTAACCACTATACTTCAGCATTCTGGCAACTCGCTGACCCACATTTTTGGTGGCCAAACTGTGGTTAGTGTGGGCCAAGGAGCCATGAACTGCTGACTAAACTCTTTCTGAAGCTTGTGGCTACACAGGAATCAGTGGGCAAAGATTGCATTCCTCTTTTCTGCCTGTGGCGTATGACAAAGTGGGACTGGGAAGGGCTACAGCTAGCAAATATTCCAAGACTACTTTCTTGATTCAGATGGAATGCTCTGAAGAGCTGAAGCAAAGAACAAAGTCTTCAGTCAAATCTCCATTTATGTAATGTCTCTGTTATATGGCAGAATGAAGACCCATGCTGTTTCTATCTCATCATGATTTTTATTTTTTTATTTTTATTTTTTTGAGACGGAGTTTCACTCTTGTTGCCCAGGCTGGAGTGCAATGGCACAATCTCAGCTCACTACAACCTCCTCCTCCTGGGTTCAAGTGATTCTCTTGCCTCAGCCTCCCAAGTAGCTGGGACCACAGGTGCCTGCCACCATGCCCGGCTAATTTTTGTATTTTCTTTCAGTAGAGATGGAGTTTCACCATGTTGGCCAGGCTGGTGTCAAACTCCTGACCTCAGGTGATCCTCCCGCCTCAGCCTCCCAAAGTGCTGGGATGACAGGCGTGAGCCACTGTGCCCAGCCTCATCATTATGATTTTTAAATTCTTCCCTTTGAATTATAAAGGATTAGTCCATCAGAGCTATGTATAGATGCAAATTAAATGAAACATTTGTCTTAACTCTGCTAAATTAGAGGGAACTTCGCAATTTTTTTTCAAGACTTGAGAGAATCATCATTCTAATATCCAAAGCAGTGATTCTCAAAGTGTGGTCCCTGAACCAGCAGTAGCAGCAGGAAGGGAGGGAGAGAGAGCAAGGATGCATAGAAATGCAGATTCCCAGACTCTAACTGACTTCTACTGAATCTGAGCTCTGAGGCCAGCAACCTGCATTTTAATAAGCCTTCCATGGGATGCTCTTGAATGCTCAATTTGAGAACCACTGATCTAAAGAACCCTTGCAGGGGTGACTTCTGTGAGAATAAGCAGTGCTGGCCTTTCCTGGGAAATGTGCAGCTTGCTATGTGTTATCAGGGACACTTCAACTTTGTATTTTGCCCATGAAATCGTAACACTCTAGTTTAGATGAAGAAAATAAGTGATCTGCCACCTCAAATTCTATTAGTTGACTTGTTCAAACTTGAATTCCGAAATATTTTCTTAAAACCCCAAAGCACAAAATGTAATTTGTATTATTGAGTGGTTCTTTGGACCATCTTCTGCACATGGTAACTGGTTTCTGTGTAAGTGAAGTGTTTCTGTGTAAGTGAAGTGTTTATTGTCTCCTAGAAATAAATATTTCATAGGCTTAAAGAATTTTAGAGGTGGATGGATCTTTAAAACTCATCAACTTTTCCCCCCCCAGGAAAAAACGTAGGCTGCAATATGGCACCTACAAGAGTTTAGGCAGAAAGATCTTCCTGAGTTCCATGGGAGTGGGTGGCCAGCTGCTGAGCTGTGACTTTCTCTGTTGGAATCTGAAAGCAGGAGCTCATCTTCATCTCTTCCCCCTCCTTCCACATCACACTTCTTGGAACAGTGTTGACACAGTTCAATAAACGTTTATTGTTAAATAATACGAAATCAAATGTGTGCTCCTTTTCCCCCGCTCCTGCAGGAGGGAAAAAGGCATTTTGTTCCAGTCTGCCAGAGGGATGAGTGAGAATGAAAAATAATGTTTGCTTCTATTATATTAATAGGCTACTTTTTTAAAACTACTAAGCTAGTAGCCTGTGATCCTATAAAATGGCTTCCATTAACAAGAGGAGCAGGACAACAAATGGAAATTATCAGGAATGAGATCCGTTGGAAAGGCTATTTGGAGATGTTTGTGCAGCACATGCTCATTACTATGTCTGGCCCAAGTCAATTTTATTTAGCACCATAAAAACAGAGTTAGCTTATGATATTTTAAGCATCTTAAACAAAGCAAGATTTATGCTATTGGGTGTGACTTTGGGCCTTCCCCTCTACCCGGTTTTCCACAGGTCTGGAAAGGCAAGAAACTGTTTCTTTATGCATTGCGAGTATAAAGTAGGAAGCCCCCGCCTTCTCCCTTCTAATATCACCAGCAATGAATAGGCAGCGTGTTTCCCATAATTCAGCAATAACTGGGCTATTATTCTTTAATGCTTCAGTTTATTAATGTAACCACTGTGTCATTCCTACCATGCCCGTGTAATTAAATTACCCGACAGACATTTGATAGGAACTTCTCAATCCCCACAAAAGCCCAGAATTTCTATACCCCTTTGTGAGTCCCTAATGAATGGGTGGCACAGACACTTCTGTCATCCGTGCTCACTCACTGTCCTTTCCTGACTGCTCTCCTGTGTCACAGGGGCTTGCTCCTGCAGACAAACTGGGAGCCGTTCTAAAGGAGAGGGTCACATTTCCAACACAGCTAATGTAAGGCATGCTATCACCTTCCTCTCTCTTTGTCCTGCTAAAGCAGAGGCTGACCAAATTAAATTCCAAAACCGTGTCTGCCACGGTAAATCCACGGTGCATTCTTAAACCTTGGCTACCGAATGCTAATCCTTACTTAAGTCATGATTCTAAAGGGAAAATACACTGAAAATTTGCTCAAAAATTAAAGCAATCACATGCCTATCCAAATATATCATTCTATGACTTTCTGAAAAGGAAAAAAAATACACTTACAAATTAAACGTTTCATCCTTTAATTTTATAAATGAAGCTATAATAATGAAGCCTCATCCAGATGGTACTCGAATCCATCTTGGAAAAAGGCTTCTGTGATTATTTATAAAATAATGGACTTTTCTAAACCACTCAACTGGTCATTTTAAAATGCTAATTTCAAAGCAGTACTCTCTATTAATGTTATAGAACTTAGACATGAACTCATTAAAATAATCAAAATAGATTTTAGAGTAGGACTTCTTTCATTTCTAGAAATGGTACTTTAGAGACTCTAGATGTTTCTAAAGATTTAAAAATTCTTGGCCGGGGGCGGTGGCTCACGCCTGTAATCCCAGCACTTTGGGAGGCTGAGGCGGGCGGATCACAAGGTCAGGAGATCGAAACCATCCTGGTTAACATGGTGAAACCCCGTCTCTACTAAAAATACAAAAAATTAGCCGGGCGTGGTGGCGGGCACCTGTAGTCCCAGCTACTCTGGAGGCTGAGGCGAGAGAATGGCGTGAACCTGGTAGGCGGAGGTTGCAGTGAGCCGAGATAGTGCCACTGCACTCCAGCCTGGGCAACAGAGCGAGACTCCATCTCAAAAAAAAAAAAATAAATAAATGAATAAATAAATAAATAAATAAAATTCTTATATTTTACAGTTAACACAATACAATACAATTAACCTAGTAGATGTATTTGTTATGTAGAGTATAGATTTGAATACAAATCTGGATGCCCAATTTTTGAATATTTAAATTACTTGATCTGTATATGACAAGAAGAATATGAGGATATGTAAGTGTATCGAAATAAAAATCAAGATCTAATTTTAAAAGCTATTTGCTTTTATAAGAAAAAAGCATCAAATCAAAGTATGTGATGCCCAGATCAAGAAGATTGAAAATGCTTCTGACAAACTAACATTGTATTTTTAAAATTTGTATAAATTTAAGAGGTACAAGTTTAGTTTTGGATATATTGTGTAGTGGTGAAGTCTGGGCTTTCAGTGTAACTATCACTCAAATAGTATCCCATCACTCAAATCGTACCGCAACTAACCTTTCAGATCAGATACATCTTTTTTTTTTTTTTTTTTTTTTTCTGAGACGGAGTCTCGCTCTGTTGCCCAGGCTGGAGTGCAGTGGCACGATCTCGGCTCACTGCAAGCTCCGCCTCCCGTGTTCACGCCATTCTCCTGCCTCAGCCTCCCGAGTAGCTGGGACTACAGGCGCCCGCCACCACGCCCGGCTAATTTTTTGTATTTTTTTTAGTATAGAAGGGGTTTCACCGTATTAGCCAGGATGGTCTCGATCTCCTGACCTCATGATCCGCCCACGTCGGCCTCCCAAAGTGCTGGGATTACAGGCGTGAGCCACTGCGCCCGGCAAGATCAGATACTTTTGAGAAGAAATCACATCTTATTGGAAATTAGATAATTTAAATCTGACTAAAATCAGAATAACAATTTATAATTATTACTATCCCTTAATATGGAAATTTGTGTTATCTATATATGATTAAAATAACTTTAATGTATATAATGTCTCAAGCTCACAGCAGCACAGAAAAAATAATTGAGTTTAAATCTTGAAAATATTTGAGATGAAAAGAATATTTGTAATTATTTGTGACTGTCTGTTATTCTCCCAAGAAAGCAATAAAGGGGTAAAAATCATCTAAAACAGAGGGGACACATGGAAAACAAATTGCCAAGCAGTAGGTCTAATCCTAAGAATGCCAACAATTACATTAAATATAAAGAAACTAAGCACTCCAGTGAAAAGGCAGAGAGTGTCAGACTGGATAAAAAGCAAAGCGAAACAAAATAAAGCCTAATTTTGCACTGTGTACAAGAGATGGACTTAAAGTATAAAGATAAAAATAGGTTAAATAAACGAAGATAGAAAAAGGTATATCATGCAAATACCCAGCATGAGAAAATTAGCAGGCTGTATTAATGTCAAGTAAGGTAGTCAATGAATATCGGCAGAAACAAATCACAAGGGAAATTAGAAAATACTTTGAACTGAATGAAAAAGAAAGCTCAGTATATCAAAATTTGTGAGATGTAGCTTAAAGCACTTCTTAGAGGGAAATTTATAGAGTTAAATGATTATAAAAGAAGCAAAGTTTAAAATCAATGATCTAAGTTTACACCTTAGGTAGCTAATTTAAAAAGACTAAATTAGGGCTGGGGGCGGTGGCTCATGCCTGTAATCCTAGCACTTTGGGAGGCCCGAAGCAGGCAGATCACCTGAGGTCAGGAGTTCACAACCAGCCTGGCCAACATGGCGAAAACACCGTCTCTATTAAAAATACAAAAATTAGCTGGGCTTGGTGGCGCATGCCTGTAATCCCAGCTACTCAAGAGGCTGAGGCAGGAGAATCGCTTGAATCCGGGAGGTGGAGGTTGCAGTGAGCCGAGATAGTGCCACTGCACTCTGCACTCTGTCCTGGGCGACAGAGCAAGAATCTATCACAAAAAAAAAAAAAAAAAAAAAAAAAAAATTCAACATACACTCAATGATATAAAACTCTCTGTAAATTAGGAATTGAAGGCAATTTTAACAACCTAGTAAAGGACATCTATGGAAAACCTACAGCTCACATCATACTTTATTATGAGATATTGAATACTTTCTTCCAAGGTCAGGAACAAGGCAAGAATGTCTGCTCTAACCACTGCTGTTCAACATTATATACCATAGTCAGTGCAATAAAGCAAGAAAAATAAGTGACAAATAAAAAGACTTAAAAGGAAATAAGCTTAACCTTTTTAAAAACAATTATGTAATTGTTTATATGAAAAATTCTAAGGCATCTACTAAATAATTACACTATTAATGACATTTTAACACATCAGCATGCAAGATTAATATAAAAATCATTTGTATTTCTATATTATTGTAGCAGCATGAAATACTGGATAATTTATTTAACTAAAGATATGCAAAATGTAGATTGAAAACCATAAAATATTGCTGAGAGATATTTTAAAAGGTAGAAATAAATGGAGGCATATACCATGATTAGGGATTATAAAATTCAACATTGCTAAAATGTCAATTCTCCCCTAATTGATCTATAGAGTCAATACAACTTCAATTAAAAGCTTTACAAGTTGTTTTGTAGAAACTGACAAGTTGATTCCAACATTTATGTGAAAATGCAAAAGAATTAGAACAGCCAAACAATCCTTAACAGAATAACAAAGTTAAAGAACCCATCCTACTCTATTTAAAAACTAACTATAACATGACAGTAGCTGACATCATTTATTTTTGGCTTAAGGACAGATTGAGACCAAGGAAACAAAATAGAGTCCAGAAATACATTTTCACATACATGGTAAGTTGATTTTCTTCTTCTTCTTCTTCTTTTTTTTTTTTTTTTTTTGAGAGGGAGTCTCGCTTATCGCCCAGGCTGGAGTTCAGTGGCGCGATCTCCGCTCACTGCAACCTCCACCTCCCGGGTTCATGCCATTCTCCTGTCTCAGCCTCCCGAGTAGCTGGGACTACAGGCGCCTGCCACTGCGCCCGGCTATTTTTTGTATTTTTAGTAGAGACGGGGTTTCACCGTGTTAGCCAGGATGGTCTCGATCTCCTGACCTCATGATCTGCCCGCCTCAGCCTCCCAAAGTGCTGGGATTACAGGCGTGAGCCACCGCGCCCGGCCGGTAAGTTGATTTTCAATAAAGAGGCCAAGGTAACTAAATGGGGAAAAGAATCATCATTTCAATAAATGGTGCTAGAATAACTAGATAATCATTTGAGTAAAAAATGAACCCTCACCTCTACCTCACACTACACACAGTCATTAATTTGAGATAGATCATAAACCTAAACTTAAAAGCAAAAGCTAGAAAACTTCTAGAAAAAATCAGAGGCAAACATCTCACAACCATAGGGCAGGAAAATTTTTTTTAGAGAGGGTGCAAAATGTAATAAACATAAAAGAAAAAATAAAAATTGTATTTATTATAAATTCAAAAGTTGTGCTTATCAAAATACACTTGAAAAATGAAAAGGCAAGCTATACATTGAAAAGAATATTGGGAAGACTATCATACACACACAGACATATACACACATATATCTGACACAGGGCTTGGATATAGAATATATAAAGTACCCTTAAAATTCAATAATTAAAAGACAACTCAATAAAAACGAGCAAACATGTGAACAGAAACTTCTTAATGGAAGGCATATGAATTACCAATAAGCACAGGGAAATGTAAATTAAAACCACAGAAAGTACCATTTCATATTCACTGGAATAGCAAAAATTAAAAAGACTGTTATCACCAAATGTTGGTGAGGATGTGGAGCAACCAAAATAAGTTGCATACATTGCTGGTGAGAGTGTAAAATGGTACAAGCAGATTGGAAATTGGTTTTGTAGTTTCTGCTGTATTCAAATGCATACCTATGCTGTGATCTAGAAATTCCACTCCTAAGTATTTACCTAAATGAAGTAAAAGTATATGTCCTCACGAAGATTTGTATACAAATGTGTAGAGTAGCTTTATTCATAACAGTCCCAAACTGTATAGTGCCCAAATGTCCATCAAAAGGTGAATGTAAAAGACATGTGCACGCAAATGTTCTTTGCAGCACTATTCACAATAGCAAAGACATGGAATTATTTTAAATCCCCATCAATGGTAGATTGGACAAAGAAAATGTGGTACATACACACCATGGAATACTATGCAGGTATAAAAAAGAATGAGATCATGTATTTTGCGGGAACATGGATGGAGCTGTAGGCTATTATTCTTAGCAAACTAACGCAGGAACAGAAAACCAAATATCACATGTTCTCTCTTATAAGTGGGAGCTAAATGATGAGAACTCATGAACATAAAGAAGGAAACAACAGATACTGGGGTCCACTTGAGGGGGAAGGGTGGGAAGAGGGAGAGGAGCAGAAAAGAAAACTATTGGGTATTGGGCTTAATTAATACCTGGGTGATGAAATAATATGTACAACAACCCCCCATGACACGTGTTTACCTATGTAACAAACCTTCACATATACCCCTGAATCTAAAATAAAAGTTAAAAAAAAAAAAAGGTGAATGGCTAAACCAGTTGTGGTAGTTTCATATAACAGAATACTATTGCGCCATAAAAAGGAGGAAACAACAGGTTCAGGCAACAACATAGGTGAATCTGAAAATATCACACCAAGCCAAAGATGCCAGACACAAAGAGTAGATAGGTATGAGTCCATGTCTATGGTGGTGAAAGTGAGAAGGAAGGGACACAAAGAAAGTTTTCTGGGGTTATAACAATGTCCTAGTGGTTGGGGCTGTCGGTACATGGGCATATGCATTCTTTAAAACTCATAAAATTGTGCACTTAGGATCTGTGCATTTCATCTTATGTCAATTTTCCCTCAATATGTTTTGGTGATTCCTAGACTGTTCTTCTGAGCTCAGGAGTGGCTTTGGCTGCATCTTTCTCATAGTGATGAATTGTCAGTCACTGCCTGGCTTTTTGAAATTCAACAGAGCAAGCTCAGGAGTCAATTGCTAACAAAACTGACTTCCCTTCGGTATCTCTTCCCTCCTATTTTCTACCAAGAGTCGATTAGACATAATAGGGATTTTTATTTTTTTATTTTTTGAGATGGAGTTTCACTCTTGTTGCCCAGGCTGGAGTGCAATGGCGCAATCTCGGCTCACTGCAACCTCCACCTCTCGGGTTCAAGCAATTTTCCTGCCTCAGCCTCCTGAGTAGTTGGGATTATAGGCATGCGCCACTATGTCCAGCTAATTTTGTATTTTTAGTAAAGATGGGGTTTCTCCATGTTGGCCAGGCCGGTCTCAAACTCCCAACCTCAGGTGATCCGTCTGCCTCAGCCTCCCAAAGTGCTGGGATTACAGGCGTGAGCCACCGTGCCTGGCCTATAGGGATTTTTAAACACACTACACAGTAAGGTAGTAGCCTTTAACCCAACGTAGTTTCTCTCTTTCTTAATTTGTTCTTGTTGTTTGTGTCATATGCCTTTTTTCTTACACTAAAAGAAAATCTTTTATCTGTTGTCTCTAAACAAGGTTAGGGAATTTTTGTTGAATTTTATGTATAAGTGAGTATCAAGTTGAAGTTTTGTTTAAATTTCTTATCCTTCGAACTTCAAAATATTCTGCCTTTAAAAACAAAGAATCCTTGCATATACTTCTATATATGTATTTTTATTTATTTATTTATTTTGAGACAGGGTCTTGCTCTGTCATCCAGGCTGGGGTGCAATGGTATGATCATGACTCACTGCAGCCTCAGCCTCCTAGGCTCAAGTGATCCTCCCCTCTCAGCCTCCTGAGTAGCTGGGACTACAGGCATGTGCCACCACATCCTGGTTAAGTTTCTAAAATATTTTCCCCTGCCTCGGTCTCCCAAAGTGCTGGGATTACAGGCATTAGCCACTGCACCAGCCTATATAGTTATTTATAATTTTGAAGGTACATTGTCAGAGTGTGTTAACTTCTGACATTTTCCTAGCCTCTACCATGGAGTAATATTGTATATTAATTCAAATCAGTTGTCAAAGAGTTAGTTATGATATCTTTAATCTAAAATTGTTATATTTTTTTCCTGCCTTAGCCTCCCCAGTAGCTGGGACTACCGGCGCCTGCCACCACGCCCGGCTAATTTTTTGTATTTTTTAGTAGAGACGGGGTTTCACCGTGTTAGCCAGGATGGTCTCAATCTCCTGACCTCGTGATCCGCCCGCCTCGGCCTCCCAAAGTGCTCGGATTACAGGAGTGAGTAAAATTGTTATCTTTAACTACTATTCTCACACTGAGTTTGAAATCTGAGGGTTTTGGGGGAGTGGATGGGAGGGGTTGTTTTTGAAGCAACACTTCACAGTTATCTCTATTATTGAGATTTTCTTTGCAAAGAGCAAATAAACATTTTCTCCAGGATGTTCATATGCCATATTTTTTTGTTGTTGTTCAATACTGCAGCTCCCCTGCCTCAAAGAGACTCAAACATGTGGCTGTTTATACTTGTCTGGGTCTGATGATGAGGGGAGTGTTATTTTCAAGGTCACTAGGCTGTCTTCAGCCCTTGGATACATGGCAGGCATTGGAAGAGACATGTTGACATGTAGACTTAGTCCATTAATGACAAGAACTTACAAACTTCTAGATTGTGAGTTTTCTTGCTTGTGCTAGGCCTACCTTCATTTCCTTATACTAACTAAAGGATTCTTTGAGCTATGGCTTATTGCCTTTTTCACCTATTTGTGAGAGCTACTTTTAATGAAAGTGCTTAAATCTAACTTAACCTAAACCAAGAGGTGGCACAGTATCTTTAAATAAAATCAGAAATGCTCAAATTCCTCATTTTTTATCCCTAACCATGGTTCATGATAATGTCCTAAACCTTCTCTTTATATAATTAGATATTTATATACAACCATAGGCTTTTGAGGATTTGTATGTGTATGTGCACAATATAGATTCACACATGTATAGTTTATATATATAAGATATATTTTTGTGGAAGTACATTTATAGAGTTATTGTATTTACATTGTGTGTGTGTGTATTCTCACACAAATACATACGCACATTCTTATAAAAACTCTCTGTATTTTCTCTCAAGGTTTGGGAAATAGTCTTAGAATATTGCTTTTCATTCTCAATCAAGAAGTTAGAAAGAGCTAATGAAAACCTTACTTTGACCCCTTCAAAAATATGCTTAGGAACAAACATAAGCTCCAAGGATGAGAGTGATTTGACAAATTTTCTCAATTCTTGCAAAATTGATTTCTGCAGAACCAAGCCTATGCATCAAATATATACACCAGGTCCCTGAAAAACAAGGCACTATTATGCTCAAGGGATGCTAGCAAAGACTCAGTACTTTGTATCCTCAAATCTCCTTCCCTTTGGATGGATCTTGCTGCCCCAGTTGCCATGTTTGATTCATAGATTTGGGCCAACCCCATGCTGAAACATGCCGGCCGCGGCCAATGCCAGAGCCTGGAAGAGCAAATATCACAGAAGGTCCATGTCACAGTTTCAGAAATGGCACCTCCGTAGTATTCACTACATAGGATGCAAAATGGGAATGCATGAGACAGGTGGGAAAGAGAGGGAGAAAGAAGAAAGTGAAAGGGGGTGGGGGGAGAGGACAAAGAAAGAAAGCAGAGGAGAGAAGGAAAGAGAAGAGAGAAGAAGGGGGATAGAGTGGAAGGAAGGGTGTCAGAGAGGAGGGAGGAAAGTGAAGGCTGGAGAAGAAAAAGGAGGGAAAGGGTTGGCAAAAAGATGGGAGAAGAGGGATGCAAGAAAGCAGAAGTAGAAAGGGACCAGAGAGACAGAAATAAAATTAAGAGAGGGATGAGGAGACAAGAATACTCTTAAAGAAGAGGAAGATGGAAAAAGAGGAAGAGAGGTGCCGAATGACAGAGACCAAGGGGGGATAGAAAAGATGAGAAAGAAGGAGGCTGTGCACATCTGTGTGGACCCTGCTAGCAGCTTAGCCAGTGGCCCAGAGCAGCCTCCCAGAGCAGCATTGGCATGGCCAGTACTGTGAGGTTGGGTACCCCTGTCATCAGTCCCGGGGGCTGGTCCTCTCGAGAAATGCAAATCTCAGAGGGCCAGGCTCAGACAGTTAGCGGTCATCCCCCTAATCACCTGGCTGCCTTTCTGATCTCTGCACAAGGGCCCTCTTGCACCGTTAATGAATTGTAAAAAACATTATGTTTTCCTTCTTCTGTTAGGGCTCAGGTTTCCAGAAGAAGGAACAAACACATAACAGGAAATGCTCCAGTAAAGCCAGGGAGGGCATGGGTGGAAAGTAGAGGTTGTAATCCTAAAGCAGAGCCACCCACAGCAGTTCTCATTGCCTTTCCTAAGGTCACAGTCACACCATCTCCTTTTGGTAAACAGAAGGAGGTCCCACCCAGGAAGGAGTAAGACCCAGTCATGAAAAACAAATGACAACAGCTCTGAGATCAGGACTCTTCGTCTGGGGTCTTTTTTCTCTAGGCAGCCTGTGGGCATTTCAACTAGAATTATCAGGTTTAGCAAATACACATACAGATGCCCACTTCAATTTGAATTTTAGATAAATCATGAATAAAGTTTTAGTAGAAGAAATACTGTTTTAGGATAAGTATATCCCATGCAAAGAGAGGAAGGGAGAAACTCTAAAAAGAGGGGGTAAAATAAGAAGGGGGAGGAGAAACAGAGTGGCAGAGACAAACAAATGCAATCTCTGGGACATACTGATACTACAGTTATTTGTTTACCTGAAACACAAATTGAAGTTGGTGTCCTATATTTTATCTGGCAGACATAGTTTCAGGTCTGTTTTTCCCCCTAAGTTATTTTTCTAACTTATTTTTACTAATTTCATTATTTCATCCACCCTTTTTCTATCTATTGGTTAATGGTGGATACTAGGATTTCATCCTCACAGCATAGCAATTTTCTACTAAAGGCAAAAAAAAAAAAAAGAAAGAAAGAAAGAAAGAAAAAACCCTAAACTCTCATCCTGTGTACCAAGGTTTATTTTGTTTTATTTTGCTTTCATACTAGCACCTTCCTTGATTCAAGCGATATTTTGTTAGGAGGAAAAGTAAAACATTTGCTTCTTTGAATAACAGAAAACCTGGTGTGTGTTGAGAAGCGGGTCAATTGGTTGAATAAATTTGTTGAGTGAAGATCCAGAGAGCAAAAAGAAGATTGGGGAAGGGCAGTTGGGGAGATGAGATGGCACAATTAGATATGCTGTTCCTGTGTGTGTCCTGTGTGTGGGTGGCATGGATCCCCTGTATCTGAAAGCATTTGAAAGGAGCTATATCACTGCCTTCCTTGAGGAATGGTAAGTAAGAAGTGAGAACAAATTATCTCTAAGATCCCATCTAACTTAAACCTTTTTCTGGTATTGATTTTTAAAATAGGCCTATGTGTATTAAGAGCCTTTTCTCTAGTCCAGTGGAAAAATTCTATCATAGAGCTTCATCATTTTGTAGAATGTCTCCTATCTGCTCTCAGAAGGAATTAGCACAAGAAATTTGGGAATGAAAGAAAATGATTAAGCTAAAATTTTATACTTTCCAGCAAATATTCTCATAGAATATCAGGGAACTATCTGGGCTTTGGAATGATTCAATCATCTCTTGGTGAAGTGCCAATGGGTTGGGTGGAATGTGGAGGTTACAATAGGATAAAATTATGGAAATGTATCAATGGAAGAGTGAAAATGTAAAGTGATGAAGATTTTAAAAATAACTGGGAAAAGAGTGTCCTGACACCATGGAGAAACAGAAAACCAATTCGAATTGAATGGGGCATTGTTTAAGGTGAAGTGTAATGTGTGCTGTCCCCCTTCTCCAAAATGTAGACTCTCTTTTGTGAGCATGTAGCCACAACATTTTAGAACTCAGAAAAGAATTAGCCAGAGGCTAGGCCTTGGAGAATGGGCTGCATCTGTTTTGAATACTTTCAATGCCCCAAGCGTAGGCATTGACCTCCTGTCAGACAGGGCTCCAAACTGCAACCCAAGAAGATATATTGATCTAGAAAATGTTTATACAACTGCTTATATATGTGAAAATAAATCTTCTGTTCCCTTGGCACATAAGTTAAAGATATTCTAGAACCATAGCACCATCACATTTTTTTTTCTTTTTCTTTTTTGCGAACTGGGATGCAATACAGCATCTGGGGAAAGATAAATGAAGAAAATCCAATACATGAACAGATGTTACTTTACATTTATGTGGTATTTCAGACTCTACATATGACTTGGGGTTGGCTACACGTCCACGTGGAATTTTCCCAACATTGCTATGAGGTAGGAATATTAATAACATTTTTCAGATAAGGAAACAGGAACTCAAGAAGTGAAGATCCAGCCAGGGACCAGTATCAGGGGTTCCGATGTTGAAGTACCATGCTTTTCTCACTCCACCAGAGGTGGCTTGGTGATGCCATATGACTGACGGAAAGTAAACTGAACTTTACAACCTTAATTTGTCCCCAGACAAGTTACAGAGCCTAATGAAAAGGAGAAAGAATTGCAACACAGTGATTAATTACTGAGTTGTGGCATGAAATCCCTGCTCCATCATTTACTTGCAGTATGACTTTGGACCAGTTTCTTTCCTTTCTCAGCCTTAGTTTTTTTGAACTGTAAAACGGGTTTAATAATAATATTTTCTTCAAGGCTGTTGTTAGGATTGAATATATTCATATATATAAAGTTCTTATTATAGACATTTCCCCACCTGCACTTATTATTATTATTGTATCAAGGCGTGGATTCTAACTCTTCTTCAGTGTTAACTTGCACATTAGTCTAGGATGTTGCTTGTGGGCTTTTGTTTGTAAGCTTGCTCTAAGAGATCAGGCACTTTGAAAAAAAAAAGGATTAAGAACTTCACCAAAAAGTAATTTATCTTAAAGTCTAGCCAAAGAAATCCATATAAATATTTCCTAACCATTTTTGAGAAGTGGGTAAAAGGATCAGAAATCAAGTGTGACATGTGGAACCAAGCATATTAGCAACTGATGTAGCTTGGCTTGCAGGAAATGTGCAAAAAAGAGAAAAGTTTCATTGTGATCGTGCAAAGGAGTATCTGTGCTTTGTCAACATCAATTTTGTGTAATGCCTTTACATTTCTAAAGCCCAGGAGATAACCTTGGACTATTAAAGCTAGGATTTTGCTGATAGGACATTAGAAGATGAAGCATTTCATGACACTGTTATTTAATTTGGAGAGAAAAGATAGACTTTGGAAATAAATTAAGACTACCACTTTCAACACTAAGAGGGTCAGAGCAAGGAGAAATTCTGGAAATGTTTTAGGATCGTGAGAGGCTTATACACCAGGGATCTGTGTGCAGACAGGAAGTGCAGATCAAGACAGTAGCCTTGGGCTCTCGGCTGAACCCTGAATTAAGTAAGTGATAACAACACAGGACGAGGGCATGCTTTCTTTTCATTCCCCTCTTTTTTTTTTTTTAAATACATTCTTTCCTTCTTAGGTTAAAAGAAAGAAGATTTCAGTCCTTGAAAACAATCTTTTTTTTTTCCACTTATTAAGAACCTAGAGGAGAAAGGCAATTGTCCCATGCCTGTCCACTGGGGAAAGGAGACAACTGTTCATAATTTGCTGAGCTTGCAGCAGGAACACCATAAAATTAAACCAAGTAGAAGACTAATTCCACTGTTGGGGACGGGGAAACATTCTAGTAAAGAAGCAACTTGTAAACTTGTAAAATGAGTCATATAAAGTGATGTCTCAAGAAAAATAACTAGTGATATGTAATTTAGGAAATGTAGATGCTTCGTCATTCTAAGAAAATTACTTTATGAATAAATGATACTCAAGGTCACAGTTGAGTGGCATGTCTGGAGGTATAAGTGGCTAAAACTAGCTGTACTTAAAGTAATAAAAAAGTATATTATGTTTCTATAAAGCTCTTGGTAATAAAAATCAGTAGGAATAAGCAAACCTAGGAAACATTTTGAAATAAGAGTAATTTGATATGGAGACCTCAATTTTCCAACTCAGGTCCTTTTTCTCCTTTTCTGTTCATGTTGCTACCACAGCCCCTCCCTCGCCCCACCTCTCCCTTTGGCTCAATGCCCTCATATTCCTTATGCCTTCTGTATTCATTAATTCCCAATCTCAGATAGGAGTCTGAAACTCCAGCACCTACAGTTATAAAAACTGACATGAGATGATCATATTTTACCTCCCCATTTCCAGAATTGCATTTTAATAAAGATCAAAGATTAATGCTAAAGTAATGATTTCACATGGCATTCAGGATTGTGGCCAGAAAGTGGGAATATGGAGGAAAGGGAGTTTGAGGAAGATAGGATCAATAAAAGGGTCTTAATGAAAACAAACTACATTGAAAAAAAATCCCTTTTCTACATATTTGCACCAAGGGTACTATGTGCTTACTTCAGAAGGTAGAGTTTAGCCCTTCTAACAACCAACCAAGTTAAATCTGCTTTTCTCAAACAGCAAAGAAAGACAATTCTCTGCAATATCTTATTATGGTTTTTCTTTGTTAGTATCTTAAAAACACTTTAAATGGTAAAAGAGAAATTGCTTGTGGTTTAAACATCCAGAGGGCAAGATACTTTATCCTCAACTTTTTGATTTCTTCAAATACTTACAAATTATTCTCAGTAGAAAAATTAGACTTATTTTCTTCACAAGTCTATGAGACAGACTACATAACATCTTAACATAAGTGGCCCTGTTGCATTTCAAATATCCAGTCATTGGAGCAATTGGTTGATTTTGGCAGTCTCCATGACTAATGCATTAACTTCAACCTATCAAATGAACTAAAACCAAGTGTGTTTGAATATTTGGTCTACAGATAAGCCTACTGGGGGCATTCAAACCAATGAGATAGACTCGACTTTTCTGGTTCTTTCAGACTACATTCAGGGGAACGGTTGCACAACAGCTTATTAGAGCCAAGTCAAAAACATCCATTTCAAAAGTCTTCCTTTAAACAATATGCTATCTTTGCATTTTGCTAAATTTTGTTACTTGAAATTAAAAGCTCATTAGAAGCAAGTCTTCCCTGCAAACTGACATATTCGATTACAGTCATCTGTTCTAGAGAACAGACTGCGTCTAGACAGAAGAATACCGCTGTGGCTTAGAAGGAACATGATGCGTTACAGCGGCTGATTCTTGGGCTGGGTGGTTGTTTTTATGATCTGCGTTGGGAACACCATGTGATAAACTATTTTGCAGCTTCCCAAATGTGTATAGGTATGAACAACCTCAATGGCTATAGCCATAAACAAAACAAGATTGAATTATGGCAATGTGGTGGCGATGGGGGAAAACACATTGGCCAAAGATAAATACGAAACGGCGGCATTAAAAATGCAAAACAAAAGCAAACAAACCAAACCAGATTAATACAAATTAAAGCCAAGAGTCTACGCTTCATGGGATAAAGAATTCTAGCCTTTGTTCCATGTTCCAGGATCTTAACAACTGTGTTTAGGGCAGGGAGTGTGGAGTTATTTATTCACATGTACATGGAATGGGAACAAGCAATTGGCTGCTTATAAGAATTAAGCATCTGTCTTGGGAAGCTTCCTCTAAAACAGAGCTGTACTGAGTGCATACCATATGAAAGCAAATAGGCTAGGGGAATGCTGTTACAGAAATTTGTAAGAAAGCAGTCTTCATGTTTTTAAATGTTTAGGCTTAAATGCATGTCTAGCCTTTCAGCAAGCTACAACGCAGTAGAGATGTTTGATCTTATGAAGAATCTCAGTTTAAATCAATTTCCTTACAGATGAGTTTACACATGCGATAAATCACACATGCTTTGCAAAGCTATTGCCAGTATGTAAGAAAAGGATTCTGCTCCACCCCCGCCCTGCACCCCACCAACCCTTGAAATTGGTCATCATTTTGAGACTGAAAATGCAATCATTGTCAATTTTCTGGTTTCCATGGCTTAGAAATCTGAGAAGGCAGGGGTTCATTTCTTAGTAAATTTGCCCCCTAGGTTAGAGAAGGAAGACGCAAATGAAAGGAGAGGACATGGCTCATGGTGGTTGCTAAGAAACATGCAACTGAACACAGGCTGCCCCTTAATAATGGCCAGAGGGGGTGTGAGCTGTGATAACATCGGCCATGATAGCTCTGCCTCCTGGCCCAGCAGGGGCCACTGCTGTGGGTAAAATGAAAAGGAAGGCAGTCTTGTTAGGGAAAATGTAAGAAGACCTGGAAAGGGAAATGAAAGCCTGAGGCCCTTTGCACACTGAGATGGTGCTACAGGTGCCCTGAGGGAAAAGGCATGCTTTGTGTTATTTTCTACTAGTAATGAAGGTGGCTGGGATTAGGAATGATTCACATGCTGCTACTTGCTCACCTGGTAGCTGACAGCTCTTCTTTGAAAGACCTGGGTCCTGTGAATTAATTTATCACCCTGTTCTTGACTTAATGAGCCTCAACAAAAGGAGAAAGGGAGCTTAGCTCTGACCAAGTGAGCTAACTAGCCCCCAAATAGCTATAATATAGACATATTATGCCACTGACATGATCAGCACAGCCCAGAAGTCCATAATGCAGTCTCTGGGGTCTGGGTGCAAGTCCTAATCTTTCTAGTTGGTGACCTTGGGTGAGTTACATACACTCCTTAAGCCTTGGAGTCCTCATTGTGTTTAATAGGGGCAGAATAATGTAACCTACATGCATGCTTATTTTCAGCCCGACGCCACCTCTCCCTGTCTACTAGCAACAGACTCCCCTCTCTTAATTTTAGGGAAATCCCTAGCCAACATATGTTTCCAGAGGGGTCTGCCAGTGAGAATCCAAACACTCCCACCAAAACCCACTCCACTTCAGCTACAGTAATTGGTCCAATGGATGACAATGACTCAGACCAGGCTGATCAGAATCCTGCCATTGGGATTTAAAAACTAGATTGAAATAAAAGTTCAAGTATGACCAGGGGAAACACTTTTTTCCCAGTGATGAAGCTGCTAGAGCTACTGTTAACCACATTTCCTATCAGTGGATAAAGCTGGACTACAGAGGAAGAGAATGACAGTGACAAGTAAAGACATGCAAAAATGGAAGAATGAAACTCTTAAGGTCATTTGAATACCTGACTCCAGTTCCTGAGTTCTCCAGGACCATCCTGGTTCTCACCTCGCAAAGATCTAGAGGATGTTTAGATGAGAAAATGCATGTAAATGCAGTACAGTGCCTGGTACAGAAGATTTAATAAATGTTTAAATTATTACTATTGAGTGGGGAAGAATCATTCTTCCTCTCTCATGCTTGGATGAAAAAATTCTTGGAAGAGCTGCTTCTCCCCACCTCATTTGTTAACTGAGCCCCACAGAAAGTGGCATGCCCAGGATGCAGGAAAGGGGGCACAGTGTGACTGCGGAGTGGTGATCTGCAGCCGAGTGGCATTGCTGACAAGCAGACATCACCCTATCCTACCATCTGACTCACAGAAGTAAGTTGCTTCAATTGCCTAGATGTTCCAGCCTCCAAATGGCCTCATTCTTAGCTGTAAAGAATTCCAAGTTTTCACCAAATTAAATGCAAACAGTAAAAAGAGAAGCGCTCAACAGAAGCATTACAAAGATGAGGTTCTGGCCCTGCTTCTGCCACTTGTAAGTTAAAGGCAGAGCGTTATGTTTGTAGCAACCCTTTAAGAAGTGGTAAAAATGGAGTTTTCCATGTGTGTTTACAGCACTTTTGGGAAGATCACATCTTTTGACATGTGTGAACTGTAGAGACATTGAGAATGTATGAAGAATTGTTATTATTTTCCTAGAGGGGCAGAGAAGAATTGGTGTTGTGACTGGGGTCATTTCTACACATGTAAAGAAGGGGGTTGAATCAAAGATTTAGCCCATCAATTAACATATTGAGCATCTTCTGTGTGTTACACTGGGTTGTGTTACAACCACGGTTCTTGTGATGTTCAGAGTCTGTTCACCGAAACAGACCCAGAGACGAGAACTAAGAGAGCAATGAAATCCCAGAAGAAGAAACGATGACTTAAGTCTGGGAGGAGGCCAGGGAAGGAGACACGAAAGAGCTAATATTTGATACGGGTTTTGACTGTTCACTGGGTAGAGAAGAGGCGGCATTCCTGAGCAGAGATAATTATGCTCAAGGAGTCAAGGTGGTGGGAAAGTGCAGAGTATGCTTGGGAAGAGCCAGAGAGACAATGTGGATTGTGACTAAAACACAAGATGTATTGACGTAGCAGCCTTAACCTTCTTCTGGAACAGACATAGCTAAGGGCTGTTGTACTCCTCGAGATCTCAATACAATTGACTTGATACCTTATGGCCACACCCACTACCAATTTTTAGGCTTGTGCAAATCCAAAACCAAGATTTCTGGGAAATTCCAGTGGGTTTCTATTTCCAAGGTTGTTCAGCTCTCTGGAACATGCACATTCGACCATTGCCTTTTTGATTTTTGCCTGAAATTCTGCACCTTCAATTTCTATCCCAATAAAATCATTCACATACCTTAACTCACATTCCTGAGTTTAGGAGTCTTTTCTGAAGATTTTGGTCTGTCAAATTGCAGCCTTCCACCATTTTCCTAGCCACACACTCTGGTTTCCCATTATAGACTCCTTTGGGAATCCAAATTCTTCTTTTCTGTATGAGGCAGAGAAGAATTATCTTCTGTCCATCTAGGGGCAAAACCTGTTCCTCCACTTGTCTTATGCCCAGTGGTTTAGAAATGGATTTTTGTTGTTTGAACAGGCATTTTGGATCTCACAGTCCACTTTACTTTAATAAGTAAGTATTATTATTATTATATATATTACGATTATAATATATATTATGTATATTACTATTATAAAGTAGCTTAAAAGCTACTTTAATAAGTAGCTTATTAAAAATACTTCTCTAATGAGAATTCCGATACCTACAAAGGTAGTCACAAGTTTTCCATCACTCCACAGACAAGACAAAATTTACTAAATGAAAATAGCGTGAGTTGCTATGGAGAAGGTGAGAGGTGATGGAAAGAAGAAATGGCTTGGGAGAGAGTCGTGGTTGCACAGCCAACGCTGTTGATACCCAGCTACGCAGAGGGAGGGGAGCCATTGAAGGCTTTGGAACTTGGGAGTTTGGTGTTCAATTTATGTGTTAGTGGGGTCAGCATGAAGACAGGTTGAAGACTGGATGTGATGGGGGAGAGACTAGACGAAGGAAGAGCAGTCTGAGGCCATCATAATAGTTGAGGACAGAACTGATGAGGATTAGCATGACAGTGAGAGCTCATGCCGTGGCAGCTGGAAAATGAGTTCTATAGAAATCTATGAGTCAGAGGATTCAAAAACATTCACAGCTCATTTTCAATTCAAATATTTGTGAATTTCAAGGGAGAGCAACCCTTCCAAAGTTACAGCCTCATGTGCTCATTTAAGTGATACACACATTTTCTTAATCAGGGGAAGGGATATGAGTAATAAACTTAATCAATGATTGGTGATTTTTGAAATCAATTTTGAATATTATTTCACATGTTTTAATTTTTTAGAAGTCTATTTGGTTTGACTATTTGAGACAGTCATGAAAACTTTCTTAGGTCTTTTTGTGATCTCAAATTCATCTTTGTCGTAGCCTATTAATTTACTGCAGACATAACTTTCCATTTACCTAATAAATGACAATTTGTGTTGTGTGTTTTTAAAAATTTTCTCCTATGCCTTGAACTCATTTCTGAATGGAAGTCTTCCTATCTCATTAACTTCCCTGTTGTGTGTATTTAGAATCCACTCATTACGTGTTCCTTCTTTCCAACCCCAAATTTGTGAAAATTCTTTTATGAAAAGACATGCTTATGCATTTAAGATTACACATGCCTTCTAAAAATTCCTCACATTATATCTATGCTCCTTCAAAACCATAAGCTACAAACACTAGGTCTGATCATACAGGGGAAATAAGAGGGACTTCTTTTTCTTTCTTTCTTTCTTTTTTTTTTCTAGGCATGTCAATTTTCAATCTTCTGGGATCCATTTAGTGAGCTGGAGATGATAATGGTTCATGAGATGCTAGCAGCCCAAATCATTAGGAGCTTATATAGTCTTTCTGTCCTGGGACTAATATATTTTTGTTGACAACTGGCTCCAGCTTCTCCCACCCAGCTGGCCTTTCTCCTGTTTATTGTCCCTGGGGCCTCCCTCGAAGCAACCCTACTGTTCTCAGGCCCCAGCCCATCTAGCAGGCTGTCATGATGCTCAGACACAGAGTCAGCAGCAGCAGGGCTAGGTTCAATTCCCAGCACTCTTCCACAGGATAGAGAACAATTAAATGTGAAAACTCACCTTTGATTTATTAGGTATACTTTGTGGAGTCTGAAATGAAACAAGTCGAGATAGTTCAAGTCTACATTGCTCACATTAAAGATTTATATACAATTCCAACCAACTCAGGAAAAGGTCTGAGCTATAGATAACTGCATATTTATAGGTTGTTGATGTCTTTGCATTGAGGTAAACTTTTCTCTTAAGTTATATGAATTAACTGTAATGTTGGGTAGTCATCACCTGAGAAATTTATTGTTATGAATTAATCCGACCCCAAAAGCTAGGAGGAACTATAATCATTATGATAAAGTGATTGAATGGAAGACAAAATAGGGTTCAGGGAGATGTAAAACTAATTTCAAGGTTATCAATATACGCATTGGTGATTGTGTAGCATGTATGCGATGTCATCCCAAAGAAGAATAACTTAATCTACTGTGTGCAGTAGATAATGGGTTGTAAGCTAAACAGGGGTCTGACCTCTAGTACTTTAAACCCCATTAATTAAATCTGTGCCAGGGAAACCTAGGAAAGCATGTTAGTATCATGGATGGGGGGACACACACAAATGCTGTCATAAGGCAAGATAGTCTTTGGTACTGCTATTTTAAGGATCCCTTCTTTCTACTGCTTCTCTGCAGCCAGCTCTGGAATGATGTATATTTCTCATTTCTTCAGGGTATATTATTTCTGGAAGGTTCTAAGGTCATCCTTGTGCATAGCTGCACTGCATAGTGTGGAGTGCTTTGTATATCTTAATTGCCAGAAATGCCTTTGTTAATAGCCCACTATCTCCCTATCCTCTCTTCCAACATTGTCTGAAATTTCCATCAAGGAGGTTCTTCCCTGATATTTGACAAGACCTAAAAGAGTTTTGTTTCCAAGACACTCATAAACTGCAGACACTACATGGAAGAGTAAGGCACAAATGGGCCAAGCAGAGATGTCATCACTAGAAAGGAATGAGCCTGAGGAGAAGACCAGCACGTTGCTGCTCAAAATATAGCCCATGGACCAACAGCGTCAGCATCTCCTGGGAGCTTGGTAGAAACACAGAACCTCAAACCCCACCCTGCTGAGTCAGAGCATGCCTTTTACCAGGATGGTTTATGTGCACACGAAATTTAGTACTCACCTTGAAGAAAGAGGGGCAGCACTGTTAGGAACACAGATGGCCAGGCCAAGATGACACAAGAGATGATTGAAGATTGTATTAGGCTGCTTTTGCATTGCTATAAAGAAATACCTGAGGCTGGGTAACCTATAAAGACAAGAGGTTTGATTGGCTCATGGTCCTACAGGCTGTACAGAAAGCATGGTGCCGATGTCTGTTCAGCCTCTTGAGTGGCTTCAGGAAGCTTACAGTCATACGGAAAGCAAAGGGGAAGAAGCACGTCACTTGGCTAAAGCAGGAGTGAGAGTGAGAAAGTGAGAAAGAGGGAGAGGCAGGGAGATGCCACACACTTTTAAACAGTCAGCTCTTGAGAGAAGTCACTATCACAAGGACAGCACCAAAGAGATGGTGCTAAACCATTCATGAGAAGTCCACCCTCATGATCCAGTTGCCTCCAACCAGTCCCCACCTCCAATACTGGGGATTACAATCCAACATGAGATTTGGGCGGGGACACATATCCAAACTATATCAAAGATAAACAAGCTATTTTGCCAAAGACTCTTCTGGAGCAATATTCTACCCACTGGTTCCCAAAGCAGTTTGACCATCTGATTCATTGCTTACAACTATACATTTCAAGATCACACCCCGGAGATTCATATTTCACTGATCTGAGGAGGGGCCCAAGAACCTCCATTTTTTAGCAAGCACCTGGGTGATTTTCCTGTAACTGGCTGGTATTTGAATCTTCTACAGATTCAACTAGCTACTCTTCAGCCTCCTGAGTGGTCACAGAAGTTTTCATACTCTAATCTCTAATGTGAGCTTAGAAAAAAAAGACCTTGATATATAAAAATCAGAAGGAGATGAGTCGTGGAAGGAACTGCTGCTTGTTCTAAGCCACCATTATGAATTCCTGGCCATCCCAGGCATGGTGGCTCATGCCTGTAACCCCAGCCCTCTCGGAGGCTGAGGCAGGCAGATCACTTGAGGTCAGGAGTTTGAGACCAGCCTGGCCAACATGGTGAAACCCGTCTCTACTAAAAATACAAAAATTAGCTGGGCATGGTGGGACGTGCCTGTAATCCCAGCTACTTGGGAGGCTGAGGCACGAGAATTGCTGGAACCTGGGAGGAGGAGGTTGCAGTGAGCTGAGATCACGCCACTGCACTCCAGCCTGGGTGATGGAGTGAGACTCTGTCTCGAAAAATAAAAAATAAAAAATAAAAATAAAATAAAATAAAATAAATTCCCGGCCATCAATATCAGGATGTGGTTGCTGAGTAATCTAGTAACATTCTCAAGTCTACGGCCATTTTCAGACTTGCTACCCACGAAAATCTGAAGTTATAGACCTACATTTGGTGTTGCCCTGACTAGAGTAATCCAAGACAGCTGATGAGGTGTGAGTCTTTATTTAGAAGCATATTTGTGAACACGTTGAGGGGAAAATAAAACGATTTAGAATGTGGGGTGGGCAGAGGGTTGTGTCCTCAGTATCACAATAGTGCTTGATTCTGTTGTTGTGATCTTATCAGAAAATTATAAAAATATCTGGCCGGTTCTGGTGGCTCATTCCTATAATCCCAGCACTTTGGGAGGCTGAGACAGGCGGATCACTTGGGGTCAGGAGTTCGAAACCAGCTTGGCCAACATGGCAAAACCCCGTCTCTACCAAAAATACAAAAACTAGCTGGGCGTGTTGGCGCACCCCAGTAATTCCAGCTACTCGGGAGGCTGAGGTGGGAGAATCAATTGAACCCAGGAGGCGGAGATTGCAGTGAGCCGAGATTGCACCACTGCACTCCAGCCTGGGTGACAGAACAAGACTCCATCTCAAAAAAAAAAGAAAGAAAGAAAAAAGAAAATTATAAAAAATATCAATGTAGTGTACACTGTTTCACTTAGACATTTCTTAAAACAAGGGTCTTGGCCAGGCATGGTGGCTCATGCCTGTAATCCTAACACTTTGGGAGGTCGAGGTGGGCAGGTCACTTGCACACAGGAGTTCAAGACCAGCCTGGGCAACATGACAAAACCCTGTCTGTATGAAAAAATACAAAAATTAGCTGGGCATGCCTGTGGTCCCAGCTACTCAGGAGGCTGACATGGGAGGATCGCTTGAGCCCAAGAGGTTGAGCCTTCAGTGAGCTAAGATCATGCCACTGCACTACAGCCTGGGTGACAGAGGAGGAGACCTTGTCAACAACAATAACAACACCAATCAACCAAACCACAAAAGGGTCTTCATTGTCTGAAATAAAAAGGAAATTTCAAGCCCCATTTTTGGTCAACTGTCAGCATTTGCCCTCTTTGGCCCCTCTTAAGGTTTCAGAAGAAACACCCACTGATATGGTTTAGATATTGTCCCCTCCAAATCTCATGCCGAAATGTGACCCCCAATATTGGAGGAACCCAGTAGGAGGTGGATCATGCGGGTGGATCACTCAAGAATGGCTTAGCACTATCCCCTTGGTGATAAGTGACTCCTTGCTCAGTTAGTTCACATGAGATCTGGTTGTTTAAAACAGTCTGGGACCTCCCCCTTCTCTCTCTTGCTCCCTCTCTTGCCATGTGACATGGCTGCTCTCCCTTCCTCTTCCACCATGACTGTAAGCTTCCTCAGGCCCTCACTGGAAGCAGATGCTGGCACCATGCTTCCTGTACAGCCTGCAGAACTGTGAGCCTAAATACATTTATTTTCCCTATAAATTACCTAGTCTCAGGTATTCCTTTAGAGCAATGCAAACAGACTAACATGCTCACCTCTCCACAGTGTCCACTCCTCTCCTCAAGTCATAGGAAGCCAGGGAGCTTCTCTTGTAAGGAAACTTGCTTCACATACCAGCAGAGTTTGGAAATAGTTTTCTTTACTCCAAAGAAGCCAAGGTAAGAAGTATAGTGCAGGGGGCAAGCATGCGAATTCTTGTGTCAGTCTACCTACTTCGAATCCTACTCAATTCTTAAAAGCTATGACACCTTAGGCAGGTTACCCAGAGTTCCTGTGCCTCACATTGGTACCTAAAAAATGGGATAATCATAATACCTGTGTCACAGAACTGTTGAGAGGATTAAATGAGAAAATACAGGGCCATCTTTCTGGTAGATAAAGCATTGTCAATCTGGTAGATAGCCCCAAATAGCCTATTTGCCTAGAATCCTGCAAGAGCCCATGGAAGCCAACTGCCTAGATACCTTCTTTCTTGGCCTCCTTATTTTCCAGATTTCTCCATCCCCTGCATGGAAACTGGTACTCAAGGGTGACGTTGCTCTGTAGTGTAGCCTATTAGGTGAGGACAGGTTTTTCTACCTCTCTTGCTTACCTCATCTCTCAGAGTCTTGACCCTACTATGGTTTTCTCTTAAAAAAATTCTTGAAATGACTTTTCTAATTTCAAGTTATAACACATCTGAAATTAACTTGCCCAGTTACAACACATCTGAAATTCTAAAGGCCCTTCCCCTACCTGTCGTGCAAATCCCCTTCCGTCTAGTCTCTGGCCTAAAACCAGTTGAGATGGACCCTCCTCCTCGGGAAGTCCTGCCTCTTTCTGAAGGCAGGGTGCCTGCTGAATCTGGTCCCTGTGGCCCTGTTTGCTCAAATGGCTTCTGCAGTTTTAAGGGGAAGTTGGAATAAGACATGTGAAAAGGGGAGGGTGGAAACTGAAATCTTAAAAGACAAAACAAATGAGCACTGAGCCCCCAGCTTGCACATGTAAATCCATGGGAATCAAAGGCTTGCAGAACGGTGGCAGTAGTCGGCTGTCTAACTGGGAGGATGAACAGTATGCTATGTGCTGATTTGGCTGAAAAGACTGTCTTCCCTAGTAAGCAAATTATTGATTATAAACTGTTATGATTCCTTCGGAGCCATTGTGGCCAACCATATTATTCCATCTGCCTTAAATGCCTGCTGTGTTCCCATGCCAAAACCCTTATGAAATTTCCACTGGAAAAAAAAAATGAGTAGCAAATTCAGGTCTCAGTGCTCATATATAATTTCAGATTTCATTAATAGTTATTAAATATATGCCCTGAGGAAGGATAAAGTTCCTCATATGAATGGAAAGAGAATTGAATTTATAAATAAGGTGATTCTGTTTTCAAGGACTGTTCATTAGACACATCCAGTGCACACTTCAAAAAAAAAAACATTTAAATGAAAGGTGTTTAAAATCTCACAGGATAAAAAGCAATGCAATGTTGGGAAAAGATAGGCTTGCTCAAAAAAATTTTAAAAATGACTAATTCGGAAACATTTCTCTCTGCCTGGAGTTTGAAAATGAACTTTGGGGAAAATTCAAAAAAGTTGTAAAATATTTTTATATCGTGTCCCCAAAATATCCACATCTAGAAAATAGTGATGCATGTATTGGTAGGTGGCAAACTGGATGCTAAAAGCATGTTGAAAATTGGTATTAATCTTTTTTAAAAGCTACAATTATAAAAATAATAAAATAGGGTATTTAAGTAATTTTGACTAAGCGAAGCCCTTTGAAGTTTTAGGCTACTAAGCCACATAACCTGGACAATAACTTCTGTAGTGGGAGTTGTCAAAAGTCCAAGTAAAAAATTCAAATCCTTTTCAGACCTGTCACAAATCTCCTGAAAAGCTGTACAAATGGTGTAGTTCTAGCTTAATGTGAATAAGCAGATAGAGAAGGTTTGAAAGAGATATTTAAGTTGGCAAAAGTTCAGAAGAACAGAGTGGTTGGTTTGGTTTTTGTTTTTGTTTTGTTATGAGGGCAAATAAAATATTTGCCTGAGTGCTGAATTCCTGAAGAGAGATATTGTTGAACTGAAGACATTTTTGGATCAGGTGAGTTCTCTTATTTCCACTGAATTGTCTTATTAGAAAAGAATAGACAAGAGAGTTTTTTTTTGTTTTTTGTTTTTTGTTTTTTTTGTCATCTGTCAGCCTGCTGGTACATCAGCTGCCACCAGAGATAAAACGTACAGAATACCTTCAGACGTTGTGGGTTCAAATGTTAGCTTTTCTCACTGAAAAATGTACTCTGCTATATTTTATGGGAAAAAAATGCTGTTGTAAATAACCTTAACATAACTGTTGAAGCAATGAAGACAATTTTTCTATTTGAATTTTATCTCGTAAGACCCCCTGAAATGAAATTTTATCTTTTAAAATAAACACTTCCCAAACAGAGAGAGACTGAGATCAATTAAGCCTTCCCTCCTGCTTTATCTTGTTTTCATTTCCCGAGTGAGCGAGGTGCACTGTATGATGGTGATGCGATTAGCCGGGTGTGTGGGACCAGAGGGCCATTTTCTATGGCCCTGCAATCTCCATGATCAGTCTAGGGTCTAGGGAACATTTCCCTTGGAAAGTTCACATTACCTCAAGTGAAAAGTCTCGTTATTGAAAAACAGTAATTATTTAGTTGCAAAATATATTAAACATAATTCTTATTTTTATTGTTTTGCTAGGTAGCTAAATTCAAAGTTGTCACTAAACATATGAAAATGTTGGGTTTTATATTACCCTTAAAATATGTTTTCGTATAAGTTTGATTCTAAGATATGTGATTTTTACCAGGCTGTTGCTCATACCAACAGTCCAACTCCAGAGAACTTGCAGGAAAAGTTTGAAAAAGTAATCCTACAGTGACATTGATATAAGGGGATAAGCAAGAAAACGTTAGTGTAAATCCTATTTAGCTAGTTATAAGTTGGACTGTGGTTGAAGTTTGTTTGTAGATTGATGATTTAAACAGAGATGCTTTGGAAAAATAAGCAAAGTCCAAATTCAAATATGTCCCCTGTTAAGACATAGAGAAGTAAAAGTGATTCACGGAGAAGATTGCAGAAAACAAAAATCTACCTCCCTCTCTAGAACAGTAACAAAAGTAGAAAAACTGAAGAATATTGAAACATTTTCATTTTCCCGTATATAGATTTTTTTTTTGTTGTTGTTCAAGAGTTGCTGATGGGAGATAGTAACTAACCTGGCAATGAGAATGGAAAAATGAATTGTAAAAACCAAACAAATTAAATGTCAGATGATGCTTTCATGTAGCAAAGGGAGTTATCTGTCATTCCTCGAGAAGCATAAGAAAAAGAACAGATTTACCCCCTACTTCATGGCAAAGACATTTGGTAAAAGGCAGACTACAGCATGACTAAAACAGAATCTCACCACCCCCCAAGCCAGGGGTCGTTATCGACAGCATAAAAGCTCAGGTGGCAGCTGTGGAATTCCAAATGAACTAAGAAATGTGGAGCGAGCCAACCTAGTTCAGCGGGAAAGAATGTCAACAATTTCCCCATGGACTCCTGGGAGCCTGTTGTGAGCACATCTCTTTATAGCCTTCAGAGAAACAGAGGCATATGAAGAACAGCCCGGGGAACTGAGAAAGAGTTCCAGAAAGTTTAGAATGTCAGAGATGGCCCACTGAAGTAAAGAAATATGAGAACAAAATTGAGGTGGGGAAACTGGTGGAAAGGAGACAGTTTGCTTCTGTTTTCTGTTGCTAAATGCTTTCCTGTGCTTGCCCGCCCACATGCTCACAACTTATGAGGAAGCAAGAAAAGAAGCTGCACTTTGCAAAAAATATCTAATGAATAGAATTCTACTCTGTGATGTGAATCTATCACTAATTTTCTTGGTGACATGACACCACCTTAAGAAATGAAATGAACAAGATATCCAGGACATAATCACATTTCTCTGTATATGCACACATACAGCTTCATATGGACATGCAAAATTAAGAGCATATAGCATACGGCCACTTATGACAGGGCATTTCTATAGTCCATATAAATTAAGCTCCTTTGGAAGGAGAAAAAAATCCCATGCTACTTATTTATGCAAGTGTTTTCAAATAAGTTTCTCTATTTGATAAGTGTAATGTAATCATACACAAGCGAGCAATGAAATTAGAAATAAAGACATTGCATGTTAGGAGCAAAGTAGGCAATTTCATAAGGAGCTTTTAATTCTGAGAGCATTTCGAATGGAGTATTTGAATTGATTTTATCTAATTAATATGCTAAATTACAGTGAACAAAGAAAGACAAGTACAATCGTGTAGGGCATGTGGACTTGTAGCATTTCCAAGCAGGGAGGACCTTTGGGAGTCTCCAGTCCAACTCCCTCACTTCACAGACATTCCTACCATGTGAAGTCACACACACAAGCTCGGGTCAAGGCTACGTGTCCAGTCACTTATGTATGCATCAGAAGGGGGAGATAGACACACACTCAAACACACAGAGAAAGAACATGAAAAACAATGCAGCATACACTTGTGGCAATGTACTCTCCTGGAAGAAAACATACAGGTTTTGCAGAGAAGAGGGATTCATCAGATATAAAGTCAGGCCTTTATGTTGTGGGCTGAAAGCTCAGGTGGCATATATAGATTTCCAGATAAGCTAAAAATGACAAGTGTGCAGAATTCACTTGCAAAGGCTGCCAGCACTTTCCCGGGCATTGGACCCAAGTTGCATTGCCATGTTACCTCTCTGTTGTCCTAAGAAATTGAAGGTGCTCTCACCATGTTTGAAAACCTCCCAAATTAAAATCACCTCTATGACATGAATACCAGGAGCACCAGGTCTCAGTCTCCATAGCATTTTCATTGCTCCCTGCATGCACCCAGACATCTTAGCATGGTGGTCCTTGAACTTGGGCATCAGCCTCAGCTGGAGGGCTTGCCAAAACAGATTGTTGGGTTTGACCCCGTCAGAATTCCTGACTCAGTAAATCTGGGTGGGGCCTGAGAATCTGCATTTCTAACAAGTGTCCAGGTTGTGCTGCTGCTAGTGCAAGGATCACACTTGGATCCAACACACTGCACTAGCACAGCTTAGGTTTGCTGAAATTGGATTACCGAGTTGACAGATGAAAATGATTCTCTTTTATTGGACCACATAATGGATGTGTGCATCTGTCACCTGCAGATGAAAGTGGTGGCAAAATGTGAAATTTCTAGCATTGCCATCAGGAAAATATTGACAAGCATCATTAGGAAAATTTTCCAAAGCGGGGTTTAAATGATCTCCATGTGCAAGATCAATGGGATGGAACATCTTTTGAAAAGTTGTTTCATCAATGAAAACTAAAATGAATACTTGCTGCAATTGCTGAGGTTTATGCATGCAGTTCCAAGAAGTGTGGAGAATTTTTAAAAGTCATTTTTTTTGGATTAAATTAAGTATTTCTGAAACTATCTCATTAGAAAAGAACTTTTTCATTATTGAAACTTTACATCTGAACTCTTACTTTTTAAAGTATTACATAGTTTAAGCTGGATGTTCTTTTTCTTGGGTTTTACTTTTCAACAGGAAATGGAACTCTATCGAAATAAAGAAATAAATGTTCTGCTTACATGTGCTATTCTGAACAACGTAGTTATTTATAAAGGGGGGTTTCTATTTTTACTAACTCAATATGTACCAGAAAAAATTAATAATTTAAATACAGATTTGAAGACAACTCAAAATTTTATTAATCCTAATAATGGTTTTAAACCATATTAATGTACATCAATTGGTCTCATAAGTCACTTTATTTATTTATTTATTTATTTATTTTTGAGACAGGGTCTTACTCTGTCACCCAGGCTGGAGTGCAGTGGCATGATCTCCGCTTTGCAGCCTCCACTTCCCAGGCTCAAGTTATCCTTCCACCTCAGCCTCCCAAGCAGCTGGGACTACAGGCATATGCCAGCATGCCCTGCTTTTTTTTTTTTTTGTTTTGTATTTTTTGTAGAGATGGGGTTTTGCCATGTTGCCCAGGCTCGTCTGGAACTCCTGAGCTCAAGCAATCTGCCCGTCTCAGCCTCCCAAAGTACTGGGATTTCAGGTGTGAGCTACTGCACCTGGCCTCATAATTCACTTTATATTTTGCATTAAAACTAGTTTGTCTATCAAGACAGATAGAAAGTGTCCTTGTTCTAAATAGGTTTATTTGTTCTCCTTATTACCCTCATCTGAATCTGTAGGCCACTGACAAAGAGTTTTTTCAGGTCTCCAAATGACTCCATGTTTTCTTGAAACCAGTCTTTAAACAGTACTTTTTCTTTCTTTTCTTTCCTTTTTTTTTTTTTTTTTTTTTTTTTGAGACGGAGTCTCGCTCTGTCGCCCAGGCTGGAGTGCAGTGGCGTGATCTTGGCTCACTGCAAGCTCCGCCTCCCAGGTTCATGCCATTCTCCTGCCTCAGCCTCCCCAGTAGCTGGGACTACAGTTGCCCGCCACCACGCCCAGCTAATTTTTTTGTATTTTTAGTAGAGACGGGGTTTCACCAGTAGAGAGATGGTCTCGATCTCCTGACCTCATGATCCGCCCACCTCAGCCTCCCAAAGTGCTGGGATTACAGGCTTGAGCCACCGCGCCCGGCCTTTAAATAGTACTTTTTCTGTGTTGCTCTCCTCCAAATTTAACTAAAAGGGATTTTATGTCTTGTTTGTAAGCTTCAAGAAAAGCTGCAAAAATTTAAAGAATACAAATTAGAAATTATATCAATTTAACAAGCAAATGAAGCAAACAATTTAAAATCTGAACACAGTTTATTGCTTTTTCACCGGCAGGCAAATGATTATGTTCCCACAGTGTAAACTTTCCTATTTTGAGTCTTTTATCCTGTAAAACACTAATTCCTTTATCAGGAGGTCCCAAATAGAAAATACTCCTTTTTCAATGGACATTGACAACACGCATGTATGCTATTATTACGCACTGAAGGTATAGCTGAACTCATGCAATCTTGCTAGTAATTTCACTTTGGAGATTTGTGATAAGATATTGCCATAGAATGAGACTTTGAAGACATTTAGTCCTAAGCGAGTGCTGTTACTCAATTTTGCATAACAGTTTCACATTTGAAGGAGACCGAGGAAATGCTGGCGACGCAGGGCTGAGGCACAACTTTGATGTGGGGCCTCTTGGTAGTGGGCCAAGTGGTTCTAATTATTTTCAGAACTTTCTCTTGCAGTGGGAAGGAGTTGGAAAGAGGATCACATAGGCGCACAAATCTGGTTCCCAAAGTGAAGTGAGATGAGAAACGCTTCTGGTGATCTATGCCAGTGACGGGTGAGATAATCTTCCTTCCTTCCCCTTTGTGATGCCACTTTCAGCAGGATGCTTCTTCCTCTGCTCACCTGGAGCGCCTGTGACTTCTCTCTCCCTAGGGGACGGGGAGGGAGTGCCCTGATGTTTCTTCACTGCCTCCCTGGTCTTCCTCTGACCCCACCCTCCGCCACTCCCCCAACCCCATTTGTTTCTTAGCCACCTCTGTCATTTACATCACTGTGTTGCCTGCCCCATACAGGAATCTGCACCCATTTCATTTGCACAAGTTCCCATTCTCAACTCCTCTTTTCAGGGACAATTCAGCACTCAAGTTCTCTAGCATAAGAAATGCCTGTGTGGTTTGTAAAGCACAATTTACAAACAGATACAAAAAATTTTCTAAGCGAGTGAATTCAGTTGCTTGATACATTAGGCAAGAAGAGGCCAAATGGGAATCTGGGTTGGAGTTGTCCGCTGACTCCTGAGGACACTGATCTTCTCCTAGCGGACTCTCTCGCATAGTCGCTGCTAGCTTTGCACAAGCCTCTCTTCCAGGTACACATAAACTTTGTTGATGAAATCCTCATACCGTTCTGAGAAGCATTTTTTCCAACCAATCTGATTTTGGAGTTAAACACATTGCATCAAGTCGATCACAAATTACACCTGTGATAGATCAATGCTCAGTGCCTGACAATGTCCTGGATAGTCAGTCAAGGGCAGGTGAAGGCTTGCACTCGGGGGGAAGTAAGAGAGCACACTGCCTTTTATAAATCTACAATTGTGCCAATTCTGCAATGGTTACTGCATATACTGCTCACGTTTCTCTTTTCATTCTTCTGCTGGTTTGCTTAATTGAATCCCCCTCTCTCTAAAGATATAAGAATGTAATATCACTTACATTCTTTATGCCAAAACTGTAAAATGCCTTTTATTTTCTTGGATATGTCTCAGATAGCAAAGAAAATGAAAATTTTACATTTCCTTTTTATACTGTCCCCACAAACATCTCATAAACATGCTTTTGCATAGGTATAACTTGCGAGGGGAAGTATTAATATGGAGTTGTCTTTGTCTTCAAAAAACAAAACAAGGTCGGGGTGCAGTGGCTCTTGCCTGTAATCCTAGCACTTTGGGAGGCAGAAGTTGGAGGCCAGGAGTTTGAGACCAGCCTGGGCAACATAAGGAAACCCCATCTCTACCAAAAATAAAAAATTAGCTGGATGTTATGGTGCCTGCCTGTAGTTCCAGTTACTCAGGAGGCTGAGGCAGGAGGATTGCTTGAGCCTAGGAGTTCCATGCTGCAGTGAGCTATGATTACACCATGTCACTGCACTCTAGCCTGAACGACACAGCAAAACCCTGCCTCTAAAAACAAAACAAAACAAAGACAAAAACAAAACGGAAAAACCCCATCATTGCCATAGTGTCTGTTAATCACTGTGACAAGTCCGTAATTATCTTGCTTGCTCTTCCAGCTGGGTAGAATCTATAGAATATTTAAACCAATCCATACCTCCCGCCTTGAAATGAATTGTCTAAGCTTTGCTATCATGTTATTTTCTATGCTATTACTTTATTTTCTATTAATGACTGTATGAGTGCCTTAGAACAGCAGGAAGTTATTATCTTATCACACAGCTGATATCAACCATTATCTCTCACTCAGAACAACAGACAGCAAGGAGATGATTCCTTTTACCAAAATGTAAGGCTAATAATACATTTAAGTAAATTGTTAAGAGAGTCTAACTATGTAGATCCCATGTTCAGCTCCTTCATTTTACACACACACACACACACACATACACACACATCTGTGCACTAACGAATTTTCTATAGGTGAAGAATATGCTGCTTTCCTCAAATGTTTATGCCTTTTTAAATTTAATCAATGATGCAGTATTCAACTGGGTACCAATAAAGTTTTGTTCTCTGACCAAGTACACTGGAGTGCTGGAAGATTGGCCCCAATCCTTCACCTCTCCCTGTATCTCAGCCCTTTGCCACAGTACACTGTGGGCAGGGTGTACTTCTTTGCTCCTTGTCTTGGTCACATGACTTGTTTTGGCCCATGGAATGAAGCAGAAGTGACAGTGTACCTATCCTAAACCAAGGCTTCAAGAGGTCTTATGTGTTTTCACTTGTTCTCTTTCAAATTTGCTATTGCCATAAGAAGGACATGCCTGGGCTAGCCTGTCCATACAAAGAGGAGGATGACAAGGACTTAGAGTAAAGCTCTCCCCATGCCAAGCCCAGGTTAGCCAACACCCAGTTGATTGGTAGACTTGGGAGACATAAGTGATAGTTTTTCTAAGCCACTATGTATGAAGGTAGTTTGTTATGGGGAATTAGGTAACTGATACAGCATTAAGTCGCCATCAGGTGGGTTTGGTTTACAGCATTGATTGGTAGTGGTTCATTTCATTAGCTTAGTTTTAAATTTGATATAATGATACGTTAATATTACTCAGTATAATCTTAGGAGAATCATAATAGAAATAGATTGGCTTTAACTACAGAGCCAGATGACTCTATATTTATAGAGAGGGAAAATTCCCTTATCTTTCAGAACTTCGATGTTTGCACATCTGTAAAACAATAATTACAATATTTACCTTGAAGGGTAGGAATCCATGGATAAAGTATGTGATCTACCCAGCATATGGCAGAACAACAAATAAATGTTAGCTATTATTTTTATTCAGTACAATCTGTGAGAGAAAGTCTATTAATACTTGGGTCATTATTTGTATTCCTTTTTCTTTTATTTCTTTTAATGTTTTGCTCATTTTCTTCCGGTTTTACTTATATAACTCTTCGCTTTTCCTTGCCTTCTGAAAAATTCAAGTATAAAGTCTACCATTCTTTTTGCCCAGGGTCCAAAAGGATGATTTACCAAAAATGGAAAGACCCACTGAGCTATTTATACTGCTCTGGACACAAGTTTCATCTTATGGACACATTTCCATCTTATGGACACATTTCCAAACACAAACACAAAGTTTGTTGTTGTTGTTGTGTGTTTTTTTTTTTTCCAATATCGGCTCACTGCAGCCTCAACCTCCTGGGCTCAAGTGATCCTCCCACCTCAGCCCCCCAAGTAGTTGGGACCACAGGCACATGCCACTACACCTGGCTAATTTTTTGTATTTTTTGTAGAGACAAGGTTTTGCCATGTTGCCCAGGCTGGTCTCAAACTCCTGAGCTCAAGCGATCCGCCCGCCTTGGCCTCCCAAAGTGCTAGGATTACAGGTGTGAGCCACTGTGCCTGGCCTCTAAACACAAAGTTCTTTTGAAGGAAAATCAAGCAGAGCAGATCACTAAACGTATTCCTTAAATATGTTCTCTTCCCTCCCCTATCCTCCATAAAATCCCACAAATAAGTATCAGATATAAGTGAGATGCTTCCTAATTTAAACCCATGATCCACTGTGTAGGAAGCAATGACAACAGCAAGACGTTTACTTTCCTTTATGTTGTAGCCACAGAAGTGATCTTAGTTTAGATAGGCTTGTCAAATGATTTTGCCAAGAGTGGGCAAACTTTTTCTGAAAACGGTCAGATAGTACGTATTTTCCGCTTTGTGGGCCACATGGTCTCTATCCCAAATATGCAACTCTTCCATTGTAACATGCAAGCAACCATAGACAATATGTATAGAAATTTACATGGCTGGTTTTTTTTTTTTTGCCCTTTTTATTTATTTATTTATTTTTATTATACTTTAAGTTCTAGGGTACATGTGCACAACGTGCAGGTTTGTTACATATGTATACATGTGCCATGTTAGTGTGCTGCACCCATCAACCCGTCATCTAACATTAGGTATATCTCCCAATGCTATCCCTCCCCCCTTCCCCCCACCCCACAACAGGCCCCGGTGTGTGATGTTCCCCACCCTGTGTCCAAGTGTTCTCATTGTTCGATTCCCACCTATGAGTGAGAACATGCAGTGTTTGGTTTTCTGTCCTTGTGATAGTTTGCTCAGAATGATGGTCTCCAGCTTCATCCATGTCCCTACAAAGGACATGAACTCATCCTTTCTTATGGCTGCGTAGTATTCCACGGTGTATATGTGCCACATTTTCTTAATCCAGTCTATCATTGATGAACATTTGGGTTGGTTCCAAGTCTTTGCTATTGTGAATAGTGCCGCAATAAACATATGTGTGCATGTGTCTTTATAGCAGCATGATTTATAATCCTTTGGGTATATACCCAGTGATGGGATGGCTGGGTCAAATGGTATCTCTAGTCCTAGGTCCTTGAGGAATCGCCACACTGTCTTCCACAATGGTTGAACTAGTTGACAGTCCCACCAACAGTGTAAAAGTGTTCCTATTTCTCCACATCCTCTCCAGCACCTGTTGTTTCCTGACTTTTGAATGATCGCCATTCTAACTGGTGTGAGATGGTATCTCATTGTGGTTTTGATTTGCGTTTCTCTGATAGCCAGTGATGATGAGCATTTTTTCATGTGTCTTTTGGCTGCATAAATGTCTTCTTTTGAGAAGTGTCTGTTCATATCCTTCACCCACTTGTTGATGGGGTTGTTTGTTTTTTTCTTGTAAACTTGTTTGAGTTCATTGTAGATTCTGGATATTAGCCCTTCGTCAGATGGGTAGATTGTAAACATTTTCTCCCATTCTGTAGGTTGCCTGTTCACTCTGATGGTAGTTTCTTTTGCTGTGCAGAAGCTCTTTAGTTTAATAAGATCCCATTTGTCAATTTTGGCTTTTGTTGCCATTGCTTTTGGTGTTGTAGACATGAAGTCCTTGCCCATGCCTATGTCCTGAATGGTAATGCCTAGGTTTTCTTCTAGGGTTTTTATGGTTTTACGTCTTACATTTAAGTCTTTAATCCATCTTGAACTAATTTTTATATAAGGTGTAAGGAAGGGATCCAGTTTCAGGTTTCTACATACGACTAGTTACATGGCTGTTTTCTATAATTCACCGACAGCTGGTATAAACAATAAACTCTAAGACAAAAATAATGATGATATTAAAATAAAATTAGCCACACTAAAGTTCAAATATGTTCCTAATATAATATTTACATTTCATGTAAATATCTCTTGGGTTTATCTTTTAAACCTTAGAATTTTTTTTAAAGCTCTGTGTATGATAATCAAAGGTTAGATTTTATTTATTGTATCTATCCTCATGGTCTGAAGTTTCTCAACATTTACAGAACAGAATTTCTTAGCACAAATTCTGCCTGGCAGGCTGGTTTAATTTAATTTCTGTCTAATTGTTCTCTGTAGGACTTTCATTCTGTTATTTCTACATATGTCAACATTGGGTCTATGTGGCACCCATGTAATGGTATTTCCACCTATTTGCATGCTATGCCATCCTATTTTGTTGGTGACCATATTGGACAATACACTTTTTGCTTTCTAAATAGTAATCAACAGGAATATCAATGGTAATATATATTTTTCCCACGGACTTTTCTGTAGAACCTCTCCTTGGCTTCTGAAAGCTTATAATGAAGGCATACTCATACACCATTTTTATTTAGCCCTCATCATGTTAACAGGCTCTCACACAAACCCAATAATTACTGTGGTTCACTCTTGTGGAGACTGGCTAACTAACATGCTCAGCCCATAAGAAAAATATTAGGGAAAGGAACGCACACTCTCCAGGTTCACACTCACCCAGCTGCCCAGACATGCTAAAGAAGTATTCATGTGTGAGCCCAGTTTGGTGTGCAGATGTTGGAGAATGGCTTGTGAAGACCTCCATGATAGCATTAAGCCTTCTGCAGAGTGAACTAGCTCAAGATGAATTTTTTCCAGGTTTTCATCATTAAAAAGGTTTCATTTACCAAGATGGGTTTCAGCAATCTCACAGTGTGACATTGATTTTATGGTGTAATTTAATCTGTACTTAATTTCAAAGGCTGGTATTCAGAGATAAAGCTAGACTTTGCAGTATATTCCTCTTGTGAGGCACAATGCAGGTTCCTTCTGTCTTCCAGAAGAAATGATTTATCATGTAGCATGCGATTGATCAAGCCATGGGGTTTCCTTTCATCTTTTAGCTTGTCTGTATTCACAGTTTTTAAGGCTCTTTTCTTTTACTGCTCATATTTTTATTATTTTTGGTTTTAAACCATTATAGCCAAAAATGTTGCCAATGTGGGCTTTTTAAAAATTCTAGTTTATCACTGTTAATGTAAAGAGTGAGTCAAAAAATTCATGTGAAACTGGAGTCCTGGTTTGAACAATAAGCATGTGCAGAAACATCACTGTTTTTAAAAGCTCACTTCCCAATACCATATGAAAATAAACGGATGTTTTTAAAAGCAGAATTTGTGTAACAATTGTTAATAAAAAGCTAAAAGCTGACACAAAACTCTTTCATCTAGGAAGTATGCTGTCTAATATCATGGATGCTAAAAGACAAAAAGAAAGAAAGAAAGAAAAGAAAGAAAGAAAAAGAAAGAAAGAAAGAAAGGAAAGGAAAGGAAAGGAAAGAAAGAAAGAAAGAAAGAAAGAAAGAAAGAAAGAAAGAAAGAAAGAAAGAAAGAAAGAAAGAACCAAAACCAAAATGAAGCTCAAATCTCAGAAACAGAACCTCTTGCCTTAGGGTCTGAGCAGGGAGAATACACTCAAACACCCAAGGGGAGACAGGCAGGGTGCAGCCCTGAGGGTACTGATGGGACATAAGAAAAAGACCAACAATCGTGCCACAAAGGCCCCATCGGCTCTGCCTCTGTCTTGGGCAGACAGTTGGTCATCTCAAGCTCACCAGGAGCAAAATTTTTGTCACAACTGGAGAGGGTGTGCTACCATCATTTAGTGGGTAGAGGATATGTAGGGGACTACTACAGATCCTGCAACCTACAATGCACAGGATAATCGCCAAGCCTGGCCTGGAGGGTGGGGCTGGGGGTGGTGGTCTATGGTGAACTGGAGAGCACAAGCCTCCCTATAGGAGCAACATATCCAAGGATCCGGCTGATGTGGTCATGTGGGAATGTTCCATGCAGACACAGAACCAAACCAAACAAGGACTTGAGATTTCTTCAGAATACAATGGGATGACTTCAAATTATATTTAGAGGCAGATGAGAAGAATCAAAATTTCTTAAAATATTTTGCCAAAAACACAATAAGAAGAAAGCTGACTTATTTCAACCCAAATCAGATTAAAGAACTGGGTAGGGCTGGACATGGTGGCTTTAACCTGTAATCCCAGCATTTTGGGAGGCAGAAGTTGGAGGATCATTTGAGGCCAGGAACTTGAGACCAGCCTGGGCAACAAGGTGAAACCTCGTCTCCATAAAAAGTATAAAACTTAGCCGGGTGTGGTAGCATGTGCCTGAGTCAGGAGGCTGAGGCGGGAGGACTGCTTGAGCCCAGCAGGTCAAGGCTACAGTGAGCCATGATCATGCCACTGCACTCCAGCCTGGGTGACAGAGCAAGACCCTGCCTCAAAAAAAAAAAAAAAAGAAAAATAGTTGGGTAAATAATTGGATTTGGACTCACATGTTGACACAGTGACGCTAAAACGAAGATGTCTTCTGGGGCTCAGGGCACACAACCTGGGTGAGAGCAGCCTCTATGTCCCACATTTTAGGCTAAGCATCTAACCCATAAGGCTCCATGTTAGCATCCTCAGTCAGCCTGTAATGGAAATTCAATGCAGGCAATAAATGAATTTCATAGGGCTAACTCTTTTGTTTTAAATTTAGAAAGACATTTAGTAATCATAGGGACAAACTGGGTATGTGATTGAAAACATTTTTAATGTTTAAGAGATTTTGGCTCATTAGAAAATGGGCATATTCATTCAGTCAATAAATATTTGTCAAATGATTAAATGTATTAGCCTTTTGATTTCTTTCTTTCTTTCTTTCTTTCTTTTTTGAGATGGAGTCTTGCTCCACCAGGCTGGAGTGCAGTGGTGTGGTCTTGGCTCACTGCAAGCTCCGCCTCCCAGGTTCATGCCATTCTCCTGCCTCACCTCTCAAGTAGCTGGGACTAAAGGTGCCCGCCACCACGCCCAGCTAATTTTTTGTATTTTTAGTAGAGACGGGGTTTCACTATGTTAGCCAGGACGGTCTCAATCTCGTGACCTCGTGATCCACCCGCCTCGGCCTCCCAAAGTGCTGGGATTACAGGCATGAGCCACTGCGCCTGGCCTTGATTTCAATTTTAAATGTGAAATTGATTTTAGGCTTGTGATTGTAAGTTGAAAAATATAACAGGATTTTACTGTTTGGTAAATAATACTGGACTCTTTAAGTGACCTTTCAATTCTCTCAATAAGTATGAATATTTAAAACATTTAATAAGCTAGAAGACTTAAAAGTTTAAATGGCAAAATCTAAATATTTAAGAGTTTTAATGGTAATAAATTGAAATATTTAATGTTTAAATAGTAATGAAATTAAGTATACATATTTATTGAATAAATCAATGTATTTATTAGATTTATAAAAGTTGTTTACGTTTCTAGAAAGAATTTGCTTGTGTGGGTTGTACGTTTGCCCAGCTAGACAGATACTTGAATGGTTAAACAGAAAACTGAATATATTGACTTTATAAATGTACACTAACATGTATAAAGAATTTTTGCTAATTAAGTTTATAAATGAGAGCAATTGTTTGAATTTAAATTGTTCAGTTCAAATTTAACTCTAATCAAAACCCTCTGTGAAACGAGTTGTTTTTATTATATATAAAAGATACTGGTATTATTAATATAAGCAGAAAAATGAAACTTTTTTTTAAGTTGAACTTAAAAGCTTGAGGAAAATCTTGATTTTATAATCATAATAAATTAATGTAGATTTAAAGGCTATATAACTGTAAATAGCCCTTTCTAAATAAAAAAAAAGAACAAGAAAATAAGAATGCCAGTCTTAGACATTTAAAAAATTATGAATAACAGCTAAATTTGTCTTTTGGCAATCAAGAAATAATGTTCTCATTAAACAAAGGTGATGTGTCAGAAGGGCGTGTCACTTTCAATGTGCAGTAGGATGCTGAGGATATAGAATCAGTCCCTATCTTATCATCTTGTGTCACTGGTTCCAAAGTCACATGATTTCTGGAGCCAACTCTGCATGCCTCATTTACCTCTAGGACAAAGGACTTTATGGCTCTGGGCAGATAAAACAATGGGGGCTCAGTTACCATTCAACAGAATACAAGAATATTAGTTCTGAAAGGACCCTCACTCTCCTCCTCACTTTTAGAGAAAGAACACTTTCCCCAGTGGTGAAATGGCCAGGACTGGTCCTTGGGGGCAGTGTTAACTCTCCATCCAGGGCATAAACTTTGGAGGACATTTCCGGCAGGGTTATTTATATATTCTTCCCCTTCTGTTAGTTTCTTAGGGTATATTCCACCATATTTGCCAGTTTTTATATAACAACGGCTCCAAACCTCCATGAATTCCTTTTCTGTTTGAGCAAATGAGTAATGGGGTGCCACAAAACAAAGTATATGGAGACAACAAACTTCTGAGAACTGTCCAACAGTGATGTGTGAATGGGTGTGCACACATGTAGGAGGGGACATGAAAGTGTGGAATCTACTTTTTTTGTCTAATTTTCTATCGTTTACAAAAACTTGAAAATGATACCAAGACTATGCTACACAATATCATGACATGCAATTGTTAAAAGAGGCATATTACTTTACTTTTTTCTTTCCTGCTCTGCCTATTTAGAAAATGTATCCAAATAACCCATGATGGCACTTTATAACAGCCAGAATTGATAGTCAGATAGCTCTTAGGCTAGTAAGCTGAAAATAAGAGCTAAACCCTCTTTATCCTACCGCCTTAAAACAAAACAAAAAACAAAACAAAAAAACCCCAAACAAAAAAAAAAGCCCAGTAGGCTCTCTATGTGGCAGTAAACCATATAGTGCCATCTACTGGCTGTTTACTAATACGTGTTATTCAATCAGGGCCACCAAACAAAGGCATTAGATGGGAGACATGGGAGAAGCAAGCTCTGTCCTCACTCTTTCCTCTGTGCCTTGAGACTGTTGTATGCCCTCGGAAACACAGAGATGGCAAAGCTCCTTCTATGAGAAAGCATTTCCCATTTCCACTGGGACCCATTTTTTTCTTTCTTTTCTTCAAAGAAGCACACAAGAACTGAAAAATACCTTCAATTTGGCTTGGCCATCAACAAACACATTTCTAAGCAAACAAAGATTACGTTTAACTCCCTCATTTTCTTTTCCCACTCCTGTTCTTTTCAATAAAAAGATTAACTAAAGCTGGCCAACAAATCAAGGCAAATATCTGGAGACTTTGAATCCTGCACCGAGGCTTCATACCGCCTGGACAGAAGGAGGCAAGGATAATTGAGTGACGACTACTCTAGCATGAAGTATGCTGTTTGTTTCTACTTGTTGGTTTCATGTTTCAATTCATTGTGGCATCAGGGCAAACGGATTTTTGTGTAAGCTCTTAGCTGAGATGATACTGCTGAGCTTTTGACTGTCCTGCCATTTCCCTCCATGAATTGGCAGGAAAAATATTTATATTTTAATCAAATACAAATACACATGAAACAGTCTTTTTAGGAGTTTCTTTTCCTGTGTAATGAAGTGAAATGAGGGGAAACGCTGAACTGACTAATCAGATTCGCCACTCCAAAGAAGCTCAAATGTCATCTCTATGGCAACATGTCAGCCAGGGTCCGCCCTCATCTCTTCCCTCAGACTGCAAACTGCACGTTGCCACTGCTACATGAATTAATGTGGAGAACACACTAAAAACAGTGAGATTTGGCTTATGAAGAAGGATCTTAAGGTTGATCCCATTCATGTAACACTCTATCCTGTTTTTAATTTTCTTTCTTCAAATTGAATTAGTCTTTGAGGACCTGCTTCACACAATGGCTTCACTCACTGGCTCCTCACTCTGTGTTTCAGAGGGATGCCAAGTTGTTGAGTCCTTTGTTCTGGGAGGGGACTGAGGTCATTTGCACTTTGGACCCCAAATTGGGCAAATCTCAGAGAGGTGATGCAATGCAGAAGGTGAGTCCAGTGTATATACCAGGGAACTAATTTTACCATCTTAAGAAGGCATGCAAAAGTTTATCTATTCATTGGAAGATCACCTATTGAAAAATATGTTATAGTTTTCTGACTAAACTCATCACAGGCTAGTGTTTACGTAGGTAGTCCATTAGTTTTAAGACCCAGGAGAAATGTCCCTTTCATCAATCATGTGCCTCATATTCGTGTTCCTTATGAGGGAAATTAATCTGCACAGCTCCTCTAAATTCTTCATTTTATTATAATTAGCTATTTATTTTTATCTGTTCTTAAAATTGTGGAAAGTGGCTCAGAACTATCTTCCTTAAGATTCTTTTTATACTTGGCTGGGTGCGGTGGCTCACGCCTGTAAATCCCAGCACTTTGGGAGGCTGAGGCGGGTGGATCACGAGGTCAGGAGGTCGAGACCATCCTGGCTAACACGGTGAAACCCTGTCTCTACTAAAAATACAAAAAAATTAGCCGGGCGTGGTGGCGGGCGCCTGTAATCCCAGCTACTCGGGAGGCTGAGGCAGGAGAATGGCGTGAACCCGGGAGGCGGAGCTTGCAGTGAGCCGAGATCGAGCCACTGCACTCCAGCTGGGTGAGAGAGAGACTCTGTCTCAAGAAAAAAAAAAAAAAAAGATTCTTTTTATACTTGAAAGCCTTAGAGTAGGATTTCTACCTAGCTTTCAGGCAAGGAAGCCAATTGGACAAAAGCAAATGTTGCAAGAAGCCAAATTCACTGAGTCTACCTATTGTAGGTTTAATTGTTTTAAGTGGAATGTTGTATTTTAGTGACTAATATATAGTTTCTCAAAATAAGGTAAATTAAGAGTAGGCAGAAGAATCCTAAAAATGCTAAAAGTCTGGCAAAAGAGAAGTATAAACTTCTCATATGGAAAACTATTTTTGCATCCCCTCAAATTGGTATTTATATGTAACAGGATTTTTTCAATTTCTTCTGTTGCTGTCTGGATGGTTTTAAACGACGCTTTCTATTTTTTCACATTTATCTATGTTTTTTTTTTTTGATGGAGTTTCATTCTTGTCGCCCAGGCTGGAGTGCAGTGGTGCAATCTCAGCTTACTGCAACCTCCACCTCCCAGGTTCAAGCAATTCTCCTGCCTCAGCCTCTCTAGTAGCTGAGATTACAGGCGCCTGACACCATGCCTGGCTAATTTTTTTTTTTTTTTTTTTTTTGTATTTTTAGTAGAGATCGGGTTTCAGCATGTTGGCCAGGCTGGTCTTGAACTCCTGACCTCAGGTGATCCGCCTGCCTGGGCCTCCCAAAGTGCTGGGATTACAGGCATGAGCCACCGCGCCCGGCCACATTTATCTATTTTTAATTGATTATTAGTCATTTCCTAGTATATTAAGCAATCCAAAAATTTTAAAACTTAAATGTTTAAATGGAATAAAAATTGCTGGTGGGAATGTATAATACAACCACTATGGAGATTCCTTAAAGAACTAAAAGTAGAACTACCATTTGATCCAGCAATCCCACTGCTGGGTATCTACCCAGAGGAAAAGAAGTCATTATACGAAAAAGATGCTTGCACACGCATGTTTATAGCAGCACAATTCGCAATTGCAAAAATGTGGAACCAACCCAAATGGCCATCAATCAAGTAGTGGATAAATAAAGTGTGGGGTGTGTGTGTATATGTGTGTGTGTATATATATGTATATATGTGTGTGTGTATATATATCTATTTCATCATATATATGATGGAATACTACTCAGCCATAAAAAGGAGTGAATTAATGGCATTTGCAGCAACCTCGATGATATTGAAGACCATTATTGTAAGTGAAGTAACTCAGGAATGGAAAACCAAACATTGTATGCTCTCACTCATAAATGGGAGCTAAGCTATGAGGATCAAAAAGCATAAGAATGACACAATGGACTTTGGGGACTCAGGGGGAAAGGGTGGGAAGGGGGTGAGGGATAAAAGACTACAAATTGGGTGCAGGGTATACTGCTTGGGTGATGGGTGCACTGAAACCTCACAAACCACCACTTGAGAACTTACTCATGTAACTAAATACCACCTGTTCCCTGAATAACCCATGGAAATAAAAAATTTTTAAAAAATGAAAAAAAATTAAATAGAAATTAAATTAAACTAAATTAAACTTAAATAAGTACAAGTAAAATTTTAAATACAAATTCAAAAATAGATCAAATAAATAAGAATTTAAATAACAATTGAGTTAAAATTTATATTAAATATTTAAATTTAAATTCAAAAGCAAAAAGCAACAAATTGCTAAAACAATTCCATCATATGATTTGATTATATATCTGTACATATATGTATAAATAAAAAATATATATGTATAATACATATGTAGGTGAGATATGTTGAATGATTTGACATGAGAGGTAAAATCATATAAAGTAGTGAAAAGGGAGTTTGGAAGGCCAGAAGGGACATATGAAGGGTTAAATGAGTGGTAGCTCATCTTTAAAATATATTAACTATAAGTATGAAATTGGACTTGAAGGATTAAAAAAATAAATTGGTTAAAACTTCTAAAAATGCTGAAAGATAACTGTAAATGAAAGTACATTAAAATATTTTAAAAATTTAGTTTAAACTGAAAAGTAATTCTGATATGATTATTGATAATGAAATATGTAGTTCTAAATGTATTTAATGTGCTTTATTAATTATTAAATAGATTGTATAGGAAATGCACATGTAACCTATTATCAGATACTAAGGTGGAATAGTTCTGTTAAAGCTGTTTAAATAGTCCTTGGAACACTCTAAATGCCATTTAAAAAATAAATCAGAAAATTTATGTATTGCCTTTGATGAATTAACAGAGCCATTATGTGTGTGTGCATGTGTGAGTTTGTGTGTTTCAAATCTGGCTATTTCTTACCTCTCTTCCCTTAACCATTGCGTTCTGACCAATGAAGAGAAGAGCAGATTTAGTATTTTCCATTTTAGTGCTATAATTCTGTTAATGCAGCGCCTGTTTGGTTCCCAAGTGACATGTGTCTTATCTTAGCTTTCGTTCCACTGATACTGCCACATATTTTTCACTAGAACTGATGTTAATCAAACTTTCTCTGATTCTGCTGTTGTGCAGCTGATCTTTTTTTGAACCTAAGTACTAGATTTTTCCCCTGGTTACATTTTATCTTGTTTTGTAAATTATGTTGTATTGTTTGTTATGTATTAGTTAAGTCTGCTCTGCTTTACTGGAAACCTCTTGTCAAATCAAGGATGCGGCTTCTACCTTAGTCCACTGCAAAAATAAGTAAAAAAGAAGAGTCAAGTTGATATAGGCCATAAGCAGGTCCAGCTCACATACAGGCCAAGAGTAGAGGTTTAAGTTTGTTGGTCGGAACAGGGAACACATGTTGCATGAAATGCAAATAATAAAGAAGATACAGAACTCCAAGAGTGATTATTAATGTACACTCTGGAACCTCCATATCTAAATGAGCATTCGTCTTTGGGAAGATCCATCTTGGAAGCTTAAATGTAAGTTCTAATTAAGCTAAACTTGCTCAAGAGTTTCAGAGTCACTCTTAAAAGTTCCTTCAGAAGGAGGAACAGAAGTAACAAGAAAGAAGAGGTCTTAGAGGTGCCAATTTGAGGAGATCTTAAGTTTCCCAAAGAGGCTATTGAAGTTCCAAATTACCCTCAGCAAAATTGTACCAACAAGAAGGAGGTGGACAGAGTTGGTGGAGCATATAGTGAGCAGGGGTTCAAGAAAGGGGGCTCAGTCAATTGAGAAGCTCCTATGGGAGATGAAGGATCAGATAAAGAAAACAGAGAGACCTCACAAAGTGCCAGAAAAAAATTTTCAGCCCAGGTAGTCAGGAAGTAAATTCCTACTCAAAAGAAACAGCCATGAAAAATCTTCCAGTCCTGCAGGTACCTTTCTAACAAAGAAGCCCAGACCTCTAACCCAGCTTCTGCTTGTCTGGGACTCTAACCTAACTTCTTACAGAGAAACCTAGGACCCTAACCCTATGCTTGACAGATAACTCATATCTAATAAGTATTGATTATGCTAACCAAACTGATATGGCACTTGTATTCCCATGCCACTACACAGAGGTGCTGCAGTATATCCTAATATATATTTTATAAATCATTATTTTAAAAAGTTCCTTCACAGCCAGCTTACAAGTAACAATAAAATTAGCCTTTGCTGTGAGAAAATAAAAAGCAAAATTGTGAAAAACAGCAAAATAAAATATATCAGGAATACTTTCTAAAATTAATGTACCTTGAATTCTGGTACTCCAGGAAAAGCAGCTTTCATCAGAAGAAAATATGGAGGTAGTCAAAGTCTTTCGTCAAATTCTGAAGGGGGCTTCTAAGCACTTTCAAGAGTTTTCAAGATTGGCGTTCTTGGCTTTTTATTATATCTAAGTCCACTTCAAATCTCAATAGCATTTATTTTCTTTGATAAAGTGATTCTAACTCCTCTTCTGTTTGATGTGGATAATCTTAAAGTTTTTCTCCAGTTCTAGAATGCTTTGTTTTGTAATAAGAAGCAAATTATATAATCAGTGGGTTTTTTGGAGATCCTGAATGGCATTGGGCAGTAAAGCAGGGGATGAATATGGGAGTGAGGAGAATGAAAAAGAGGGAGGAGGGATAAAGGAGGGGCGAGGGAGGAGGGGGAGGGGAGATGGAGGGGGAGAGGGAGCAAGAATGTGCACAAATAAAGGTTTTTTATTAAAGGTCACCAGAAGGGAGTTGGAAATGAAAAAGAATGAAGAAGAGAATGTGATTGGAAAGGATGCATATGAGAAGCAAATGTCTATAGTTAACTGGGCTGCAAGAAGAGTTAATTGGGTGGGAAGGGAAAGGCAAGGTGGATTGGAAAGAAGGAGGAAGATGGGCCAAGAAACCTCACATTAGACACTGCTCCACATTAGACACCAAAGACCAAACAAATCAGATGAGTTTTAGCTGCTTCTTGGCATTGGAGAGAGGAGGGGAAAGGAAACAGTGGGTATCCATGTATTTTTATGTACTGGTCAAATCCAATGTTCATTAATTGAGTCATGAATGCATTATTTGTTTTCAGATATCACATTGAGAAACCTCATAATGGAAGCATAGCATTAAGCATTATAAAATAGAATAACACAGACATTAATGAAGCCCCTGCATCAGACAGAGGTATTGTAAGATTCTTTCCACCTGTCAAGGGATTGTAATAAATGGGACCCTACAAGCTAGCCTTGGCCTTCCTGAAGATCAGCAATCTTATGGATTCTTTGTTGTGGGTAATGAGACCCAAGAATGTCAGCATATATATTAAGATTGATTGAAAACCAGGTGACCTCAGGGACAAAGGCATTTCTTTTGCTAATTTAATCAGTAATAGTTTCAAAGGCTTTTAAACCTCAGGTTCCTACACAAACAGCTCCTGCCAGGTAGATAACAGAGGGAGCCTGTTCTCTTTTGAATACTTAGCCATGAATTACAAGCATCAGTTGGACAGAAGAGATTGAATTCCTATAGGTACTATCCAGATCATAAAAAGGTATTAAGGCTTGCCCTCTATTCCTGCTCCATCAGCATGAAGAGAGGTTTCTAAGAGTCTTAACTCACAAAAAAAGCAATTCACCATTTTGTTCAAAGCAAAATCATAACCATAAATTGCTCTTACGTAGCAGTTTGTGCCTTTTTGTCTGTTTGATCTTGATAATACCACTATTCTGTTTGATCTTGATAATATGCCAAGGTAGGGGCAGGCAAGTTTCTAAAATAAAGTCATGAAATTTTAAAACATTAAGTGGTTAATCTAAGGTCATTCTGAGCAAGTTAGTTACAGAATCCAGACAGAGTGTAGAAGGCTTGATGCCTATTCCAGTATTCAGGACAGTCAGAATATCCAATGTCAGGCTTCTCATCAGAATTCAATTTTTATTTCATTTTATTTGAATTAAGTTCTTGCAACGGTGATGAAAAAAGGCATCCAATTCAACCACACACAATTATTGCTCACCTAAAGTGTTCTAAATGCTACTTTGGGGTTACATTACAATAAACTAGACACAGTCCTTAACTTTAAGTTTATTGTCCAGAATGAGAGATAAGAAAACAGAAAAAGAGGTCAGGTGTGGTGGCTCATGTCTGTAATCCTGGCACTTTGGGAGGCTCAGGTGGGAAGATCACTCGAGTCCATGAGTTCAAGACCAGCCTGGGCAACATGGTGAGACCCCTGTGTCTACAAAAAATTTAAAAACTAGCTGGGCATGGTGGTGCACTCCTGTAGTCCCAGGCTGGGCGACAATGCATGACCCAGTTTCTAAAAAAGTTTTAAAAATAAAAAAAAGAAAACAGGAAAATAAACAGTTAAATGAGTTAAGTTTTCCAGGTGGAGAATGTGGCAACTGGTATACCAGCTTATTTGCTTACTTCCAATGATTTACTCTCTTTCTATATATATTAAGCAGCTACTATCTGCCATGTACTGTACTCCTCTGTGCTGGGAATGCATAGATGGAAAGGTACGTGATTCCTTCTCTCTAAAATCTCTGGGAAATAAATACATATGGAAATAGCCAAAGGCTTTGCAACGAGGTTATTTCTAGGGCAAAGAAATGTACACACAAGGAGCAACAGGATCACAGAGAAAGGAGCTGTCAAGTCTACCTGGGGAGTGAGGCAAGGTTTCACTGAGGAAAAATCTGCCTGGAGAAGTTACGTACTTATTTTATTTGTTTGTTTATTTATTTATTTTTTTTGAGACGAGTCTCTCTGTCGCCCAGGCTGGAGTGCAGTGGCACTATTGTGGCTCACTGCAAGTCCGCCTCCCAGGTTCACGCCATTCTCCTGCCTCAGCCTCCTGAGTAGCTGGGACTACAGGCGCCCGCCACCATGCCCGGCTAATTTTTTTGTATTTTTAGTAGAGACGGGTTTCACCGTGTTAGCCAGGATGGTCTCGATCTCCTGACCTCGTGATTCGCCCGCCTCGGCCTCCCAAAGTGCTGGGATTACAGGCTTGAGCCACCACACCAGGCCTTTTTTTCTTTATATTCTTATTATATAAGCTCTTTTCTTTTCTTTTCTTTTCTTTTTTTTTTTAACGGAGTTTCACTCTTGTTGCCCAGGCCGGAGTGCGGTGGCGCGATCTTGGCTCATTGCAACCTCCACCTCCCAGGTTCAAGTGATTCTCCTGCCTCAGCCTCCTGAGTAGCTGGGATTACAGGCATGTGCCACCACGCCTGGCTAATTTTTGTATTTTTAGTAGAGACGGGGTTTCACCATGTTGGTCAGGCTGGTGTTGAACTCCTGACCTCGTGATCTACCCGCCTCAGCTTCCCAAATCTATTCTTTTTAACTTTTTAAACTTTTTTTGCTTAAAAATGAAGACAAACATGCACATTAGCCTAGGCCTACACAGGGTTAGGAACGTCAATATCACCGTCTTACACCTTTACATCTTGTTCTGCTGGAAGGTCTTCAGAGGCAATAACATGCGTGGTGCTGTCATCTCCTATGATAATGCCTTCTTCCGAAATACCTCCTGAAGGACCTGCCTAAGGCTGTTTTACAGTTAACTTTTTTTTCTTTAATAAGTAGAAGGTGTATACTTTAAAATAAAAAGCATAGTATAATAAATACATAAACTGGTAACATAATTTCTTATCATTATGAAGTATTATGTACTGTACATAATTGTATGTGCTAGACTTCTATACGACTGGCAGTACAGCAGGTTTGTTTAACCCAGCATCACCCCAGACACGTGAGGAATGTGTTGAGCTATGACATTATGGCAGCCATGAGGTCAGTAGGTGATAGGAATTTTTCAGCTCCATTATAATCTTATGGGACCACCATCGTATATGTGGTCCATTGTTGACCAAAAAGTCATTATATGGTGCATGACCGTATATATGAGATATATATATATTAATAAATATCTGTTTGTTTATCTCTTGTTAATGTGTCTCTTGTAACAGGGTCCCAGCCTGGAATTGAAAAGAGTAGAAGGAAAAGGGATTTCTTTCTCTTCCCTACATTACCTTACATGGCAAAAAGGTCTTTGCAGATGTAATTAAGTTAAGGCTCTTGAGATAGAAAGATGATCCTGGATTATTCAGGCGGGCCCAATGTCATCACAAAGGTATTTTAAGGGTGAGGCAGGAAGGTCGGGGTAGAGAAAGAGATATGATGACAGAAGCAGTAGTTAGAGAGATTTAAAGACACCTTAGTGTTGGTCTTGAAAATGGAGGAAGGCACCAAGAACCAAGGAATACAGGTGACCACTAGAAGCTGGAAAAGGCCAGGAAACAGATTCTCCCCTAGAGCATCCAGAAGGAAGGCAGTAATGCCAAGCTATTTTGGATCTCTTGTTATGTTTTAAGCCACTAAATTTGTATTAATCTGTAACAGTGTCAATAGGAAACTAATACAAGAGCAAACAGAGAAATAAAGAATTAAGTTTTACATGTTGAGTTTGAGTGCCTGTGGTGTACCCACTTGGAATTCAAACCAAACGAGAGTAAAACATATTGAATTCAGAGTGTGCAGCACATAGGTCATGGCAGATGCCAAGGGGATGGAAGGGGTTATCACCTTCCATCTAGTTCTAGCAAGAACTAGAAAGCAGCTGGGGTCACACCCTGGAAAACAGCAACTTTAAATAATTTCACAAAGGAAAATGGTAAGCAAAAGAAATGAGAAAGAGCAGTCCAAGAAGTGGAAGGAATTTTTAATTTTTTTTAGACAAGGTCTCACTCTGTCACCCAGGCTAGAGTAGTGTGATCATGGCTGTCTGCAGCCTCAACCTCCCAGGCTTGGTGGATTCTCTCACCTCAGCTTCCCGAGTAGCTGGGACTACAGGCATGCACTACCACACCTGGATAACTTTTTGTAGAGACGAGGTCTCCCCGTGTTGTCCAGGTTGGTTTTGAACTCCTGGGCTCAAGTAATTCTCCTGCCTTGGCCTCCCAAAGTGCTGGGATTACAGGCATGAACCACCACGCCTGGCGAGGTAGGAAACTTTGAGAAGGCCATATAATAAAAACCTGGGTGAGGTAGATAGAAAGGAATTGTCAGAAAAGTTAAGTCTATTTCGAGGTCAGTTGGGAAAAGCTCAGAGAAGAGGACATTGGATTGGACAATATGGCAGGTTTTCAATAATGTGGGCAAAAGTAGCTCCAGTAAAGCTGTGGGATGAAAGCCAGATAAGGTAGAAGAGTGAATGGAAGGTAGGGGAAGTGGAGACAATGATAGTCCATAATTTCTAGAATGCAACCAGATTTCTCTTGAAAGCTGGGTGAGCAACAGGGCTAAAGCTGGAAGGATTGAGGAAGAGGTATATGAGTACTTGCTTGTTTGCTTATTTTGGAAGTTGGAGGTTATTGGAGCATGTTGCAGGCTGAGGGGTAAAGATAGTAAAATGTGAGGATCAAGACTGGGCTCTCGGGAAGCCTCAATTTTAAGAGCAACAATTTCTAGAGAGTCCTATTTTTCTTTTCTTTGTTTTTTTTTTGAGATGGAGTCTTGCTCTGTTGCCCAGGCTGGAGGGCAGTGGTGTGATCTTGGCTCACTGCATCCTCCGCCTCCCAGGTTCCCAGGTTCAAGCGATTCTCCTGCCTCAGCCTCCTGAGTAGCTGAGACTACAGGTGCAGGCCACCACGCCCAGCTAACTTTTGTATTTTTAGTAGATACGGGGTTTCACCATGTTGGCCAGGCTGGTCTCGATCTCCTGACCTCAGGTGATCTGCTTGTGTCAGCCTCCCAAAGTGCCAGGATTATAGGCATGAGACACCATGCCAGGCCAGAGAGCCCTTCTTTATTCATGTACTCATAACATGAGCCCAGCTCCTAATAGTCTTTCAAGTGTCCATTAGCTGAGAAAATTAGATATCCTCTCCATCCTGTGGCTTTCAGAATTTATCTCATTAATTTCTATCCATCACCAGGGCTCTGATGGTGGGAGGGGTGTGGAGGTGTGGAGAATTGAAAGTAGGGATTGTATTTGTATACACTGCAGGCAGCATCAGAAAGAAGTAAAAAGCTTGATCTAGGCACTTAGTCCTAAATAGAGAGATAAATCTTTTAAATTGTTTTGGGAGTTAAGCTAAACTAATTGTTGAAACATTAATTTCAGCCAGGAGTATATTTTTAAATAGAGTTGGGAAGAAGAGAAGCAATGACTCCAACCAGACTCAAAGAAACACAGATGAAAGAAGTGACAATGCATTTCTGAGTTCCTTTACACCAGATTGTGTGTTTACAGCTGCGGTCCCCAAACTTCTTGGCACCAGGGACCAGTTTTGTGGAAGACAATTTTTCCATAGATGTGGTGGTAGGGGGATGGTTTCAAGATGAAACTGTTCCACCTCAGATCATCAGGCATTAGTTAGATTCTCATAAGGAGTGCGCACCCTAGATCTCTCTTGTGCGCAGTTCACAATAGGGTTCACACTTCTATGAGAATCCAATGCTGCAGCTGATCTGACAGGAGGCAGGGCTCAGGCGGTAATGCTTGCTGGCCTGCCACTCACATCCTGCTGTGTGGCCCAGTTCCTAACAGGCCATGGACCAGTACCGGAGGTTGGGGACCCCTGGTTTACAGTTTAAGCTGAGAATTAAGAATTGAAGTGGCTTAAATAAGTGAAGGGGAAAAAGAGAATCAAGCTTTTGCCTGAGTTAATCAAAATGACGTTCTAAAATATCAAATCTCCTTTAGTTTGTGAATATGTGGGTTTTCAGTGATGGAAATGAACAATGAATGCACTTTCCACTTTTAAAAAAGTGTAAGGAGTAAGAGTTATATATGAAATAAAATCTCCTTTCCTAGCTTCATGGGAATTTGCCTCAAACACCTAGGGAAGTGATATCCCCAGAGTATACCTTGTGATGTGCAGGCTCCTTGAAAATAATATTCTTAAGATGGTGACCTCAAAGAAAGAGGGCTCACATTGCTGTTTGTAGGTTTAAATTTGATAAATGTGTTATGGATATTGAACACGAAAGAAAAACAGCAAATTCATTTTAGTGACCTGAGAATATTTCTCAGAGTCTTTCTAGTGCATCATATGACATTAATTCATTGTTGCTGAAGTCCCCAAATATTCTATAACTCTTGTCAAGTTCAAAGGTAATTTCAAACCCACATTTGCTTTTGTGGGTTTAAAATAGCAGCTTTCTAATGACTTCCATCACTACACCTCTACATGTAAAGAAGTGGTATTTAGGATGATCTTTTGGATCACTGGTAATACATTCCAATATGTTTGATTAGTGTTATTAGTTGTTCTTGGAGATATGATTTTCCATATGTAAAGCAATAGTACATTTTCAAAATATCAAAAGATTAAGTTGTTCTATAAAGCTCTAAAGGTGTTTTAAGAACTCTGGACCACTTCTATATCTGCAAGTAGTACAGTACTTTTCCTAATACAGTACATTGGATTGCTCGAAAATCATTTATCTTTGCCATTTTAAATGCCCATCTCACATGCAAATAATCTGTGTATGAGTCACTCACCCATCAGGATGCTTTTTTGTGTGTGGAACAATGACTTATAAAGTACACCTCTGAAACACGAGTCCACACAGATGAATGAAGCATAAATTCGGCCTCAGGGATAACAAAAGAATTTGCATCTGCATCTCAGCGTAAAGTGATTCAGGTGCTTCTTGAATTTCATATTTTGGTTAATGACATTGCCACCCTGTCAATTGCTCAGGATCGAAACCACCAAGTCATCATGAAATCTCTTTTCTTCCTCACACCCCACATCCAATTAGCTGCCCAATCCTGTTAATTCTATGACCTCAATGTGTTTGGCATCTGACCCTTCCTGTCTGCCGCCCTTAGTTCCTCCTGCCTGGATTTTGTCATGGCCTTGGAATTGGTCTCCCTGGCTTGGGCAGCATCCTTTCTTCGTTACTTCTCTCCATTGCCACCTTGTTTCTCTTCCTATGATTTAGATTACATCATTTTCTTCCTCAAAAGATGCGAGGAATTGCTATTACCAACAGCATGAAGTGCAGGATCCTCAGGCCGATATTCAGATTACAACAGTGTAGCCCATGGGCCAGTGTGGTCAGTGAACCCCTTGGTATGGTTCATGATGGAGATACATAGAGAAATAGGGAGTAGTCATTAAGAAACTTTCCTAGGCATTCTTTTATTTTTTCCCACATTTGTTCTGATTATATTATTGAGATGTAATTATGCAGCTGTTGAATCTAGTAATATAGTTTTAAAATTTTGTAGCTTTTAAAATAATTTTTTATACTTTTTCTAGTAATTTACTTTTACTGCTGAAAAATATATGTATCAGTATATGATCAATCAAAAATTTAAAACAGTAATCATTTGGGAAGCACTGTTCAAACTGTGGCCCTGCCCGGCAGCATCAACATCACTTGGGAGCTTGTTAGACAAGCAGAATTGCAAGTCCTACCCCAGAACTACATACACAGAATTTCTGGGGGTAGGTGCCAGCACTTGGTGTTTTAACAAGCTCTCCAGGTGCATGCTAAAGTTTGAGATACACTGATCAACAATCTTTCCACCACTTCTTGGACACTCCCTAGCCCCTGATGGCTATTAAGCACTTGAAATGTTGCTAGCGTGACTGAGAAACTGAATTTTTAGCTGTATTTAATTTAATTCAAATCTGAATAGCCATATTGGACAGCTAGTGGCTGGCCATACTGGACAGTACAGTAATGGGAGTTCTGTTCCCATTACTACATTCTTAAATAGACAGCCACAGTGTCATCTTGGTGCCGTATTTCAAGATTTTCAGTTTATCTAGGAATATTTGTTCTCCAACCCCCGCACTTTCATACCAGTCTATTAAATTTATCCATTTTTTAATGTAAATCTCTATTTTCACCTCTTCCAAGAAGACCTGCAGGACCATCCTTATTTAAATTTACTTCCCTCCTTGTTTTCCTCATCACCTTTTTTTCTAATTCTCTTATAGAACTTATTATGCTCTTCTTTGTACCTAAGTTACTTGGGGATGAGTTTGCCTCCCCCAGATGGAGAGCTGTTGGCTTAATTGTCCTTCTATCACGCAACAGCATCTAGCTGGTACTTTGCAAATGCGAGACACCCAACAACCATGTAATTGAATTAAATGTACAGGAAACCAGAAAGAAAAGTCCTCAACACCAACAATACATCCTAGTGTTCTTAGAAGTTGAGACAGATCAGAATGTTAACATACACAATTTAGTTTAGAATAGGAAAAATGTTAAAGCTATGGTGAAACATTTGTCACAGGATCAAAATACATTGTTATAAAAATAAACACAGTGCCTGCTTCATCATTTCTTTAGCAGCAGGAAAGCATTTTCCTTTGGCAATCCTCTACCTCCATCAAAATTGTTCCTTAACTAAATGTGAGATTAAAAACAGACTTGTAGCTCTTTTTTTTAAAAAAAAAAATGGCACTCCTATTGGCAGAAAGATATTCTTGCTGATATAAAAGCAGCTTTCCCATCAACTGGATGAAAAATTTTTGACTTCAAAATAGATCAATATTTTGCTACAAATAAAAAATATTTATTTTTTATAAAAAGAATAAAATACAATTCATTCTGCTTTATTTCAGAGTTCTCTACTTTATCCCGTTTTTACATAGCTATAAAATTAAAATACATGAAAGTAACCACACCAAACCAAACATTAAGGTGGTTAATAATTAAGTATATTCTGCCATCAGTGTAATAAACCTCATTAGATTTTTATAGGGATTACATACCCACACTGACTCACAAATACAGAACTCCAAAGAACTTACACTTCACAATGCCTTCACACAAAAGTGAATGGGAAACGTATGTTACTTTCCAACAATGGGCAATGGCAGCATTCATATGAGATTTGAAAACCTGAATGTCAAATACAATTGACGGTTTTCTATGTGCCTTTCATTATGGGAACTCACCAACTAACATCAATGCCAACTCCTCTTACAAGTTGTATTTTCTTTTTTTTTTTTTTTTTTTTGAGACAGAGTCTCACTCTGTCAGTCAGACTGGAGTGCAGTGGGACAATCTCGGCTCACTGCAACCTCCGCCTCCTGGGCTCAAGCAATTCTCCTGCCTCAGCCTCCCGAGTACCTGGGATTACAGGCGCATGCCACCACGCCCGGCTAATTTTTGTATTTTTAGTAGAGACGGGGTTTCACCATATTGACCAGGCTGGTCTTGAACTCCTGACCTCTGGTAATCCGCCTGCCTCGGCCTCCCAAATTGCTGGGATTACAGGTGTAAGCCACCGCACCTGGCCTACGAGTTGTATTTTCAAAATTTTTAGATTGTCTGATAGTGCCATTGTGAAAAACACAAGTGTATTGATGGGACGCATCTCAAAATAATAGGAGCTATCTATGACAAACCCACAGCCAATATCATACTGAATGAGCAAAAACTGGAAGCATTCCCTTTGAAAACTGGCACAAGACAGGGATGCCCTCTCTCACCACTCCTATTCAACATAGTGTTGGAAGTTCTGGCCAGGGCAGTCAGGCAGAAGAGGGTATTCAATTAGGAAAAGAGGAAGTCAAATTGTCCCTGTTTGCAGATGACATGATTGTATATCTAGAAAACCCCATCGTCTCAGCCCAAAATCTCCTTAAGCTATTAGGCAACTTCAGCAAAGTCTCAGGATACAAAATCAATGTGCAAAACCCACAAGCATTCTTATACACCAATAACAGACAAACAGAGAGCCAAATCATGAGTGAACTCCCATTCACAATTGCTTCAAAGAGAATAAAATACCTAGGAATCCAACTTACAAGGGATGTGAAGGACCTCTTCAAGGAGAACTACAAACCACTGCTCAATGAAATAAAAGAGGACACAAACAAATGGAAGAACATTCCATGCTCATGGGTAGGAAGAATCAATATCATGAAAATGGTCATACTGCCCAAGGTAATTTATAGATTCAATGCCATCCCCATCAAGCTACCAATGACTTTCTTCAAAGAATTGGAAAAAATTACTTTAAAGTTCATATGGAACCAAAAAAGAGCCCGCATCACCAAGTCAATCCTAAGCCAAAAGAACAAAGCTGGAGGCATCACGCTACCTGACTTCAAACTATACTACAAGGCTACAGCAACCAAAACAGCATGGTACTGGTACCAAAACAGAGATATAGACCAATGGAACAGAACAGAGCCCTCAGAAATAATGCCGCATATCTACAACCATCTGATCTTTGACAAACCTGACAAAAACAAGAAATGGGGAAAGGATTCCCTATTTAATAAATGGTGCTGGGAAAACTGGCTAGCCATATGTAGAAAGCTGAAACTGGATCCCTTCCTTACGCCTTATACAAAAATTAATTCAAGATGGATTAAAGATTTAAATGTTAGACCTAAAACCATAAAAACCCTAGAAGAAAACCTAGGTATTACCATTCAGGACATAGGCATGGGCAAGGACTTCATGTCTAAAACACCAAAAGCAATGGCAACAAAAGCCAAAATTGACAAATGGCATCTAATTAAACTCAAGAGCTTCTGCACAGCAAAAGAAACTACCATCAGAGTGAACAGGCAACCTACAGAATGGGAGAAAATTTTTGCAATCTACTCACCTGACAAAGGGCTAATATCCAGAATCTACAATGAACTCAAACAAATTTACAAGAAAAAAACAAACAACCCCATCAAAAAGTGGGTGAAGGATATGAACAGACACTTCTCAAAAGAAGACATTTATTCAGCCAAAAGACACATGAAAAAATGCTCATCATCACTGGCCATCAGAGAAATGCAAATCAAAACCACAATGAGATACCATCTCACACCAGTTAGAATGGCAATCATTAAAAAGTCAGGAAACAACAGGTGCTGGAGAGGATGTGGAGAAATAGGAACACTTTTACACTGTTGGTAGGACTGTAAACTAGTTCAACCATTGTGGAAGTCAGTGTGGCGATTCCTCAGGGATCTACAACTAGAAATACCATTTGACCCAGCCATCCCATTACTGGGTATATACCCAAAGGATTATAAATCATGCTGGTATAAAGACACATGCACATGTATGTTTATTGTGGCACTATTCACAATAGCAAAGACTTGGAACCAACCCAAATGTGCAACAATGATAGACTGGATGAAAAAAATGTGGCCCATATACACCATGGAATACTATGCAGCCATAAAAAGGATGAGTTCATGTCATTTGTAGGGACATGGATGAAGCTGGAAACCATCATTCTGAGCAAACTATCACAAGGACAAAAAACCAAACACCACATGTTCTCACTCATAGGTGGGAATTGAACAATGAGAACACATGGACACAGGAAGGGGAACATCACACACCGGGGCCTGTTGTGGGGTGGGGGGAGGGGGGAGGGATAGCATTAGGAGATATACCTAATGTTAAATGACGAGTTAATGGGTGCAGCACACCAACATGGCACATGTGGCACATGTATACATATGTAACTAACCTGCACGTTGTGCACATGTACCCTAAAACTTAAAGTAAAAAAAAAAAAATAGAAAAATACAAGTGTAATTCAACAAGCTCCCAGAGTCCACACAACACATATGATGTTCTCAAACTGTTCTAAGACAGTAGGAAAAGATACAGGTTTATTGTGGACAGTTAACTTAGACAAGGAATAGGCTGGTAAGTCTAAAAAAGGGACACTATATTTATCTCAATAACCTACCATTTATTAGAAAATGATGGCAAAATTTTTTAAGACTGAAAAAAGATACCACAGTAGAAAATACATAATCCTAGCTATGTTAAAAACAAATGTATGTTAAAGCATATAAAATTAACTGAAACACCAAACTGTTAAAACTGGTTTCCCTTGAGTGCGTAGTAATAGTGGGGGTAATGAGGGATCTATTTTTTTTAAATGAATCTACTTTATATATTTTTTTAAATTTGAATATTGTATAATAAGAATGTTTCCACGTACTACTTGCATAACCAAAAGAATTATTTTAAGAAAATTAAAACCACTCTCTTTTCTTTTGTTTTTTCTTTTTTTCTTTTCTTTTCTCTTTCCCCTCCCCTCCCCTCCCCTCCCCTCCCCTCCCCTCCCCTCCCCTCCCCTCCTCTCTTCTCTTCTCTTCTTTTCCTTCTTTTCTTTTTAAAATAGAGACAAGATCTCACTATATTGCCCAGGCTGGTCTCCCGGGCTCAAACAATCCTCTCGGCTAAGCCTCCCAAAGTGCTGGGATTACAGGTCTGAGCCACTGCACCCGGCCCAAAAACCACTTCTATCTAAAGAAAGGCAAAAAACCACTTTTCTTCCTAACAGGAATTTCCCCCCCTAAAATGTAGTATAAATGCAAGTTAAACAACTTAAAAAAATAAACAACTTTTTAAGGAAGACATAAAAATCAAACAGGACTCCCTAATGACCTCTGATTGACTCTTATTAATGATAATAAATGTTGATATAATGCTTTACAGTTTAGAATTTGCCCTTTACATTCATTATCACAGTTCTTAATTTAATGGTGAAATAGGTATCACCATCATCATTTTACAGATGAGGAAACTGAAATTCAGGCATGTTATACCTTTTGGCTGATATCACCCAGGTTGCCAGAATTTGATCCAAATTTTGGTTCAAAAGCTCAGATGTCAGCTGTCACATTTCCTCAGTTGAAGGAGATACAGATCAGAGAAACTGATTAGCAGAATCTGACTAGAGAAGTTAATCCAGACAATTAGTGACTTTGTAAAGTGTAATGGATTTATTTAAATTATGTATAAAATAGTAATATTTTATGCAGCTTGGAAAGTCTCTAATAACTTCCTTCCATACTCTTTCTAGTGATCTTATCCTTAATTAGAGTAATCACCAGTGAGAGAATGACTTAAGTTTCCTTGAATCCTAATCCCATGTTCATGGTTGTGTCACCTTTAAGATCTATTCATTGTTCATTCACTTTTCCTGCAAATATGTATTGATCTCCTAATATGTTGCTTATTGTGTTCATAGCAAATGCAGTCAGGGAGAAGAATGAAGCACCATCTCTGTTTTCAGGGAATTCCAAATCCCTGGGAAAATAGGTGCAAAATAATAAACCCACGTGGCAAAAAGAAAATCAACACCATTGTATGTGCCAAACTGCAGTGGTTCCCAACTGGGGTGGGGGTGGGGTACTGTGCCACCCAGGGATTTTCAGCAATACCTGGAGACATTTTGGTTGTCATAGTTTGGGGGTGGATGTTACTGGCATGTAATGGGTAGAGGCTAGGAATGCTGCTAAACACCTAGAGGGCAAAGGACAGCCCACAACAGAGAATTATCAGGCCCCAAATGCCAGTAGTGCCAAGGTTTAGAAATCGTTTGCTAAGGATATCATCCTTTCCAGATTTTAAATAAAGAAGTTCAGTCGGATGTGGCGGCTTACGCCTGTAATCCCAGTATTTTGGGAGGCCGAGGCGGGAGGATCACTTGAGTCCAGGAGTTTGAGACCAACCTGGGCAACATGGTGAAACCTTGTCTCTACCAAAACAAAAACAAAAACAAAAACAAAAACCAAAAAACAAAAACAAAGCAAACACAAAACAAATAAACAAAAAAAATCAGCCAGGTGTGGTGGTGCGTGCCTGTGGTTCCAGCTATTCGGGAGGCTGAGGTGGGAGGATTGCCTCAGCCTTAGAGATCAGAGCTGCAGTGAGCCGTAATTGCGCTACTGCACCCCAGCCCGGGTGACAGACCAAGACCCTGTATAAATAAATAAATAAATAAATAAAGTCTATGCTGGCTAAACTACAGAGGAATTTACAATTATATGACAATGAATAGATTAAAAATGTAAGTAATCTACTCTTGAATAAATGCTCTTATCTTATTTTACATCTGTCAGTGAAATTAAGACAAAGTGCAATCATGCACCACATAACAATGTTTTGATCAGTGAGGGACTGCATATATGACATGTTCCCATAAGATTACAATAGAGCTGCCCTTTACAGGTGTACCATTTTTAATCTTATATACCATATTCGTACTGTATCTGTTCTATGTTTAGATACACAAATACCATTGTGTTACAGTTGCCTGCAGTATTCAGTACAGTCACATGCTGTGCAGGTTTGTATCCTAGGAGCAATAGGCTCTACCATACAGCCTAGGTGTGTAGCAGGCTGCACCATCTAGGTTTGTGTAAGTTCACTCTATGTTCGCACAATCATAGAATTGCCTAATGATGCATTTCTCAGAACGCAGTCTCGTCGTTAAGTGACACATGACTGTGCAATCTTTCTGGAAGTGGCCTAATAATACCTAAGTAGGTAGGGTGGGGGATTCCACATTATAGGGGAACGAGTTCATCATTCTTCTGCCCCACCCTTGACTGAGCCCTCACTGTTTCTCTCCAGACTGCTGCACACCAGGATCAGATTGCCTCCTGTTCAGCCCTCTTTAACAGATCCCCACTGCTCTGGGGATAACAATCAAACTTGCTTCAACAACTACATGGCATCGATGACCTGGACCCTGCCTACCTCATCCTCTCACCTTGTTCACCTTGCCTTAGCCACAGTGATCCCCAAATCATTTTCCCTGCACAGAGATTCCACACAGTCTGTTCCCTCTAACTGGAAATATCCTCCCCCTACCACTAAACTCTTATGTTTCGTATCATGACCTAAATATCACACCCTAAAAAGGCTTTTCTTAACTTCCCATTTCCTTTCCTGCTCTGCTTTCTTTTTTTTTCTTTTCTTTTGAGATGGGGTCTCACTCTGTCACCCAGGCAGTAGTGCAGCAGCTCAATCATATCTCAACCTCCCAGACTTAGCCTCCCAAGTAGCTGGGACTATGGGTCCCACCACGCCCAGGTAATTTTTTTTATTTTTAATTTTTTGTAGAGATGGGGTCTCACTATGTTGCCCAGGCCGTGCTCTGCTTCCTTATCCATTTTCCACCCCTCTCTCCCCTGCTGTGTGCCCCATCCCCATGTGTCAGTGTGACTCCAGCACCCTTGCTGCTTGGCTCTAGGTTGGGTTTGGCCATTAGGCAGCATTGGTAAAAAATCTGAAGGCTGCAGGTAATGGACATCCAGGTATTTTCATCCGCTTTCCTACTTGGGTGCCATTCTGGGAGTGAGTTCCTCCCACTAGTACCAGGACTCCAGCTCTCAGTAAGCCCTGGTGCCACATTCTGTTCCCTTATTCCTACAGCTGATGCAAGTCTCTGGGCAAGTCAGCATCTCTCCTGTGTTCCCTTAACACTGACCCACCTCTGAAAGTAGCCCCTTCATCAACAAATTTTCATTTGAACCATCTAAACTGAATTTTCTTTTCCAGTCAACACCCTAACATTCACATTCCTCAATTTTAAATCAGTTTTTCTTCATATAGATTCTTCCACAACACCAAATCATTTTCCCTCTGAGCTCTTATCATATTTTATAAATGTATATATACGTGTGTTTGTATTTTGATTCTTTGTGTAGTATCTGTCACCTGACCTGGCACAATTTTGTGTATTTTACAGGGAACATAGTTGTTTTGCTAATGACAGTTGAATGGACGGATGAAAGGGTAGGCAATATCCTTGCTGAAGATAGACATCTGGATCTTTCATAAATTATTGCTTAAAAGCAATGTTAATATAAGGAAGTTATGGGTGAATACAACAGCATATATGAAGGAAAATTCTTGAAGTTTTAAGTGCACGCATGCAGGCATTCAACTGACATTTGTTCAGCACCTTGTGAGTACCACACTCTTCATTAGGCATTGGGAGCACAGATGGGAAAAGAAAACAGTCTCTTTCCTCAAAGGCTCAAAGACTGGTGGGGAAGATGAGAATGTAAAGAGAATGGGGCACATGGGAAACATGAGCCAGGGCTACAAGGAGGTCAATACAGAGGTTGCTATCAAAGGGGGAAGGTTTACAAGGGAGGCATCTGGAAATAGAAAAAATTAAACAAGACCATGTTTCAAGTTTGTTTAGAAAACACGATGGCTAATATGACCATAAAGTCTTTGTTGCCCCTCAAATTTGAAGAGGAAAGGAAGAAAGAAGCATCCAAGCCAAATAGGTTGCTTTGAGGTAACGTCTCAGCCCAGATAAAAGGGGGCAGTTGGCACTGGCAGAAAAGCAGAAGAGACAATAACAAAAATTGACTGGTGTTTACTACAAGACTCCAGACATGTGGGTCCTGATCATAACGGGAGTCCAAACGGGACAATCACCGAAGCCTGTAGCTGGAGCTCCTGGAACCCAGAAATTTCTGAGTTTAGGAAGGTTTAAGTAATTTACCCACCATCAAGTTTGATACACATGCATGTGTCATTGGGTGGTATGCATGTGTGTGTGTGTGCATGTGTGTGTGTGCTTACAATATGATATTTGCAATACTTCAGGTAACAGTTACATTTACCAATAGTCTTGGAATATTAAAAATATTCTAACTTTTTTTCATTGAAATAATATTTTTACCCTCTCATATAGAGGAAAAGTGCTATTTTAACAAATGCTTTCATCATCTTCATGGTTCTGTCTGTGAGCGGCCCCAGCCCAGAGAAGCCAGGATGAGACACAAATCATTCTGATTAAAACCAAATAAACACTGAGGTCCTATCCTCAGTCAGACATTAGACCAGGGATCAGCAAACTTGTTATAAATATTTTAAGCTTTGTGAGCCGTATGATCTCTGTTGCAATAAGTCAACATTATTGTTTTAATGTAAAACCAGACATAGACAATATGTAAATGAATGGGGATGGCCATGTTCCAATAAAACTTTGGTTACAAAAATAGGTGGCAAGTCACATTTGGACTGTGGGCTGCAGTATGCCAGCCCTGCACCAGACTAGAAAGAAGGAAAGGAAAAAATGAACTAAGAACAAGGGAGACAGCTCCAAAACAAATGGGAAAAAGAAAACCGTCGATGGTAATACTGCAGTGGTACCTAAAAGAGAATATTATAGTTGTAAGATCCAATAAGGTAATGAGAATAAATCAATAAACTCTGACTGACCGAACACATATTCTCCCTTGTGATAAAATAACACATATTGGTAGAATGTTCTACTTACTATAACTACTATGCAAACAAATTCCTATTTTGAAATATATAAATAAATATATAGTTCAAAAATAGGAGTTAATTACAACATGAATGAACCTTGAAAACATGCTAAATGGAAGAAGCCAGATGGAAAAAGCCACATATTGTATGATTCCATCTATATGAAATGTCCAGAAGAGGCAAATCCATAGAGACAAAAAGCAGCTTAGTGGTTGCCAGGGGCTAGGGACGGGGAAGTGGGGAGTGATTGCTGATGGGCACAGAATTTCTTTATAGGGTGATGAAAATGTTCTGAATTAATTAGTGGTGATAGTTGCAGAACTCTGTGAATATACTAGACAACCACTGAATTGTACACTTTGAAAGGATGAATTTATGGTATGTGAGTTATATCTCAATTAAAAAAAGGAGTAGGACATTCTCATACGATTTGGCACTATCTTTCTGGAAGGCAGTTTGAAGCAGTGCATATTAAAAGTCCTACAAATGTGGGAAGCAAGAGAGAAATAGGAGCTAAGAAGATTTGGAAACTGAAGAGCAGCTGAAAAATAAATTATTTCAGTAACTGCAATAGCTCCATATACATCAATTCAAATACAAAATGGGTTCTATTATGTCTTGAGAGCAATTAAAAGGTAATATTTTGCCTTCCCACATCTGTGGAAAGTAGTCATGGACACCTGATCTGCTTATATGAGTTAACAACAGATTTGCTTGGACATCAAATGATTATTGCTGGGTGTGGACTAGGAGCTTTTCATACATTGCTGATCCTTGCCACAGTTCTGCAGATTATGCATTATAAAGCCCATTTTACAGATGAGCAAACTGATTGGCAAAGGCCATGCATCCCTTCTGATCTCAGCGATCTCACGTGGATGGTGCTTCTAGCAGGAGGAGGATATCAGCCTGCACCTCACTCCTTGGACATTCCTCAGCTGTTTTCTGTTCCCTGAAAGGACATTGCAAATGAGGCCCTGCAAGCAAGTTCACAATGTCGCCATCCCGATTTCAGCCATAGCCTCCCAACTGGTCTCCCTGCTCCCTCTCCTGCCCACATTTGCCAGAGAGATCTATTTAAAACTGAAATCAGCCCATGCCCTTCCCCTCCTTAAAAAACCAAGCTCCTAACCCCTGTTTAGAAGGGCTTAGAGGCCCCAGCTCCATTGGCTATCACATGGGCCATATCTTGCCCTTGCCCTTTCTGCACCAGCCTATGGGCCTTCCTGTCCATCAAGCCTTGGAGGAGCATCCTAGCTCATGCCTCTGCCTGGCATGCCCTTCACATGGCTGACTTGTCATTCAGGTCACCTCCACAGAGACTGTCCTTGTCTACTGTTCTAAAGTAGCCACAATTCACTCTATTTTAATCCTTTGTAAAGCTCTGACCATCTGATATTCTTCCTTCCATCTCATCCTCCCTTCCTCTTCTCTTCTTTCCTCCTCCCCTTCTTGCCTTGCTCCCTTTCTCCTTCTCTTGCTCCCTCCTTCCCTGCCACTTCTCTGTCCACTAGAATAGAAGCTGTATGAGAACATGAACTCTGGGCTGTTCACCTGCCCCTGGCCCATTATAGGCAGTCAAATATTTGTTGAAAGAATTAATGAATGCTGATGAAACTTGGCAAAGGTCCTGTGTTTTGCTAAATGATGAAAGATATAAATCCCACAGCACATAGTCTTGGCTCTGTAGAAGGGTAACAATAAATGAGACTAATGACCACAAACTTCAGAAGGCCCTAACCCATACCGACCATTTACAACTGTCCCCACCCCCAAGGTTCCATGTCTGAGACAAGTTTCAGCCTGAAGTGAGTTTTTATTACCTACTCATAAACCCCTGAATCATGTGGTTTACAGGGCAAGTGCTAATGCAGTCATAATTATATTGGTGTGAACAAATTGTCATAGAAATGTAGCAAACATAGACACAGGCATTTAAGAGAAACCAGCTGCTCACAACACAAGATCAACCATCACATAGAAACCAGTCAGCAAGCACAGAGCTAAGGAACTTGAACTGAGTGACTGAAGGTGACACACCCTATAAATCACAAAGTGTGATGACAGTTTGCACCAGCACCTCAGAGCAACCAATACTGCCCAGAGCACTATGCATTTTGAGGAAATCTATAATTAAGACATGGATACTACCTTCCCTAAATGGTGACTGCCATTCTTTTTCTGTTTAATTAACCGAAGCACAAAATTAAGTGTTAACTTCAGTTTGTGGACGATTTCCTTTCTTTTCTCTTTGGAAGCAGATCAAGGAACAAGAAAGGACATGACTGCATTATAAATTCATTACTTACCTAGGGTGTTTTTTTTCCTTTTTAATCTCTAAAATAACAGTTGATCCATTAAGAGACTGGAAGGTGAAAAATGTCAAGCTTCTGACCTTTTCTTAATTTACACATATACTGAGCCAATGAAAACATATCCACACCCCATCTCCCCATAATTAGTACTTTCTGTGGACTCAGTGATGACTCCAGAGCAGGATTTCTCAGCCTAGGCACTATTCTCATATTGGATCAGATAATTCTCTGTGTCTGGGCTGTCCTGTGCATTGTAGGATGTTGAGCAGTATTATCCCTGGCCTCCACCCACACTGGATGCCAGGAGCATCGCACCTTCTCCCCCCAAAATGTGACATTCAAAAATGCCTGCAGACATTGCAAAATGTCCCTTGGAAAGAAAAACCACCTCAAGGTTGAAAACCACTGTTCAAAACATTGTGATATGAAAAGCTAAGAAAAAAGATCAGGTTATACTCTAATTATTTTTGTATTTCAACATATTCTGCCACGTTTTATTTCTTGGACACTATAAACTTGTCAACCCAGAATGGACACTTATTGTCCTTTTAGCATTTGTTGCTGTGTTTGAGTGGTGGATGTTGCTCAGTGTCTTGCTAAAATGCCACAAGGCCAGGATTGCTCTTATAGGACGACTCCCTGACATTCATCATAGAATTTTATGCTTTCATCCAGCATTGCATGCCAAGATTACACTTCTTTAAAAAACAACCAGGGCCTACAAATAATTGCCTCTGAGACTCGGCATTATTTTCAGTTGGTGGAGCAATCTTAAAACTGGTTTCAAACCAGACATTTAAAGATCATAATATTTGTATGAAGAGTTCTTTAAAGAGAAAGAAGAGAGCTGGTTTTAGTTGGAAACCAATGAAAAAACAAGTCGTTTGTCTCTGCCTTTTGCTAAAATAACTAACTTTAATGACAATGTATTTAGAATAGCAAAAGCAAGAGCAGAACTAGCCCTGGCATTGGCCTTAGAAGATTTTACAACTCTGAAAAGGCCATTAATCAGCAAACAATCTATAAAGACAACCTAAAAAAATGTGTTCCAACTGCCTCATTCCCTTGCCTTGGTTATAATCCAAGAGCAAATCCTCCAAGTCTAAATCTCGTGACCCATAAAACTTCTTATCTGCCTTTACTTGGTACAGGCCAGCAACCAAATCTCTATACACTGTTTTTCCCATGGAAGAATGAGGCTGTAAGTTTGCTCACCAAGAGGCACTTGGTGGGAAGAAAGAATAAGCAAGAAATCTGCCATAAATCTTCATCAGCCTTCTTGTGTAAAGCTGACATGGATTTAGAAAAAGTTTGTTCTTCATAAACTTTATTATTTGCCCAGGAATAATTTTATTCTAATTGAAAAAGTGCATTTTAAAAGCTGTCAACAATTGTGCATGGATTTTTGACATTGTACAGGAAGCTGGCCAATGTGACACACTTGTATGGCATAGTCACAGTATAATGTGATTTTGTTTGCTTTCAAAATTTTCTTGTATGGTATTTTACGGTTATTGATTTTACACCAGATACGTATTTGACATGAATGGCATAATTTTTTTAAGGGCTGTTTACAGAAAGAAGAAAATTCAGTTTTTTTTTTTCAGTTTTTTTTTTAATGATTTTTTTTTTGATAGGTTAATAAAGTGCTTTGTGTAGGCCCCGCATTTTTGTTTGGGCCAAAGAGAAAAACAGTCACCACAGTCCATCAATCTGATTTGTGATTTTGCTTTATACCCTCTACTAGTAGCTTGCACCTTGTGATCTATTTAATATCTTGCCTTTCTTATTAATAAAACCCAAACTAGGCCTTGTTCAGGGTGATTGGCCAGAAAGAATATGCTTCATCCGAGATGGTAGGTGCGTACCTAGCATTCTTCTCTAAGAACAATATGGTTCACCACAAGTGTGGAGGGTGGAGTGTGTGGAAAGTCTGGGTTCCCCTTTCTATGCTTGAAGGGGCCTTTTGAGGTTTTATTAATGACAATTTGAACACACTTCTTTTCTATATATCTCCCATCAATGAATTCAACAATTGCTTGGGGGGCAGGTTGACATTACGAACTTAGTTTAGGAGAAGGTGTCTAAATGCTTCCAAATAACTTTCATGTGATTTCTAAAATAATTGATCATAAATAATGAGTATCTTATAGTTATAAGTCAGGAAGATTAATGATTTGAAAACTTCTTGAATAAAGTGTGGTGTTGTCTCTACCCCCTGACCCTGGGCCCCCATTTAAACAAAGATACATCTATCAACATATTTTTTTTGCAAAAATTTGGGTGCTGATTTTAAAGTGACCTAATATAAATTAATCCATTCAAAGTACTACATATTGAATATCTGGGAAAGCCAGATATTTACCATATTCTGTCTTTTATTTTCAGATGTAAAATAGTTCAAAAGCTAATTATTTAAAAAGTATGGGGATAAAAGTCATATTTAGAGCGGGGCCTAATAAATTGGGCCTGTCCAGCAGAGCAGTCCTCTTCAATTTTGCCTAACCACTCACAGAGCAATTCACCAGAGTTTAACAATTCACTCAGAATTTTCAGTGTTGATATCACCTCCGTTTGCATAAAGAACCAATTGACTATCACCACCAGAATAGAAATTCTACAATGAATGCCAGTATGTGCATTACAACAAATGCCAGTAAGTGATTTGCCGGAGTCATGCAGCCAGCAAGGGGCTGAAGCAGACCTTGAAGCCAGCCCTGTCCCAGCACATAGTCGGTGCTCCTCCCACTCCACCTAGAAGAGCAAGTCACCATCACAAGATGGAAGGCTGCTGGCTCCCATTGTGAGGTCACAGAGAATGGAACTACTGAAATTAGACCCAGGAATTGTTGAATAGAACTTTCCATGCCCTGATGTCAAAGTAAACATATACATGATAGATACTAAGGCATTAAGGAAATCATGAGTCAACAGTAGTGCTTGTTACCAAATATAGTTGGTAACAAGCTGTCTCCATGAGACAAGCAAACATGCAAAAACCCACGTTCGATGCATTGTTACTCCTTAAAAATCTCCCCAGTGCAGTCCAGTCAATCCTGTTTTCTTCTCCAGACTTTGCCCATCAGCTGTTCTTTATTATCTCTGTTATTTAAATGAACAGAGAGCAGGCATTGAGTAGGGGGCTGGCTTTGAAAGTGACTTCAAGTACAGTCACAGAGCTGCAAACTCAGCTGCTGCTGTTCTGAAACAGTTATTCCATTTTGTTATCAATGCTTAGACCAAAGCGGGCATGGCAGGTTGCTGCATTTGCAGTGGGGCATTGCTGATGGGGCCTTGCAAACTGTGTCTGTGACCTGTAGGGTTTCTCATGTTCTCTTTTCAGAGCAATTATTCTCCAAAGCTCCACTCCCCAAAATGTGTCCCTGCAGGATTCCTCTCTCTGCTCTGTTCCTCACTAGGTTCATATCTTTGCTATAGTACTTGTCACATTGCATTAAAACATCTTTTGACTACTCTGCCTTGTCCACGTGACTGGGAGCCTATCAAAAGCAGATATGTTGCTCATTATTTTGGATTGCCTAAGGGTCTGGCAACTGCGTCTGGCATGTATTGATGCTCCCCTCCTCTCTCCTAGTTTGCTTTATATCCTATGAAATGTCTCATCAGAATCCTTTAACTGTTATTGATTCAAGTCTCTACCCAGTTTTGTGACAGCAATTTAGCACTTTGATCTCTCACCCCATTTTGCTTCTGTTATTAAATTTATTTTTCCATGAATTTCTACTTCAAGTCGGAAAGATGAAGAAGAAAAATTCTGGGCTGTGAAGTCACTAGCCAGCTGTGTGGCAATGGACATCTTTACCCACTCTGAGCTCATCAGTCCCCTTATTTATATTTCTAAGGAGAGGGAGTGGGAGGAGAAGAGAAGGGAAGAGAAAGTAGGAAAGAAAAGAAGGGAAGGAAGGAGAAAAAGAAAGCAAGAGCGTCTGTATTGTATGGTTGTTGTAGGAATTTTAGAGACTGTCTTTTGTAAGCACCATCATTTAACAGGCATTTATTAGATGACAGCTATCCATTTTTGTGTTTCTCAGTCTATCCTGGGGCCAAATAGAAGACACACCACATATTGGGGTAAGAGAAGATGGATCTTTGATTCTTTGTCACCATGATGGTATTTGTGGGTGAATTTTTTTTCTTCTTCATGTTGACTGTCATTGGAATTTTTATGTATAGAGTAAATTCTTATTATGTCTAGTTCTTATTGGTGTTATAATCAACCTTCTAAAATGTCTAATATTAGAAAGCAGCATGGAGTTGAGGGCATCAGATCAACACTCATTTCAGGCACAACCTTTTTCATCCCCCCTCACCTGGCAGGCCACCAGTGCTAATATTACTGGTACGTGGCTGATGCTACTTTGGTTTCTGCAGACAGCTCAAATATGAATTTCACTTGTCCTTTTTCCGTTTTTTTCACCTCAAGCAAATAATTGACAAGCAGGCTAGAATGTCTTTTAATCACATAATGGTCCTCAAAAATTGTTTTAAAGGAAGTAGTACTGAGTTTAGACAAAGTAATCAATTACTGTGTAGTACACAGAATGTAATGAGGGACAACAAATACTTTAGAGTTGGAAGGCAACTTAGATTTCTATTTGTGCACATAGGCCATGGCATGAGGATAGCAGAAAAATCTTATGACACTATAAGGCCAGATCCGAGTCCTTTGGTTTATTTTATGAAAATATCATGATTGGAAACCATGAATCATGTAATGAATGCTGGGCTAATCAATGTGTGGTTCTGGTGTGATATTACAAAAATCATGACAACTTAACATATTTCTAGAACTTCCAGGAGATTTATGGCAAGGTTGAGATACCTAACAGGCTGATCTCAATGTAGCCTTAAGGGAGGTGAAGGGATATTAACATGCAGTAGACACTCACACCCACTATGTGGGAGACCAACAGGTACTTTTCCTATATACTTACAACTGCTAGGCAAAGCCAATATTTTTATTCCCATATTTCCCAAAGAAGAAATTTCCCAAAGGAGACCTAAAGAAGTCAAGAAACTTACCCAAAACTAGACTTATTAGAAGTAGCCAAGCAGGGATTTAAACTCATTTCTGGCTCTAGAAATATTTTTGATTTCCTAGTCTTTTTTTTTTTTATTAACAAGACGCAAAATTCCCTAATTCTACTACCCTTCAGACCACTATAAATGCTGTGGTAGATATCTCCAAGATGGCACCAAATGGTCCCTGCCTCCCTAGTATTCACAACTTGGTATTTCCCTCCCCTTAAGTAACTTGCTTCTAACTTATAGGACATGGCAACATTGAGGGGAATTTATTTCCATAATTCATCAAAAGACATTGTGACATTCATCTTACTAGCAGACTCTCACCCTAGCTGGCTGTGATAAAGCAAGCTGGCATGTTGGAGAGGCCCACATGGCAAGGAATTGAGGGTGGTCTCTGGGCAACAGTCAGTGAGGAAATAGAGCCCTCAGCCCAACAGCCCCCAATGAACTGAGTCTGCCAACAATTACATGAGTAAGCTCGTAAGCACGTTATTCCCCAGTCAGGTCTCCAGATGAGATCCCAGGTTTAGTGGATATCCGGATCACAGCCTAGTGAGACCCTGATCAGAAGATGCAGTTAAGCTGTGACCAGATTCCTTACCCACAAAACCTGAGAGATAATAAATGTGTGATATTTTAAGCCTCTAAGTTCTGGGACAATTCATTTTGCAGCAGTAGACAACTAATAAAAGGACCCCACAAAAAGGCAATTGGCTTGCCACATGTAGCCACCAGTGTGAGACCCATGGAAGATAATGATGCTAGTTTTTGAGGTGACAGATACCTCAACTCTCCTACTACATTATACGTAGAAAATTGGCTAAAAACAATACACGTGAACACACTGTTCCCTGGGCCTAATTCCTTTGCTAATTTCTGTGTTAGATGCATAAAACAGAGAGAGTGCAACCACCAGGCAGAGAAACAGTGAGCTAATATGTAGATATAATAAATTAATATAAATGAACAAAGAGCAAGTACATACTGAGTGACAGGAGTTTTAGAAATAATTTGATTTAGCCAGGCTGGGGTTAGAGAGAATTCCAGCCTAAATAGAGATGTAAAACTAGAAGATGACTGAGTTATTCCCTCAGGAACCATTTTGGTATTCTGGCTGGTTAGGGGAGCTCTATTTGACTCAGCTACATCATCAGGAATAGTTCTTTGAGTTAGAAAGTTTCTATTTTTACAGAGCTTTTATTTTTTGATGAATGGATAGTCAGGACTCAGATTCAAAAAAAAAAAATTCTGGCCCAATTACATTAGTAGTACAAGAAATTATGTTATTTCCCTTGGCTTTAAAAAGTAGTCAAAGCTTATGTGGAAGTAAAAAAAAATACTTCTATTTGTTTGATTTTATTTCTTTCTTCATTTACGGATTGACCTTTGTGTTCAATATCAATTTCATTATATAAATATTAGATAGAAATGACACTGTTTGACAATTTCCATACTAATAGAAATCACAGCTTTAAACTTCATAAACAAAATACAGAGATTTATAACTTTCTGTTCCAAGGTCCATAACTTATTCACTATACTAAGTGAGGTCTCATCAGCACTATTTCTCAGTAATCACAATGCAGCCTTTGGGGTTAAGTAGCCCTGAGTTTGGGAATTCTGGTCAATTCACTTACTCACCAGGTAGCCTTAACCTTCCTGACTCTCTGTTTTATAATCTATAAATGGGGATAAATATAATGTCCTTCAAAAATGAAAAAAATGGGAAAAGGACTCCATAGTCAATAAATGGTGCTGGGATAGCTGGCTAGCCATATGCAAAAGAATGAAACTGGACCCCCACCTTTCATCATACACAAAAATTAACTCAAGATGGAATAAAGATTTAAATGTAAGACCTCAAACTCTACAAATTATATAAGAAAACGTAGGAAATACCCTTTCTGACATCAGCTTTGGCAAATAATTTATGGCTAAGTCTTCAAAAGCAATTGCAACAAAAACAAAAATTGACAAGTGGGACTTAATTAAACTAAAGAGCTTCTGTACAGCAAAAGAAACTATCAACCGAGGCCAGCACGGTGGCTCATGCTTGTAATCCCAGCACTTTGGGAGGCTGAGGTGTTTCAGATCACAAGGTCAGGAGATTGAGACCATCCTGGCCAACATGGTGAAACCCCATCTCTACTAAAACACAAAAAATTAGCCAGGCATGGTGGTGCACGCCTGTAGTCCCAGCTACTTGGGAGGCTGAGGCAGGGAAATTGCTTGAACCTGGGAGATGGAGGTGACAGTGAGCCGAGATCACGCCATTGCACTCCAGCCTGGCGAAAGAGCAAGACTCCATCTCAAAAAATAAAAAACTAAAAACAAAACAAAAACAAACAAACAAAAACTATCAACCGAGTAAACAAACTTACAAAATTGGAGAAAATATTCACAAACTATGCATCTGACAAAGGCCTAATATCCAGAATCCATAAGGAACTTAAACAACTGAACATGTAAAAAAACAAATAACCCATCAAAAAATGGACAAAGGACATGAACAGACACTTCTGAAAAGAGACATACAAGCGGCCAACAAACGTGAAAAAAATGCTCCATCAGAGAAATGCAAATCAAAACCACAATAAGATATCATCTCACACCAGTCAGAATGGCTATTATTAAAAAGTCAAAAAACAACAGATACTGGCAAGGCTGCAGAGAAAAGGGGATGTTTATAAACTGTTGATTGTTGTTGGGAGTGTAAATTAGTTCAGCCACTGTGGAAAGCAGTTTAGAGATTTTTCAAAGTATTTAACAGAGAACTACCATTTGACCCAGCAATCCCATTACTGGTTATATATCCCAGGGAAAGGAAACCATCCTACAAAAAAGACACGTGGATATGTATGTTCATTACAACATTATTCACAATAGCAAAGACATAGTATAAACCTAGGTGCCTATCAATGGTGGACTGGATAAAGAAAATGTGGTACATTTACACCATGAAATACTATGCAGCCATAAAAAGAATGGAATTATGTCCTTTGCAGCAACATGGATGCAGCTGGAGGCCATCACCCTAAGTCAATTAACATAGGAACAGAAAACCAAATACCACATGTTCTCACTTATAAATGGGAGCTAAACATTGGGTTCACATATACATAAATATGGGAACAATAGACACCGGGTACTATTATAGGGGAGAGAGAGGGATGGGGGCAAGGGCTGAAAATATCCCTGCTGGATACTATGCTCACTATCTGAATGATGGGATCATTTGTACCCCAAATCTCAGTGTCACACAATAAACCCATGCAACGAACCTGCACACATACTCCCTGAATCTAAAAGTTGAAATTATAAAAATAAAAAATAAAAATAAAACAACCATAGAGATATTTTAGAAAGCAAAAATATAAATAAATATAAAGTTCTTGAGAGAGAGATTTATACATAAATTAAGTGACATAAGTAAGATGCTTATATTATGCTTCATACATAATAAATAGCTGTTACTATATTTTCTTTTTTTTTTTTTTTTTTGAGACAGAGTCTTGATCTGTCGCCCAGGCTGGAGTGCAGAGGCCTGATCTCAGCTCACTGCAACCTCCACCTCCCAGGTTCAAGCGATTCTCCTGCCTCAGCCTCCCAAGTAGCTGGGATTTCCGGCATGCACCACCACGCCCGGCTAATTTTTGTATTTTTAGTAGAGACGGGGTTTCATCATGTTGGTCAGGCTGGTGTTGAACTCCTGACCTTGTGATCTGCCCGCTTCGGCCTCCCAAAGTGCTGGGATTACAGGCGTGAGCCACCATGCCCGGCCAGCTGTTACTATATTTTCAAGATTTTGGTATTGTCTTTAGTTTTCTGTAGTTTGAATATGATATGGCTAGGTGTAGACTCTGGGTATTTATTCTGCTTCATGTTCTCGGAACTTCCTGGATTTGTGGTTTGGTTCCTGTTATTAGTTTTGGAAAATTCTCAGTCATTATTATTTCAAATATTCAAATATTCAAGTATTTTTTTCTACTCCCTTCTTTATTCTTCTTCTAGTATTCCCATTATGTGTATGTTATACCTTTTGTGTTTGTAATGGTCTCACTGTTCTTCAATATTCTGTTCCTTTTTTTAATTCTCTTTTTTTGGTTTGCATTTCCATTTGGGAAGTTTCTATTGGCATGTCTTTCACCTCACAGATTCTTTTCTTGGCCATGTACAGTCTGTGGATGAACCCATCAAAGACATTCTTCATTTCTGTTACAGTGTTTGTGGCTTCTATAATAGCATTTCCTTTTGATTCTTTCTTAGAATATCCATTTCTCTGTTTACATTATCCATCTGTTCTTGCACATTGTCTATTTTTTTCTAACAGAACCTTTAGCATATTAATCATAGTTAGTTTAAATTCTCAGTCTGATAATTTCAAAAATGTCTACCATATCTGAATCTGGTTCTAATGCTTGCTTTATCTCTTCAGATTGTAGTTTTTCTTGCCTTTTAGAATGCCTTGTAATTTTTTTGTTGAAAGCTGGGCATGATGTATTGGGTAATAGAAACTGAGGTACATAAATAAACCTTTAGTGTGAAGTTTTATGTTGATCTGGCTAGGGGTTATGCATGTTTACTGTTTGCTGTAGCTGTAGGTGTCATAGGCTTAGATTTCCTCAATTATCTTTGTCCTCCCTCACCCATTGTATCTTTACGTTTCCCTAGAAACTCCTTCTTAAATCGAGTTTGAGTATTTCCGTTATTTTGCTTGTAATTCACTGTCATTATACAGGAGCACTGTTGATGTGGTTATAGGATGTAGGGGGAGGGGAAGCATTCTATAATCCTATGATTGGGTCTTAATCTTTTATTATGCTTGTGCCCCTGGGCTGTGACCTTCACAAGTGACTCTCAGCTTTTATTTTTCCTCTTAGGTGAGACAGGAAAGCTACAGAGGGCTGGAATAAGGTAATTTTTCTTCTACCAAGTCAGATAAGGCTCTGGTAAATTCTTTTCCCTTGTTACTGATTCTTTCTTTTGTAAACAATGCTCTGGGCTTATTTCAAAATGGTTACTTTCATATGTCCAAAGTGTTACTTTTCCTTCTTGCTCTGGCCAAGCACTAAGTAAATTTTTTCTAATCTTCACCATGAGAACCTTGTGGGGGGAATCCTAGAGGTAAAACCCATGAAAATGTTGGGATCCCACTGAAATTAGGCTCCCAGTAGTTTTTTTTTGTTGTTGTTGTTGTTAATTTTATTATTATTATTATACTTTAAGTTTTAGGGTACATGTGCACAATGTGCTGGTTAGTTACATATGTATACATGTGCCATGCTGGTGCGCTGCACCCACTAACTTGTCATTTAGCATTAGGTATATCTCCTAATGCTATCGCTCCCCCCTCCCCCCACCCCACAACAGTCCCCAGAGTGTGATGTTCCCCTTCCTGTGTCCATGTGTTCTCATTGTTCAATTCCCACCTATGAGTGAGAATATGCGGTGTTTGGTTTTTTGTTCTTGCGATAGTTTACTGAGAATGATGATTTCCAATTTCATCCATGTCCCTATAAAGGACATGAACTCATCCTTTTTTATGGCTGCATAGTATTCCATGGTGTATATGTGCCACATTTTCTTAATCCAGTCTATCATTGTTGGACATCTGGGTTGGTTCCAAGTCTTTGCTATTGGGAATAGTGCCGCAATAAACATATGTGTGCATGTGTCTTTATAGCAGCATGATTTATAGTCCTTTGGGTATATACCCAGTAATGGGAGGGCTGGGTCAAATGGTATTTCTAGTTCTAGATCCCTGAGGAATCGCCACACTGACTTCCACAATGGTTGAACTAGTTTACAGTCCCACCAACAGTGTAAAAGTGTTCCTATTTCTCCACATCCTCTCCAGCACCTGTTGTTTCCTGACTTTTTAATGATTGCCATTGTAACTGGTGTGAGATGGTATCTCATTGTGGTTTTGATTTGCATTTCTCTGATGGCCAGTGATGGTGAGCATTTTTTCATGTGTTTTTTGGCTGCATAAATGTCTTCTTTTGACAAGTGTCTGTTCATGTCCTTCACCCACTTTTTGATGGGGTTGTTTGTTTTTTTCTTGTAAATTTGTTTTGAGTTCATTGTAGATTCTGGATATTAGCCCTTTGTCAGATGAGTAGGTTGCGAAAATTTTCTCCCATTTTGTAGGTTGCCTGTTCACTCTGATGGTAGTTTCTTTTGCTGTGCAGAAGCTCTTTAGTTTAATTAGATCCCATTTGTCAATTTTGGCTTTTGTTGCCATTGCTTTTGGTGTTTTAGACATGAAGTCCTTGCCCATGCCTATGTCCTGAATGGTAATGCCTAGGTTTTCTTCTAGGGTTTTTATGGTTTTAGGTCTATCGTTTAAGTCTTTAATCCATCTTGAATTAATTTTTGTATAAGGTGTAAGGAAGCGATCCAGTTTCAGCAGTAGTTTTTAACTACTTACTAAAGCTAGTCCATACTTAGTGACCAGAAATTCATCGAAGTTACTATTTAAGTGTTCCTACTGCTATTAGGCCCAATGGCTTCTGCTTCAGGTAAACTGATCTATATTCTCTGGATTTGCTTGCCTGTGCAGTTTCTGGGGTGGCAGTTTGTACTATGACCTCAATTCTCTGAAGGATCTAAGACAAGTCATTGGTTTTCAGTTTGTTCTGCCTTTTTCTTGTTAAGAGGGCGGGATTGATGACTGACATGCTCTTTACATTTTGGAATGAAAACCAGATGTTTCTGATGTTACTATATTTTAAATTTATGAATAAGTTACACTCTTCTCAACTAGAAAGATCTATAAATCTAGAGTTATACAGCTCCAGTTGTCCAAATGTGTTTCTATCAGGGCACTTAAGTTTTTCACATTATCAGTCAGATATTATTGTATGAAACAATTTAGAAACATATAAACAACTGCTCCTTTCTGGTAACTACGAACATTACTACAGTTCATTTGCAAATATTCCTTTCAACTAATTGAATGGCAACTAATGAGCTAAAATAAGAAAGTAAAATTTCCTCAAATTAAAGGGAAGATGGGGAGGGAATTATTTTCCTATTCAGAATTAAAAAAAACATTTAATTAGAATACTCATTTAAAACATTAGTTCTGAAGGCTGGGTGCAGTAGCTCACGCCTGTAATCCCAGCACTTTTGGAGGCCAAGGTGAGTGGATCACCTGAGGTCAGGAGTTCAAGACTAACCTGGCCAACATGGTGAAACCCCGTCTCTATTAAAAATACAAAAAATTAGCTGGGCGTGGTGGCAGGCACCTGTAATCCCAGCTACTCGGGAGGCTGAGGCAGGAGAATTGCTTGAACTTGGGAGGCGGAGGTTGCAGTGAGTGGAGATCATGCCATTGCACTCCAGCCTGGGTGACAGAGCAAGGCTCTGTTTCAAAAAAAAAAAATTAGTTCTGGGAACTCTTAAATAAAGACAATGACAAATAGCATATTGGTTTTCTGTTGCTGCACAACAAATTACAACAAATTTAGCAAAATAAAACACTTTCTATTAGCTCACAGTTCTGTAGGCTTGAAGTCTGGATAGGCTCAACTGGGTTCTATGCCGAGGGTTTCATAAGGCTGAAATTAAAATATTGGCCATCCTGGGCTCTTACCTGGAGGCTCTGGGAAAGAATCCACTTCCAAGATCACTCAGGTTGTTGACTGAATTTAGCTCCTTGAGTTGTAGGACTGAGGTCTTCATTTCCTTGCTTCTGTTTGTGGAGGGTTGCTCAGCTCCTACAGGCTGCTTTTCCATCCTTGCACATGACCTCTTCCATTTTCAAAGCCAGAAATGGTACATCAAATCTTTCTCACACTTTGAATCTCTATGACTTCCCCTTCTGCCATCAGCCAGAAAATGTTCTCTGCTTTTATGGGCTCATGAGACCAGATGGTGTCTACCCAGATAATCTCCCTATTTTAAGGTCAACTGTGCTGTATACCTTAACATAATCATGGGAGTACTACCTCATAACATTCAAAGGTTCCAGGGATTCAGGTGGAACATTTTTGGAGGCACATCCTAGAACTTCTGCCTACTACCAGTGGGTATCCAGGTCTCCTAGGATAGGGGAGGCCAGAAACATTCAGCACATTGGACACTTTAACAAGAACTAGGCTACTTCAGTCTGCAGAACAGAAGAAAGGGGTAACAGGTTCTACATTCTTCAAAGACTGCATGTAGAAGAAATGCTTATACACGCATTCACTCCACAAACAAGATTGGGTTCCTGTCAGGTGCCAACACATGTGTCAGATGTTGGAAATACAAAGATGAATAAGACCCATTTCTGTTCTCAGGGAGCTCACAATCTCATGTCCAGACAGGAGAGGCTGAGGTGAAAGCCTCTAAGATGTCCTTGTCTGATAGACTTCTCTAGAATGATCCTATGCTGTCCTTCTCTGTGATTAAATGATATCTGATAACCATTGAATCTCCTCCTATGATGTCCCTCTCTGTAATGGTCCTCTATGATGTCCCTTTGTACGATGCCCTTATCTGTGATGAGCCGATGATGCATTTAATCTGTGATGACTCTATCTATGCTGTCCCTCTCTATGACACTTGTCTCTCTAGCACCCCTCTCTGTGGTGCTCTTCATTATGGCACTCCTTTCTATGGCAACCCCTCTCTATGGAGCTTCTCTCTCTGGTGCCTCTCTCTATGGTGCTCCTCTCTATGGACCCCTCTCTATGGTACACCTCCCTATGGTACACCTCCCTATGGTGCTCCTTTTCATTATATCTATTTCTAGGAAACCATCCTCTAAGAGGCTGGCTTTAAGAAGCTCCACTCTGACTGACAAAAACAAGCAATGGGGAAAGGATTCCCTATTTAATAAACGGTGCTGGGAAAACTGGCTAGCCATATGTAGAAAGCTGAAACTGGATCCCTTCCTTACACCTTATACAAAAATTAATTCAAGATGGATTAAAGACTTAAATGTAAGACCTAAAACCATAAAAACCCTAGAAGAAAACCTAGGCAATACTATTCAGGACATAGGCATGGGCAAGGACTTCATGTCTAAAACACCAAAAGCAATGGCAACAAAAGCCAAAATTGACAAATGGGATCTAATTAAACTAAAGAGCTTCCGCACAGCAAAAGAAACTATCATCAGAGTGAACAGGCAACCTACAGAATGGGGGAAAAATTTTGCAATCTACTCATCTGACAAAGGGCTAATATCCAGAATCTACAACGAACTCAAACAAACTTACAAGAAAAAAACAAACAACCCCATCAAAAAGTGGGCGATGGATATGAACAGACACTTCTCAAAAGAAGACATTTATGCAGCCAAAAGACACATGAAAAAATGCTCATCATCACTGGCCATCAGAGAAATGCAAATCAAAACCACAATGAGATACCATCTCACACCAGTTAGAATGGTGATCATTCAAAAGTCAGGAAACAACAGGTGCTAGAGAGGATGTGGAGAAATAGGAACACTTTTACACTGTTGGTGGGACTGTAAACTAGTTCAACCATTGTGGAAGACAGTGTGGCGATTCCTCAAGGACCTAGGGCTAGAAATACCATTTGACCCAGCCATCCCATTACTGGGTATATACCCAAAGGATTATAAATCATGCTGCTATAAAGACACATGCACACATATGTTTATTGCGGCACTATTCACAATAGCAAAGACTTGGAACCAACCCAAATGTCCATCAACGATAGACTGGATTAAGAAAATGTGGCACATACACACCATGGAATACTATGCAGCCATAAAAAAGGATGAGTTCATGTCCTTTGTAGGGACATGGATGAAGCTGGAGACCATCCTTCTGAGCAAACTGTCGCAAGGACAGAAAACCAAACACCATTCACTCATAGGTGGGAACTGAACAATGAGAACACTTGGACACAGGAAGGGGAACATCACACACTGGGGCCTGTTGTGGGGTAGGGGGAGGGGGGAGGGATAGCATTAGGAGATATACCTAATATAATGTTAATGGGTGCAGCACACCAACATGGCACATGTATACATATGGAACAAACCTGCACGTTGTGCACATGTACCCTAGAACTTAAAGTATAATAATAAAAAAATAATAAAAATAAAATAAAATAAAATAAAAAAGAAGCTCCTCTCTGAGAAGCCACTCTTTTTTTTAAGTATTTTTAAAGTTGTGGTAAAATATTCATAACGTAAAATTTACCATTTAGCCCTTTTAAAGTGTACAATTCAATGACATTAAGTACATTCACAATGTTGTATAACCATCATTAGGTACTTCTGGAAGTTTCTCGTCATCCCAAACAGAAACTGTGTTCATTAGACAAGAACTTCCCACTCTTCCTTCCCCCAGCTCCTGGTAATCTCTGTTCTACTTTTTATCTCTATGAATTTGCCTATTCTAGAGACCTTTTGTAAGTGGAATCGTACAGTATTTGTCCTTTTCTGCCTGGCTTCTTTCACTTAGCATAATGTCTTCAAGTTTTATAGCATGTTGTAGCATGTGTCAGACTTTCATTTCTTTTAAAGGTCCTGAATAAAATTCCATTGTATGGGTATATCACATTTTATTTATCCATTTATATGTCAATGGACACTTGGGTTGCTTTCACTTTTTGGCTATTGTGAATAATGCTGCTGTGAACACTGGTGTACAAGTGTATGTTTGAGTCCCTGCTCCCTGCTTTCTATTCTTTTGGGTGTATACCTAGGAGTGGAATTGCTGGATTATCTGGTAATTTTATATTTAAATTTTGAAGAACCACAAAACTGTTTTCCACAGTGGCTGTACAATTTTATATTCCCACCATCAATGCATAGAGTTCCAATTTCTCCATGTCCTCACCAACGCTTGTTGTTTTCTCTGTGTGTGTGTGTGTGTGTGTGTGTGTGTTTGATAGTAGCCATGCCATTGGGTGTGAAGTGGTAGCTCATTGTGGGCTTGTTTGGAAGCCACCCTTTAAAATGCTTTTTTCTATGACGTTCCTGTCTATGATGTACTCCTCTCTGACACCCCTCTTTGATATCCCTCTCTATTATTATTTTTTATAATACCGACCCTCTCTATAGTGTCCCTGTCTGTGGTGCTCCTCTGTATGATGCCCCTCTCTACAATTCCCCTTGTGCCCTTTGCATTTTTTCCTCCTGTATGGTCCCCCTATCAGTAGAATGAGCTATCCTTCTGGGGATGATCTCCTTTTCCTGGGGGCATTCAAACAAAGGCAAGATGGCCAGCAGTCAGGGTTGCTGTTAAAGAGATTTCTGAGGTCACTTATGACTCTAGCTTATGACAACAATGTCATCATCTTTTCAGTGTGGCTTTGAGCTGTTCTTCCAGCATCTGAGATGTATTTGTACTGACTCATTCAGACACCTTCTGTATCTGTCCTTCTCCATGGCCAGTGGCATAGTCCATGAAAAAATTACTGAGTGCAGTTCGGGTTGCTGCCTTTGACTGCGTAATTTGGTTTTACACTCATTTCTGCTTTTTTAACCATCACTTTGTATAGTAGTTGCTATGAGCCAAAGACTGTTGTAAGCATTGCATAAATACTAACACATTGACTCCATTTAATTCCTGTTTTACGGATGAGGAATTGAAACCAGAGAAGTTGAGACACTTCTGTCTGCTAACACAGTGTGTAAGTGGAGAAGCTGGGATTCAAACTCAGGTTGTCTGGCTCTCAAGCACTGAGTTGAAAGGTCAACAAATGTTTTTTGAAGATTGACCATATGCTGGGTACTAGACAAAGATACAGTTCTTGTGCTTATTAAGGAGTCAGGTCCAGAGGAAGAGAGAAATGTTCATTGATAGTGATTCTGATGCCCAGGATTCATGAAGGTGAGTGGTGAGAAATATGGCTGAGAAGGTAGACAAGAGCTAGATGGAGAAGGAGAGCCTTGCCAGGATTGGACTTTAGAATCATGTAAGATCAGACTAGGACTGATCTGTGATGAAATTTCCAACAAGGTGTAGTGAAATGAAGAAAATGTAGGCAATTTAATACATTTTTTCATAAAGCTAAATTAATTTACTATAAAAGGCCGTCCTTTTTCCCAAGATTACATCTTTCTTATATTTTTTGATGGCAAAATGTCCATTCTTTTGATATTTTGGAGGTAAGAAGGTTTTTTTGTTATGTCATTAATGGTTAATTTAAAGTTGGCAACCCATATTAACTTCTGCCATTAAAAAATAACATTAGTCCCTGAAATTTGAAAATCTGGGAATCAATGCCATAAGAAATATCGGAACAAAGCAATACAAAATATCAGTGAGAGGTCAAGTACAGTAAAAGCTAAAGTGCTGAATAGATTTGGCCATGAGGAAGTCATCAGCCACATTATTTGGGGGCAGTTTTGACAGGGTGATGCGGTGGGAGGCAGGCTATGGTGGGAATGCATAAGTCTCATTTATCTCTAGGCGACAAAACTTGGGTGGTCACACAGAAAAAATATGTATTGGCTCATTACATGTATGTGCTTATGTTCTTCTGGTTGATAGGCTGCCACATATTTAAGACAGGTGGAAAGGAAAGAGAAATGACAAAGAAACTAATTTAAGCGAAGGTTGTTAAGCAAAAAGATTGACAGACTCTAAAATTACCCACTCAACCTGATGAAAAAAGTATTCATCACTTTTCCTCTCTCTCTTTCTCTCTCCCTTGGTCCCTCTCTCTCTTTCAGTGATGCCAATATCTTCCTAGATCAGAAACTAGATGAACATCAGCATCCTAAAAATCTAAGCATCTCTATGAGGGATCAAAGTCATGTTCAGGGACACATGTCTTCACCAGCATGCGAGTCATTCCATTCTTGCTCTGCCTGGCCCAGATTGAGGAAGACATCTGAGACTGGACTTTATGTCCGTTCCAGAGAGTGTACAGCATGAAATACTGTCCTTCCGGCTGCCAGTCTGACTTGGCCTGAGAGAAATTGGGCGAGAAGCATGCCCAAGTCTCCACTGAACCAATGTGGAGAGTTAATCACAAGTTAGGGCACTTTGGATTGAACGTTCATCTATGATGAACTGGCAAGCCACTCTCCCTGTGTGTTTTCCCTTCAGACTGTATGATTTCAGTGCAAAGGTTGTCTTAGAACCTGAAAACCCAGAAACATTTTCAAACCTGAATTGGCCTATTCTCGGAGACTAGTGCTGAGTCTACTGGGATAACATCAATCTGCAGGTTTTTCCCAGCACTGAAGACATAGTTCATCCTATAATTGGAAAATAATTTGATTTATATTCCATTGTGTCAGAGCCTTCACTCAGGTCTCTTGGAGGAGAGGTCTAGGCAGCAGGAAGATGGTCTAGTTTTGAAAAAAAAAATGCTCCATAGACACTTATGGAGAAAGTGCAAAAATGGAGCCTGAGTGATGTTTATGAAAGAATTCCAATGCCTCTTTGTAGATTCCCGAGTTAGATTGAGGGATGTGAAGCATGGAGAGCCCAGACACAAAAACAGTGTAATGATTGGCCTCCCATCCTGGAACTTGCATTTGCTGGGTCCTGCCTACTACATGCCAGGCACTTGACATAGGAGTTCATTACATCCTCTCAATGCCACTGCAAATGGGTGTAATTATCTCTATTTTTCTAAAGAAGAGTAAACAAAGTCCAGAAAGATGGGTAACAAAGTCCAGAAAGATGGGTAACTTGGCCCAGGTCACATAGCTGGCAAATACCCAAGTGATAATTTGAACCTGAACCCAAGTCTGCCTTACTCTTAGACCACATCCTTTCCTGTGCTCCAAAGGCTGAGTTTGTAAAGTGTGATGGATGCCTCTGCTAGAAGTGCAGAGTATACAAGCAGAACAACCCAAGACACATGCTATTGATTCAGGCAGTTGTACTCAGGGCATTTTCCTGTGGAGTTTATGCTGGACCTACTAGCATCATTTTCCTCATTTTTCTCAGGGAATGCCTGGAAACCAAGATAATTGCTCATCAGAACTACTTTAGGAAACCCAAGTGGCAATGGGGGACCCTCTTAACCTAGAAAATTCTGGGAAATTATCCCTCTCATGCAGAGGTTGGCAAACTTTTTCTCTAAAGTGTCAGGTAGTCAATGTTTTCCGCTTCATGAGTCAGAAAAATCTCTGTCGCAACTACTCAACTCTGCTGTTGTAGCTCAAAAGCTGCTGCAGACAATAATTCATAAATGAATGAGTGTGGCTGTGTTCCAATAAACCTTTAAGGTCACTCAAGCTTGAATTTTGTATAATTTTCACTTGTCACAAAATGTTATTTCCTTCTAAAATTTTTTTCAAATTTAAACATGTAAAAACCATTCTTAGCTCACAGGCCATACAAAAGAGGTGGGCAGTGTGGATTTAGCCCGCAGGCCATAGTTTGCCAATCCCTGCTCCAGAGGATCATATTTTATTTTATTTTTCCCCATATGTTAGATGGTTTACTCTCAGAAGGTTTACAAAAGTAGACAAGAAGATCTGTTGATAATTAATTAGTGAAAAACTACTGAATATAGCTTGACATTTTAAATCCTATTAACAACAATTTTTGGCCACCAGAATGACTCACAGTAAACAAAATTCCTTATTACTTTTTTTAAAAAAACTTTCTTTTAATTGAAATTTCAATTGAAATAATTGTAGATTCATACACACTTGTGAGAAATAATATATAGAGACCCCTTGCACCCTTCACCCAGGTTCCCCCTATGGTAACATTTTGCAAAATAATCTACCAATTTTGTCCAGATTTCTTCAGTTTTGCTTGTACTGGTGTGTGTGTGTGTGTGTGTGTGTGCGTGTGTGCATAAGTGTGTGTGTGCGCATGCATGCACATATTTAGTTATATCACTGCAAAGATCCCTGTGTTGTCCTTTCATAACTATGTCCACCTCCCTCCTGCCCCCCTATCCTTAGCTCCTGGCAACTACTAATCTGTTCTTTATTTCTAAAATTTGGTCATTTCAAGAATGCTACACAAATGGAATCATATAGTATGTAATTTTTTGACACTGACTTTTCATTCAGAATATTCCCCTGGAGATTCATCCAGGTTGTTGCATGTATCAGTAGTTAATTCCTTTTTATTCCTGCATAGCATTCCATGGTAAAGATTACCATTGTTGGTTTAATCCTTCATTTGCTGAAGGACATTTGGATTGTTTCTAGTTTCAGGCTAACATGAATAAAGCATCTCTGAATGTTTGTGTGCAGGTTTTTTGTGAACATTTCATGTCCCTGGGATAAATGCCCAAAAGTGCAATTTCTGGTCTATATGGTAATTTCATTTCATATTTATTACTTTTTAAATATTCCCTTTGCACATATTTTAAAATATGCCTTTTTAACATTACCACAAAAACACACCCTATAACAAATGACACCGTGGTAACAGCTCTTTAAAAATTCCCTGCCATCTTGCATTCTCATTTTATAGACATAGCAACTCTACACTAGAGAACTTAACTGACCCCAAAGGGTCAGTCATAAGTCACAGAATGGTCAGTGCAAGCTGAGCCAGAACAAGAAATCACTTCTTCCTTGTCTTCCATTAGTGCTCACATCTAAACATGCTGCACCAGTGAAATTACAGACAGAAGCAGCCAACGACATGGTGTTTCTCATTATGGAAGAAAGAAAATGGTTTACTTGGCTCTTAGGGATGTCATGAGCTCACATGTCCTAGCTACAGCCTTCCTCAATGGAGTCTTACGTGGCTTCTTCACTCAAAACTTGAGACTGCCTCACAGCATGGGCAAGTGACAAGGAATAGCAAAGTGCAAACATGCAAACAATGTTTAATATTTCTCCAGTGTGACTATGGGAACTGGAAACCCTAAAGCTCTGTGACACTTTTCATCAGTCCCCTGGGGGTTATGCAGCTGTGTGGTTAACAAGTTGACTATACTGATCAGAGAGGGTTGAACTAGTATTGATAAATTACAATTCCTCAAATCTAAAGCCTTTCCTGACACGTTTTCTAAATGGTCCAAAGAAGAGTTTGTTTCATTTCTACATTAGACTTAGCAATTGGTTTCTTCAGTCTACTGGCCATGACCAAGAAGTGCAGGAATCCTACCATCTTTCACTCCCTCCTCAGAATCTAGGAGCCATTACAACAATCCGTCCCTACCTTTAACCAGTGCTGCAGAGGGAGGTCTGTGGACCAACAGCATCAGCATCACCTGCTAACTTGTTAGATGTGCAGACTCTCAGGCTTCATTCTCAGAATGGTTGAATGAATTTCTGTGACTGAGGCCCACCAATCTGCTTCTTTCCTAGCTCTCACTCGGAGATTCTGAAGCTCACTAAGCCACTTTAGAATTAATTTCAAGTATATAACAGAAAAGTAAGTCATAGTTTTTAAATAAATTAATAATAATAATAATAAAAGCTCAACCAACAAAATAGTTCCAGCCCCTTTCTGTCAATTACACAGTCTTTATGAGGCCAATATTGATATAAACATAAACCAGAGTTGTTATTTCTGACATTCAGCAGATTGTAACTTTCTTCACGCATTCACTGTTTGTTTCTAATGAAAATGCTCAGTTTGTGCTTCTACTTAGCACCTATTTAAAATTCTTTATCAAACTGTAATTTCCTCGGAGGCAGGAAACGTGTGTCTCCATAGCCTAATAAATAGGTGTCTAATAAATGGTTGTTTAACAAATGAATGGATTGTGTTTTATATTACAGTTGCTTTGCCCTCCACTAAACAGTGCACTTACAGGTTGGAGAAGATGAGGGTTTTGTTTGTGCTGGGTTCCCGAAGATTTTCTCACTATCCCTAAGTATGCAGCTGACTTCTCTGAATACAATAGGTTCACAAAAGTTGTTGGATGCACAACAACAACCAACTAAATTGCACCTTTAGTGTTACTGCATAGAGTCCAAATAATTTTACCATGGACATTATTTCCATGTACATGTGGGAAAAAGTAATTTAGTATTGCCATTTTGAATATTGTTTAAGAAACATCATTACCTATAAAATGGAACTTGAGAGCATGTTTGGGGAGGTTCGTGGGTGAACAAAGGTACCTGTGACAGATGTACCTCCTTTCAAAAGGGTTTGTCATGGAACAATGAAGGCAAAAAGAGGCAATGATACTCAGCCAGGTGAGCCAGTGGGCCCCAGCATTTTTACTGAAATTTTCTAGTTAAGAAACCAAATTACACAGGCTCATTAGATGATCCAAATTCCGACATTCAGGTAGGATATTTCAAGCCCTTTGATGTTGAACTTTTAGGTGTATCTGCCTTGTTAGTTATTCTCTATGAATGAGAGTATCTGGCACTTCCACAGAAAGGTGGAAATGACAAATAAGCACCTTTGAAGGATCAGATATGTGTGAAGGAAAAACACAGTATCTGTGCTCAAGAATCTAAGATAACTTAGCAAGGATGATCTGTGCTCTTTAATTTTTACATATCCCATATGAAGGATGGGAAATGCTAAGTGTTTTCCTCAGTGGTCTTAGTTATAAAACATTACAGAGGGATTCAAGTTTTATAATCCACCTTTCAGCAAAACAAACAAATCATTTGTCTGTGCTTTGGAATCTAAGAGGAACATAAAGCAAAATTAGATATGTTTATGATAGGTAGACTTCAGCAATGAAGTAGGAGTTTGGAAAACTCCTACAGTCAACCCTAGGATGACTTCAATGGATGACTTCAACATGATTTTCTTTCTTTTCTTTTTTTCTCTTTCTTTCTTTCTTTCTTTCTTTCTTTCTTTCTTTCTTTCTTTCTTTCTTTCTTTCTCTCTTTCTTTCTTTCTCTCTCTCTTTCTTTTCTTTTTTCTTTCTTTCTTCTTTTTTTTTTTTTTTTGACAGAGTCTTGCTTTGTCATCCAGGTTGGAGTGCAGTGGTGTGATCTTGGCTCACTGCTACCTCTGCCTCCTGGGTTAACGTGATTCTCGTGCTTCAGCCGCCTGAGTAGCTGGGAATACAGGCGTGCGCCACCACGCCTGGCAATTTTTGTACTTTTAGTAGAGACGGGGTTTTGCCATGTTGGCCAGGCTGGTCTCGAACTCCTGACCTCAGGTGATCCGCCTGCCTTGGCCTCCCAAAGTGCTGGGGTAACAGGCATGAGTCACCGCACCTGGCCAACATGATTTTCTTTTCCATCAAAATGACATTTCCTTGAGAATGACAAGAAGAGAAAATGGCTACAAATATTAATTTCTTTCATTCTATATTGCTGCCATTTTTGTATATTTATAAGAATAAGATTTTGTTGTTGATTAGGGTTTTTGCTCTATCGAAATAACATCTTCAGGACATATATATTTCTTAAATGACTAACATGTTTCTGATCCAAGAGTACATACAAAACTGGACTGAGTATAACATTATCTTCCAAATAAATTTTAACTTTGTGTTTAATTTGTTTAAGCATTTTTCACAGAATTTGTCTCCAGACAAAACTCTTAAAAGTTAGTTTTGAGTCAACACGTTACAATGGTTGCCTGAAATCACTAACTATTTTAGTACTGTTAATTCAAATTCATTTGAGCAGTATTTCACATGCAAAGCTTCAGACTCATCCAGTCTCAGAATGATTCTTTGAAGGCATAAAGCTGTCAATTATGAATTAAATGGACAAGGTGATAGAAAGTAAATGTCTACCTTCAACTCTGGCAGGTCATTGTTTCTACATGCTATCAGTGTTTTTCATTAGCTGTATTAACAAAGACATCTTAAGTCCTGCCTAAGTCCACAGGCCTCTGAAGGAAGTCTAAACAACTTTGAGTGATTTGGAGTGGAAGCAGTACTAAGCAACAAATTCAAAAGCCTTTTGGTGGGCACCCTCTCCCCTAGAGGTGGTGTGTTTTGCCAGATTTGTCCTTCAGAGTGACAGTTCCATGGTTCACAGGTTTATCAAATACTAAGCCATAACCCTCAAAGAGCTGGGAGGGGATGATATTAGCCAGCATTTATTGAGTGCTTCCTCTGTTCAGAATACTACACATACTTCTTCTAATTTAGTCTTATCAAATGACTCTGAGAGGCAGGTGGTGAAAGAAACCAAGGTTAGGAAGTTAAGTGTTAGGAGTAGGAAGTCCAGCTAACAAGTGACACAGTAGAGATTCTAAGTTAGGTCTGTGTAGCTCAAAAGTTTATCCTCCTAACCTCTGTGCCATTCTGCAGGTCATCACAGGGCATTCAATAGCTAGTGATGGTGGCCATGGCAAATTGAGGGGTGTGAAAACCAGAGTTATTTTCTACACCTTTCCTTAGCTGGGATGGGAAGCAACACATATATACATTGATTTTATTTTGGTTTATTTATGAGGGGATAATTTGTATTGTGTGTACATGTGTACACATTCTCTCTCTCTCCCTCCCTCCCTCTTTCTGTGTGTGTCTCTCTTTCTCTCTGTGCACATGCGTGAGAAAGACAGAGACAGTGAGAGAGAGAGAGAGAGAGAGAGAGAAATAATACTTAGAAGTATTGAAAGTTTGAAGACCTCTCATCTAGTCTCTTCAACTAATTAAATGAAATTAATTTGTATTGTAACTTATCTCCCTTATGCATACCCATCTATTTGTAACTTGAGAAAGACTATATTCTTAATTGTTGCATTGCAATTGTTAAATTTATTGCAACCGAAGACATCACATTTCTCTATTGCATATTTTTATCTCCCCAGTCATGAGACAGTGGATGTCCTTTATCCTCACCTCCCCCTAATTGTTTCCCTTTGGTACACACTCTTTCCTTCCTTCAATTTTCATAAATTCAATAGTCAGGACCCAGAGAGAGCAAGAAACAAATAGATGCTATGTGGAATAAAACCATTACTTCCTGACACCTCCATATTTGTTCTTTCTGGTCTCTTGGAGTCTCCCAATTAGTTCTTGTCTTAATTTTCTGGCAAATTTCAGGAACCCTCACAATCTTCAAACTATCATCTTCCAATATTCTTCTCTTGGGAATTCCCTGGAAACTTCCTGCCAATATGCAATCCTAGGACCTGAGTAAGAGCCATATTTTATTGACTATGAGAGTAATCTTCCAGATGGCTTATTTTGTAACATTCCGCAAGCTATAGGACTCAGTACGTATAGGCATGTCTCCCCAAGCCTTTCTAATCAGTGGGCTAAGGAGAGACATTGTTCTATTCATTATACCATATGCCAATCCCTTCTCAAATCTGGGATCATAATTGATGGGTTTTCTTTTTTCCATAGGCCAAGCTTTTGTTTCATGGCTCTCATGTTCTTGAGCAGCCCCATTGGCCTCAAGCCCTCACTTACCCTAACAGTTAGATAATATCACCCATCAAGGAGTCCTAAAATGCAGTCCATTGACATTAAAGTGATAGTCTTTGCTGTCCTAAAGCTTATCTGTGCTGGACACATGCACAGCCTGGAGGGCAAATGGATTGTTCAGCAGCTTGCCAGGGAGAGATAAATAAGCAGTGAAGGAAAGAGCAGACCCTGGCAGGGCAAACCGAACTGGGCAAATCCATAAAGCTACAGCCAGTGAGCAAACAACAGCAGTCTTATATTCAGTCACTGGAAATGTGAAGTTTCTTTTGACCTAATGTGTTAATGTGAATCTATGATTCACACAGTCCCGAAAGACAACACATTTTGCAGCAGGCCGAGGAACTTTTGTTATAATGTCATCTATGGAAAAGATCAGGAAAGCAGAAAATATGATCTTTATAATGTTTGTGTACCTACAGGGCCAATTATCTATTAAACAATCATATAGAGTGATCATTTCAGGGAAACACTAAAAGAGACTTTAAAAATAGTCAGTAGATTCCAGTGATTTACGTCATAAAGAAACAGACCATCTTAAGTAACACATGGACATAAAAGCAAGCAGATGTTTGCATTCTAACCAGGGCACTAATGGAGGTGCTGTGGCATTGTATCAAAGTAAAGTTTGCCATCTTCAGAATTGCCCACTGGAGTTTTAAATACAGCTGTATAACTTTGAGTCAACAACTTGTAAGCATTCCCCGACCACTCTGAGCATCATTCTTTGCTGCAGGTAAGAATTAATAATTCATCACTAACACACCGTGTCAAACTCATTTTCTGAAACAGGCCTGAAATGTGTGATTGACTATAACATGAAAATTTGTCATAAAAACAATTCCTTGGGTTGCTGAATTGTAAACATAAGTTATTATGAGCAAAATCACAGTAAAAATAAATGAGCAAGACCAAACTCACAAGAGACTGGATTTGAAATTTCACATGCAAGCTGTAAGCCTGGCAGTTACCAACTCAAGCGTTGGGTACTCTGTAAAGCTTGACAGTAGGAATGGATCCAGATACTATGGCCTTTTACCTTTCTTCTGGAGAAATTTAAAGCATTTTTATAAATATTAAGCCAGATACTGCTCATTCAATAAATGACTCCTGGAAGTATAGAAGACATTTGTGGGGATTAACTCTTTAGGCCACCAAGCTATCATTCACTGCCTAAGAATAATCTTTTTTAAGGTAGGGAGAGCCAACCTTTTCTGGAACACCTCACAGCTTAGAAGGCCCAGATTCTTGCCACTCAAGCCTTTTCAAGTGGGGACATTTAAAAAGAAAATTGCACTTGCACTACTATTGTGGAATAGGACTAATTACAAAGATTAAAACAGCCTTGTCATCTTCAGGGGTTAGTTTCACTGGGAAAAACCCTACTAGGACACTAGTACTAAGTCACTCACCCGTTGGCTGGCTGTTTTGGCATGTGGACTAACAACACTCCCTTTGTCTTATTCTTGCTTTCTTCTAATTGCCCACTTTCACTTTTGTGCTGTTTGCTCCTCCTTTCGTAAAGATACCTAAAGAACAATATATTTTTAGCATCCACCAGCTCAAACACAATGCCCGTGTTTGTCTCATTTCTTATTTTTTGATTTGTTAATGTTTACTTTTCATTTCTTACTTTCTTCTTTATTTATCCTTTTTGCTGATTTCTTTAACTTGCAAGCATTTCCCCATAAACATATTTCTCACCCTTTCTTTTGTTTTCTTCCTTTCTCTCTCTTTCTCTTTCAGTCTCCAATATTTTCTAGCAATTTGTGGCTTGCCTCTTCTTGATCCCTTAGTCCTGCACCTGTTTGTTTGCTGGGCTTTTGTTTATATATGGGAGATGGGCTTGGCTGGAGAAAGCAGTAGGTTTTTGTTGCTTTGGGACCTCCCTTCCTCTAACATCTCTTGCTGATCTTTTTTTTCTCATTTTTTTTTCTTTTCTTTTCTCCCCTGACCTCTCTGGTCTTCCACTTATCTTGTAAATTATTATACTTGATCTTAAAAAATTATGGCATTTTCGCAGTAACCAAAACAGCATGGTACTTGTACAAAAACAGACACATAGAGCAATGGAACAGAATAGAGAACTCAGAAGTAAGGCCACACACCTGCAATCATCTGATCTTTGACAAACCTGACAAAAACAAACAATGCGGAAAGGATTTTCTATTTAATAAATGGTGCTGGGAGAACTGGCTAGCCATATGCAGAGAACTGAAACTGGACCCCTTCCTTATACCTTATACAAAAATCAACTCAAGATGGATTAAAGACTTAAATGTAAATCCCAAAACTATAAAAACTCTAGAAGAAAATCTAGGCAATACCATTCAGGAAATAGGCACAGGCAAAGATTTCATGATGAAGATGACAAAAGCAATTGCAACAAAAGCAAAAATTGACAAATGACATCTAATTAAAGAGCTTCTGCACAGAAAAAGAAACTATCATCAGAGTGAATAGACAGCCTACAGAATAAGATAAAATTTTTTCACTCTGTCCATCCTACAAAGGTCTAATATCTAGAGTCTACAAGGAACTTAAACAAATTTACAAGAAAAAAACAAAGTAAGCAAAGGACATGAATGGACACTTCTCAAAAGAAGACATACATGCAGCCAACAAACATATGAAAAAAAGCTCAACATCACTGATCAAGAGAGAAATGCATATTAAAACCATAATGAGATATCATCTCATGCCAGTCAGAATGGCAACTATTAAACAGTCAAAGAACAACAGATGCTGGCGAGGTTGTAGAGAAAAAGGAAGACTTTTACACTGTTGGTAGGAGTGTAAATTAGTTCAACCATCGTGGAAGACAGTGTGGCAATTCCTCAAAGATCTAGAGGCAGAAATACCATTTGAGTCAGCAATTCCATTACTGGGTATATAACCAAAGGAATATAAATAATTCTGTTATAAAGATACATGCACACTTATGTTCATTGCAGCACTATTCACAATAGCAAAGACATGGAATCAACCCAAATGCCCATCAATGATAGACTGGATAAAGAAAATGTGGTGCATATACACCATGGAATACTATGCAGCCATAAAAAGGAATGAGATCATGTCCTTTGCAGGGACATGGATGGAGCTGGAAGCCATTATCCTCAGCAAACTAATTCAGGAACAGAAAACCAAACACTGCATGTTCTCGCTTATACATGCTAACTGAATGATGAGAACACATGGACACATTATGGGGGAACGACACACACTGGGGCCTGTTGGGGAGGTGGGGGGATGGAGAGCATCAAGAAGAATAGCTAATGCATGCTGGGCTTAATACCTAGGTGATGGGTTGATCTGTGTAGCAAACCATCACGGCACATGTTTACCTATGTAACAAATCTGCACATCCTGCACATGTACCCCTGAACTTCAAATAAAAGTTAAAGATTAAAAAGAAGTATGACATTTTATTTTCTTATATCTTTCATCTAACTTCAAAAAAAGTAAAAAATAATTAAAGCTTACCCTCCTTAAAATAGAAAAACGTTCAAATGGACACATACAGTTGCATGTGTGTGTGTATGTGTGCGTGTGTATAATACATATATAATATATATAAATAAAATGTACATAGAAATGTATATAAATATGAACAGTGTTGCTTTATCATTGATAGTGACCCCAGTAAATAAAACAAGAACTGGTTGTACTAACACCAATACATGGAAATAATCTACTAGAACTACACAAGCCATGAAATGGTCTTGGAAGCGACAATACAGATTAATTCTTTTATTTTGGAATATAGCAATATGCACATTTCATTGGACTCATTAGTATTATGTATTTAAATTTAAATTTAACATTGATCAATAGCAATAAATTATATACAACACACACACATATACACAACATATTATTTTATTCACAGAAGGCAGGTCATTTATAAATAAACTTTTGCATAGTCTAAAACTCATATATTGATTTATGCTACCAAAATACAGCCTGGGTAAGCAGAGAAACAAATAAACCAAATAGACAAATATATATAAAATAGGCTGTTTTAGAGATAACACAGGACAGATTTTATTAACTAATTTATGACTTACAGTCTGTTGGCAGAAGCCTTCCTTCTCCCTAATTTCAGTCTTTCTGAACAGGAAAAACAGACCAGAAGGCTTGATGGTGTGCAAAGCTCACATCTTTATCTCTGCAAGAGCTTTATTTGGGGGTCTGGAAACAGAAATTCTCACCATTTTTCATTGATTGTAATGTTTGATATGTTTTCTCTTTGCTGGGACCTTCACTCTGGATCATTCTGCCAGGTTCCTTCATTATCTTCAAACTATTGGCAAATGATTTATTGGCAGTAACTATATTCATGGACAAGGTGAACTCATTTTCTGGCTTGACACTGTAGCCCTCCCTTCCTTCTATTGCACTGTGACTCCAAAAACACCCAGGCTTGCAGCAATTACTACTGCACATACTAATCAGAAGTTTCTATGAAGTGCTCCTGCTTTGAACTCAGCAAAGCCACAGCCAAGTGGGTCCTTATGAAATGAAAATGGCAGTCCCTTTGGGACATACTATTCCGATTTAAAATGGACTTTTAAAAAATTGCACTTCTGTCTTGAAATCCATTTGTGCTAACATGGGTCATGTAGAGGAAAAATTACGAAGGCAGGGAAAGTAGTGGAAAGAGAAAGGTCTTTACATGGCTAGGACTTTTTTTTTTCAGATAACAGCTTCCACTCCACTTCCATCCTCATCCCTCCCATACACCCAAATCCCAATCTGGGTGCATACAGTAAAATCTTAAATATGCACACTGAGAAGCAAGTGCAATCTAGTTATCTGAAAGTTCATACAAACGCTTCTCAATCTTCCACCCAAACATTACACAAGTGAAATGACAAAATGGGTTGCCTCCCACTCTCTCCCACACGTTTTTCTATAGGAACATAAGTGTTTAGATAACTGAATAGGATCTTGATGGGAAATTTAAGCTTCTTAAGAATTCAGTGAAAGATAAATGTGGTTTTATTAATACATACATACGCCCAAACCGTAGACATACAGTTCAGTTCTAAAATAAAGAGACTTACATAATGTGTGCCAAGAACAAAGGGAAAGACAAGGAACAAGGCAAGAAGATATAAATTTTGGTAATGACTTAGATCCTATAATGCAACACCTGCACAAAGGGAAGCTAATACCTTGATTCCACAAGGTTTAACCTCCTCCTCCCCCTCACCTGCCCATTCCAAGGTTTTCCTAACCCTATGGCTGCAGCTTTCACTGCCTAATGACTCCCCTTAATGGGAGAATATTTGGAAGCCAGAAAGGAATTCGCTGAGGTCACTCAAGGGTAGTGGAATTACACATGTCATATAAAATGCTCTTGCTAAATTGATGCTAGAAAAACGGAATGGCAAAACCTTCACCCAAACCCTACTGGGAACGTGAAGTTAATGGAGTGTGCTCATCTGTTAGTGCAAACTCTCGGGTTACAATTTTCTAAATCCTATAGTCCTCTTAGAAATGATAAGGGATCTCAGCTGAGAAAAGCAATGTAGCTTATTCCTATTTGGGATCCCTTAATCCAGGTTGAGGGGAGGGGGTAAGGGGGTTGGAATGAAATAGAAAGAATTCGCCAGACAACTGAAGTTAATAGCTGTCCTGTACATTATCAACAAGGAGAAAACTTCACTTAGGTAAACTTACAGAGATCTTGGCTGTCAAGACCCTCATATCCCACCCCAGGAAGTTATTGAAAATAGCTCTTCTCCCTCCAGGCTTTACTGCTGATGAATTTGTGGGTTATAATGGTAACTCACATGTAGGGCATTTGACCATGTATGAAGTGATTTTCATTCACGTAGACCTCATTTGATTGTTCCAAAAATTCTTGAGGTGAGTGTTTATGACCTAATTTTTAAAGATGGGGAAGATGAGATTCAGAGAAACTTAGCATCACACAGCTACTAAATGGATGAGCTAAGACTTGAACCCACACCATGACTTTCCACCTCAAAGCTCATGCATTTTTCCACTCAATCAGGTTACTCCCTTCCACCAAACCAGGCCAACTTTCATTGTCCCCTACACCACTATCCTTCTAGATATGTGAATCAAATTCCTGAGAGTCTGTTTTTACACCTAGTCCCTCATGATCTCCCTTGCCCCATGCATCATCCACTCCTTTCGATTTCACCTCTCTAAAATAGAAATGAAATCCATCCACTTCTCTTCATCTCTACCACCACGATATTAGTACAAGCAGATATTATTTTTGCTTTCCAAGGCTCCTGTTTGGTTCACCTACGTTGACTCTGATGGCCCTCCAATCTGCTCTACTATTTTGATGCAAAAGTAATCATGGTTTTTGTAATTACTTTTAACTGCAAAAACCGCGATTACTTTTGCAACAACCTAATATTTTCCAGGTTGCTGCCAATGTGAACTTTTCAAAAGACCAATGTCATCCCTTGCTGAAAACTCCCTCATAGAGTCTGGCCATTTCCTACCCCTGAAAACACACTGCCTCAAGTCCTTTCTGTCCAGCTCTCAGCTCAAGCAATCCTTTCTCAGGGAAATTTTCTCTGCCTTTCTCTGTAGCAGATCAGCTACATCCTCTTAGTACAATCACATGGCAACATATACCTCCATTTTATAGCTTTTATTCCAGGTGAACCTTTACTCATGTCTGTGTGATATTTCATCAATGTTTGTCTCCTACACTTGACTGTTATTTACTTGAATGCAGGTTCCACTTTAGCCTTAGCACACAGGATGATGCCTGGTTCAGAGAAAGCATTTGACAAATATTATTGAACAAATGTAAAGCTTCTCTTTCTTCTTTTTCTCTTTTTCCTGCCCTCTCTCCATTCCTCTACTCTCATCCTTATCCCTTTCCTTGTCCCATCTTCATGGGACTTTGCTCTCTTACTTAGTCTTAATTGGAAAGAAATCCATGACAAAGCAGTAAATATGGCAACTACAAATGTTGTTCTCCCTAAAGTCATTTGATTTCAACTAGGAGACTCTTGATGCCTTAAAAGACAACAAAATCATTCTCTAATGCTGATGTTTTAGTCATTCTCATGAGATGGGGAAGATACACCCTATTTCATGAGTTCTCTGGGGAAATTCTTTCCCAGTTTAACCCAGCCGATATTGGGAGGTATCTTACATTTGTTGCTGCTCAGGCTGCAGTTGTGATATAATTGTCAATGCCTGCCCATGAACTCTCTTGATCATAGTAGTTCTTACTGTTGTCAGTTCATTTGAGCTACAGGCATTATTTTAAAACAAGCCTTGCCTGTTAGGAGAAGAGAAGTTGCACACCTGGTAAAACCACTCAAAGAAAAAGGAAGGAGGAAAGATTCCTGCTCCCCCCGTCCCCCCCACCCCGCCCACCAGCCAGAGAGAGAGAGAGAGAGAGAGAGATTGAGAGAGAGATCCTCTCAAGGCTCAGGTGGTACTGGGGCAGAAAGTTGTCCGGACAGATACCCAGGAGACTATGGACCCCACCAAGCGCGCTGGTTCTTAATGCATTTGTAGGCATATGTTTAAAGTGTTAAATAATTAGCTCACTGAGATGTGTAGTGACTTGATGGGCATTCCTTGGGTTATGAATGGACAACTGCATTCTCTTGTAGGCCCATTTGTGGAAAGAATATAGTCTTGATCATCACCTTCTAGTAGAAATGCAGAGAAAGAAGCTCTTTATTTAAAAATGCTGCATTTTGGCCCAAAGTATGTCGGCACGGTGCAGAAAAGCACAGATACAACGACTCAGTTGAAAAGTTAAGGCTTCTTAAAAGTTTATCTCACCTATATCTTCCATTTTATTTATGCACAGGGGGAGACATATGATTTTTAAATAATCAGTCTAAATAATAGTCAGCCAATAACTCTCTGTTAGAGAGTTATTTCTATCTAAAAGAGAATAACTCTCTGTTAGAGAGTTATTTCAATAAATTTAGCATAAAATATTTAAATGCTAAGAAAACATTGTGTTATAGATTAATTGGAAGAATTTTTTCTTTCTTAGCGTTGAATCTTATAATCGATCATATATGAGATTCAATAAAAATAAGTCAGAAGTAGGGAGCCATTTGATCTACGCTTTGATAAAGCTGCCCTGCTTCCTCATTACACAAACACCATATGGCCCCCACTTGCCTTAGCAAAGAGTGAACTCTTGCCAAGATATGTTAGCGCATGGGATACATTCTCTCCACATCTTGGACGCCACATCAGATTAAATGTTACATTCTGCTGGGGTAGGGTGTTGGTGGATGGGGAATTAGAGAAAGAGACTGGGGTCTGAGGGTAATCTAGGGGGGCAAGTGGCTTTTACCAATGAATTTGCTAGCCCAGCTCCTCCCGCCATTGCTGGTGAAAAAGATTTCAAGCTGTTAAATTAATAAGTATGAAGTGAGTATTTTTTTGCTTTATAAAATACGGTACTTTTGAGAAAACACCTTAAAAGGGGGAAATCTACATTGAGAAGACGTAGATTGCTAGAGAAGAAAGAAGTCTTTAGAGCAAGGGTGTCAAACACAAAAACCTACAAGGGACAAACAGGTAACACCAATAAACAGAGGACATGGTGTAAGACATTAGAAGGTATATCATGCTTCACTGAAACACAAATTTTAAATCATTGAGTGGGCAAAATTACATAAGGGCCACCAGTGTGCATCTGCTTCTACTTCTTCAACCCCTGAATTGTTTACTTGACGATGTGCCTAACTTATCCCCACCCATTTCAGATCCAGCCAATATTTACTGATTGGCCTCATGCCCAGCATTGTGCCAGGTACGTTCACAGACATGACCATTTTCAATACTCATAACCGTCCAATGAAGTGTGTATTTATGTCTCCATCGATAGATGAGGAAATTGAATCCCTGAGAAGTTTAAAATGTCTTGGCCAAACCCACCATTCATTGCTCTGGAAGAAACTTGGGAAACACTACCATTCTTTTGTTTCTTAACATTGAGCCAAGGATATCAGTTCGAGTAAACTTGTTATCTGTTCTCTGGTAGTTTATATGCTGTTTTGTTCCCCCAAGGCAATACATGATGAGTGTGTCAGTACAGATATAAATAACTGCACAATTAGATACTCAGGGGGAGAAATAATTTTGGTTAAAATAATCAAGGCCTCTGTTGCAGAACAATAGCTATAAATAATTCAGCCTTTTCTGGCTCAGGCTCTTTGACCAAAATTCCAATTCTGTCACGTGTTAAAACTCAAACTGTCAATTTGAGGAGGCTCTGCTTAATTTCATTTTTGTCTCAAGTTTAGACAAGTGAAGAGCAACTCACAAGAGAGTGTGAGTATACTCAACTCACACACAGTTAGAACCATTCTTTATGCAGCTTCAGCTATTATGTACCATGCATTTCTGAAAATGCTATATTCCCCAAAGCACAGCAATCCATTTTTATTTTCTTTTAAAATAAAAATAACATTAAATGAACCATTGACATTAATATTTATAGTAACTCAATGTCTTTGAAAGGTTCATTCACAGAAGATTCCCTTATATGTGATTGCAAGCAATTAATTTAAAAACGGAAATGTACTTTTACATTTAACTAGAAGTCATAGTCCTGACTATCACCTCACCAGCTAACCTTTCCTCAAATATAAATATATTTTAAATTGGTTTTACTAATGCCCTAGGTACTTGGAAAATCCTACTGGTGCAAACTCATTATTAATTCATAGTCCCCAATTCTAAGCCTTACAGGTATGACCTTAGAAGTAATGGCAGCTGCTCTTGCCTACTTTATAAGAATTGTTACCGAAACTTGTACGCTAATAATTTCCAGTGATTACAAGCCATTATAAAAGCTCTCAAGTTACCTAGTACTATGGAAATAGCTCTTCTCCATGTGGCACCCCAGGAATACTTGACAACCCCAAAGAGAGTGGTTTTGAAAATTACATTAACAAAATATAAACTGGCATCATCCAACTCTCAGTTATTTATAGATGCTCTGCAGGGAGAATCAAGTGGTCCTTCCTCTATAAGCACACCAAGTTTATTGGCATCTACCTGGCATTATCTGACATGGAGATCATCTGGTCAGTGAAAGCATGAATATCTTGACGTATCAGTTACTTGTTCATTGCCCACCAGTGTTTTGTGGCCACCAGTTGGGAAGCTCTGATTTAGAGAACGATTAGCAAAAGAGTGAGTGATCAAGTAAGTTTGCAGCAAATCATGTTTCACATCTTGCACCATTCAGGTAATGAGATTTCTCTTTGCAGAAATGCTATCCATTGCATGAAGACTTGGTTTAAATTCATCTGTCTCTTATATACCCATTTTTCCTCCAGAGTACTTAGCATAGGACTTCAAAAGGCACTCAATAAATATTTGCTGAATGAATGTAACAGGAATTAATAATGCAAAAAATGTTTTTGAAAGATAATCGATGTCAAATGGTAGGCAGAGGAAGCCAGAGAAAGTTCACCAGTGATAGAAATGCTGTGTACAAATTTGGTACAGTGCCCAAGAAAAGGATTTGAATTTAACAAATAACCTTTAAAGCCAGGTTCTTTTATGTCCATCGCCCCTGGACTAAGCCATATTAGTGGTGGGAGAATCCCAGCCAAACAAACCCTGATAGCAGTTTGAGAAAGGGAAGTATAAGCAATAACCAAATGTTAGAAAGGATTCCATGAAGCACTTTGCCATCAGTTGTTCAGGAAACTTCTAAGAATAGAATAGCACACACACATACACACATTATAGAACACATCATTAAATTCTTTATAAAATAAAGAGGACAAACTGGATAACATGTAGAGGGCCTTAACACTCTCATGATTGCATGAGCCCCCAGGCCCAAGTTAATACAGTGTTGGGGTATTTTGACTGGTTTGATCAATATTCTGGGCCTAGATTGTCAAAGGCAGTTTCCTAACTTTAGCACATCATGACAGAGAAATTGATGCAATCTGCACCATATATGGAGGTAAACTGATGAAGCTATGTGATCCAGAAATAACCTTCCAGGGATCAGCTCAGGCCAGCCACAGCCTGATGGCCCATGTGCCAAGAGGGGTTAACAGCTGGGTATGTCTGCAACCCACTCATCATTTACCAGTGCTCTGAGGTCCATCCATTGAGAAGCTTTGTTTTAAAGAATGTTTCTCAAAATGATCAGCCTAGAAATGAGCCATCAAGTAAGTTTGCAGCAAACCATACTTCATATGGTGCACACTATACTTCTCTCAGGGAGTCAAAACACGTATTAATAAATGAACATATTAAGGCTCTGAGAAGACCTATTTCCCATTGTTTGTTTGTTTTTGTCCAGTATTTTCCAACCTCTTTTAACCAGGGCACCTACTAACATCTTGCAGATCTACGGAGGCTGCCGATTGGTTAAACCCTCCATGCAAGCACGCAGTACTGTGACTTGAAAAGGGTCAATGCAACAATATAGGTCCTAACTGTCTTTAATTGGAGGATTAGTTCAGACACTGGAAAAACTTTAATCTTTAAGAAGGAATCCTCCTGGAACTTTGTTAATACTAAAGTGTTAAATACCATAAACAATATTATTACCCCCAAACAGGCTGCTGAGGAGCCGGGGATGAGTAGATTCTAGCCGTGAGACTCCCAGTAATCTGCAGTAATTCATATGCCACTGGCAAGGATAATTCTAAACATGAGATCCAAAAACCCTATGCATACACCGCCCCCTTGCCCTCCTTACCCCAGGAGACTTATCTGTCTTTCTGGTTATATATTCCCTTGGCTGTTAGTGTAATTAGTGTATAATAACTATGTACATATCAACTCACAGGAAAAACGGCAGACGTGCTGGCTGATTTGGCTTGGGGCCATCTCATCAGCAGGGTGAGAAAACCTGGTATTAAACCATCTGTTATTAACTGTATATTCTAAAACAGTGTTTTGTGTCTCCTGGGTTGCTGACTCCCATCGACAGCAACAGAATGTCAAGACTCATATTTTTCTGAGCAGCACTGAAAAGATAAACTTTAAAACATTTGCATTGTCCCTTCTGTTCTGCGGCTTGTGCTATTAAGAATTTTATTTACTAAAGTGTCTATTGTATTATACACGGTGCTTTTCTATGTTTCATTCTCACAGAGGTGAACAAGTTTCATTTAAACTGTGTCCTTGCGAAAGTTATGCTTTCTAGAGTCAAAGATCCTAGAGAAAATTGGCCATAGCTTTTGTCCTTATGACTAGGCAGTTGCCAATGCCTGTTTGAAATCAATAGTCTCACTAGGGAATGGACTATGACTTGCATTTTTTAAAAACGTGGTCATTTTCTCAAATCTCCTTGTTTGCACTGATTACTTTTCTTTAAATTAACTTAAGCAATTAATTTCATAATATCAGAAATCTGAAATTGAGTCTTTGTGCCACTTGTTGCAGTCAGTAGCACAAACCTGCTCCCAAAACTCAGGATAAAGTCTGTATATGACAGAAAACAACAGTATTCCTTTGAAAGACGAGCAGTCAAATCATTCAACACAATTATCCAAGTTAATTCAACTCAAAAAACCACATCACCATGAAAAAATAAAAATAAATTTTTTTACCTGATTCCAAATCACTTTTGACAGCTATAAAAAATTGACTTTCTTTGCAAAAGTTTTACCTATGCCCCAGAACTCAGCTGAAACATTTTTTTTCCTTTCCCAGTTGTCTCTTACAATTGGCTGTTCCCAAGTATAATTAAAATTTCCCTGCAAGTCTGTTAAACACTTTCACATTTCCATGTTTAATTACATTCAGATTGAGATTTTTGTACACATATAGAATATAGCCAGATTTTAACTCAATTGACCACAATACCTTTGACATAAAGCCTTTATTCACCGTTCTCGCCATATATATAAATAGACATACGCTCCTTGTCAAAACGCAAGAGCGAGTTTCTTTACATTGTCTAGAACAAAGAGGCCAGCTCGGCTTCTATTTTTCCTCAGTGTCTCAGAAGGTGTCCTTTATTACATATGCAGGATGCAAGGATTTTGCTGCTGCGTGAATGAAAAATGATACCTTCAGACTGCCTTTTTAGTGACAAATTACGCTTTTGCAGAATATCACACTGCCTGTGGTTTTAAAAACCCCATTTAGATTTACTATCACTTCCTTGGGGACTCAGCCTTCCTCACAAAGCACCCCAAGGCTAATTTCCACTGTTTTAGAGTGTAACAAAGATGAGAAAGTTTGCTCATCACGACAGTATAGAAACGCTTGCCTAGGAAAAACACTCTCTGGAATGTCTAAAGTGCTAAAAATCATTGCCTCTGTGGATTTTCGGTGTGCAAAACAGGCAGAAAAAGTTGTCTGGAGGTATTCGCAAAGCATTGTATTTGTTCAGGAAGGAGCTGTGGGGTTAGAGGCTGAGCAACGCCTCTTACTTTGCTTCCTGGGTGAGAGCAGACAGGCGTGCCACTTAGCAGAAGCAAGCAGAGAGAGAGTGGTAAGACTCACCAGCTTCCCCATTTTTCCCAGGATGGGGGTTTTTGTTCCTCAGTTCTGATCTGGAAGAGACAAACCTGTAGGTCCTTCAAGCAGGCTGGGCTGGGGCAAGTGCCGGCTCTTTGCCTCGGATCAGCTGAATGGCTGGGGCGTTCAGGAAGCTTGCTCTGTCCAGCTCGGAATCACTCCCCCTCTCCAGGGTGTGTGCTTACACGCCTCTCAGTCAGCGCAAAAATCCGCCAAACTCAGGTCAGCCTAACAGGTTTCCTTATATAGGTAAACATGAATTGCATTCCTGGTGAAAGAAGTTAACTAGGAATCCTGGTAACCTGGTTAACTCTATACACACCAGAATGGCTCAGAGTTGATCAGCCTGCGTAGGGGTTTGGTTGCAGTACAAAGGGATTTGTGCAATTTAATTAAAATCATCTTTATCCTGGCAGTCTGTAAAATTGGCCCTTGTAGTGTGACTGTGAGTCAACAGTTAGTATTTTATATCATGGGCTGTGACCAGCCTCATATTATCTGAAGGCATTGTAGGGGAAAAAAGTGTAACATTTTATAAGTTGTCTTTCATGTTTTTAAAACCAGGGTAATTGAACTTGAGATTATTTTCAAAGAAGTGAATAGAACATGTGACAGAAAGAGAATGTGAATAAACCTCCATCAAATAAGGCTCAAATCCTTATTTGAGCATAGTAACGAATAGTTATTCAACTTTCCCAGGCCTTTGGTAGATAATGCAATACAATCATTTTGCGTTTTCTCCCTTTACAATGCAGTAATTGCTACTGTATTTTTTGATGGGCAAAATGACAGATAATGACATCTATTCCAATAACAACCCTCCTAAGCCCACATGCTGATGTGTTATTTGATGGTTTCAGGAAAGAAATCTAAGACTTGCGAATTTGCATACTTGTATGTAAACATTTTTAAACAACTTCCTCGATTTAAGAAGATAAGAAAATATATCTTCAAAAGAACTCTATAGCTCTTCCCCTTACATTTTATCTACTACTTAGTAAAGTAATAATTTTAAAAAATTCTAGCCAATTCCACTGAAGACAATATGGAGACTTGAGACTTTCCTGTGTACTAGAGATGAAGATTGTCTGCTAAAAAGGACCTATCTCAAAATGAAACACTTGTTTTTATTTCATCCATGGGTTGACTGCTCCTTGAGTAGTGACAACCTTATTAAAAACAGCTCAAGGCTGTTTTAGGTCTCTGTTTAGGACAGGCGAGATAATGAATCTTCTGATGCCACCTAAGTGAGCACCAACACAAACCAATGTCAAAAAGTTTCTGCCGAGATGAGTAAGGAACAAAAATTGCACTGCCAGGAAGGGTAACTATTTTTGAATAGCAATTTCCACTGGGAAAAACTTTTGCATACAATTTCTCTTCTTATCTCTGCAGGAACACTGTGAAGTGTGTAGTATTTCCTCTTCACAATAATAAAGTTGGCTTACAGAGATAAAGTGATTGGTCCAAAGTCTCATGATCAGTTTTTGGCAAATCCAAAACCCCAGATAAAGAATTTAACTCCAATAGCATTTCCCAAAATAGAATCAACTTTAAGAGACAGAAGAACATTAAAATGGCAATTTTCCATTTTCAAATATAATTTTTAATAATCATATGTCCAGAGAATTTAAATGCAATATACAAACTTATTAAAATACTTTTTATAAAGTCATAACTTACTGTTAACATGACTCCCTTTAAATGTCTCCAGAAAGATCATAAAATGAGATAGAGAGTGTATTTTTATTGAATATAAATTTGGGTTATAAAATATTATGAAAATATAACTTGGCAAATATTGCACACATTTTTCTGTTCACAGTACTCACATCTCTATTGTATCAAGTTAAGATTCATCCTGATTCCTCCACTGGAAGGAATATCAGTGTTTTCTACTTACTGGGTTTTCATTAATCTTAAATGAAACTCTGTACCATGCTAGGTAAATGGCTTTCACTAATATAGTCCATTTATGATCTGCACTCTTTGTGTCCTCATAATTCCCACTGAAGTAAGTTCTGTTTATGTAGAAACTTTAGACTTTATTAACAGGTTGTTGCAAGACAAAGAATGCATTTTTTTTTCCCAGGGCAGGCTAAACCTCTAAATGCCTTAAGCTGGCCTCCAAATTTGTTCTTACAATTCTTTTTTTTTTCTTTCTCTTTTTTTTTGAGATGGAGTCTTGCTCTGTCATTCAGGCTGGAGTGCAGTGGCACGATCTCGGCTCACCGCCACCTCTGCCTCCTGGGGTCAAGCAATTCTCCTGCCTCAGCCTCCTGAGTAGCTGGGATTACAGGCCCCTGCCACAACGCCCAGCTACTTTTTGTATTTTTAGTAGAGATGGAGTTTCACCATGTTGGCCAGGCTGGTCTCAAACTCCTGACCTCAGGTGTTCCTCCCGCCTCGGCCTACCAAAGTGCTGGGATTATAGGCATGAGCCACTGTGCCTGGCCTGTTCTTACAATTCTAAGCAAACAATCATTTAGGCTTTAAACACAAAATATCATAGGCTATAACTGTTGAATTGGAAGGTCAAAATGAAATTTGGATCTCAAAGTAGCATATTTCAGAGAGGAAATACAATCCTCTGCTAAATCCATTTTAGAGGCCTCAAGAAATGGTTTGGGAAAGTCTGGATCACTGAAGCAGCATGAATTCAACCTAACCATAGAGGACCCCAGTGAAAGAGTACTTACAGCTAAATAATTACACCATGCCAAAAAATAGCACTTATGGGAAACTAAATAAAATACAAGACCTATTTGAAGGGGAGAAAATATCATTGTGGTTTGAAGAAAACATCAGGGGATAGAGTTTAGAAATTCCTAATGATATATAACTAATGAGTAGTTGAGCTACAATTTAAAACACACTGCATCAGACTCCAGAAAGCTCACTATTTCTATGCACCCTGAGTGTACCACAGTAGCCAAAAAAGAGCAGATGACTTAGAGTCCAAAGATATTTCAATTCCAGTTCCATCTCTTGGATGTGTGACCTTGGATACATAATGCTTCTGAGCTTCACCTGCCAGTGGAAGTGAAAATGGCTCAACATATTAGATTTCTGAAAGTACCTAAGGAGATTTCATTTCAATCATTCTTCATATATCTGTTGACATTTCTTATGGTCCAGGCATTCTGCTACATCCTAGGAGTAACGCCATAAAGAAGCTTGGCACGTTCCCCACCCTCATGGAGCTTACAGTCTTACAGAAAAGACTGTGTATATCTATATTATGGGATGTGAAAATCTAATGTTTTCCTAAATTTCTCACAACACAAGAATGTCTAATTGAAGTTCCATATAAATATAGCAATATTAATAAATGAATGATGTCCAAGCAACAGCTTTCACTGTAGTTAGTGCAAGTTACTCTTACTAACCTGAGGTGGACCTTACCATGATTAGACTGGGTAGACCCGGGCTGAGCCAAATCAGATAAATACTGGGGGAAAGTAAAACTTGATGCATCAGCCGTATCATGACAATGTCCTTTTATCTAACAACTGAGGAGGACAATTAGATGCAACTTGAAAGCATCTTGAAGATGCTCAGGAAGCTGGATGGACAATGGAGTGATTTTTCTTATTCATTCTGCACATAAAGAAGTGATGGAAAAGCATAAGAAAAATTTCCTAAATATTGTAATCAGTTATCAGATACCCAATCTATTATTAATTCACTTCTGTGCAAGAAACATTTAATTGGTACATACTATGAATGAGGTTCTGTGAAGGATAGACACAGAAAAAGATACACGGAGATAAAGAATGATCCCTGGCTTTAATAAAGCTTTCTAGAAAAAATGTTCCAATGTTCAGTAGCTGTATCAGTCAGAATAAATAAAGATATGCTCTGGTAACAAGCAAGCTCCAAATCTCAGTGGCTTAAAACAACAAAAGTGAATCTGTCGCTCACGCCGCATGTTTACATAGGCCAACAGGGAGGGCGCACCTATCCATAGCCACTCAGGAACCCAGGCTGCTGACACAGGAAACAGGGATTTGGTGAATTGTGTTGGATTTTCAAAACTTTACCCCATAAGTGACTGTTAAACTTCCACTAGCCTCTTGTTGGCCAAAGCAATTCCTCTGGCTCTGCTTAACTTCAAAGAAAGAGAGGAGAATCAAGATACATGACAAATGTTTACATAACAGCTATGACAAATCAGCCAGCTGAACAAGAGTAACATTTTGGCTAAGTTAATTTTATTTCACCAATTTATTCAGTAGCACCTGTGTGGAAAGCACTATAAAAGGGCCTTACAGTTAATTTGAGTACCTTACTCTTCTGGGACACTTATAATGTCAAGAGAGAGCAAGGTTCTGCAAAGTCTAGCCCAAAGTGGGCTGTCCAGGACATCCTTTCTAAATATTACTATTTCCCTCAAGATTCCACTGGAACCACTGATAATCTTTGAGTCCACCTTTAGGTCTCTGCTCTTAGGGAAATTGGATCTAATCAGTCATTTCTGAACTTAAAATGCCAGTCATTATGCCATAAGGGGTATTGAGTCTGCCTGCTTAATTGACCCCTTCTATTAGTGACTTGGGTGATGAAATAAAAGACAAGTTGATTTAATTTGCAGATGGTGCCAAATTGGATAACTAACATCTCAGAGGATTCTATTATAATTCAAAATGACCTTGAAGAGTAGGATTAAAATGACATTAAGAAAGGAGCTTATGTTCAACAGAGATAAATAGAAGGTTGGAATTAAACGTATAGAAAATATATGTTAGAAGAAAATAACTATATTGAGGTAACATTAGCCTGCAAGTTGAATATAGGCTGGCAGTTTAGCACTTTTACTTATAAAGGCTCTTGGGATATATTTAAAAATATGGTGGTCTTAATCTTGAATGCACTGGAAAATAGGCGCTTCTCAGAATACTGCTTCATTGGGGATCCACATTTTAAGAAATAAGAAATCAGAGCACATTCAGAAGTGAAAAAAAGAATTTTCCTAAAGACTAAGTGCTCTAGATCAGGGGTCAGCAAACTTTTTCTGCAAAGGGCCAGAGAGTAAATATTTTCAACTTTGCCAGCCATTGTGTCTTTGTTTCAACTACTCAACTCTGCTGTTGTGATCCAAAGCACCCATAAACAATGCATACATGAACGGGCATGGCTGTATTCCAATAAGACTTTATCAAACTGGACAGCTGACCTGGGCCATACTTTGCAGACTCCTGCTCTCTACATTATACAAAGTGTCTCAGAATGGTAAGGGACTCAAACTGACTGAAACTGCCTAGAAGGCAGGAAAGGCCTTATTTTGGCCATTTTCCTATTGCTCAGATTCCTTTAATATTGTTTCCACACAGGTGCTAGTGAATAAAGTAGTGAATTAAATTAAATTAAATTAACAAAAAATGTTAATACACCAGTCTCCTTATTAAATATTGCAAAAGAATTGGAATATGTACTTCTTGAAAATGTCATGGAAATACATCCAAAATATAATTTACCATGTCAATTTTTCAAATATTTCTCAACTATATTGTCTTTTTGGGAAAGATATTAATGATGAAATTAATATAATAGAACTTAGAGAATAATTACAGTAATGAAATTAAAGGGAAGAAAAGTCACAATACTAGCCAAGGTCAATAAAGCAAATGTCGCCTTCATTAAACATAGGTAAAAAAGAAAACGAGGAAAGGTTAGGTCAATTCTGTAATGTCACCAAGCTAGTGGTGATGGAGAATAAATTAGGACCCAGGTTCCTGGTGTTCACAGTCCTAGATTATGATAAACCCAAAGTACCTAGGAGCTGGGACAAAGAAGCACACAGGAATGCAATGCCTGGAGATATTCGTTAGAAAAGTGAGGATGAATGGAGTAACAAACACAATATCATAGCCCGTACATGGAAGTCCTGTGGTGTGTCTTTTGGATTGCCTCAAGGAAAGCCCAGCACTGTATATGCCATTTCTCCTTCCCTTCCCCAGGTGTTCCCATAGCCTTACATTCTCCAATCCAATCTGGTTTGCAGCTAATCCCATAGCATCTCCCTCCTTAGATAAAGGCCAGAAAGCTGAAGCATAGTTATGGGTGAGTTGGTCCAAATGTTCCTGAATCTTGATTCCGACCACTTCTTACCACCACCTCCACCCCATCCTAGTCCAAGATAGCATCGGCTCCTGCCTAGACAAGTTTCTTAACCTCAACTGTGTTGGAATGGATCATTCTCTGTTGTGGAGGTTGCTGTCCTGTGCATTGTAGTATGTTTAGCAGCATCCCTGGTCTCTACCCACTAGATGACAATCCAATTGCACCCCCACCCAAAGTCAAGACAACCAAAAGTTATCTTCAGACATTGCCCAGTGTCCCCTAGTGGTCAAAATTGACTCTGAGTGAGAACTTCTGAACTAGATTGTTACAATAGCTTTTTAATTGTCTTCCCTACTTCTGCTTTTGCCCCTCTACAATCTATTCTTCACGGAGCTGCCAAAGTCACCTTTAAAAACTATTTATCATGTGACACACACACACACACACACACACACACACACACCATGGAATACTACTCAGCCATAAAAAGGAAAGAAATAATGGCATTCACAGCAACCTGGATGGAGTTGGAGACTATTATTCTAAGTGAAGTAACTCAGGAATGGAAAACCAGACATCGTATGTTCTCACTCATAAGTGGGAGCTAAGCTATGAGGACACAAAGGCATAAGAATGATACAATGTACTCTGGGGACTCGGTGGGGAAGGGTGGGAGGAAAAGTGAGAGATAAAAGAGTACACATTGAGTACAGTGTACACTTCTTGGGTGATGGGTGCACCACAATCTCAGAAATCACCACTAAAGAACTCATTCATGTAACCAAACACCACCTGTTCCCCAAAAACCTATTGAAATAAAAATAAATAAATAAATATTTATTAGATCATGCTACTTCTTTGCTTAAAACCTTGAGTGGCATCCTCCTACAATTAGAATGTAATCTAGTTTTCTTACCATTGCCCAGAGAGCTCCCCATAATCTGACCTCTGCCAGCCCCTCCAAACTAATCTGATAGCACTGTGCCCAGCCACCGCCTTCCTTCTCTTTCTCCAACATACCCATTTTGTTCAGACCTCAGGACCTTTGCACATGCCCTTCCCACTGCTTGAAATGCTCTCCCTGGTGTGGTAGGTAGAATCATTACCTCCCAAAGTTGTCCATATTCTAATCACTGGACCCTGTGAATATGTAATGTTACATGGCAATGGTAAATTAAGGTTGTAGATGGAATTAAGGTTGCTAAAAAACTGACCTCATAAGAAGATTATACTGGATTATCTGTGGGGGCTCAATGTCATCACAAGGTTGTTATAATGTGGAAGTGGTGGGGAGGGGGCAGAAGAATCAGTTTCAGAGTGATGTGATATGAGAAAGACTGCAGCAAACATTTCGGGCTTTGAAGATAGAGGAAGGGGCCATGATCTAAGGAATGTGGACAGCCTTTAGAAACTGGTAAATGAAAGGGATCAGAATCTCTCCTGGAACCTCCAGAAAAAACATATCCCTGCTGACAGCTTGATTTTAGCTCAGTTAGGCTTGTGTTAGACTTCGACCCCCAAAAGAGTAAGAAAATAAATTGGGCCTGTTTTAGGCCACCAAGTTTGTGACAATTTGTTACAGCAGCCATAGAAAACGAATATACCTGCCGTCTTCACTGCTAGTGCCTCAGTCCTCAGAGTTTATGCAAACGTCTTCTCTGGTAGGAGGCTGCCCATGGCAGCCATGACTGACATTGCTGTCCTCGCCATCCATCCCACCTGCAGTAGTTCCACGTCACTTTACCCATTTCACTTCCTTCATAGCTCTTATCACTATCTGGCACTAACAGAGTTCATTCATTGCCAAACAAAAACAAAACCAAACAGCCAAATTTCACCTGGATGAAAAGTAGAAAACAATGACAAACTTGAAAAACAAAACAAATGTGGCAGTCATTTTATATGCCTTGGATCAGGAATGCTGGAGAAAGAACCAGGTTTGGATTAAGTAAAGAACATTTATGTTGGATGAAAAGAAATTTTTGACGGTAGTTGGAGTAATTGCACAATGAAACAGGCTGCCAAGGAGGGCCACGGAGGCCTAGATTGTGGCAACACTCACAAGAGAGATTAGATAACTCAAGTCAGGAGAATAAGTGGAGCCCAGCCTACAGCATTTACTTGATGACCTGCTTGTTCTTTCTCCAGCTTGAAAATGTATGTAGCACAAAGCAATGAATCACAGGACAACATCTGCATGTAATTGCATTTCTGTTCCAATAATAAATGTTTCAACTGCTATGCTATTTACGAAAGCTGTTATCATAAAGAGCCAAGTGGGGGAAATTCGAAACACAAATGCTTATCTTAAGAAACCTTTCCTTTGCAATTCAGTGTGCAAGTACCCAAACTCCAAATTTGCTTTAGTATCTGAATTGTCCTGAGGAGTTTATTTTTGAAATTCTATTTTATAGTGATTTTTAGGTGTTTGATTCCTTGCAAAAGCTCTTCACGTCACAGTTTTCTTAATATCTTTTGAACCCAAAGAGGAGCAAAGGCCAGAAATTGTTCATATTTCCTTCACAGATCTATTATCTGTATTTTGGACTCATTGTCAGCCTTGGAGAGAAGGTATTTTGTACCTTTTTAGGGAAGAATGTTAGTTCTCAAAACAAAAGACTAGCATTACAGATTTTCCCCCTTTCTCCACAAAAAAGGCAAAATCTCCAAAAAGGGATTTTTGGCCTTTAATTACTAGCAAAGTGCCAACATAGTTTAAAATAATTAACAATAATGTAGAAGAAATAGGAAGTAAAAGAAATTCTTATTCCCTCAGGTCAGCCTTGTTTCCCTCATCTCCCTGCAGTGGCCAATACGTTTTCTGTATGAGTGGCACAAGAAAGGCTGACTTACCTGCACAACATTCTCAAAGCCACCAGTGCCATCGACACAGGCTAGCAATTATTTTGGCCTTTTACACTTAGCTTTGAGTGAATGCACATTTTGCAAAATAAAGCAAGCTGAATTTTTAAACAGTTCACTTTACTTTGCATCTTTGAATTGTGTCTTTCAGCAATGTAAAACTCACTGCTTTGGGTAAAGCATGAAAACTCATCAAGATACAGAGAAAATAAAACAAATCTCCTAAATGGCTGCCTCTTTCCATTTGGCTAGGCCAAATGGCCTAAGATGATGTCGCTGAGCGTTTCTTATTTAATGAGATGGCAAATAACCACGTGGTCAAAAAATCTTCAAAGAGCAATGAAAATGAGCAATTTTCCAATAATAATTCCAAAGCAACACCCCATTTCCCAAGGTCTGTAATTCTTAACTCTTATATGCTTACTTCTCACTTCATTAGCACTGTTTAAAACATCAGAGTTGAATATCAAAACCAAATGAAAACTTAGAATGGTCTTTTAGGAAGATGAAAATATATCGCAGTTTTCCAAAGTTATTTTCAATGAACTTTTTAAAGGCCAAATTGATAACAGTGGTTGGACTCTCAAATGGTTTAGCATCTAGGCAGCCTACAATTTCTGTTTGCCACTCACGGACTCTGCTTGATCCATGGTATAGATGAGGATGGAGACAGATATAGAGATATTCATTCAACAAATAATACTGGGTAAATTCTATGTGTCAGAGACACATTCATATATTAAAGTAGATAAAAGCAGCTTACTTAAAGGTTGAAAGAGTTTCAAATTTATGTTTTAGTGAAACATAGAAAACATTCCACTTTCTCGTTTTTCTTTTTTTTTTTTTTTTTTTGGTTGAGACAAGCTCCAACTGTGTTACCCACACTGGTGTGAGTGCAGTGGTAACGATCACGGCTTACTGCAGCCTTGACCTCCCAGACTCAAGGGATCATCCCACCTCAGCCTCTTTAGTAGCTGGGGATACAGTTGTGTCCTAATACCCCCTGCTAATTTTTGTACTTTCGGTAGAGATGGGGTTTTGCCATGTTGCCCAGGCTGGTCTTGAACTCCTGAGCTCAAGCGATCTGCCTGCGCTGCCTTCCCAAAGTGCTAGGATTACAGCGTGAACCACTGCGCCCAGCCTCATTTTAAAATTAAAAACAATGTGCATTTAGTGATACTAAAAAACAAGAACACATCACCAGTGATAAGTGATGTTTGTAGCATACACCCTTGTTAGATGCGATGAGAAAGGCCCTTCACTGCCAGTTTTTTTTTCTCTCAAACCCATACCCTCAGTTTAATCATGTGAAAACAACAGATTAACCTACATTGGAGGGAAATTCTACAAAATACCTGACTAGTCCTCCTCAAAACTGTCAAAGTCTTGAAAATGAAAAGAAGACCAAGAAACTGTCACATTTCAGGGGGAGCCTAAGGAGACATGGTAACTAAATGCAATGTGGTAGCTTTGATGAGATCTTGGAACAGAAAAAGGACATTTGTGTGCTGGGCACGGTGGCTCATGTCTATAATCCCAGCACTTCATCTCCACAAAAAATACAAAAAGTAGCTGGGCATGGTGGCATATGCCTATAGTCCCAGCTACTGGAGAGGCTGCGGTGGGAGAATGCCTTGAGCCCAGTAGGTAGAGGCTGCAGTGAGCTGTGATTGTGCTACTGCACTCCAGCCTGGGAGACAAAGTGACACTTTGTCTCACACACACACACACACAAAGAAAGAAAAGAAAAGAAAGAAAGAAAGAAAGAAAGAAAGAAAGAAAGAAAGAAAGAAAGAAAGAAAGAAAGAAAGAGGGCATTTGTGGAAAAACTGGAGAAATCCAAATAAAGTCTGGAGTTTTTAATGTAATGTATTGAAGTTCTATCTTAATGTGACCAATGTACCACATAATGTAAGTTAAGGGTAGTCAATTGAAGGTATACAGGATCTCTCTGCATTCTCTTTGTAACTTTTTCATTAACCTAAAGTTATTCAAAAATTAAAAGGTTATTTAAAAAAAAACACACAAGAACAACCAAACAGTATACCAAGTTAGTTTTACCTTGTGGCAACAGAAAGAAAAATAAGATGGAGAAAAGATACATTGAAAGCAAGGACAGAGGCACAGAGACAGAGACCTGCAAAGAGGAACAGACAGATACAGAAATAGACTGGAGGTTTCCAGGAAGGTGTTAAGAGCTCAATGGCCTTGTTATGTGACTCTGCTATTATCTCAGGCTATAGAAATCAGAGAAAAGGATGATTCTGTAAAAGAAATGAGAAACTTGACATAGGTTGGAAACATACACTAGAGTATAGAAACTTTTCTGCCTTTTTCTATTTTAAAATGTTAGGTATTTTTTTTCTATGTGATTCGGAAGGGTTTGCACATGTGTAAATGAACAGCTCTGGGTTAGCAAGTTTTTCAGGAGCCTTTGCAAAGACTGACCACCAAGCTTTTGACACTGAAAGCTGTCATGCGCTATGGAGTTGTTATTTGAGAAACCCATACCGTCTAGCGTCCCAATGCCAGAAGGACACATTTAGAATTGGCCTTGATTTCTTCCTAATAGACACTTCTGTTTAGAAATCAACCTAGTTTTTGGTCTACCTTGGAATAGATATAATGGGAAGCAAATTAAAAAATTGTTTAAAAAATCTGTAAGGTTTAGTTTAAGTTTTCACAGTGGTACATATAAAATCTTCAGAGGGTCTCCTCTTAAAAGGAGTCCCAGTATTTCACAGAAGATTCCCTGATCATTGAACCCCACGGTTAACTGCAATTAACATATGCTAGGCGTTTCTGCAGACTAGTGTGTACTCACTTACATTTTCTATGGTGTTTTCGAAAAAGGAACTTGAAACACTATTAACTATATATCAGGATAGTCTAGACAAGGTTAAGTGTGAGGTATTAACAGTCAATCAAAGGTATTTGATTAGTGTGTGCCCTAAGTCAGTCCAAATATGTACTTCATGGATGGAATACTTATACCCAGGCCTCAAAATCTTTTATTGATATTTATCACAGAATCCACATACTATATTACATGAAAGAAATCTCTATTTAGAAACTGATTGAGATTTTAATAATGGTTGTTGGGTTGGAATTGGGAGAGTAGGGAGATAGATCTGGGAGACATCTCAGGGGGATGCATATTTCCTCTTGAATGAGTTTCATATCTTAAATGTGAAGTTCTCATGAGCTTGTATTTAAACTTTAATGTGGCAAATTACATAAACTCTTTAATAAGAGCCAAAGGTCTAAAGTGCCCTCTTAGATTTGTTTTCTTTTTCCACTGAAACAGCATACCAAATCTGAATCTGATTAAGCCTGCTGAATTTGTTATCAGTGCTAGGAACTATGTATTCTGTTCAGAAAATTAACTTCACCTAGAAATGCATGTTTTGGTGGTTTTACACTCCCCCCACCGACCCCAATAAAAGCAGGCTGGTTAGAAAGGCAATAAATCCTGGGAGAAGCCGAACTTCATTTTTCCTGATAAAGAATTGGGTTTGCACATAGGCTGAAAACAGGGCTGAAATTCTGAGTTTTGAAGACACATAATGACTTTAGGTTAAGTTAAGCTGTCAATGAGGGATGCCCTGGTTATTTTCTCCCTATCACAGTGTTTGACACTTAGACCATATCTAGCTTTATTTTTATGCATCTATGTATCTATCCATGTATATCTATCATTTAACTATCTCAAATTTTCCCAACCTCAGCACTACTGACCTTTTAGATAATTCTTTGTTTTGTGTGTGTGTGTGTGCGTGAGGGGGTGGGGGCTGCCCTGTGTACCGTAGGATGCTAAGCAGCATCCCTGGGCTCTCACTACTACCCACTAGATGCTGGTAGCATTCATTACCTATGGTAGTATATATAATAATAAACTATAATAATATGTAATAAATACATATTCTCTAGGGGAGAATATGCCTTCTACCTATTATCCTTGGTGGCAACCAACTTTTTCTGTGAACACTGCTTTCAGATACTGCTTAGAATATGTCATAAATTAACAGACAACATTTAATTGTTTTACTGAATTAAGTTAGTAAATCCATAGCAGATCATAATAATCTCAAAACTAAAGCTTGTTTGATATATAAGAACTAGGATTTTTTGAGGGAGAAATGGGATTTTCTTGAATTTAAAACGTTTTTCTTTAAATATCAACAGTCAGAGCCCCAGATGATTTAGAAATTTTAAAAAATGGACCAACAAGATTTGGTTTCTGAAAGCAAAGAGAGTTGTGCTGTACGTCCCATATGGAAGACTGGGAAGAGATAGCTTTGTGGGATGCCCTGCCCCTATAGGGGGCAGCCAGAGCAGAGCAGAAATGAAGAAAAGGTCTTAGCTGGCTGGCTCCAAGTTTTCCTTGGCTACTCCTTGATGAGAAGGCAGTTGGAGGTGTTCATGTGTCACCATAAGTGGTGTGGATAGAGTGGTTGGAACTTGAGAGCTGGGAACCTGCTAAAAGGTGTGTGTAGTGTTACTCTAGACAAAGGGTCCCATCCCAGAGGCTGCTATGAGTGGGACATTTCAGTCTGGGGCTAGTGAAAGGATGAGGCTGAATTGCAGGGCCTGGGTGGGAAACAAATTAGCAGGGATGAAGATCAAGTGTGTTGTCTAGTCCACCTCTACCCATGTTTTGCCAATGAAATAGCCTTCCCTCACTGCCTCCCCACACTCAGACCACCCTTCCTAGGATAACTGCAGAGGTCAGTAGATGAGAAATTCTCAAGTTGGCTGGATTTAAGCTCTGAATGAACCACACTTTGAACCAGAAGTGACCTTTTTCATTGAATTAACAAACAATTCTTATGCTAAGTGGAAACAGTGGCTTCAATTGAGTTTAGTTATAGAGAAATAATGTATTTTTGCACCTTAATGATGTGACTATAAGTTTTAAACTTCCTACAAGTATAGAACTTATTAAAATAGCTAAGTCCAAAAATGTTGAAGAATAGCATATTCAAAAGATGACTCACATTTGTATAGTTATATCCTCAGCACCCAAAAGAGTACTTGGCACACTGGAAGTTTTCAAAACATTTTGTTTAATGAAGGCACAAATACTAAGGAGAGGCCATTGAGAGCAGTTAGTAAAAGTGTAGATTCCAGAACCAGATAACCTGTCTTTAAATTTTCTCTCCACCACTAATTTTATGATTTGGAGCAAGTCACTCAATGCTTCTGAGCCTTAGTTTCTTCACTTGTAAGAAGAAGGGAATCATGCCTGTCTCTAGGATAACTATGGGGATGAAATAAAAAACTATATATAAGATGTTCATCCCAGTGGCTTGCACACAGTAGGTCCTCAATCATCATCTAAAGTAAATCATGGCAGGTTTTTAAGAACACGTAACTGGTATCATTTCAATCTAAACTTTAATTTTAAGCAAAACCATAATGAGCACAACTTGGGTCACTTTCTTAGAATCAAAATCTGTGGGTTTATATTTTCATGATGTATCAGATCCCTCTATACCACAACTGCCATGTCATGAGTAGAACATAGACATTAGACTCAGAAGTTGACAAATGACCCTTGGCAGGCCATTAAAACTTGTTAAGGCTCTTGATTCCATCATCTTGTGAAAAGGGAAGGATATTAATTTTTACTTCTTAGATTTTTTTCTAACGATGAAATGAGTTCAGGTGGAGCAAGTGCCTTATAATAAACTTTTGTTAGGCATTTGTTTTAATGCCCCTGAAGACTGGCTTCCATGGCCAATTGCTTCAAATTCAGCAGCAAAATTTATTTCTTCCTGTGCTTGACTCAAGAGCATATATGTGAAAGTCTGTTGACAAGAGTAAAACGTTATAGCAATGGAGGTGGCAGTGTGTACCCTATCCCTTCCAGGTAATTCTTCTACCCTGTCTCTCTTCAAACAGAAGCTAGGTATGCTTGAAAATATTGAACTCCCTTTTAACACCAGCAATTATTTAAGGGCCCCCAGGCCCCCTACTCTCAGGAGGAAGACAGAGTAGAGACCAGCATCAGCCTAAAGTCAGGATTGAACAGTCCGTCAGAGCTGCCTTTGTTGACCTTGCCTTATGGAGTTTTGTCTAACTCCGTAAACTTGGTTTACTTGACTATTCCATCTTGTGTTGGGTGACCTCTATGAACCTGATCCCTGGTTTAAGTGACCTCCACGGCCTCATTTGCTCACTTTCTCATTCACTCACTCATTCCTTCAGTGATGAACTATATTCAAATTGTAGTTAATCAGTGATACTGAGTCTTGTGGAAGATCAAAGGATGATTCAGGAATTCACTGTGCCTTTATACATCTCAGAGCCTGAAGGGGAAGGAAGAAAATAATTACACACAGATAACTAATGCTACAAATGTATTACATTTATATGCCTGCTCATACTACTAATATTTAATTATATATATGTATGTGTGGTGTACAAGTGTATATATGTAATACAGATGATAAATGACATAAGAAGAATCCAACTTAGATGTTTTTAGAATTTGATGAAAAAAGATGACAGATAAGGGGCTTATGCAAATCTTTGTTGAAGGGCATGTGAGGTGGTTTTTCGGCACAGATATATTTGGGTGTAAGGAGAGAGTGCCAATTCAGTTATTCATTTTATAAAAATTTGTTAAACTGCACATATATGCTTAACTTAAAATAATGTTGACAGACACTTTAATCATCATGTTTCTTAAGTTTGCACTACATTGTCTGCTCCTCTGACCATTCCAAAATGTGGTATCTGAAATATATATTTTAATTAGGCTAACAAAATTATTTTGTCAAACCGCTTCTAACAATAATTGGGATGTACTGATGAAATGGAAAACCGGGATTGGGATTCATCCATCTAAGTCATCTAAGACCCCAAAACTAAGATAATTTTCTCAGAGAAATAGAATCTATAGCTCTCTCTCTGCGTTCTTTGACTCACTCAGTATTTTTCTTTTAACACATGGATAATATTGTTTGTCTCCCTGAACTGTGTGGCTATTATGGGAGTTTTTAGGGTAATTTGTTTAAATACTTTAATGAGCCCAGTGTATTTGAAATCATTTCAGAAGGTCTTTCTTCCATGGGCAGGCTGACCAAGGGTTCAGAGACCAGTTCCTCCATCACAGCATAAGGGACCTTAGCAGAATCTACCAATGGGTGGAAGGTGAACTCCTCACCCACAGTCCCTTGAGGGAAATTCACAACTAGATTGGTGAATGACTGAATGGCTTGTAGGGCTAGGGATGGTTGTGAGAAGGACAGAGAAGGAGAGGTAGAGTGAAATATAGAAGAAAGGAAGTCCAGGCACCAAGTGGGGAAAATGTTTCATTGACAAGCAACCTTGGAAAGTAAGAGATTAGGAATCAGGGACTTACGGGTTAAGCCTAAATGTGGGGATTTGTATATTCTAGCTATGTTTCAAAATCAATTTATAATAACTGACACAAACTAAACAGAACCATTAAAATAAGGATAAAAGAGTAAGAACAACATAATAAACCAAGAGAAGCAGTTGCTTAGAAAACAAGTACAGCAAAGTCATTAGAACTGAACACAATGATTAGCTCCAGGAGCCATGGGAACTAAGGCAGGAAGAAAAACAAGACTAATTACATAGTTTGCATGATACAGAGAAAGAGGAAACCATTTTACTAGCACCAAGAGATAGATATTTTAGCCAGGCACGATGGTCCACGTCTGTAGTCCTAGCTACTCGGGAGGCTGAGGTGGAAGGATCATTGAACCCAAGGCTTCAAGTCCAAGTTGGGTAATATAGTGAGACCCTGTCTTTAAAAAAAAAATAAAAATATAGGTATTTTATTCAAGGGGTCATGTGGTAGGCAGAAGAATGCCTTCCCCCTTCCCCAAAGATGTCCTAATCACCAGATCTGTGAATGTTCCTCACTTGACAAAAGGGACTTTGCAAATATTATCAAGGTAAGGATCTCGAGATGGAGAGATGATCTTAAATTATCATGGTGGGCCCAGTGTAATCACAAGAGCCTTTGTATGGGAAAGAAATAGGCAGGAGGGTCAGAGTCAGAGAAGGAGACGTGATGATAGAAGCAGATGATTGCTGGAAGGGGATCATGAGCCAGGCAAGGTGGGCAGCCTCTAAAAGCTGAGAAAGGCAAGCAAACAGATTCTTCCCTAGAGCCTCCAGAAAGAATCAGCCCTGCTGAAACCTTAATTTTAGCCTAGTGAGAACCATTTTCAGAATTCTGACCTCCAGAATTATCAGGCAATAAATTTATGTTGTTTTAAGCCACTAGATTTGTGATACTTTGTTATAGCAGCAAGAGAAAACAAATATAGATCTGGTTTATAATAGACTGAGAAAAAAATCACTAAAATATAACTTAGATCACTTCTGTTGGGACTAAAAATAATATGGCTGATTTATGTAATATTCTGGCAAGGCTGTCTAGATGTAAGAATCCAGGTACATGAGAATCATCTGAAGAGATAGTGAACAATTCAGATCCCCAAGTCCTTCTCCAGTTCTGCTAAACAGATTCTGTGGCTAGGACCCAGGAATCTGGATTTTTAACAAGCATGTGTAATAGCTATTATTGCTGCATACAAATTACCACAAATGTAATAGCTTGAAACACATAAATTTATTATTTCAGTTTCTGTGGGTCAGAAATCTAGGCACACCTTAGCTGGTTCCTCTGCTTCAGGATCTTATAAAGGCTACAGTGAAGTAGCCAGTTGGGGCTAGAGTCTCATCTGAAGGTTTAGCTGGGGAAGGATCTCCTACTAAGCTCACTCATGTCGTTGGTAGAATTTAGTTATTTAAGGGCTTTTTTCCTCTTTTTTTTTAATTTTTCCATAAGTTATTGGGGTACAGGTGGTATTTGGTTACATGAGTAAGTTCTTAAGTGTTGATTTGTGAGACTTTGGTGCACCCATCACCTGAGCAGTATACACTGCACCATATTTGTTGTCTTTTACCCCTCTTATTTCAACGCTTTTGGACTGAGGGCCTAGGTTCCTGGCTGGCTATTGGTTGGAGACTGTCTTTAGTTCCTTATCAGGTGAGTCTCTCCAACATGGTAGCTTGCCTTATCAAAGCCAGCAAGAGAGATTCTACTAGCAAGATAGGGCATACAATCTTAGTAATGTAATCAGGGAAGTGTATTCCATTACCTTTGCTATATTCTATTGGTTAGAAGCAAGTTATAGATCCCATTCACATTCAAAGGAATGGATTACACAATGGCGAGAACACTAGGAGGAGGAGATCAATGGGAATCATTATCTGGGATGCTGTTAGGTTGCTTCTAATTGACCTAACAGCATCCCAGATGATTTTTGTGTATGACCAAGTAGTGAAGTACTAACTTAGAAGAATAATTAATAGAAGGAATCAACAATTCCAGCTGGGTTTTTGACAGGAAATGGATTTGAAACAGTTCAAGACTGTGGGCTCTGGTGATGTCTCTGCTGTGTCCTTTTCATAACAAATGCTGTAAGTTAGCATAGTGTCTGGAACTTGGAGATAGCCATTATCACTACTTTCAGTCCCCTCTCTGCTACCAGTCAATTGCTCACTATCCCCAAGCTGACCTCAACATCTCAGGGGAGCTGGTTTGTGGGAAAAGTGGGTAGGAAAGAGGGAGGGTAAACTGGCATGGTAAGAGTGGGTCTCTATGGAATTCATGAGTTCTGATTATTTTTAGTTTCTTCTCAAAAAATGTAAATTTTGCCCTATCACAATATAAAGAGAATCTATTTCACAATTTACACAGCTGATTTTAAATACTATCCTATTTCAAGCTCCATCACATTTTCCTCAGATATTGAAATGTTATTCTGGCAGAAACATTGGCATGTACTTGCCAAGCCCTCCTGGGCACAACACTAAACATTTCCCAGCCCCTTGCAGTTAAGCGAGGCCAGGGAATGGAGTCAGCTTGTGGCAAGTGGCCTGGCTGCTGAAGCTTCCCTCATGGTCTTTGAAACTCTCTTTTCACTCATCCTTGGCTGGATGTTTGAGAACACAGAAAAGGCCTCTGAGGCCCTTGTGATGGCATAGGACTAAAGGAGTCTCTGGACTGAAGGAGCCTGGGGTCCCAGGCAACTATGTGGATTTCTCCTCCACTCTTGTTGGCCAACTGCACAGGAGTGAAATGTGAGCAAGAAATGAACAATTGTGCTGTGAAGTCACTGTTCATTACAGCAGCTGACATTACCCTAAGTAAGAGTTGTATTGTTTTCTTCTGCAGAATGGAAGTCACGTGCTTGGTGTAGAGGGACATGAAATAGAATAGTTCATAGGGGTGATGCATATTCCCTTTGTGTTCTTTTTCTCTAAATTATACATTAGCATGGATCATTCTAGATGTCAATTCTCTATCTGTGGAAATTGAGCTATTTCTCAGTGAGTCTGTATGACAGGCCAGGCCCACTATTCTGACTCAGACACTGATTCTAAGGGGATGGCCTGCCCTGAATTGCCACACTCCCACCAATCTAAATTGAAATAATGACCACCTGCTGACAACCTGTGCCCCACCCCACTAGACTAGAGAGTCTTTGTCCTGATGCCAGCCTGGTCCAAGCATAGTTTGGTTACGCTTTTTAGACATCCTGTAGTGGAACGCTGGCTTCCACTTGAGAGTTCAGGGACTACTCAGACATTGTCTTATTTCTACATTAATACACTAACCTGTGCCGTTAAGGTACCAGCCTGTCTTTTGCAAAACCCCAACACTTTCGTTTTTAAAAGGGAAAAAATGTCATTTAATATGTGTGAGGCCCTGTGCTCATCATACATCATGTTTTATGTACTTTTATTTAAATGTCTGGGGTAAGGTATCCGGATTATGTTGACATGCGCTGATGAGAAAAATGAATCTCAGAGTAGTAAGCTTCCACACAGCTAATATGTGGAGAGAACTGGAATTAGGAGGCAAGTCTAATTCCAAAGGCAATACTATTAAGTTGTGTGTGCGTGTGTGTATAATGAATAGATTTAAAAACATATAGAAATATACATGTGCATTGAACAGTATTTAAACCATGTATACATATGTATGTATAATGAATAGACTTTAAGCCATAAGTGCATGAGAGTTGAAGGGAATTTAAACCATATATATTTATGTGTGTGCTGTATGCATATAATAAATACTGTCAACAATGTTTATACATACTTGTGTATGTGCATTTAATAGAATGTAAACCATATATGTATGTAGATGTGTATGCATTGAATAGGATTTAAACTTTGTATTTGTGTGCATGTGTGTGTGTATAAGGAACAGTTTTCAAGGAGGATATATTGACTTGGCCAAGCACACAAAGCCAGTGACAGAGGTGGAAACCTATTCTGGCTTCACAAATCTATGAAAGTTGGCCTTCTCGAAGTTCTAGATGTTAACTTCTTTCAGGGTAGCTTCTTAATAATTTCAGTACATATTTGAAATGTTTTGCAAAGGGCTAGAAATATACACCTTCCACATCATGCAAATAGAAAAAGCCAACAGACTGTATAAGATGAGGTTGTGCTGTGGTTTATAAAACAATATTAATAATTATTTCTAGAATTCATTATAATGCTGTATTTGACATGTCTGCTTTTAAAAAAATACATGCCATCTCATACAACAAATTCAGAGTCTGTGGGATTTATGCAATATGTACAATAATATTTTAAAGTACAGTTCTTAAGGTTTTTTATATAGTTAAAAAATATCTTTAACTTGGCATGCATATATATATATATACATATATATATGAAGCTTTGGAATATCATCTTCTAAACCAGCTATAAAAAATTTGGTAAAAATAGGACTTAGGCAGAAAATTTTCTTAGCTGGTATTCAATTAATGTTAACTTATTTACTGAATGAACGAATGAACAAATGAATGAATTACTGATATAAGAATGCACATTATTAAACCTGTATGATAATTAAGGCTATGAAGCATATACCATGGATTTTCTCGAGTAAAACTAAAACAAGATAAATCACACAACACCATTTTCCACACATATGAGGTGATTGTTAATTTATACAATGTCACATCAGTTAACTGATGATAAAAATCTTGGCAGTTTGGTTGATATTATGAATTAAATTCTGTATGGGTCATGGTTGCATATTTCCCAGTTTAGGGGGTACAATAATGAGGTCTTGACTTGACTTTTAATTTTCTAAACAACACTTTGGTTACATTTCTAGAATTTCGTTATACTGATGTCATATCACAAGCCCCTCATGCTCTTGGCTATGTAACAGGATTTCTCAACCTTGGCATTATTGACATTTGGAGCGGGATCATTCCTTGCTGAGCAGCATCCCTGACCTCTATCCACTAGATGCCAGTAGTCTCTGCCTTAATTGTGACAACTAAAAACGTCTCCATTCATTGCCACGTGTCCCCTGGGGGGCCCAATCGCCCCTAGTGTAGAACCACTAGTGTAGATAATGCAGGAGCACATTTGAGAGATCAGGGCCTTCAGCAAGGAGCTGTAACCCACGATCTGGACTCCGTTGCAGCTTTCAACTTTTATCTCGGTGAGATTCAGGATGTTGACTTTCCTTTTGATTCTTAGTTGGCTCTTGGCCTCTTCTTTAGAAGGTATCCTGAAACTAACCAACGACTTCGTCCAATTTCTCCATCCAGTTTAAATTCTGGCCACGTGGCTAGAACTGTTTTCCTCCATCAGAATAACTAAAGTTTAAAGTTCAATGCTCCCTAAACTCTCTTGGGATCTAGCAGAGTTACTTCAAAAAGAATGTGCTCTTATATAGGCTACTTTTAAAATTATTTAGACAGGAACAGATATTAAACTTCATGCATTTCACTTTGCTGACATCTGACAGCTATTAAAAAATAATCTGACGAGCATACATGTTTACATGTGTCTTCTTTCTCAACAGAATTTCTCAAGTAAACAATCTCTTTTATCTATACTTAGATGAAGTTTTAATAATATTTCATTAAGATCTCCATAAAATTTGCAGCAATATTTACGTTTTATTTTCATTACTATAGGAATCAATCATTTTTCCTCAGGAAAAATTAGGCTTCCACAAACACCCTACTGTTTAAGAAAAGCAGTTAATTACAAACACTAAAGATTAGTGTTTCAGCCTAGAGTTAAAATGAAGAACCTCTCTTATCCTTTGAAACAAATAGAGTCTACTCCTGAATTTGCTACCAAAAATATATTTTCACTGATGCTCCCTGTTAGTTAAATCATGTCTGAAATTCCATAAAGTAAATGCATTATGCTGTAAATGGGTAGTCATTATTTAAACAAAGGAATATAAGTAATTATGCCTCTACACAAAAAGAAGAGTTCTCCAAGTCACTCTCAAGTGCTTCCTCACCGTGATTCAAGTTTCTGTAAGTTCCTGTGTCCAAATTTTCAAATGTTGTTGTCGACAAAGTCCTCTCAACATAACATTCTATGCTTATCTACTCTTGGTAATTTCCTAATAGGTTTATTTGGAACCAAGATGTGTTATTTCAAGCTTCAAGGTCTTCAAACCCAGCATGAGAAATCTGGGTTGGCTCCCATCTGCCTCTTAATTCTTTTCTCTTAATAACAATCCAGTAATCCAATTTTAGCTTGCATTCAACTCAGTGCTCTATCAGGAGGTACGGAATTCAGTTTGCTCATTTGATTCCCAAGTGCCTTGGCTAAAAATATGTCTTGTTATTGTCAAAGAAAACAATGCAATTTGAAGACTTATAAGGAATTAAAAGGATAAGAAAGAAAATGAGGCTCTATTAAGTTTAATATGTCATCTCTCAGTTTTCTTTATTTAAAGGGCAACAGAATATGACTGTTTTCAATACAAAACATTGAAAGTAGAACTTAAAACAACTTTCATAAATAAGGAATTTTCTCAGGTGCTCCATGGATGACTCTGAAGGGTACAGGAATAGCATGTGACACGACTGAGAGGATGTGTTGATCAGCAGTTGACGCAAAAGCTTCCTTCTTGCCACCCCAACTTGCCTGTGTTATTAAGCCTCACAGCTAAACTATATTAGAGGGCTGGCAAATATTTGTTCCTCTCTATAAAAAATTCTTAGCTTAGATTGTTGGCTCACGATATTTTAACCAGAAGAAATATCTCGCTTTAAATCAAGTGTCCCAGGTCTCAATTTAAAATTGGTGATGTACTGAGAACATTTCCTAGGGACAGAACTCCACTACATCTGCCTACCAGGTGGCAGAAATGTAAGTACCCAGAGTAAATTTTATATTAGAAAGGCAGATAATTCTGACACAAGCAGACAGAGAGAAAAGCTGCCAAAATAGAGCAGGGAAGAAACAATACCCTAAGAGTGCTCCCCTTTTTACTGTTCCCTAGACGTGTCTCGCCCCCGTCCCAAATTCTTAAAAGTCACCCTACAATTCAGAGCTCCAAGCTCAGACTTCTCATGTTTTTGTTGTGGCTTCTGACCTTTCAACTGCCCCACTGATAACCTAGCATAAGATAGATTAACTAACCATATGCTGAAAGGTTCGACCATCCCTTGGGGGATATCAAACTACATGGAGAACTCTATGTCCTGGCAGGGGAAACACAGTCTAACCCATTTTTCTTACCACTGCATGCATTTCACGGGCCTGGGAAAAATGGATATTCTTACTTGTTTTACCAAACTCCATCAAAACAAGACTAGGTGTCGCCCAAACAACTAATCAGAGCCTGGATTTTATTGTGGCTCGAGGGGAAAGCAGAAAGATCATTGACATTTTCTTGGCTCTAAAGCTACCTTAGGGGAACCTTGCAACCCAGACGTTCCTCAAGGGATACCAAATATCACTGTACTTGATGTGGAAAAGCATATTAACTCAAGAACCCAGATATTCTTATTCTTGTTTTGGAAAATTGATTGACAAATATGAAGACAGTCATATTTGACATAAATATCATGGTACACTTGTTCTTAGTGCCTTCTTAAAGTTTAGTACAAAATATTGAGCTAATTCTCAAAGCCTCCCTTCTGATGCCAGAAAATATTTCTGCAAGAATTCTATGCATTGTCATCAGCAGAGTGCTGCTGCTCAATCTGAAGTCGTTGCCTGCTGGAATAACCTCTCTTCCAAAGCTGGAGATCTGTCTTCCAACAAAACAAACATCCAACACCAGAATGGCAAAGAACCACAGTCCTTCTCTCAAAGCCTCTTGGTCAAGGTGGGAAATATTTGAGTGATTATTAACAAACACAAGTGGCATTACCAGTTTCAATCACTTCTTTTACTTTTCATCTCTATTGCCCTCTCTTTGGTTCAAGCTACCATCCTGTCTTCCCTACAGTACTACAACAGCCTCTTTGTTTTTGTTTGGTTTTTGTTTTGGTAAAGGTTGTTGGGGTGTGATTTACATATCATAAAGTTTACCCCCTCTATGTGTACATTTCAATGATTTTTAGTAAATTCACTGACTTATACAACCATCACCTTAATCCAGTTTTAGAACATTTGCACACCTTCAAAGAGATTTCTCATGTCCATTTACAGTTAATCTCCATTTCTCCCTTCCTCAGGCTGCAAGCAGTCACTAATCTACTTTCTGTCTCTCTAGATTTGCCTTTTTGGGTATTTCATATAAATGGAATCACATAATATGCCACCTTTTGTGACTGGCTTTTTTTCATGTAATATAATGTTTTCAAGGTTCATCCATGTTACAACATGAATCAGTACTTCATTCCTCTTTATGCCTGAATAATACTCCATTGTATGGATGGACCACATTTTATTTAACAATTTACCCATTGATGGACATTTGGGGTTGTTTTCATTTTTTGGCTATTATGACTAACGCTGGTGTGAACACACACATACAAATCTTTTCTATGTTTCACTTTAGGATTAGAATTGCTGGGTCATGTAGATTTATGTGTCACAGTCTCTGAACTCTTCTACTTGTCTCACATCTGGGCCCACTTCAAGACCTTCTCCTTACTATGGCTAGAATGGTCTCTTTTTTTCTTGCTGAAATGTCTTTATTCCTAAAGTATGATCTTTCATGTTTCTTTTTTTAAAAATTATTTTAATGGCCACATAATAATTATATATATGTATTGGGGTACAGAGTGATATTTTGATGCATGTGACTGTCCTGATTTTTTCATTACACATTGTAAAATGATCTTTTGAAAACTGAAATTCACGTGTTATTTTGCCTGGTTAAAAATGCTCCAGGGGCTTCCCATTGTCCTCGAGTTGAAATCAAAACTTTGCAACACTGTTTGTGGGGCCTTGTATGATCTGTTTTTATTCTGCAGCCTCTAATCTTATTCCTCCACTTCACCTGGCTCCTTAACCTTCTCTATGTCAATCAGACTAATCTTTAGTTTTCAGTACAGACTGTGCTCTTTTAAGGCCTTATCTTGGGCTGTTCCCTCTATCTAGAAATCTCCTTCCCTTTAGGGTAGTAGTTAAAAGGGAAGCTCTGGAGTTAGACACCTGAATTCACCAATTAAAAGCCATATGATTTTGGGCAAGTCATGTCTCTGTATGTCAAATTCCACATCTTTAAATCGAGGATTAATAACACATCTTGACTCATAGGGTCCTTGGAAGGATGAAATGTGTTACAATGAGCAAAGCGCTTTCAACAGTCTTCAGTAAAAGTCAGCAATGGCCAATGAATTCTTCATTTTTTTTTTTGGCTTAGATTTAACTTTCTTCTAGAAGCTTTCACAGACCTCTTAAGTATGGGCTAGCTCCTTTAAGTGTTTCCATAATACTCTGTTTTTGTTGTATCATATTGTTATTGCCAGTTTACTTATCCGTGTTCTCCTGGTAGTATCTGAGTTTCGTAAGGCAAACCAGAGTACCTCCAACTTCAGCATCTAACAGACAGCATGGCTCACAATAAATGCTCATTAAAATATTTGCTAAATTGAAAAAAACTGTATTAGATAGTCTCTGTGTTCCATTCATTCCCATCCACCTTCACCCAGTTGTCTCTCTCAGAGAGACCTACATGGACTGTATCATCTAGACTACATACCAGCTGTGGTAAGTAGTTTGGTTGGGTTTGGCCAAGAGGAAGCTCTGGCAAGAGACAGATGAGTGAGCGGAGGAAGAGGTCATGGTAATTACCCTTTCCACTTCCTCCCTGCTGTGGTTCTGCCAGTGACTGCATTCTGCTATAGCTATGGCTCCTGTTAAGACATCCCACTTCCAGAGCTCTAGCTCTTTCTGGTGCCATTACGGACATTCCCTTCTCTTGCCCACTCAGACCTAGGAGTGGCAGCTGCAGCTTCCCGTTATTGCTAACCCCATTCCTCATCAGTCTTTTAGCCCTGCCCAACCATCTGTAAAAAGTTCACTATTCTCTCTCCATGTAAACTCATTTGAGTGTGCCATCTGCTTTCTTTTGAGACCCTGAATAATAACAATGACTGAGCATAACCATTCCTGCTAGGGGTCTCAGGTGGCAGAGAGTGGGGGGACTCTTTGGTGTGTTTTGTTGGAGAGATAGTGGTGGGGTAGAATATGATTTCACTATTAAATAGCTTGCAATGTTTACAGTTCTTATTTTTATGTGTATATACGTCACTTACCATATGCCAGGATGTGTTATTGCCAATGGTTTCCATATGGATAGTTCATAAAGCATTTTACTGCTGGATCATTCTTTCCGGTGCACTCTGTAGTGAAGACTGGGTAGCAGTGCTTGACTTGATTGATAGAAAATCATAGTCCACCAAGTGCTAAGTCTCTTCAAGTATCACAATTCTTTCCAGTTCCAGCTGATGGTACATTTCTTAGGCTATTATTTCTAGTTCTATTTGAGAAACAATGCTGGATATGTGATCTCACAGTTTTCATTTCAGGAATAGGTTTCAGACAGCCAAGCATCAGACTCTGAAACCAGGAAAGACATATAGGTTCAAAGACCACCTCCTGGATATCCTTGTCTCTTGTGTTAGTCTGTTGACGTATATCAAGCACACACTCCTTACAGAGCCTGATCCTATTTGCTTAGTTTCCAAGAGACAGGAGGCTTGAACTGACCCTTCAGGTGTTTTATGATATAACTATTGCTTTGTGTCAAATAGGTGTCTTTTTGCATATGAACTTAGAGTTATAAACAGCACACACAAGGACTTGGCATTATTATCCAGTTTGCATAATTTAAAATGATTCTTTGATTAGTAAAGCTCAGATTTCAAGAGTTCTAACTAGATTACTTTGCAGCCATTAAAATTTGTCTGGAGCTAAATGTGAGAGGCTATACTGAGGAATTGATGGGTTTTTTAAAAGTACATATTCTAAAATTATGGTTATATTTGTTTCCTATAGCTGTTGTAAGAAGTTACCACAAATTTAGTGACTTAAACAAAGCAAATTTATTATTTTATATTTATGGAGGTCACAAGTTCAAATGGATGTCACTGGGCTAAAATCAATATGTCAGCAGGGCTGTGCTCTTTCAGGAAGTACTAGGGGATAATCAGTTTCCTCGGCTCTTCCAGCTGCTTGGGCCTGCCCACATTCCTTGGCTCATGGCCCCTTCCTCCATCTTCAAAGCCAGCAATGCTGGTTGAGTCTTTCTCACACTGCATCACTTTGACACTGCTTCCATCCTCATACTGCTGCCTCTGACTATCTTGTCTCCCTCTTTCACTTACAAGGACCCTTTTAATTATACCGTGCCCACCTGGGTAATCCAGAATAATTTCCCCATCTCAAAATCCTTAACTAAATCACATCTTCAAAGTCCTTTTTGCCATGTAAAGTAACATAATCATAAGTTCCAGAGATTAGGATGAGAGGCCTTTATTTGGGCCTACTCCAATCTTTGGGGGCCATTATTCTACCTACCACACCTATTAAATAATTATTTAAAAATTTAAAAACCTTTGTCTTTGCTGTTATAAATAATTAAAAATGATGGAAATAAAAGCTAAAAACTAAAAAGTATTCTATGGGTGTTTTCAATTTTCTCCTGAGGCCATAACAAAACTGAGAAACATTCTGTTACCTTGATGTCTTTAAATGGAAATAAACACAAGCACTTCAAAAGGCTTAAATTTTTTGAACTTAAAATGGTTAATACAGGTAAAATTACTGAAGTAGAGAATGTGCTCAAAAATAGTCCTATATTCATTGCATACCATTTTTTAAATACATATTATTTTCCCTAAGTTAAGGAAAACGAGTATTTCAGTAGTAATGATTATAATGGTTTAGGTTTCAGATGTCATTTTGTGATTTGGAAAGCTCTATGAAATAATTTCATAGTTCATATAATCTCATCTTCAAAATTAATAAAGAAGAAACACGTTTTTTAGCCTATATATAATTTTTACTTAAGTAGCTTTGAGTTTGGCCCTTTACAAGATAGGAACTAGAAAAATTTTTGGTTTCTGTGGTGGAAGCTACGAATTCTCCCCCTAATTCACAAGCCAACTATGATGTATGATTATTCATTTCAGCAACTGAGAAGATAATTGGAAAGTTTGAAGACGGCCAAGTTGTACTTCTTAGCACCATAAAGTGTCATTGCCATGCCACTGTACTGAGGACAATGAAGTAAATGGCCAGCCAACAAAACTTACAGTAATCAAAAAGATAACTACCTGCCAGGTCAAGGAACAGGGGTGACACAGACAGATAAGGCATCTGCTTTTGTGGTACTTACATTCTAATGGGGAATGAGAGAGAAATAATACACCAATAGGAAGGTGAGCCAATATACAAACAATGTAAATCCAGAGAATGGGAAATGTTATGGTAATAGTGATATGCTAGGTTGTGTCTGTGCCAGAGGGGAGGCTACTGTAAGGGAAAATGTCTCTGGGGAGGGGACATTTGAGCTGTCTTTTGATGATAAACAGCACATCCTGTAAGTCCTTAAGAACCCAAATCCCTGATCTCCAAAGTGGAGTATGTGCACTACCAAAGGCAAGCAAGATAATCTATTGGAGTTTAGGGAAAAAAGATGAGAACTTCTGTTTGTATTTATTTTTACTTAGAAAACAAGAAAGAAATTAAACTTTGCTAACAGGGGAGGAAAAGATTTCCATCACTAGGTTTGTGGCCAGTTTTCTATAACAAAAAACTAGATTATTAACAAGAAAAAAACATAGAAATTTATTTAATATAAGTTTTACATAACACAGGGGCCTTCAGAAATGAAGGCTCAGAATAGGTAAACTTGCATATTTGTATATTTAAGATTGATAGAGAATGGACAGTCATGGAGAAATATGATTGGAGGACAAAAGGATATGATCTAATGGTAATAAACTGGGGGGAATTTAGCAAGACTTGTTTGTTCAGATTTTTCTCTGCATCCCTGTGTCTTCAGATAAAAGGATGTTCCTTTCCTTCAGGTATAGTTTCTTTCCTACAGAGAGGAAACCTCTCGCACTAGGGTCTTACAACTTGATTCACGGGAGAACGGTGAAGGGAAGATGAGAGTGTCTTCCCTGTTTCTGCTGTTTTTCCAAATGTCAAGGTGCCATATTTTGGGGTAGTGTGTCCTGAACCCCATCACTAATATTTACATTTTTACATTGAAACCCTATATGTGGCCCGTGTATCAGATAGTCACCCCCACTCTGTAGTATTGCAATGTATTGTACTGTTATATTATCTAATTTTAACTTGAATAACCCTCACATAATGGACCAATGGCTTTGAAATTTTTCTATAAGGAAGCCACGGGTTGAGGAAGTACTACTATTGCAATCTTAAGTCAGTGATAAGAAAATGTCAGAAGCAACTCTTTTCCTACTCCAAGTAGGCCATCATCAGCCACATTATGACTCTTTATTCAGAGTCAAAGATAACTCAGCCACAAATAATTAACGTTATCAAGAAATTCACATACAGCATGTATTAACAACTATTTCCATTCTATACAAACTGTACCCTAAGAGGGAATTGTGCCTTCCCATAGGATGATGTTATCACGGTGAGCAGCACGTTTCAAAATATTATCTATTTACTTCATGTTTATTCTGTTATGTATGTTTTATAAGACACAACATGTATTGGTTTCTGGTTCACGTATGTAATTTATAAATATATATATATTTAGAATACATGTGCATTTATTGTTAACTTCTACACATGCATAATCAAATACACTTTTCAATCGTTGCTCTCAACTATTTGATAGCTACGGCTCTTGTCAAAGACTGTCAGCAACTATATATAGGGCAACCCATCTCTGAATTCTGAAACTGATTTTCAAAGATGGTGTGAAGTTTTCAGAATAATTAAGGTGCCAAGAATCACATAATCCAACAGAATCTAGGTGAAGTGGCAATTTCCTGGTGCTTTGGAAGGTACATTCTAATTCCAACTAGAAGCTTCAAGGCATCTGTGCCAATCCCTGAGGCAATGCTGTAATTTCTGGGTCTTTGGTTCATATATGGTGAGGGTCAAGATTTCTCTGCATATTTGTCCCCCCAGAATAGAGTTCCATGAGTCGATACAGGTCCCATCATCAGCAAATTTTTTATGAGCATGTGTGTATGTGTGCTTGCATGCATGCACAAACATACACCAAAGTGACACCAACCAGTCTTCCCTTGGGCTCCTTGTGATTTCATCAAACACCTTTGAGGTGTTTTGATATTTGTCTTATTTTAACATTGGATAAACTATTCTACATAAAAGTGGTTGTTAACTTTCTTTGGTCTATAGCCAAGAAAATCTAGAATGCTTACTATGAATATATTTATAATTAGGAGTTAAATGTATTTTAAAGTATGTGCGTGTGTTTTACTCTAAGTGGCATTGATGAAATAATTTTCAATTTTGTTTGTCCTTAAGTATAGGCCAATTGAAAAAGTACAATTTTCAAAATTGTTCAATGCAGCAAATTTTCAGCTGCTTTCATGTTATCAATTGTCTGTGGTAAATAGCAACTGGTAATATTTAAGGATTTCCTGGTGACTAGATTGGGATGCATTTCTCTTTCCCAGGAGAAAAGGGAGCCGCAAAGGTGCCTTAAGGTTTCCATGTCCTATATCTCACATTTATCAAAGTAATAATTGTCCTATGAAAGGATTTTTCTCCTGCTCCCTTTGTCCCCTCTTCAGCTAGGCACACACTTCCACTTTTAAGAACACAGACTAACTCATCCCAGAAACACGAGCAGGGTAGAGTTACTGAAGACTCAGCCAGTCATCAGCATTTTCAGAGATTTGGTGCATTTCATTCCCATTGTTCATCTACATCTATACCATGCCATTCTTTGAAGTGTAATGTCACATAAAGAATTTTAATAAAAGCATATTGTATAGGCAAATATATGTGTGCTCAGATAATGGTGTCCAATCTTTCTGAGGAGACAGATAAATTTATAGGAGTGTTCTAAGGAAGTCACTGCTTCAGGCATTTATCTGTAGTGGTGTTGGCGTTGGTAATGGTGTGTATGCGTGTGTGTGTGTGTGTGTGTGTGTGTGTGTGTGTGTGTGTGCGCATGCATGTTGGCAGAGGTTGAAGGAATAGGCTTTCATAGAAAACCATCTTTTCCATACTGTGGGAAAGAAGATAGGTTGGAAGCCACTTAAATTACTAATCAAATACTACCTGATGGTCCATACGAGGCACATGAAACTTATGAAAGTGGCTTGAATGATCCAAGAAAACTGTATATTTGGACCTGATTATTTGTTCCCTGGAAAAATCTCTTCTATCCCTTTCTTATTTTTACCAAATGCCCTAAAGGTAGATTCTGGATCGAAGGTTCAGGGAATCTATGAGTTCCAAATCTATTTTAGTAAAAACATTTCCAGTTCTGAGCAACTCTGGGATCAGTGACAAGCTAGCCCCTATCTGGGTGAGGCAGTCAGTGCATAGAGGCACCTGGCAGATTTCATCAGCAGTGGGAAGGAAAGGGTGAGGATGGAGCCTCATGATCAGTTTGGTCTCTTCTTTGTTCTCTCTAGAGACCCACTTAATCATTTCAATCTTTCCATATCAAGGTCCTAGTAAATTTTTCTTTGGAGAGGACAACTTCCCAGGAAGTTTCCAAAGCCTGATGTCCTAAACTAAAAACACAGAAACTCGAGCCCCCCACCCACCTCTTATCATCACAATAAACATGTACCACAATAGGATGGTTTAATTTATTTTATATGTGTAAGATTTTATTACGTTTAAAGTAGATGGGTACACAGTTCTTTCATGCAGCTGTAGTTTATGATGAGGGTAACCCAAAACACATGACCACATGATAAAATAATGTAATGGAGTGCTTCAAGAATTCTGAGTGGACAGAAGGTTGGAAAGCAATCCTTTGTGTAAATAAGAGCTGGTCTCACATAATGGTAGATGCTTGTAGATCTAAAATCCAAAGAAACATGCACTTTCCCCTGGGATGTCATTTTCAGCATAATAAACATGATTCCAAATGCTTTTATACAAATATTGTCACATGAAAAGTCTGAAGGTCTGTCATCCTCCAACACCATCTATTTGGACAAAATTTAAACCTAGAAATCATTGGAGGGGCTGTTTTTTATGAAGGTAAATTCAAGAAAGATTCCAGCATTTCTCTTCTTGATCTTGCTGTTAGGTCATCGACCAACTCACTTCCTTCTGATGTTAGCCCAACTGGAGGAAACTTCTTAGATAACTTTTGCAGGTGTCTCATGTTCCTGAAGCTCATTGACTTTTTTTTTTGGCTAGTCTAGATGCACATCTTCAGGCCCTTCAGACAGGAAAAACATGCAGCACTGTCCCCTCTATCACGACCAGGGACCTGTTCCAGCACTTAGGAAACCTTTGCAGAATGTTCTTTTTTTGCTCACAAGTATAATCCCCTCACAATGCACAAAATACTAAGAGATAAAAATACCATTTTGGAAAATATTTTGGATGGCATGCACACGAATTTAACTAAGCATGAAATAATGTAGTTTACTAGGAAGAGGAGATGCTGTTGAGTTAGGAGGCTTGATTCATGGTCCTCACCCTGCCATTCACCAGCTGGTGCAACTTGGGCAAGTCACTTGACCTCTGTAAGCCTCCTGATCCTCCTAATCTTAAAAGGGACCAAGAATATCTACCCTACCTACTCACAGGGTACTTGTAAGAATTGGATTACTTGAATTACTTATTGATATACAATGATTGCATACTGTGTTGAAGAAAGAGCAAAGAGTTACTGAGTTACTTCTTAGGGAATATTTGGTAAAACCAGTTCATTTTTCTGGAAGAGTGATCTGAGGCATAGGGAAGAGAAGAACTCAACATTTCTCATGGTTACACAGTGGATGTATGTTTAAGATACAAAACAGTAACACAAACAATTGTTTGGACTGTGTACTCACTCAGTATAATATTTTCCATGATATCTATGTGAAACCGGTTTATAGAACATGACAAGAGTATTTTTTCTCCAAACCTCTGCCTTCAAACATTTTCTGTCTGGCTGCCAGTTTCTTCTCCAAAGATATCCCAGGCAGATCCTTCCATTGATTGCTTATTTTCAATTTGAAATTGACCAGCTCAGTCCATTATAAAACTTCAGTCCCATATTCTGCTTAGGAGGAACTCCTCCTCTGGGCTCCCAGTGCTAGGCCTTGGCTTGAGGGGTTTTAGATAGGGAGAGGGCTTTTTCCACTTCTTTCACTTGTCCTCTTCCAGGTTCTTTCTTTTTATTTAGTGTAAGGGCTTAGGGAGAAGGAACAGGGTTAGGGGTGCCTGGGGGCAGACAACTCTGATAAAATAGGTACCTTTGTAGTCAACTCTCTGTTGACTATTGCTGCTCTTCCCCAGAGGCCCTGTGCATACATAAACAAAACGCCTGCTCTGTCCTGCAGCTCATGGAAGTATTTTTCCAGAAGTCCCTTGGGATGGGTCTTTCCACTACACAGTTCTCAAACGTGAAAGATGCACTTCAGTTTGACCCCACTTCAAAGACTGGCTTTGGTGGTGGACCACACAACCTCTTGCTGCCAGGGACCCCTCACCCAATAGGCAGCCATCATGGGTGGGGCAATAGCCCAAACCCAAGTACATTTTCTTCATGTCCATTGGACTCATGGGAAACCCAAACATCCTGGACACATTTAGAGTGTGTGCTCATTGGTCTCTGTCTTCTTCTCCCTCTCCAGTGATTGTCCTGCCCCCACATCCAGAGAAGAAACAAGCAAATCTGTTACGTAAGCAAATAGCTAACTGTGGAATAACATTCCACCCTCCATCACTGAAACTTTCTCATCACTTGACTTAAAATGTAGGTATTCTCTGATGATTCTCCAGTGCATTTCTAGACTTCTGCTTGTAAAGGTTGAGGAAGTTGGTGAGGAGATTGCAGCTGTGTGGGACCTCCCAACTCTCAACAAGTTCTGCAGAGTTTGTGAATAGAGTGTGGGAACACAAGATGCCTGTTATTTTCACCCTGTTGTCTTTATCTGCTCAAATGTGCTGTTGAGTCCTGCTGGTGAGTTTTTTATTTTGGTTATTGTACTTTTCAACCTGAGAATATCTATTTGGCTTTTTTCCAATAATTCCCATCCTTTCATTAAATGTTCTCTATTTAGTGAGACTTTGGTTCTTTAGATATGGTTTCTTTTAATGCTTTGAATATATTCAAAATCACAGATTAAAAGTCATTGTCTAGTGAGGCTCAAATCTGGGCTTCCTCAGGTACAGACAGTTTCTGCTGACTGCTTCCCATCCCCAACCCCACCACAATGTATGGGCCACACTTTATTATTTCTTTGTGTGTCCATAATTTTTTGTTGAAAACTAGATATTTGAAATAATATAACATGACAACTCTGGAAATCAGATTCTTTCCCTTCTCTAGGATTTGTTGTTATTGCTACTTGTTGTTTTGTTGTTCGTTTAGTGACTTTCCTGAACTAATTATGTACAGTCTGTATTCTTTGTCATGCATGAACACTAAAGTCTTTGCTCAGATTAGCGGTCAGCTAATAACTAGACAGATTTTTTTAATGTCTGGAATTAATAAGTCTTCCAGTCTTTGCTGAGGGGCATTTTGTGCATGTTGGGTCATACCTTCAACACTCAACAAAGCAGCTTACAACTTGGCCTTAGCCTTTACTTCCTGCCTGCACAGAGCCCCAAGATTAGACAGAGGTGAGAACTTGGTGCCTTCTTAAGTCTTTTTTGAGCATGTTCACAGCCCTGGGTATGCACACAGCCTTACACATGCGTGTAGCTGTCCAGATTCTCGGAAATATGTCAGAGTCTTTCAAATCTCTCTACGTACATCTCATTCTCTAGCTTTTTCTTTTAAGTTTTTTTGGTTAGCCTATTATTTGCCCTAACTGTTATCTGAGTGTAATCTGAGTGTTCTAGGAATACCAAAGTTCTTGTAAGGATTGTTCTCTTAGCCAAAAACTTAGCCCAAGACACAAACCTTTAGGAGATCGTAGAGATGACTCCAGGTGAAGAGATCAGATGGGCTGCCATGCCATAGCATTCCAGCTCACCATTCTTCTTCACTGCCTTTGCTTTCATTCTGGTGGTAGGGGCTACTCCTGTTTACCCATATCTAGACTTCTTCTTTCCTGGAATTATGGGAGGACATACACTTAACCAATCCCCTTGCCATTGGACAGAGGGATGTGACTAGTAATGGCCAATAGGCTGTGGGCAGAAGTAACTTGCATCATTTCCCAATTGGGAAACTTTATTGCCATTGTGAGACCTCACAGCACTCTTCCCACTGATGTTATGACCAGTGATGTTCCATATGTTGTTATTTCTATTAGCCCAGGTCCCAGAGGCAAGATAACATAGAATAACATCCTTCATGGGCATCTGCTATTTATGAGGCATAATACAAAAATAAACTTCATTGTGTTATGTGACTAAGATTTTGGTGTTGACTGTTAATGCAGCTTAACCTGCACTAATCTGACTTGTCTCATGATTTTAAGCTTGGCTCACCTATGGTCCTCTGGTTTGACCACCTGCATCATTTTGATCACATACGTCACATTCATCAGCATCTTTGTGCTTATTTGATGCTTAGTGAAGGGAGGCAAAAGCCTCATATTTTTTTCTCTCTCTGAGTCTCACATTAATATATAAAGCTATGAGCAAACCAAATTTTACTATCATTTTCTTTCTCTCTCTCTCAAAAGAGGTTTATTTGACATAGACTCAACTAGCTAAAATTTAACTTATAAGAATATATACATACTCAGAGTTCCTATGCCTCTTTATAACTTGAGCAAACCATTGTCATCTTGGGTTTCCTTTTGCTACTCCGTAAAGCAAAGACAAGAGTGATATTTCCCAAGGTGGCTCTGATAATGTGTGTGTTGGGGGGTTGGGTATAACTAAGAGGATGTTAGGGAAAATGTTGTGTATTTTGCATAAAGTTCTGGAGTGAAAAAGGCACTCCAGAACTTCCCAAGATGGCCAAATAGGAACAGCTCCAGTCTGCAGCTCCCCACGTGATTGACACAGAGGACGGGTGATTTCTGCATTTCCAACTGAGGTACCTGGTTCATCTCATTGGGACTGGTTGGACAGTGGGTGCAGCCCATGGAGGGCGAGGTGAAGCAGGGTGGGGTGTCGCCTCACCCGGGAAGCTCAAGGGGTCAGGGGATTTCCCTTTCCTAGCCAAGGGAAGCCGTGACAGACTACCTGGAAAAACGGGACACTCCCACCCACATACTGTGCTTTTCTCAAGGTCTTAGCAACTGGCAGACAAGGTGATTCTCTCCCGTACCTGGCTCAGTGGCTCCCACGCCCATGGAGCCTTGCTCACTGCTAGCGCAGCAGTCTGAGATCAATCTGTGAGATGGCAGCCTGGCTAGGGGAGGGGCATCCGCCATTGCTGAGGCCTGAGTAGGTAAACAAAGCAGCCGGGAAGTTCGAACTGGGCAGAGCCCACTGCAGTTCAAAAAAAGCCTACTGCCTCTAGACTCCACCTCTGTGGGCAGGGCATAGCTGAACAAAAGGCCGCAACTTCTGCAGACTTAAACGTCCCTGTCTGATAGCTCTGAAGAGAGCAGTGGTTCTCCCAGCATGGTGCTTGAGATCTGAGAATGGACAGATCTGAGAATGGACAAACTGCCTCCTCAAGTGGGTCCCTAAACCCCGTGTAGCCTAACTGGGAGACACCTCCCAGTAGGGGACGACAGACACCTCATATAGGCGGCTGGCCCTCTGGGATAAAGCTTCCAGAGGAAGGATCAGGCAGCAATATTTGCTGCTTTGCAGCCTCCACTGGTGATACCCAGGCAAACAGGGTCTGGAGTGGAACTCCAGTAAACTCCAACAGACCTGCAGCTGAGGGACCTGACTGTTAGAATGAAAACTAACAAATGAAAAGGAATAGCATCAACATCAACAAAAAGGTCATCTACACCAAAACCCCATCTGTAGGTCACCAACATCAAAGACCAAAGGTAGATAAAATCACAAAGATGGGAAGAAACCAGAGCAGAAAAGCTGAAAATTCTAAAAATCAGAGCACTTCTTCTCCTGCAAAGGATCACAGCTCCTCGCCAGCAGTGGAATAAAACTGGACGGAGAATGACTTTGATGAGTTGACAGAAGTAGGCTTCAGAAGGTCAGTAATAACAAACTTCTCTGAGCTAAAGGAGGATGTTCGAAACCATTGCAAGGAAGCGAAAAACCTTGCAAAAAGATTAGAGGAATGGCTAACTAGAATAAACAGTATAGAGAAGACCTTAAATGACCTGATGGAGCTGAAAACCATGGCAGGAGAACTTCGTGAAGCATGCACAAGCTTCAATAGCTGATTCCATCAAGTAGAAGAAAGGCTATCAGTGATTGAAGATCAAATTAATGAAATAAAGTGATAAGACAAGGTTAGAGAAAACAGAGTAAAGAGAAATGAATAAAGCCTCCAAGAAATATGGGACTATGTGAAAAGACCAAATCTACGTCTGATTGGTGTACCTGAAATTGATGGGGAGAATGGAACCAAACTGGAAAACACTCTTCAGGATATTATCCAGGAGAACTTCCCCAACATAGAAAGGCAGGCCAACATTCAAATTCAGGAAATACAGAGAACACCAAAAAGATACTCCTCGAGAAGAGCAACCCCAAGACACATAATTGTCAGATTTACCAAGGTTGAAATGAAGGAAAAAGTGTTAAGGGCAGCCAGAGAGAAAGGTCGGGTTACCCACAAAGGGAAGCCCATCAGACTAACAGCGGATCTCTCAGCAGAAACCCTACAAGCCAGAAGAGAGTGGGGGCCAATATTCAACATTCTTAAAGAAAAGAATTTTCAACCTAGAATTTCATATCCAGCCAAACTAAGCTTCATAAGTGAAGGAGAAATAAAATCCTTTACAGACAAGCAAATGCTGAGAGATTTTGTCACCACCAGGCCTGCCTTACAAGAGCTCCTGAAGGAAGCACTAAACATGGAAAGGAAAAACCGGTACCAGCCACTGCAAAAACAGGCCAAATTGTAAAGACCATTGATGCTATGAAGAAACTGCATCAATTAATGGGCAAAATAACCAACGGACATCATAATGACAGGATAAAATTCACACATAACAATATTAACCTTAAATGTAAATGGGCTAAATGCCCCAATTAAAGACACAGACTGGCAAACTGGACAAAGAATCAAGACCCATCAGTGTGCTGTATTCCGGAGACCCATTTCACATGCAGAGACACACATAGGCTCAAAATAAAAGGATGGAGCAAGATCTACCAAGCAAATGGAAAGCACAAAAAACAGGGGTTGCAATCCTAGTCTCTGATAAAACAGACTTTAAACCAACAAAGATCAAAAGAGACAAAGAAGGACATTACCTAATGGTAAAGGAATCAATTCGACAAGAAGAGCTAACTATCCTAGATATATATGCACCCAATACAGGAACACCCAGATTCATAAAGTAAGTCCCTAGAGACCTACAAAGAGACTCAGACTCCCACACAATAATAATGGGAGACTTTAACACCCTACTGTCAATATTAGACAGATCAATGAGACAGAAGGTTAACAAGGATATCCACGACCTGAACTCAGCTCCGCAACCAGCAGACCTAATAGACGTCTGCAGAACTCTCCACCCCAAATCAATAGAATATACATTCTTCTCAGCACCACATCACACTTATTCTAAAATTGACCACATAATTGGAAATAAAGCACTCCTCAGCAAATGTAAAAGTACAGAAATCACAACAAACTGTCTCTCAGACCACAGTGCAATCAAATTAGAACTCAGGATTAAGAAACTCACTCAAAACCGCCCAACTATATGGAAACTGAACAACCTGCTCTTGAATGACTACTGGGTAATTAAGGAAATGAAGGCAGAAATAAAGAAGTTCTTTGAAACCAATGGTAACAAAGACACAATGTACCAGAATCTCTGGGACACATTTAAAGCAGTGTGTAGAGGGAAATTTATAGCACTAAATGCCCACAAGAGAAAGCAGGAAAGATCTAAAATTGACACCCTAACATCACAATCAAAAGAACTAGAGAAGCAAGAGCAAACACGTTCAAAAGCTAGCAGAAGGCAAGAAATAACTAAAATCAGAGCAGAACTGAAAGAGATAGAGACACAAAAAATCCTTCTAAAAATCAATGAATCTAGGAGCTGCTTTGTTTTAAAAGATCAACAAAATTGATAGACCGCTAGCAAGACTAATAAAGAAGAAAAGAGAGAAGAATCAAATAGACACAATAAAAAATGATAAAGGGGATATCACCACCGATCCCACAGAAATACAAACTACCAACAGAGAATACTATAAACACCTCTATGCAAATAAACTAGAAAATCTAGAAGAAATGGATAAATTCCTCGACACACACACCCTCCCAAGACTAAACCAGGAAGAGGTTGAATCCCTGAATAGACCAATAACAGGCTCTGAAATTGAGGCAATAATTAATAGCCTACCAATAAAAAAAATGTCCAGGACCAGATGGATTCACAGCTGAATTCTACCAGAGGTACAAAGAGTCGCTGGTACCATTCTTTCTGAAACTATTCCAATCAATAGAAAAAGAGGGAATCCTCCCTAACTCATTTTATGAGGCCAGCATCATCCTGATACCAAAGCCTGGCAGAGACACAACAAAAAAAGAGAATTTTAGACCAATATCCCTGATGAACATCGATGCAAAAATCCTCAATAAAATACTGGCAAACCGAATCCAGCAGCACATCAAAAAGCTTATCCACCACGATCTGGTCAGCTTCATCCCTGGGACGCAAGGCTGGTTCAACATATGCAAATCAATAAATTTAATCCGGCATATAAACAGAACCAATGACAAAAACCACATTATTATCTCAATAGATGCAGAAAAGGCCTTTGACAAAATTCAACAGCCGTTCATGCTAAAAACTCTCAATAAACTAGGTATTGACGGAATGTTTATCTCAAAATAATAAGAGCTATTTATGACAAACCCACAGCCAATATCACACTGGGCAAAAACTGGAAGCACTCCCTTTGAAAACCGGTACAAGAAAGGACGCCCCTCTCTCAGGACAGAAAACCAAACACTGCATGTTCTCACTCATAGGTGGGAATTGAACAATGAGATGACTTGGACACAGGGTGGGGAACATCACACACCGGGGCCTGTTGGGGGGTGGGGGGCTGGGGGAGGGATAGCATTAGGAGATATACCTAATGTAAATGATGAGTTGATGGGCACAGCAAACCAACATGGCACATATATACCTATGTATCAAACCTGCACGTTGTGCACATGTACCCTAGAACTTAAAGTATAATTAAAAAAAAAAAAAGAAAAGAAAAGCACTCCATTCAAAGTAGTGGTCTGGAGAATTATAGACCTTTGGAAGATGGTGGAATCTGTTTTCTATTTTCTGACATTTATTACATGCTAAAGCTGTTTGGATGCTCATTCTCCATTGAGATATTTGGCCCCAGCAGCAGGTACTGAAACATGGACTTGCTACACTTATTTACTGATTTAAGAATAGCAGCTAATCCAGTAAAAACAGGATAATTCTTATATCAGCCTGAGATGGTAATAAAATATTGTGTTTCTGCAAACTCTAAATGATTTAATTTTTAACATTTTATTATTTTGTTTATAAAGCAATGGCCACTTTTTATTAACATAGTAATATATTTATGCAATGTTACAATAATAATTGCTGTAGTTAGAAAATTTGTCCCTCCCAAAACTCATGTTGAAACTTAACTCTGAACATGGCAGTGTTGATAGGTGGGGCTTCTAAGAGATGATTGGGTTACAAGGGCTCTGCCCTCATGAATGGATTAGTTCATTCATGAATTAATGGATTTAAGGGTTAACTGATTAATAGGTTTTTGTGGGAATGGGGCTGGTGGCTTTATAAGAAGAGGAAGACAGGCCTGAGCTAGCATGCTCAGTCACTTTGCCATGTGACTTTATAAACAATCAAATGTGTCCTCTTGAAGTATGCCTTGGGACTCTGCAGAGTCCCCACCAGCAAGAAGGCCCTCACCAGATGTGGCTACTCAACCTGGAACTTCTCAACCTCCACAACTGTAAGAAATAAATTCCTTTTTAAAAAAATAAATTACCCAGTTTCAGGTATTTTGTTATAAGCAACAGAAAATGGACTAAGATAATAATTAAGCTTATAAAGGATATGCAGGGATAACTACATTTCATTTCCTCTCCAGGCATCCAGGTTCTGGTCCTCCCAGAAGGAATCCTTACTACCATTACACATTATACGCATATACAAGTATAATATATGATACATACAATGTTTAAAACCTACCCTTCCCATATTTATCAACATAAATTGGAGAGAATGTGCACAGTATTCTTGACCTTGCTACTTAACCTTGATTTTTAAAACAATGTTATCTTGGTCATTGCTCCTCTTTAGTCTATACAGACTTATCTATTCTTTTTAATGGCTAAATAATATTTCATTGTACATTTGGGACCTGGCTTATGGTGCAGATGGCCAAGCTGGAAAGCTGTAGGTGGGTCTGGCTCAAAATTATAGCATGCATGATACTTATTTTGATAGCACAGTTATGCCGCATTAACAAACAATCCCCAGATGACAGACATTTGTGCTTTTTTCAGTCTGAGGCAGACAATGCCATGAAGATCTTGCTCTACCTTTGTATACATACATTTGCGAGTATATCTAGAGAATAGGCCGGGCACAGTGGCTCACGCCTGTAAACCCAGCACTTTGGAAGGCTGAGGTGGGTGTATCACTTGAGGTCAGGAGTTCGAGACCAGTCTGGCCAACAGGGTGAAACCTCGTCTCTACTCAAAATACAAAAAAAAAAAAAAAAAAAAAATTAGCTGGGCGTAGTGGCGCATGCCTGTAGTCGCAGCTACTAGGGGGGCTGAGGCAGGAGGATGGCTTGAACCTGGGAGGCGGAGGTTGTAGTGAGCTGAGATCACGCCACTGCACTCCAGCCTTGGTGACAGAGTGCGACTCCGTCTCAAAAAATAGGTAAATAAAAATAAAATAAAAATAAAGTCTTAGCAATCAAGTGCTGAAATAAAAGGTATGTATATTTTCATTTACTTTGAATAAACTTTATATACAATCAAATGCATCTTCTTTAAGTGTGCAGTTTGTGTATGTCCATGTTACCATCAACACAATTCAGATATAGAATATTTGTGTTTTAATAGGCTTTATTATTACTTAGGTATGGTAAAGGCTGACAGAGCAGGAAATGACTGTCATTCAAAAGACAGTTTATTATACTCACAGTTTCCAAGAGAGGGAGTACACTTCACACTATTGGGGAGTCACCTGGGGAATCACTGAGGGTAAGGTAACGAAGCCAGTGGGCAAGAGAAAGAGGAACTGTGGGCCTAGGCCTTTATCATGGTTTCTGCAGGAAGCATAAGGGAGGAGAAATGACCTTTGGTTGTTAGAGAAGTGAATGTAGACTCTGGATTGGTTGGTTTGTATTTAAAGTGACTTAGGTATTTCACTGGGTTGTCCAGAGCAAGGTGTGTTCGGCATATGCATGCAGGGCAGATGTTAAAGCATCACATTTACAGATGGTAGAAACATGGTTAATACAAATTCCATTAACACAGACGTTCCCTCACAGCTGTTTGCAGAAAATCCCTCCCCAAACCCTGGCTCTAGGCAACCACTTACTTGCTTTTTATCAACATAGTTTTGCTTGTTCTAGAATTTTACAAGTGGGATCATACAGTGTGTGCACTTTTGTGCCTGGCTTCTGTTTCTCAGGAGAGTTTTGAAATTCATTCATGTTGTTTTGTTATCAATAGTTTATTTTTTATTGCTGAGTAGTATTCCATTGTATGAGTATACCACGATTTGTTAATCCATTCATCTTTGATAGACATTTGAATTCTTTCTTGTTGTGGGCTATTACAAATATTGCTGCTACAAATATTCTTGAAAATATCTTTCGGGGCCACAGGTGTACATTTCTCTTAGGCAAACACCCAGGTATGTAATTTCTGGGTGTGTGTTTAACTTTGTAATAAACTGCCAAATGGTTTTACAAAGTGATCATGCCATTTTATACTCACAGCAGTGTACGAGAGTTCCAGTTGCTCCAAATCTTTTCCAATAAATGATATGGTCAGTTGGGATGTAGATTTTGATAAATATTGTGCTCCAAATGTGTATCAGATGCAATGTTGTTGGTTGTTTAAACCAACATCTGTTCCCACCCCCTTTCTTTCTTGCCTCTCTGCATTAAGCTAACACATTCTCAGTCTCCCCTGCATCTATAAGCGTTCAATTATATCACAGTTCCAGACAGGACGGTATAAACCAAAGTCTGCTGGGATCTATCTAGGTAAGCTTTTATTTACCTAATACAGGAAGAGATGTGTCAGCACTACTTTCTCTCTCCCTCCTTGCTCCTTACTGACTTGAATGCAGACATGGTTCCTGGTGCTGTGGTATGCGTCTTGCCACAGTGAGAGGGAAAGGCCAAGAGAACCACAAGAGATAATGGAAGCACTGAGCCACCAAAACAGAAGCCACCTACCTTTAAACTTCTAATTATATGAGAAAAGTAAACCTCAACTTATTTAAGCCATTGTGCCCTAGGTACTCTCTTACTTGCAGAATATCGGACTAACATTTTTTCATGTGTTTATCATTCATAAAGAATACAAAAGGGAGTCAACAGCTGGTACCTCTATTGCATGTTTTTCATCTTTAGTATTTTGTTCTTTTAATATACATTTACTTAATTATGACTGAATTTGGAACTTAATTTGCTTAAAAGCTATTCATTGTCTTTCCTGTTATATGCCTGTATACATCTTTCGGATATTGATTCATAAAAATTCTTTATATCTCAATAAACTCAGCTCTTCATCTGTCATATTTTTCATTTGTCTCTCAACTTTGTGTAGGTAGGTTTTTTGCTAATCAGAAATTTTTAGTTTTTATATAACATGCTTTAAAATGAGATGTCCTATATTCAAATGTTGTTTTTGCTCTTTACTAGTTCTGATTCAGGGACTTTTCTACACTCAGTTATCTATCATTATTATGGTGGGAAATCCTTCCTAGGGTTCTTTTGAGGATAAAATGAGTTAATACATACACGACATTACATTATTTTCTGCATATAATGAGCATGCAAATATGAGCTTCCACTGTTATAATTTACAATTATGCTATTTACCTCATTATTAGGGTTCAAGTTGTTTCCTTTTATGTTTTTTAGAGTTTGAGTCTTGCTTGGAAATCTGTTTTAACTATAAAATTATGTTTAAAAAATCATCTTTTGAAATATTTCTTTTATGATTTTTAAGAAAAATTTTGTTGCAGTTAAAGAACAGAGTTGTAAATGGCAAACAGCAAAAGAGTAAAGGGTTTTTCTTTGGATGGTAGACTAAGGGATAGATATTAAAAATACTTTTATCTGACATTTTTGTAGATGGTTAGAATAGCATACAAAGACACAAGACTCTAGGCTTTCCAGTGACTGAAGAACTTGCTTGGGTAGCCGATGTGAGTGCAAAAGGTGTTGGAAAATATCTGCTGTTTGATTGATAGGTTCTTATAAAATGAAATGAGGTATATGTGGTACTGAGTTGAGCATGGGAAGGAAAGCATGCCCTGGATATCTTCCCAGGTAGCAACACCCTCTAGGAACCAAATAGGGGAAAAGCCTAAGACAGATGATATAATTAGAGTATTAGCAACTATTTGCAAAGTGCTATGCTTATTATTTTGTAAATATGTATTAAGAGGAAAGGCCAGTGCAATCAGATTGTTCTGGACTCAAGTCCCAGCTACTCTACACCCTGTGTTAGATGACCTTGGGGGAGCTAACTGCCCTCAATAAACTTCAATGTTTTTTCTATTAAATGGGATAAACATGAGTTCCTATGTCATCAGGTGATTGTGATGATTGAACAAGATCATGCAGTGCACTTAGCACAGCGACTCTTCTAGTACACACTAAGCACCCAAGAAATGTTACCTGTAATTACTATCCAGACAACACCATTAGGTAGGTATTATCACCCTCATTTTGTGGATGAGGACAGTGCTGTCCAGAGAGCTTAATTAGTTTTCCCAAGTTTATCCAGCTAGTAAGTTATGCTGGGATTTGAACCCAGGTCTGTCTGACTCCAAACCCTACGATCTTCCTATTTATCAAAGTACTTTATGCCTTACTGATTATATGCCTTCTCAGTTCATTGGTATGCACAGTATTTAGATCATCTTCCTAAGGGAAATCATACCTAAAGTCACAGAGAAGACACTTTCTTCATTTTTTCTTTGTGAAAATGTGGCTCCCCTACGGCTTCACCTATAGGTTATAAACAGGTATATGGATCATCCTTCTATGAGAAATCATACCTAAAGCACTAAAAAACAATGGCTTTCTTCAGTTTATGGAAAGGCTCTATTCATATTTCCAATCTTTTCTAAAAATGTGGCTCCTCTATGACTCCATCTGTAGTATACATACAGATACGTGGTAGGTCCAAGTTGGTCTCCCAAGATCAAATTGTGTCTCCCTTTTGGTGGTCTCTACTAAAACAATTTGTTTTAGTTTATGAAATCTTTCAATGCCATTATCAATTGAGCTTAAAATGTTATCAAAAATTTAAATTATTATTAACACAAAAATCTAAGAACTATGGACAATCTACTTAGTGTGGGCTTATCTTTCCCTCGATGCGTATATAAGGGTGGGAATTTCACTTTTTTAACCTACATTAAATTAGAATTTTACAGTACATGCCAGACAAAAATCAGCATTTTTCTCAATTCTATTTCCATTTTAGACTGTAATTTTGCATTGGCTTACATTTTAATAAAGTTGGCATTTTTACCTCTTCCACATCTGGAACATTTCCAATTGGCTTTTTCACATTGTGAACTGAAATAGTAATTCAGTTGCACTGAATTTGCTTTTAGGAATAAACCACCACTTTTGCATTTCTCTCCTTTATGATTTACTGATTTTCAAGATGTGCCAGGAAATACAGAAATATAGGTATACATATATTGTATACACGTATATAGGTACTATATACGTGTATACATATATTGTATACACGTATATAGGTACTATATACGTGTATACATATATTGTACACATGTATATATGTACTATGTGTATACATATATTGTATACATGTATATATGTACTATATATGTGTATACATATATTGTATACACGTATATATGTACTATGTGTATACATATATTGTATACACGTATATATGTACTATGTGTATACATATATTGTATACACGTATATATGTACTATGTGTATACATATATTGTATACACGTATATATGTACTATGTGTATACATATATTGTATACACGTATATATGTACTATGCGTATACATATATTGTATACACGTATATATGTACTATGTGTATACATATATTGTATACACGTATATATGTACTATGTGTATACATATATTGTATACACGTATATATGTACTATGTGTATACATATATCGTATACACGTATATATGTACTATGTGTATACATATATTGTATACACGTATATATGTACTATGTGTATACATATATTGTATACACGTATATATGTACTATGTGTATACATATATTGTATACACGTATATATGTACTAATATATGTGTATACATATATTGTATACATGTATATATGTACTATATATGTGTATACATATATTGTATACATGTATATATGTACTGTATATGTGTATACATATATTGTATAATGTATATATGTACTATATATGTGTATACATATATTGTATACATGTATATATGTACTATATATGTGTATACATATATTGTATACATGTATATATGTACTATATATGTGTATACATATGCACAACTGAAGTTAAAATAAAGCAAGAGTTGCATGCATAGTTGAACTTAATGTTAATTTGATTTATTCATATAGAGTAGCTCTGAGGAGTGAGAAGCTGAATAAAAGCAAATTTAAGAGAGAGAACAAAATATATATATGTAGATTGTTGAGAACACAATTGTTTCCATCCCTTCACTGCTTCTGGAAAATAAGTATGATTTCAATTTGTTCAATATTTAAATTTAAGAAGAATATATTCTGTTAAATCAGTAACTCTGGTAAATCCACTAGATACCCTACATCAATGTGACTCTTAAATGTTTGAAATAATATGACAACAATTCAAGAAGTCTAAACGGTCCTACCTTTGAAAATAAAGGGGAATGTAATTTGCCTGTCAAGAATAGCCACTCCGCCATTTTGTTTGAGGGTGAGAGCATGGTAGGGTAAACAACCATTCCATTTGCTTGGGATTGGGGAGGTTCCCAAGATGTGGGCCTTTCAGTGCCCAGGATTTTCCTGGGCAATCCACAATGAGTTGGCTAGCATACAGCAGGGAAACCTGTCGTGGGTGTTACAAATTGCACCCATCTGGGTTTGATATTGGAACACGTGACTGTCCTTCAAGTGCCCAGAACCAAGATCATCCCTGTAAATATTCACAGTGTCTAGATGGAGGAAAAAATCCTGAAACCACAATAAAATCTTAAATGTTTTAAAAGGCTATAATGAAGGCCTTTTGTAGTTTGATTTCTCCAGAATAGTCAGGATGTTGATATAAACAAAACATTTCCTAAAATTCAATTAAAGAAAACCAACTCTCCATAAGATAAGTGTCAAGTCTAAAATGAACATCAACTTAGTGGTTTGCCATGAGGGAAAGAGATGTTTATATATGCTGAAAATGCAATATTATGTTAAGAAGGCAATTTAGAAAGTAGCTTCTTTTATTATCATAAGCATTGAGTCCTCTAAGATAATAGGATGCCCATTTTACATGAAAAAGTCACCAGCGGCTAATATTCTAGAGGCAAGTTCCAATAAAACTATACTTGAATCTGCCACTGTTGCCTACATTCAGCTATGTCCAGAATTGGGGACCATATTGAAATGCATCTTGTGTAAAGCAAAGACCTCTGAAAATAAGATATTTATGCTCACAGATAAAATATTAAGCGCTTTTAAAATGACTAGACACCTCTCTTATCTCTTGTTTACAATTGGCCATTGTGAACAAGTTCTCAACCAGAACATTGGTTGAGGAAAGCGTTCTGGTTGAGAACTTTTCCATCTACTTTTGAGTTGATTACACTGCTAGACAATATGCACAGATGAAACACAAGAGGGGCTTGGCCTAACTTTCTCCTTTTCATTCTATAAGACAAGTCAGGGTATAAATCAGATGTCAGCTGAGTCATGCTTTCCCTTTTGATTGTCATTAAGTTGGTTGGTATCTCCATCCCAATTACAGAGGAGGTCCTCCATGGATTCATGGAGGTAGGTGGGGCTTGGGTTTCTTCTAGTTGTTTCTGACTCAAATTTCTGCTTCTGATGAATTAGATTGGTGTCTCGATCACCTCACCTTACTGAGTTTATTGTCTTTGGTGACCATAGGCTTGTGCCACTCAGATCTCCCTTTATGAGAACTTCCTGCCAGGAGTATGGTTAGCAGACAACCACCAGCTCTTGTGCATACAGCTCCCCTGTGGCATTTATGCCCTGAGGTCACTCCCAGCCAATGACTGAGCACAGCAGAGGACTAGAGACAGACCCCTGTCTGATGTGGATTCCTCTAATGGGCAAGCTTTGTTCAGGGGCTCCCCATTAGCCAGGCCAAGATGTTCTTGGAGCTGCACTACAGGTTAGGAGTTTTCTGTCCCAATATTCCTTCCTTTCTTCTTTCCCCTCACAGATGTCAGAGTTGCATCATGGATTAACGACTCTCCCTGACACCTCCTGCTTATCTTTCATTGACACTTTCTCCATCTGCATATATGCTTCTTACCGGAGCCAAACTGACACATAGTTTTTTCTTACTGACCTGTGTGTGCTAGACACCACTCAAAGTACCAATGACACAAAGTTCTAGGTATAGCAGTTTTTCATCGAAGGTTGGAGGCAAAGGATAGCGTTCACCCTGTTATACACCAAATGATATGAAACTTAATCTTTAGCATCTCTGCCTTAAAATATTTTGCTCATCCCCCAATCTTGGAATTTCTCATGAACTGTCTTTCCATAGGTTCCCACTTCTTGTCATGTCTTTCACATTCCCAGCTTTGTATCATTTCTATGATCTCCATTCTGCACTCAATATTTGCTGTGCCCCCTAGATTCTTGTTAACATTTAAGCCATTGGGATATCATCTGCCACAGCTCAAGAAGCCTATTATTTATCTTCCTAAAACTGTCAGGCCAGGGTAAAAAATGACATTTTTTCAAACCCTATTGTGCATTATTAAGGATAAAGAACCAAAAGTCTCACGTTTACAGATGAAAAAGGGACATAATCTCCATAACTCTATCCAACCGGGAAGTATTTCCTCATTCTATGAAGCCATAAGAAAAAAAAAAAAAAGAAACATTAAATTGGGTTAAACCAATGGTATTGTGGTAATAATTTTATACATTTGATTCTGGCATTACATGAAGATGAAGCATTTCTCTATTTCTTATGATCAACAAAATTTTAACTCAATGTGCATTCTTTCATTCAACATTTATTTTTAATGCTACCTGTGTGCCCAATGCAGAATTTGTTTTTAAAACAGTAAATCCTTTGTTTGCAAATATAATTTCTTATATTTATTTCTTAGACACCAGTATATGTAAGACAATGAAAGACACCTTACCTCATTTCCATAAATACTTATAAAAAATTTGAAAAATTGTGTGTTTAGGGCAACACTTTTTGTTTGTTGGACATTTGGTCCAATGGTTTCCTTAACTCTTTCTTATTTTCTATGATTTTTACCATAGACAAATGCTTCTTCCATTCAGGCAGGAAGTTGGTTGTGTTTTAAATAAATAAATGAATGCAGACATATATGTGACCATTTTACAAATTTATATGTTTATTTTTTTGCATTTTTTGTGTATGTATGTATTTCCTTCTGAAAGCACACTTGGCCATAATTATGAAAGAAGTACATTACTGGAGACCACAATCTCTGTGTTGAATATTCCTTTTGCAAACCTTTCTGACCTATGACTCCTGGAAGGAAGAAGCACAGAACGGCAGTGATGCTAGGCTGATACTTCTAATGATGCTTGTCTCTCTGGTACTTGGAAGGTAGGATGCATTGTGAAAAAACACTCTTCAACCCGAATAGTTTGGGCTACAAAAAGCAGTAGAGTATGGGATACTGCCCATTTTCAGCAAATGAAATTTGGAAGGAGGATTTCAGAAGTATTCTGGACAACTTGCCCAGTGCCTCAGTCCAGTGTTTAAATGCCAGTGGTGTTTAAAGTGAGACTGTTTGGAAGTCTAAAAGCCTCACATTCAAATTTCATTGCAAAGGGAGCATTCTTAAGTCACATGCAAAAAATATTATGTTTCGGTTCTGAATTATCTGTGTCTAAGCCCCTCTACATTCCACAGTTAACAAAGGTTGAACAGAAGTAACATTTCTGCCCTTATTCTCCTCTCACTGCATTATTTATTATCACTTGAAGCAATATGATGCTGCTAATCCTATGACTGTACAGCCTGACTTGTCCCTTGGGAAATACTCCCAGGGCTAGAGTCTGCTAAGGCTAGGCTAGTCTTAATAATCTACAATTGGCAAGTCATTCGTTTGAGATATCAACCAAGATGAGCCAAAAGACAGCAGAGATTTCTGACCATCAGTCAGTAAGAAAGAGAAGAGAATGCTCAAAGAAATTCTCAAGAGGAAAAATGGCTCAATGAATGGCCATGGACTCAAGTCCCATAACCTCTCCACATCTCAGTATCCTCCTTTGTATAATGGTAGAGTTACACTGGAAAATTCTGGTGTCCTTTTAGCTCTAAAAGTCTACGAATTGAAGTATATGTATGTATTTTTTGAATGACATCAGTGCTTTATCAAACTCGAAATCTGACAGAGCATCCTTTTTTTTTTTTGAGACAGAGTCTCGCTCTGTTGCCCAGGCTGGAGTGCAGTGCTATGATCTCTGCCCACTGCAACCTCTGCCTCCCAGGAGCGATTCTCCTGCTTCAGGCTCCCGAGTAGCTGGGATTACAGGCACATGCCACCATGCCCGGCTAATTTTTGTATTTTTAGTAGAGACGGGGTTTCACCATGTTGGCCAGGCTGGTCTCGAACTCCTGACCTCGTGATCTGCCCCCACCTCCCAAAGTGCTGAGATTACCGGTGTGAGCCACCGTGCTCGGCCCTGACAGAGCATCCTTCAAAGGTGCACCCCTTGTGTTTTGTTTCACTAGTTTCACCATGTTAAAAAAGAAAATATTTCATTTAGAAACCAACTAGTAAGCATAAAATTTAAAAACGTGGTGGAAGTTGTCAGTAGATATCCATGTATGTGTCAAAAGGTGGTGAAAGGGATTGTCCAATTTGTTAACACCTCATTTTTTGATCAGCCCCTCCATAAATACCTTTCTCAAATCTCAGAAAGAACAAGAACAGAATATACGTAAGCTGGGCTTATTGAATGAGTCCAAAGCCTTGTAGGAAGATATAAAGCCTTGAAACCACAGATTCTCAGTAAGTGACACGCAAATGTATTCCAACCCTGCAGTCTGCCATTTAAAGGAAGCAGCTCTTATTACATCCTGGGTTTACTTATTTGTTTGTTTTGTTTTGTTTCAATTTTACTGAAGTTTGATCACATCTGGCAAATGTCTATACAGCAGAGGGGAGAGGGAAAGAGATGGAATGGGAATAAGAAAATAAACTTGCCATAGGAGGAGGGGGAGTTCCAGAAATATTTTCTACACAAGTTTCCATAATAAGCCAATGGTAATAAGGTCTCACCACATGCCAGGCACTGGGTGAGGCCTACAAGGCACCATGCTAGATGGACATCAAAGAGAGAGGGATGAAACACAGCTACTTGGCAGACGCATCTGAGTTAAAAACCCTTTTGCACGGGCTTGAGAGAGGCTGTTGTCCCCTGGAGAGGCTTTGGCACGGCCAGAAGAAAACATCAAAGACACTCCAGACTTCAAATCCCCTCCAAGGGTGCGATCAGCAGGACAGGAAATGGGAAAGTCATTCTAGAAGGGATTTGGAAGGGAAGGGGCTTATCCACGGATGCCCCTCACCCTGCACATGAGCTCTCACCATGTGTACAGTTAACAGACATGATATGGTGAACAGCTTGGCACCCAGTCAGTAGCAAGTCTTACTCTAGCCCCCGACCAAGAAGCTGTGGGGTAAGGCGACACAAGGAAAGATAATGCAATAAGGATGTTTTGTTGTCTTCATGGTCGACTTAATAGTTTGAAAGGATACTATAGAACAGGGAAGCTTGCATTCTAAAACAACAGAAGCACAAATAAATAACCAAAGATAAAAGTCCAAAGACCAAAGTCAACCAAAAGAAAATGAACAAATAGGGTTTGCCTGAAATAATATCTGGCATGCTAAACTAAAATTCCTGGTAACCCAGCAGGGTTGCTTCATGCTTATAGTACCCCAATATGACCAAGGAACCAAAAGTTGCCAACAAACACAAGGAAAGGCCTTTAATTCCATGTCACTGGGAAATAATGACAGACTATGAAATCTGTCCATGTGCAGAGCCCAAACAAGACTGAAATTTCACATGCGGCCTGCCATTGAAGTGGGACCATAAAAATGAAGTCAGCCAAGCTGTTTTTTTTTTTTAAAGACAAAGAGCTCCTACAAAAACAAGGAATAGAAACTTCTTTGAAGAGATAGGAATGTGCAAGCAAATGTATGGGATACTGTGGATGTATATTGGTTGATTAAACCAAATAACACACACCACATATGTACATATGCGTACACACACACACACACACACACACATTTGAAGTTGAGCAAAGCTGAGATTTTTAAAGTAAAGCTGCAGCAAGTGATATATTTTTTAATGAGTTCCCAAGCCTGGTAATCTTCTCTGCCACATGCCTAGTTAGCGAGGACCCATGCATGCAGCTTGATAGCTGTGTAGCATAATGGTCAAGCTTGGAGTTTCTGGAGTGAAACCTTCTGGCCTTAGATAGCAGCTTCACTACCAAGTATCAGTGTGACTTAGAAAAGGTCCTGGACCAGACCTCAGACAACATGGGCATAATAGCAGTACTTACCATATATGGCTGTTGTAGGTATAAAGTGAGATAATACATGTAAAGCACTGGACTGAACCCTACCACATATTACGGACTCAACAGATATTCACTATTAATATCATAAATTTATCATAAGCTCTGTGCCCCATATCCCTTTGTAGTATGCACAGCAACTAACAGAGCAAAGAGTAAAAATAGTATTTATTAAATACCTGTTGTTTGATTTACAAATTAGGACCCTATTGTTTGTTTGATTTCCTAAGTCCCACAATATAATTGGTGACCTATAAAACAAAATTGTTTTCTTTTCTTTTTTCCTATGTGTTTATTTTCATCAGTTACTTAAAAAAATTTTTTTCCACTGTAGTCAGTTTTAAAAATTCATCTTCTTAGAACAAAGTAAACACCTGTTCCTTGTCATCAGTATTAAATCCCATAAATAATCCTTCTGGAGCCCAGCACAATATTAGCACCTTAGAATAATGTTCCTCACGATATCT